>NC_000008.11:103839222-104464222 GCF_000001405.40 Homo sapiens | reverse complement strand
TGTCAACATCTCAAAGGATTTATCCACCAGCTGATCCTCTAAGCATTTCTGTACTTAAAGGTTGTGAAAACATTAAACAAAAACATGTTCTTCATGAGCTTAGGATCTTAAACAAAAAATGATACGGTCAGAGATATTAAGGTCAAAGGTTTAGCAAATACCAAATTCCTGTTGAATATTAAACAGTACTTACAAAGGGGCTGTGTTGCAATAGTCTAGTTCAGAGTCAGTTGGTTGGATCCCAAGAGGTAACCACTCCCACCCCCCGAAACAGCTGAGGCTTCATAAAGTGAACCAGATGGGGAAATATAGATAAACATAAACATTACAGTATTGACCTGAATTCTGAAAGAAAGGCATTATAGAGTTATTTTGTCTTCTTTCCTGGCCTTTGCAATAATCCCCAAAGCAACGCTGGTGGGTGTTTGTTTTGGGGAGCTAGAGACAAAGATAGGCCTTTTGTAAATACTGGTTGTATGATATGTTAAACTTGAAAAACATCTTCCTATTATACCTTTAAGTAACATCTATTTTATCAAGTACATACCAGCCAATGCCCTAAGTTGTGCATTATCTTCCAAAAATCCCAGATGCCATTGTCTACTTTTTTACAATTGAGGAAATTGAAGCTTAAGCTACCTGCCTAAGGTTGTACACCTAGGGCTGTAACTCACTGAGTGGCTCTTCAAATTTAGTACTGCCTGACCCCGTCGCTAAAGCTGTTACCTATTAGTGTCTGTTCTTTTGAAAAAACATATAATGTTCAGATTTGTCAGGGTGGCAAGTGATAGATGACAGAGCCATATAAGTTGCATTTTAATGCGAGGCATCTTTTCTCAAAAATAGAGCAGAGCCGTCTTTAGAAAAGACAGTAACTCTTCACTTTCCTAAAGCTAGAGGCAGTTAAGGTTATCAAAATAAGTACACACTGCAGGTATTCAGTTTATAAGGCATTTGTATAATACATACATTTATAGCCATATCATTTGTAAGGGTACAGAAATGGACCTTAAGTACAGAAAAAGCATAAAGTAAAAATGATATATTATACTTTCAGGAAATGGGCCCCTAAAGTTTAGACCAATAGCTGTTTGCATTCTACATCCAGCAGGCTGATCATTTATAATACCTGACAAATACAAAAGGATATTATTTGTGGTACTCTATTTATCGATCACTAGATTGTGATGGGACTCAATTTTAAAAATGAATATACATTAACTAAAGGTTATTTATTTTGTAAATCTAATTCATGTCAGAGATTGGTTTAAAGCCTATAATTGATTAGCTTAATTACAGGTAAAAGCTTTCTGAAGTAACTAATGGAAATAATGTTCTGCTTTAAAGAAATCATATTTCATTTTGTTGGTCTATACCAGATGTACAGTGGTCTTCAGATAATTCAATATCTATGAGGAAGGACAATGGAATTTTTTATTCAATGGGTAGTATGAATTCAATAAATTTGAAAGAATCGTGACTTTGCTTTTACTACATTCTGTGATAAGAGAATGAAGTATAAGAGTTTGGCAAGTTTTCAAATATACATAAATTTGTATTCAGAGGTGTATGCAGGTCAGAGTGGGTGGAGTTGCACTGAAAACCCGGTAGTGTCAGTAGCTGGCAGGAGGAACATCTTTTTAAAAATTGGGAAACCATGCAACACATTTTTCTTTTTTTCTTTTGTTTTTTCTTTATTGTAAAGGACAAAAAGTTCTCAAAATTATTGAGAAGGGAAATTACACTTTGCTTTGAAACTTTTTGGTAAAATGCCATTGTGGGGATTACTTACAAGGCAGTGTGTGATTAAGCAGGTAAGTGTGATTAAGCACACCACACATTTAGTTGTATTTATAGAGCTTCTGCAACTTGTGGAAGAGCTGTGCTTCAAAAACCCTGGTTGCAAATCAAATCCCCTTTTCTGTTGCTTGCCAGAGCTCCCGGCTGGGCTTCAGGAGCTGTGTGGGCTGATTTTGTGACCTTAGGCAAGTAATTTCCTCTCTCAGGATTGTCAGCATTTTCTTGTCTGTGAATGAGGCAATGGTTAGATGAGCAATTCAAAAAGAGTTTTTTAAGTTATAAAAACAATATATACTTATCATCCAGACCTTAAAAAAATGCTGGCACATTATAGTCACTCAATATGCATTAGTTAAATGAATCAACTGCTTTTTCAAAAAAGAAAAATACAGATGAGTATAAAGAAAAATAATATTTAAATCACCTATAATTTTAACATTTGGCTCCCTATCCTTCTAGATATTTATTTGTTGGGGGAACGTGTAAACATTTGTTTCCTTCTACCAAATTGGGCATACTGATTGGAGTCAGCCTTGTTTATTAAACATTTCCCCCTGTCCTTAAATACCACTGGAGAATGTGATTTTGTGGCCTCATTATCCTCTCTGAGGATAATGATCTCTGAGTCTCGGATCTCTCTCTCCAGCCTGCATATTCCTTAAGCATCAGGCCTCAATTTCTGCCTGTCTCTGGATATCACAACCTGGATATCCCAGAAGCACCTCAAACTCAGCATGTTCCAAACCAAATGTGACCTCTCCTTCAAGTTTCAAACTCATTTTTCTTCCTGTTTCCCAAACTTTGATGGTTCAGCTCTCATCTTCTCCATGATGGACATTTTGGTGATCTCCAGTGTTTATCCACTATATAGCAATGCTGTGACAGACATCCTTATATGTAAATTATTGTTCATATTCTTGATGATTGCCTCAGAAATGATCCCTTAGAGTAAAATGCCTGGGCCAATGAGTATTAGACACATCTTAAAGGAGTTTAATACATTCATTCAGACTGCTCTTCAGTTTATGTGCCCATTATCATTCCCATTTCACTGTATTCTTGTCGATGATGGATAATGACATTATTTTATTTTATTTTATTTTATTTTATTTTATTTTATTTTATTTTATTGAGACAGGGTCTCACTCTCTCACCTGGGCTGGAATGCAGTGGTGCAATCCAGCTCACGGCAGCCTCATCCTCCTGGGCTCAAGCAATCCTCCCACCTCAACCTCCCAAGTAGCTGGGACTGCAGGTGCACGCCACCATGCCCAGCTAATTTTTGTATTTTTTTTTTTTTTTGTAGAGACAGGGTCTCACTATGTTGCCCAGGCTGATCTCAAACTCCTGAGCTCAAGTGATATACTCACCTCAGCCTCCCAAAGTGCTGGGATTACAGGTGTGAGCCACTGTGCCTGGCCTGGATAATGACTTTTAAAAAAATCTATGTCAATTTCAGAGGAAAAACGTAGCACTTCTTACTGTCTTTAAAAGATCATCTCTTTAATAACTGGTGAGGCTGAGCTTTGAACATTCGTGTTGTATTAGTAGTTTAGATGCTCCAGCTTCAAGGGTTTGTAATTCTGTGGTTTCCTTGAATGGCTGTTTAATGATTACAAACTTAACCTTCAGACTCATCAGAGGAAGCACAAAAAAACTCAAAGATTAACTGAAACCACTTGATGCTAACTAAAGCTTTGGTTCTGTTAAGGGTGTTGTGTATTAGGAATCCTTTCACTGACTTAGATTCCAAGACTTGCCTTATTTCAGCTTTGATAGTCCATAGTTCATGCTTTTCACCTCCACCCCTTGTTTTCTCTCTCACATGTCTGGCCTGGGTATTTTCAATGTCTCTATTAGTCTGTTCTCACACTGCTATAAAGAAGTATTTGAGACTGGGTAATTTATAAAGAAAAGAGGTTCAATTGACTCACAGTTTCACAGGCTGTACAGGAGGCATGACCGGGGAGGCCTCGGGAAACTTACAATCATGTTAGAAGGTGAAGGGGAAGCAAGCACATATTCACATGGTGGCAGGAGAGAGAGCAAAGGGGGAAGTGCTGCACCCTTTTAAACAACCAGATCTCATGAGAACTCACTCATGAGATCGACAAGGGGGAAATATGCCCCCATGATTCAATCACCTCCCACATGGTCACTCCCCCAACATTGGGGATTACAATTCAACTTGAGATTTGGGTGGGGACACAGAGCCAAACCATAAAATGTCTGAGAGAGGTAGTCTAGAAATCAAGGTTTCCATGATGCTTCTCTCAGGGAGGAAAGTCTTTTCCTTTACCCTCTTATGTTTAGTAATTGGGGGCCTGCAAATTAAACTGACAAAAGAGAGATTCACAAAAGAAAAGACAAATTAAAAAAATTCACATACATATATAGGAATTCACAGAAAAATGTGACTCAACGAGGGGGCTAGATTTGGGGGGTTATACACCATCTTAACAGAACAAGGGAAGGCGGAGCAGGCACTTACAAAAAAACAACTTCTTAATAGGGGATGGTCACAGGGAGAAAAGACACATAGGAAAACAAATGACTTTTAGAAAAGATAAATGGGCCCTTAGAAGGAGATATGGGACATATGACAGTTTTGTGACAGTGTCTATTTAGGTATGGTGTCAGCTTCCAAGTCTCTAGTGATAAGTCAATCTTCCCTGGTTGTGAAACTCCTAGAGAGGGGATTTATGATAATTGAGGTCTTTGGGGAGGCTTTGCTTTATAGCAGATTTGGGACTTAAGGAAAAACAAAAACAAACAAACAAAAAAACACCTATTCTCAAATATCTGGAGCTCAAAATAATATTTATGCTACAGTGGTATATTCTAGAGTCTCAACTGCCATCTAATATGGAATAATCCCAAACTAAGGATTTTTCAAGCTGGCTGTTAGGTTCCATTAATTCAGTCAACAAGTATTTCTTGGAAACCCACTAAGTGCCAGGCATTGTGGCTGGTGCAGAGGTTATAGAGATGAAAACCATGGTATTTGTTCTCAGCGGTAAACAGACTAGAGGTATATGGGTCTCTAATCTGTCTGGACTTTGATAATAAATTTTATATAGTAAGTTTGGGCTTTATAGACTTTGCTTTGATGATTGTGACAAATTTTTAGTAAACATGTGAGGTCAGTGACATCTGGCATTTTCCCTGTTGCTGAGTCATCAATCACAGTGGCCTGCATCACCTGGCTGTGTTTCTGACCTGCTTACTTGGCTGACAAGTGAGCCTGGGCAACTGGCCACCATCTACACCTCAACACTGCTTTGTGCTTTCTTCTCACACGTCAAGTAACAAGTTGAGAAAGGACACTTCAATTTTTTCTGTTATGTTTCATTGCATCTAACAGGGAGACTGTATTATATAGTGATAGTCATGGATGAGTTCCTGAGCCTGAGGATCTTTTCACACAGAAAAGACCTTAACATTCACCTGAAAGTAAAACAAAATGTAATCATTTTTAGAAGTCAAGAAAGTATTTGAGGCATAGATACAGAAATAAACTAAAATTGTGTTTGTTAAAAGTCTTAGTTAACACTGCTTTGGTAATGAACTTTGGAAAAACTGAGCATTCAGCCTTCAGATGTGGTCTGCATTGACACTCCATATTAACATGTTCATAGAAGGATCTAGGAAACTACAGGGCCAGGACTAGCAATATTTTTGGGAAATGACATTTCACACTAACACGCAACTTACACAGCTTTCCCAGTTTGCTATTGGAAAAGTGAACCATCATAATTATTCCATCTCGTGACTTTTAGGGAAATTCACTGGTCCTTCTCTTCCTTTCCCCTTCAAACATTTAGAGAATATTCATGTGCCAGGTACTGTAATGGGCACAGAATATACAGAGATGAACCAACATTGATTAAATCAGAATCTCTGGGGAATGGGGTAAACGCTTTCTATATGATTCCTGCATGATCCAGGGCTAAGAATTGCTTGGACTCAGCACAGGAATGGGTAGAGGAGGGAAGAACATGAATGATGTCTCTCTCTGAAATGGGAAAGTGCTCAGGTCTCCTAAGAGAGGCAGGGACAGTGTCAGTGGAGTGGAGTGAATGAGTTGAGAGGGAATAGCTCAATAGACAGCTTTGGAGAAAGCTAAAGTTCAGGTCATGCAGGACCTTATGGGTTGGGCAACAATTGTTTTTTCTCCATCTTAAGAGCAAAGAGAAGTCAATAAAAGATTGGAAGTGGCAGATATGGCTGGGCAGACATATAGTAGGTATACCTCCTACCTTGGAGTTGTGTTCACATTGTTGCTCTGAGGATTTTCTGGGGACTGAACTCCGGTTGCTCACAGTGGTAACCTACTCATTAACACACCCTCTTTATGGCCCTCTTCCTTTCTGTTTTCCCTCCCTTCTCATTTCTTCACTGTGCTAGTCCAGTGGGAAGACGAAGGTGGCACCGGGCAGTAGAGGTGAAGACGCAGGAGTAGAGAGGCTCCTGGAGTTCATAGAAGACAGCCTCCAGGGTCTTGTTGATGGATTGGATTTGGGGATACAGGGAAGAAGAGAAGTAGGTGTCAAGAGTAACTCTTAAGTTTCTGGTGGGTTGGATGATAGTGTGATTAATATTCCAAACTTAGGGAGGCAAGAAGCCAAGCATGGACAGGAATGTGCAAGACATCTTTACAAAGCTGAGTGTGCTTCTTGATTTGGGACAGACGTTGGGACCATGAAACTTGTTTTTGTAGGTTTCAGTGATTGTGAGAGAGCTAGAAATTCAGCCACGAACTTTTCTCATTAAGGCTCAAACATACCGTTGGGTTTCTTTTTGTTTTACTTGGGTGGTGCAGGTTCTGTGATGGATTTTAGTGAAACAAAGTCACTTGTTTTAGGATAAGCTTAGAAATAAGAATTTGGTGGCACCATAAAAGGGAAGAAAATGCATTTGGATACAGTAGTGTACCCTGAATCACAGTTTCAATTTCTCCAGTTACCTGAGGTCAACTGTAGTCCAAAAAACTTAAGTGGAAAATTCCAGAAATAAACAATCATAAGTTTTAAATTGTACAACGTCCTGAGTAGTGTGATGAAACCTCAAGACATCCTGCTCCATCCTGCCTGGGACTGGGACGTGAGTCCTCCCTATGTCCAGCACATTCATGCTATAGACGCTCCCTGCCCGTCAGTCACTTAGTAGTTGGCTCGGTTATCAGGTCAACTGTTGCAATATTGCAGTGCTTGTGGCCACCCACAAGTCACCCTTATTTTACTTCATAATGGCCCCAAAGTGCAAGAGTGATGCTGGCTAATTGTTCTATTTTTTATTAGTTATTGCTGTTAGTCTCTTACTGTGCCCAGTAATAAATTAAACTTTATCACAGGTATGTACATATAGGAAAAAACATAGCATATGTAGGGTTCAATACTATCCTCAGTTTCAGGCATCCACTGGAGGTCTTGGAATGTATCCCTCTTGGATAAGGGATAACTCCTGTACTTTCAGTAATGATTTACAATGGAATATTCTTAAACAAAATCTTGTGTAATATTATGACCCACTGTTAGAGTTTATCTCAATTTCTGTTCCACTGCATTTCTTCTGGAAGCAGTGTGGGCTCCCCTGTCCCCCAAAAGAGTTTTTTAGATAAACTGGAAGGTTTACAAGGAAGAACAGTGAAAGTAATTAGGAGCTGAAATAATTGATTTGTGAGCCAGGTTAGAAAAGCTAAATCCATTTTGTTTGGCTAACTGACAAATAAAAATGGAAATAAGTCAATCAGGAATAAAAGCAAAGGAAATAACTAGGCTTCATGTAGCTATCTGAGAGAAATTGGCCCCAGCCATCCTTTCCCATTCAATACAGCTTCTCCAAACTCATTCCCAGTCTGGGGTTGAGGAGAGGGAGATAAGAATGGGGATAAGAAACAGAACAAGAAGAAACAAAAGATAAGTGGTTGTTCCTCTCCTGTCTCTTTCCTGCTCCTAGTTAATTAGGAAGGTGGAGCATTTGTGATCAACCCTCATTTAAGAGCTTTCAAATTGTAGCCCCGAGAATTTTCATTTGCTTTAGTTTTAGAAGAGTGGCCCTTTGACTATCATATCTTCAGTCTGGTAAGAAGACCATCAACAGCTCTGTCTATTTAATTTATACACCATTTATGGTCATGTGTCACTTAATAGCAGGAATACATTCTGAGAAATGTGTCATTAGGCAAATTTGTGGTTGTGAGACCATCATAGTGTGTACTTACACAAACCTAGATGGTATAGCCTACTACACGCCTAGGCTATATGCTATGGCCTGTGGCTCCTCGGCTACAAACCTGTTCAGTAGTTACTCTACTGAATACCATAGGCAATGACAATAATAACTGTGTATCTAAACATTGCTAAACATAGAAAAGGTACAGTACAAATATGGTACTGTGATCTTATGGGGCCACCGTCATACATGTGGTACTGTCATTGATCAAAACACCATTATGGTACATGGCTGTACATATATATGCCCTGTGTCATATATTTATATGTAAAATATTTATTTTTCATATAAAATTATGATTTTAATAGAAAGTTTAGCAAATATTGAAAATAAAATTGAAGTAGGGGAAAATTAAAATGACCTGGAATTATACCACCTAGAACCAGCCACTGTAAACATTTTGTCTTGGCTCAGTGTGGTTTTGTGTTCGTGCAGAGTGTTGGTATGTTCCGAAGCATGTTATTGTGGCTCATGTTGTCATGTCTGGCTTCTCGCTCCCTGGCCATTTCGGCCAGTCTCGGGACCTCTATGGCATCCTCTAATAGGTCACTCCTACATTTTCTCCTAGTCTTGTATGCTGTTTGGAAACAGGTCTGTATGTCTTCCTGTCTGCAAATGCCACCAGGTGGACACGTGCCCAAGCACCTCACTCTCAGGATGTTCCCCACTTCATTCACGTCCCTCCTAAGTGCAGATCATGCTCCTCCTCTGTCCACTCGCCTGCCATCGTCTCACTCATCCTAGTCAAATCAGCTCACCTGACTCCCTTCGCAACTGAAAACAATCATTGCCCTGTTTTCCTCCTCTGGGACCACCACTTTATATGGTCCCCAGTCACCTTAATTCTGCCCTTTAACATTTTCTGCTGAGCTGCTACCTCTTCCCCCCAGATCTTCTTCCTCAGAGCGTCTCTTCATGCAGTTCACGTTTCCCAGAGGCTCAGGCTCTAGGGCCTGATGACTCAGATTCCAACCCTGCCATTGCTCCTTGCTGGCTATGAGACTTTGGCCAAGTTATTGACGGTTCTGTATTAAGTTTTTTTTTCTTTATTTTACTTTAAGTTCTGGGATACATGTGCAGAATGTACAGGTTTGTTACATAGGTATACATGTGCCATGGTGGTTTGCTGCACCCATCAGCCCGTCATCTGGGTTTTCTGTATTCAGTATTCACCACCCTAAAATGGAGTTAACCATAGTACCTACTGTGGAGCTCTTGAGATGGTTAAAATATGCAAAACATTGGAATAGTTCCTAGAGCATCATGGTGCACAAAAACAGCATCACAGCACTTGCTGTGAGTCAGATATCATTATACTTAATTGGAAACTTCCACGTGTAGGTCCTAATCCTGATTGAAATCCAAGCCGTCTCTAATCTCTGAGTTGATCTTTCTCTCCTCTGAATTCCCAGTCATCTTTTCTCTGTACCTCTTCTAGGGAGCTTAGCAAATTTTACCTCCCTTTAGCAATTTTTATACTACTGTTTATTTTAAAAGTAGACTTGCTACCTGTTATTACAATCTAACTATTTTATATTTATTTATTCATATTTCTGCTTCTCCTATAAACACCCTGAGGGCAGAATCATTGCCTAATTATTTGTGTGATCTCCCACTCCCTTCACTACATACAGTGGCTTGGATGTGGTAGAACTTTTCTGGTTTTGTGGAGATAGAATCCACCTACAATACAATTCGGCCATTTAAAGTGTATAGGACAATGGCTTTTAGTATGTTCACAGAATTGTGCAAGCATCACCACAATCAATTGTAGAATACTTTTTGTTTTGTTTGTTTGTTTTGAGATGGAGTTTCACTCTTGTCACCCAGGCTGGAGTGCAATGGCATGATCTCGGCTCACCGCAACCTCTGCCTCATGGGTTCAAGCAATTCTCCTGCCTCAGCCTCCCTAGTAGCTGGGATTATAGGCACCCGCCACCATGCCCAGCTAATTTTTGTATTTTTAGTAGAGATGGGGTTTCACCATGTTGGCCAGGCTTGTCTTGAACTCCTGACCTCAGGTGATCCACCTGCTTCAGGTTCCCAAAGTGCTGGGATTACAGGCGTCAGCCACCATGCCCAGCCAGAACACTTTTGATACCCCCAAAAGAAACACCATACCCTTTAGCTATCACCTTGGACTCTCCTCATCCCACCCAGCCCCAGACAACCACTATTCCACTTGCTCTATGGATTTGCCTCTTCTGGACATTTCATATAAATAGAATCACACAATATATTATCTTTGTGACTAGCTTTTCTCACTTAGCATCATATTTTCAAACTTCACCCATGTCATAGCGTATGTCAGTACTTCATTTCCTTTTATGGTAAAATACTATCCCATTGTATGAATCTATTAGATTTTATTTATCCATTCATGAGTCGATGGACATTTGTATTGTTTCTACTTTTTGGCTACCATGGATCATGCTGCTGTGAATATTCATGTGCAAGTCTTTACGAGAACATGTTTTCATTTCTCTTGGCTATAGGCCTAGGAGTGGAATTGCTTGGTCTTGTGGTAACTCTATCTTTAACTGTGAGAGGAACTCCAAATTGTTTTCCAAAGTGGCTGTACCATTTTGCATTCCCACCAGCTGTGTATCTAGTTTCTCCACATCCTGCGTGTGGTAGATTTTAATAGGGAAAGAATACAAAGAATAGTTCTTTAAGCTTGATTTTCTAGTTCAGTAGATGCTAAAAGAGGACTTTCTTCTAATGCTTTAATTAACAGCAGATTCTATTAGAAAAATGTCCTTCATCCTCAAGGGATGTCTTGTCATACTGGGAAGACACTTTTAGAAGGAAGAAGGTAAGAAGATTAATCTGTATTCAAATAAAAATACAAAGCCTGAGGAATTTTTTTCCTAGTATTTTCATTACATCAATAGGGATTTCTTAAGAAATGCAAATATGTATTGTTTTGCCACAGATAAGGCAGTGTTATTTAAAGGTGGAGACAACATACAGGATCCTGTATAAAAAGTGAAATTTTTGAGAGCAAAAAGAATTGGAGTGGGGCCAAGTAAGTTAAGGAAAAATAAAAATCTATTGAAGTAAGCAAGAAAAGTGGGAGTAGAATAGAGCTGGCATATCAGGTAGGACATGAGGGCATCCGGTGTATCTGGAAGCTGTTGGGGGAGGGTGGTGGGGGCCGGAAAGAGAGACTGAGGCACTGCCCCCTCCTGTGTTGTAACATGACCACATTTCTGGTGATGAGGTAACACGATATAGGGAAGATGGAAAAATTCCTAATCCTGAAATAGTAGTGCTCAACCCATAAAGCACTTACCATGAATCAAACTCTGTACTAAGCACTTTATTTTTATTTATTTGTTTATTTTTGAGACAGGGTCTCTCTCTGTTGCCCAGGCTGGCATGCAGTGGTGCAATCATAGCTCACTGCAGCCTCAAACTCCCGGGCTCAAGTGGTCCTTCCATCTCAGTCTACCAAGTAGCTAGGACTGCAGGCGCATGCCACCATGCCTGGCTAATTTTACATTTTTGTAGAGACGGGGTTTTCACCATGTTGCCCAGGCTAGTCTTGAACTCCTGGGCTCAAGCTCTCCTCCCGTCTCAGCCTCCTAGAGTGCTGAGATTACAGGCATGGCCAAGGCGCCTGGACCTAAGCACTCTGTATACATTACTTCAGTTTAATCCTCCTATCAAGCCTATGGTTTAGGTACAATTGTCCTCACTTTGCAGATGGCGAATTAAAGGCCACAGAGGTTAAGAAATTGCTGAGATTACCACAGCGAATAAGTGTTGATGCTGAGCTTTGTACCCTGGTGTCCGTGAGCCTCCCAGGTCCGTGGTCTAAGCCACTGTGCAACATCCCTCCTGTCTCTGTTTTCTTCACCTACATTGTTTGAATACAACAATTAAAAACAATTAACCATCTTGTGATTTTAGTTTAAATGAAATTGATTTAAATAATTAGTCAAAGGCATGTGATTTAGTAACAGTTTTTAAATTAGTAGTGATGTAATGTAATATAATGTGCTAAGGGGTATATTGCAAGTTGAGGCAGAATGCAGGGATTTATAGACCATGTTATGAAGATTCCAGTTTGTGCAGAGGCAGGGAGAAGCACTCAGTTTTCATCTTTGGAGTCAAGTGGTTACATTTTTGCTTTGGAAATATCTCTCTCGTTGCAATGAGGGGTTTGTATTGGAGGGAGTGGGAGATGAAGATCAATCAGGACTCTTACAATAGTCAAGATGAGGAATGAGATGGATCTGAACTAAGACCAGGGTGGTAGCAGTGGACAGAAGGACAGGTGCAAATCTAAGAAAGATAAAGGGGTCACCATTTGGTTTCTGGGAATGGAGGCAAGACCGGAACCATGTAAGTCTCCCAGGATTCTGAGAGTACCACAGGGCAGTTAGAGATACAGTTCATCAGGATGGATTCTAATAAAATGGAATTTTATAATAATGAATATCACTTCTCAAGAAAAAATATGTGCATTTTTTCCACTTTTCCATTTTGATTTTTCTTTACAATCCTCACTCTGTTTTCTTTGAGTCAAATCCATTTTCATCTTATCAGATATGACATTCTTTTTGCAGAAGCAATTCCAGCAGGTTTAATACTTTAAACTTAATTTATGAAAAGTCTATTCATGCCCTTCTGGGTCATTTAAACAGGCAGCATCTTTTTGCAATTTCCTGGACCCATCGAGTTTGCCCAAGTGCTTACAAATGCACATTGTTCAAGATGATAAATGACTTAACTAGGAAATTGATAGCTAATTTGTTGAAAACCTCTTATGATTCCAGGCTGCTCTCTCAGGAGGCACCACCATGATTATTGATTTCGCCATTCCTCAGAAAGGTGGCTCCCTCATTGAGGCCTTCGAGACCTGGCGAAGCTGGGCTGATCCCAAAGTTTGCTGCGACTACAGCCTTCATGTGGCAGTGACGTGGTGGAGTGACCAGGTAAAGCACCTGGATTTCAATGTGTTCCCATTGTCCTCTTGTCCTCACTCTGCACAAGAGCAAGAAACTGGTGACATTGATTGCTTCCTAGACAACAGGAGGACAGAACTGGCAGGAAGACTTTTCATTGCATATTCTTTTGTATCTTTTGAATTTTTAATTCTGTGAAGTATTACCAATTTTAAAAACTAAATTAAAAAAATCATATAAAGACAATAGGATAAATCTTTTATGCTCATTCATAACAGCTTCTCCTAATATTTAATCAATGAATCATCAATGCTTTAAGTGTAATGTTTAATATACTGATTTCTCTTTTTCTTAAATTCAATATCCCCCGAATCTTTTAAACAGTATTTTCCCACAGGTTAGAACTTCAATAAAAAATGTTTAATTTCTCAAAAATAAAATCAAGGAAATTCTAAATTTAGAATTCTCTAGAACTAGAAGCCTGCCTTCCCACTCATGAGCCTTCTTTAGAGAGGAAGGGACAGGCCTGGACTGTTTCCAGAGTCTTCTCCAAGCTGTATCTTGACCGAGTGATCTTCCTACTCTGCTAATGTTACCACACCTGGTCAGATGATTTCATAATAGAGCTTAAAACAACCTTCCATGTCCACTAATTGCCCAGGCCATGGCAGAAATAACATGATTTAGATAGAAAAGACAGTTCTGAGAGATGTTAAAATATGTTGATTTCCTCCCACATAAATGTGTGTGTGAATTTTGGAAGAAACTTTTACTTGGAATTTAAATTGCAACATGTTTTTCCACATTGCACTTAATTCAGCAATCTTTTTACCAGAAAGAGTTCACCATTAGGACATTATTTGAGTATCTTATAATCTCACATCCCCCACAAACTCGGGCTTTAGACAGCAAGTTAATCTAAAACAAATAATCAATCTTTAACAGGTAGTTCAGCAAACATAATAGCAAGGTTTATAGTCCACAGCTAACGTTAGTTTTTCTCCAAAAATGCCATTTTTAGTGATGCATCTGAACTCTTATGCTTTTAGGATCGTCCCTCCTTTTCTTCCCTTCCCTCCCCTCCCTTCTCTTCTTCTTTTCCCTCCCTCCCTCCCTTCCTCCCTTCCTTCTTTCTTTTCTTCTCTTCCCTCCCTCCCTTCCTTCCTTCTCTTCATTTTCCTATTCTCCTATTTTATAAGATGGAGCAAAGGTGATGGTGTTTGTCCTTATCAGTGCTTCTCACACTTTAGTATACAAAGAGTCACCTGGTAAACCTTGCTAAAATGCAGATTGCAGATTCTGTTCAGGGGGGTTATTCGTTTGCTAGGGCTGCTGTAACCCTAGCAAACAGAATGTACGACAAACAGAATGGCTTAAACAACAGACATTTACTGCCTCACAGTTGTGGAGGCCAGAAGTCTGAGATTTAGGTGTCAGCAGGGTTGGTTCCTTCTGAGGGCTCTGAGGGAGAACCTGTTCCTTTCCTCTCTCCTAACTTCTGGAAGTTTGCTGACAACCTTTGGCATTCCTTGTCTTGTAGAAGCATCATCCCAATCTCTGCCTTCATCTTCATATGATGTTCTCCCCGTGGAGGTCTGCATCCCAGTTTCCACTTGATATAAGGGCAGCAGTTACATTGGATAAAGCGCACATGCTCGTGTCCTCATCTTAACTAATTACATCTGCAAGGACTCTATTTCCAAACAAGGGGTTAGGACTTCAACATATGAATTTTTGGCTCACCCAAGTCAACCCATAGCAGTAGGTTAGGAGCAGGTGGGACCTGAGATTCTGCATTTCTAGCAAGCAACCAGGTGACGCTGCTGATGCTGGTTCAGTTGCCACACTTTTGGAGGAGGAAGGCTGAAGCTAATATGCTTGCAAGTTGTATAATGAGATTCTTCCATGGATGTGGATGGCAGGGATGATTAATGAGGGCTCTTCTACTCAGGGAGCAAAAGATATTTCATGTAAGCAATGCAGATCATAATCCCCTTTGGAAGCCCATTATGTGAATATGCTAACAATGTTTCAAGCATTTTTTTTTCTGACTATAAAACTAATGTACTCATTGTAAAAAATTAGAAACTGTTAGGGGGAACAAATGAGGTGCACTGTCCCATGTTCTGTCCCTTGCTGTTGTCACTTAACCTAACTTGGAGCACATTCCATCACTTGTCCACTCTCAATATTTTGGTGCTTTTTTCTAGATTAATTAAGTAGCAATTAATTTATTCAATAAATAGTTATTGAGTGGGCACTATGCACCAGGCACTGTTCTAGGATACAGCAGTGGACAAGCCTTACAAGGCCCCTTCTCTCATGGGGCTGAAATCCTGGTGGGGCCGACAGGTGATCAGCAAGTAAGGACTGCTATGCCGGGTGATAAGCACCATCAAGAAAAGGGAGGGACATTTCCAAGGGAATAAACAGTGGTAGCAATGAGTAAATTCACGTGTAATATTATCATTCTTAAACTTTGCTGACTCAATAGAATTACGCTGCTTTATTTTGCACTTTTTAGTTAGTAGGAAATTTCTTGCATGTGTTTTTAGTCATTTATTACTCCATGAATTGTTGCCAACATTTTTCAACATGTTTTTCTTATCAAGTTGAAAGAACTTTTATTAGCTAAGAGCAATAATCCTATGCTTGTTACACTTTTCATTGTGTGTGTGTGTATGTGTGGGTGGGTGGGTGTGGGTGTGTTTTAACATATAGAAGTTCAAACAGTCTTATTTGGTCAAATCTATGAGTTTTTCCTTTGGAATTTTTGATCCTTATTGAGACTTGAATCTGACCTACAAAAGCAATTATTGAGGCTGGGCGCGGAGGCTCATGCCTGTAATTCCAGCACTTTGGGAGGCCAAGGAGGGCAGATGACTTGAGGTCGGGAATGCAAGACCAGCCTGGCCAACATGGTGAAACCCCATCCCTACTAAAAATACAAAAATTAGCTGGGCATGGTGGTGCACGCCTGTAATCCCAGCTACTCAGGAGGCTGAGGCAGGAGAATCACTTGAATCTGGGAGGTGGAGGTTGCAGTGAACCAAGATCATGCCACTGCACTCCAGCCTGGGCAACAGAGCAAGACTCTGTCTCAAAAAAAAAAAAAAAAAGAGCAATTGTTGCGATAGCTTTGATACTAACTTGCCCCTGACCCCTGGCAACCCTGAAGGCCTCTGAGCTTCCAACGGATCCAGAGTGGAGTCTCCAGCTGTCACCTCCTAGGAGCTGCCAATGGGTCCCATGCCACCACGGCTGGCTCTACAGCTAAACCATGAGTTTGTGCTTTCTTGGGCATGCCCGGGTCCATCTGCATCTTCTACTTTCTCCTTCTAAGAACTCCACCCATGGCTTTCAGATTGGAACCTGAATCCTTACCTCACATTAACGTTCATTCCTGCTGGATCCATGATTGCTTCTGTTGCTGCCAACATGGCTTCAAGGTCATTTTTTAGAATAATTTCCTCAAATCGGGAGATAGATGCAGAGAATTTTACATCCAAGTACAGAAATAAAGCACTTTGGGAAAAGCTATTCACTTTTTCATGATTTAAAAGTATGAGAGCAGCAGCAGTTTATCAGATGAAATGGGGTATAACCTGGGAAAAAGATCAAGGCCTTAATTGCATTTTTGTGGAACTAAACTATTGTCCTTATTTTCCTTATTTTACTTAGTTCTCTTCCGAATGCAACGTTTTAGAGAAGGTTGAAATTATCATTTAAATTAGAGTAACATATTGTTGTTATGGTTGCTGCTTCCTTTTAGGTTAAAGAAGAAATGAAAATCCTTGTGCAAGATAAAGGTGTTAACTCTTTCAAGATGTTTATGGCCTATAAAGATCTGTACATGGTGACAGACCTGGAGCTGTACGAAGCCTTCTCTCGGTGCAAGGAAATTGGAGCAATTGCCCAGGTCCATGCGGAAAATGGAGACTTAATTGCAGAGGTACGCATTTGCATTCCAAAGCTTCTACAGAAATGACAGCAGCCATAACATAAGGTGAAGATGATTGGGCCTACATAGGTAAACTCATTTAATGCATTGGAAGATGAGAAATCCAGAAATGGATTTTCCGTGGCTCGGAAACGGATTTTCTGTGGCTCAGAAACTCCCAACTCCATTTCCTTGAGTCCCTGCTCTCAGCTTTATGCAGGTGGTATATGCACTAGAATGAGGATTTCCCCTTTGCAAACCAGCTCTTAGATCTCAAACATGTGCAGTTATGAAAACACAAATACTTTTCTTTGTGTCCTCCAGCATACTTTTGGCTTTGTTGTTGTTTTTCAGAAGCTTAGGCTGCTGGTTCAGAATACCAAAGCGTGGTCAACATCAGTGTCATCTGATGACTTAAGCAGTGTATTAGGTAGCTGTTTAAAGCCCTGCTCTTTTCAGAAACTGGATATTAAAATGTGCTCTGGAGGAAACTAGATGATATTTATTTCTCATGTTAGTCCCATTATTAATGCCTGAAGGATACACCATCTGCAAGATTTAAAGAGCTGTCTCTTGCCCTTTATATTAGCTGACTTTTTTTTTAATCTCCTTAGGCTCAGCTCCCATTAAAGTGAGTGAGATTGAGGCTCAGTGGCCACAAGGCAGAGAGGAATAATGAGAAGGGAGCGTGAGCTGTAAAAACAAAACAAAACAAAAAACAGACCAGGGTTTAAATTGGACTTCTGCTTTATAGTTTCATGACAACAGGAAGTATTTTTACCACTCTAAGTCTGGACTGCATGCTCTTTTTGTAAGGAAGAAATAACATTTTGAAGAAGAAAGATAACAGGTCCAATACCATTTAGTGGGTTGGATTGGGGAGCAAGTGAAGAGGATTATTCCGTAATAAAAGTAAAACTGATTACATAGTATGACAGTGAGTCACTTCAACAAGGATCCACAGTATTTTTATTTTGTTTGTCTGAATCAATATTGTCTTAAATATAGATATTGCTTTTCAAAGAATGTGATTAGAAATAACTTCATATCTTTTTCACCTTTTCTTTTTAAATTTTTTTATTTTTGTGGGGTACATAGTAGTGTATATATTTATGAGGTGCATGAGATATTTTGATACAAGCTTGCAATGCATAAGAATCACATCATGGAAAATTGGGTATCCATCCCCTCAAGCATTTACCCTTTGTGTTACAAACAATCCAATTATATTATTTTAGTTATTTTAAATGGTGCAATTATTTTTTATTTGTTGTTATTATTATTATTTTTTGAGATGGAGTCCCGCTCTGTTGCCTAGGCTGGAGTGCAGTGGTGCGATCTCAGCTCACTGCCAGCTCCACCTCCCGGGTTCACACCATTCTCCTGCCTCAGCCTCCCGAGTAGCTGGGACTACAGGTGCCCGCCACCACGCCCGGCTAATTGTTTGTATTTTTAGTAGAGACAGGGTTTCCCCGTGTTAGCCAGGATGGTCTCGATCTCCTGACCTTGTGATCTGCCCACCTCAGCCTCCCAAAGTGCTCGGATTACAGGCGTGAGCCACCGCGCCCGGCCAAAAGGTGCAATTATTGACTATAGTGCCCCTGTTGTGCTATCAAGTACTAGATCTTATTCATTCTTTCTTTTTTTTTGTTTTACACACAAACCATCCCTACCTTCCCCCCTCTCCCCACCGCCATCCCTCCCCACTAACCTTCCCAGCCTCTAGTAACCATCCTTCTATTCTGTATCTCCATGAGTTTAATTGTTTTAATTTTTAGATCCCACAAATAAGTGAGAACATGCAATGTTTGTCTTTCTGTGTCTGGCTTATTTCATTTAGCATAATGACCTCCAGTTCCATCCATGTTGTTGCAAATGACTGGATCTCATTCTTTTTTATGGCAGAATAGTACTCCCTTGTGTATATGTAACACATTTTCTTTATCTATTCATCTGCTGATGGGCACTTAGGTTGCTTCCAGATCTTGGCTGTAGTGAACAGTGCAGCAACAAATATGGGAATGCAGGTATATCTCTTTGATATACTGATTTTCCTTTCTTTTGCATATATGTCCAGCAGTGGGGTTGCTGGATCATATGGTAGCTCTGTTTTTAGTCTTTTGAAGAACTTCCAAACTATTCTCCAGAGCAGTTTTATTAATTTACCTTCCCACCAACAGCGTACATAGGTTCCCTTTTCTCCACATCCTTACCAGCAATTGTTATTGCCTGTCTTTTTAATATAAGCCATTTTAACTGGGGTGAGATGATATCTCAGTGTAGTTTTGATGTGCATTTCTCTGATGATCAGTGATGTTGAGCACCTTTTCATATGCCTGTTTGCCATTTGTATGTCTTCTTTGAAGAAATCTCTATTCAAATCTTTTGCCCATTTTTAAATCAGATTATTAACTTTTTTTCCTGTAGAGTTGTTTTAGTTTTGTATATATTCTGCTTCTTAATCCCCTGTCAGATGGGTAGTTTGCAAATATTTTTTCCCATTTTGTGGGTTGTTTCTTCACTTTGTTGATTGTTTCCTCTGCTATGCAGAAGCTTTTTAACTTGATGTCATCCCATTTGTCCATTTTTGCTTTGGTTGCTTGTGCTTGCTTTTTCCCCTTTTCAATAAAAAAAAGTGATGGTAAAATATGCATATGGAAAATTAACTTATATGATTAGAATATCAAAATTATTTTTACCAAATATACATGTTATATATATATGTGTTATAGATATATTTACACAAATATGTTCATATACACACACACACAGACACACACACACCCCTATACCTAACAGATCAAAAGCCTGGCATTGCATTTAATTTATGATAAAATAATGATATCTGTCATTAGTAAACCTTCCTTGCACATATACACATTCCTGCTGTCTTTTTAGGGAGCAAAGAAGATGTTGGCTCTGGGGATAACAGGCCCTGAGGGCCACGAGCTGTGCCGCCCAGAGGCAGTGGAGGCAGAGGCCACGCTGAGAGCCATCACCATAGCCAGCGCTGTGAACTGTCCTCTCTACATTGTGCATGTGATGAGCAAGTCTGCAGCTAAGGTGATAGCGGATGCAAGGAGAGATGGTAATTCTCGAATGTAACCTCACTTAGAACTCAGTGTTAGCTGAAGAGAAAAGTCCACGTCTGTAGCCTCTGCTTCAGTTTAGGAGAAAGTGCATGTGGATTTCCACTACTTTTCTTCCTCCCTTTTTATTAGCCTCCTGGTTTCATTTATCCTTATGTGTGTCTGTTTTCCACCACTTTTGTTCATCTTCATCCTTGCCTCTCTACCTTCATGTTTTATTTGTTATTTCTTCTCCATCCTTGCGACCCCAGGACATTTCCTTTAGCCACATGCCCCCACACTCAATGCCACTAGCAGCCACTTTTAAATATGATAGCTAAATGCAAAGCTCTCCGGTTTTTGTTTGTTTGTTTTGTGATGGAGTCTCACTTTGTCGCCCAGGCTGGAGTGCAATGGTGTGATCTCAGCTCACTGCAACCTCCGCCTTCTGGGTTCAAGTGATTCTCCTGCCTCAGCCTCCTGAGTAGCTGGAATTACAGGTGAGCACCACCACACCCAGCTAAATTTTATATTTTTAGTAGAGACGGGGTTTCACCATGTTGGCCAGGCTAGTCTCAAACTCCTGACCTCTAATCATCCACCCGCCTCAGCCTTCCAAAGTGCTGGGATTACAGGTGTGAGCCACCATGCCTAGCCCTCTTTCGTTAATTTTGAAGAAGCTTCCCTATCTCTTAGGCAGCTCCACTACCCTTCCCACTACCTGAATCAGGGCAGTGCAAGGCACCTAGTACATGCTCAATAAATTTCTTTTGAATTGAATTGATTCATCTGACAGCCACTTGGATGTTGGAGCAATTGAAGCAATTATCCAAATGGTATTTTTATGATGGTTATTTTAAGATTTTAAAATCTAAGTTATTTTTACCCCAAACTGCCTAATTGCCTCAGTTCTCTGGTTCAGCCTAGTATGTTCAGCCTAGTATGTAAATACTCATCTTAAAGGAAAGAGAAAATCTCCTATTTTTGATAAGCACTGGGCAAAGAAATGATTTCACTCTTTTGCCAATACTGGTAGAGAAAGGAGGAAAAATAAATAAGGTGCATTTTACTCAAAGACTTTAGTCCCATGGTAGCTTCTGTCATCTCAATTTTAGGAATGCAGATAATCAGAGACAGTGTTATAATTCAACCTTGCTGTTTTTGTTTGTTTTTTATTAAAACAGGCTGTATTTTTGTAAGATTCATTATAAAAATAATGGGTCTCACTCTGTTGCCCAGGCTGGAGTGCAGTGGTACAATCTTGGCTCACTGAAGTCTCTAACTTCCAAGTGATCCTCCCATCTCAGTCTCCCAAGTAGCTGGGACCACAGGCATGTGCCACCATGCCCAGCTAATTTTTAAACTTTTTGTAGAGACAGGGTCTCGCCATGTTGCCCAGGTTAGTCTTGAACTCCTGGGCTCAAGCCATCCTCTCACCTTGGCCTCCCAAAATGTTGGGATTACAAGCATGACCCGCTGCATGGTTTTGGCATGTATATAATTGATACCAAAACAAATTTTGTCAAAATTTCTTCTTGTTGCATTAAGGTTCAGTAATGATTTTGTGCAAGCTGTGTGCACTTTTAAAATGTAATCCATCAACATCTTGCCTTAAGTGTAGGCTTATTTCACCTAGGATTTAATAATATCTTACTAACCAACCATTTCTGATTGCTACTCTCGCATGTAAAAGAATTTCGCCCCTTAAAAAAGAAAATATAAGTACTGCGATTTTAAAGTTATAGGTTTTTCCCACCAGATGGTGCTGTTGCCAACGCTATGAGATGAGTCGGTCTATAATTATTTCCTTTGTTAAGTCGTGTACCGGGTCCATAATGTCAGAATATTATTTAAGGAACAGTGAAATCAGCAGAAATTTTCACTTCTAACCCACCTTCAAGCTCCAATTTTGACTGTTCTGTCAGGAAGCAGTTTCTTGATCTTGGGTATTTGTTTTGCATTGGGATAGAATTCCATTAGGAGCAAAGTAAAAGTCTAGGGAGGGTTTTAGAATACAGAACATAGGCAGAAAACTAGTAAATACAGACATTTTAATTTTATTGTAAATTATTTTAAAATTCAATATTATTTCTTGTATCTGTAAAATATTTACATGGCCCAAGAGTCAAAATTATATATAAAAATGTTCAATGAAGTTTTACTTGCCTTCTCTAGCTCCTTCTTCCCATACAGTATAAGTAATGATTTTTATTAATTTATTTCTGGCCTATCTTTACCATGTTTCTCTTTACCAAATAAGAATATAGTCCTTCTTTCCTACATAAAAGGTAGCATACTATACACCTTGTCTACACATTGCTTTTTTTTCCACTTGAAAATATGTTCTGAAGGTCAGCCCACATTAGATACAGAGATTTTCCTCATTCTTTTTTGTAAGTGCAGGGTATGCTACTGTATTTATTCAACAAGTCCCCTATTGATGGACATCTGGGTTGTTTCCAATCTTTAGCTGTTTCAAGAGAAACCACAGTGATGGCCTTACGCATATGCCATTTCAATTTGTGAAAGACACATTAGTTCTGGAGGTCAGAAGCCTGAAATGGGTCTCACCAGGCCACAGTCAAGGTGTCTGCAGGGCTGCATCCCTTTCTGAGGTCCTAGGAAGCCCTTGCCAGGCCCCTCCAATTACTTGGCTCGTGGCCCCTTCCTCCATCTTCGGCACCAGCCACAATGGGTTGAGATCTTCTCACATCACATTATTTTGACCTCTTTGCCTCTCTCTTTCACTTTAAGGGCCCCTTATATTAAGCCTACCGATTAATTCAGGATAATCTCCCCATTTCAAGGGCCTTAATTTAATCATATCTATTAATCCCTTTGCCATGTAAAGTAACATATTCACAGGCTATGGGGATTAAGATGTGGACATCTGCTGGGCTCCATCTTTCTGCCCACCACAAAATGGGTATCTTGAGGGTAGATTCCTAGAAGTGGGATTGCTGGTTCAAATTGCATATGTAATTTTTGGGACATTGCTCATATTTTCCCCAAGGAATTGTAAACATGAAATATTTAAAATACCTCCCTAAACGTTGTAGTTGAGTCAGACTTACTGTGACAGTATAATACTTGTGAAAATACCCTCATGCGCAGTTGTCAAAGAGGCAAAATTGCTTCAGAATAAAATAGTTTGAAAGATTTCCTACCCCATGCATGTGACCAAGGCATGGGATCAAGCAGGGGCCCAAAGAGGAAGCGTTGGACATAAACTGTGCCCAGCTGTTCACATGGTGACTGCATCAGCAAACCAAAGGACAGATCCCTGGGTAGTACTGTGGGACAAGAGCTGTTGGACCACACTGACCTTTTACAGAAGATGCTGTCTGTACTCATTTATTATCTAACATCATTTCTAAATGTAAAAGAGCAAGATAGATGTAAATAAGAAATCATTCAGTTTTACACATTTATACTATGAAAATCTCCCATCTGTAAATACCATTGCCAGCCCATTCTTTTTTTTGTTTTTTGTTTTATGTTTTTTTTTTGAGACAGGTTCTCACTCTGTCACCCAGGCTGGAGTGCAGTGTCGCGATCTTGGCTCACTGCAACCTCCATCTCCTGGGTTCAAGCGCTTCTCCTGCCTCAGCCTCTCGAGTAGCTGGGATTACAGGCTCCCACTACTATGCCCAGCTAATTTTTTTGTATTTTTAGTAGAGACAGGGTTTCACCATGTTGGCCAGACTGGTCGAGGTGGCTCATGCCTGTAACCCCAGCACTTTGGGAGGCCGGGGCGGGTGGATCACCTGACGTCAGGAGCCCATTCTGTCTTCAAGGGCCTTGACTCTCACAGTGTGGTCCCTAGAATGCAGCCTCCACATTGCTCCTTAGACATGCAGAGCCTTGGGGCCCATCCAGATTCCCTGAATCAGAAAGTGCATTTATAACTAGAATCCCAGGTGATTCATATGCATATGAAAGCCTGAGAATCACGGCTCCAGGAGGCACAAAGGAGATCCAATTATTGATTGCTTCATTGTGGTAGCCTAGAAATATAATGCTATTAAATTTGATTTTATTGTTCAATTGCCAGCTCTATATCCAGAAGAGCGGGATAGTAATGATAACAACTAACAGCTTGTTGAGTGCTTAATATGTGCCTGGCACATAGTAGTATTTTAATCTCTTTTATCTTATTTCAGGTTTTACTATATTTTTATCTTATCAATGTGTTTTAATACACATTGTCTTTTAAAAAATTGTCATAATAATGCTTCATGCTCAATTTTACCACTCTTTTGTGACTGATGAAATTGAGGCTTGGGAGAGATTGGTGAATTAAGCCAAAGATCACTTTATTAGTAAGTGCTAAACTTGGAATTCAAGTCCAAGTCTATGTGACCCCAAAGCCCAAACTTTTTCTGTCACTCTCCACTGTGTTAAAGGAGAAATTGATCTGAAGTTGGGAAAACCTGGATATCAAGTTTGTATTTAATGGGTTTGGGGTTTATTTATTTATTTTTAGAGACAGAGTCTCTCTGTCACCCAGGCTAGAGTGCAGTAGCACAGTCTTAGCTAACTGCCACCTCAAGCTCCTGTGCTCAGATGATCCTCCCAACCTCAGATCCCAAGTAGCTGCGACTACTCATGTAAGCCACCACACCCAGCCAATTTTTAAAATTTTTTTGTAGAAATGAAGTCTCCATTTGTTGTTCAAGCTGGTCTTGAACTCCTGGCCTCAGGCGATCTTCCTGCCTCAGCTTCCCACAGCACTGGGATTACAGGAGCGAGCTACCACGACCCGCTGGCTTTGGTGTTTTAAAATTTGTAATTGTAATTGGTTTTTGGGTTTTGGCATTACATTTACATTTTTTATTTAAGACGTTATCATTTTGCTATTTTTATCATTATTAAAAGATTAATTTTGGGGGTGGAAATGATGAAGTATTAAATGGAAAGTAAGTATCTTCTATCTCCCTCAGCTCATTCTTTAGAGCCAGTGATTTTAAACTTATCTATCTTTAGTTTTTGGTGGTGACCTCTAAAATCCTAAACTATAAGTTTGTAGTGATTTGTAACTTTTGACAGTATCACTTGACTCTCAACTATGAAAAATGAATGACTTAGTTCCTGTAAACTTCTCACGTCCTGAGTTTTGTCAGTAATAAATGTCACTTCAAATGATATATTTAATTTTACGTGTTTTATTTTACCTGTTTTAGGTATTCCTTTTTTTTTTTTTATTTAAGAGGCAGGATCTCACAGGAGATCTTGCAGTGGCAAGAACACAGGTCACTGTAGCCTCAATTTCCTGGGCTCAAGCAATCTTCCTGCCTCAGCCTCCAGGGTGGCTGGGACTATAGGCATGCACCACTGTACATGGCTAATTTTTAAATTTCTTGTAGAGTCGGGATTTCACCATGTTGCCCAGGCTGGTCTCAGGCTAACCTCCCACCATGGCCTCCCACAGAGCTGGGATTAGAGCTGTGAGCCACCACGCCCAGCCTGACATCTCTTCTCTACAGGCTGAAGAAGAAACTTAGAGGCCCTAAGTGCTCTCTCTCTCTCTGCCTCCTCCAGATGTCTACCAGCTGTATTATTATCTTTACACAGACTCTGTAACTCTAATTAGGTCTTCCATGCTTTGTCTATAGGTTAAGTCTAAAATTTAGAACTGTCACAGGGTAAAATTATGGAAATATTCTTCTCTGTAGAAACAATTAGTGAGAAGAGAACTTCAGAGAAATTTATAGCACTAACTTGCAGTGCAAGTTAGTGTTATTCAAATTGACTCTCAGAGAAGCAATTTCCAAGTGTCAAGGTCAAGTGAGTTTTCTTCATTCCAGTAGGACTCAAAAGCATGCCTTATTTTAGTTTGCTACATATTTAGACCATTATTGTCTTGCAAAGTTTCTCGTTTCTCCTGACATTTTTCCAATTAGCTCTTTTTAAAATAGGTTGAGAAAAGAAATATATGCCTTCTTTACCATATCATGAAGAGTTCTAGCTTCTTCATCATACTTTCTATTGAATAGAATCAGCTCTACTTGCAGAGATTCTTTGTGGGAGGAGAATCTGCTGACTTTCCCTTTCATTTTTGATAGCTGCTTGCTAAGCCTGCAGTAGAGATGTCATTCTGGGATAATGAGGTTGGATATACTGATTCCTGGTTTCCATATCTCCCTTTTTCTTGAATTACTTTGAAGATTTTCAGGTAATTTTTAAGGAAAAGTGTGTAAAAGGTAAATTTTCTGATTCCTTGTCTTCACGCTTACTGGGTGATTTGAATGGGCATGGAATTCTTGGTTCTGAAATATTTCCTTCTGAATTATGAAGGCACAGTTTCCTTCTCTGCTGGCATCCAGTGTTACTGAGGAACAGGAAAACCCTATACAATTTCTTGTCTTCTTATCACAAACTTTTCATTATCTGTAAGATTTTTATACTTTCTCTTCATTTTAGATGTCCAGAAATTTCATTGAGACTATTACTGGAAAGGAGTTCCAGTCCAGACCCCAATAGAGGGTTCTTGGATCTTGCTCAAGAAATAATTTAGTTGAGTCCATAAAGTACAGTGAAAGCAACTTTATTAGAGAAGTAAAGAAACAAAAGCATGGCTACTCCATAGACAGAGCAGCCCCAGGGGCTGCTGATTGGGTATTTCTATGGTTAATTTTTGAATATCTGCTAAATAAGGGGTGGATTATTCATGAGTTTTTCAGGAAAGGGGCAGGGAATTCCTGGAACTGAGAGTTCCTCATTTTTTTAGGCCATATTGTGTAATTTCCAGATGTTGGCATGGCATTTATAAACTGTCATAGCATTGGTGGGAGAGTCTTTTAGCTAATATATTTTAGCTAATACATTATAATTAGTATATAATGAGCAGTGAGGATGACCAGAGGTCACTCTAGTTGTCATTTTGGTTTTGGTGGGTTTTGGCCAGCTTCTTTACCACATCCTGTTTCTGCAGCCCAGGAGATTTCAGCCTCATTTTACCCAGCCCCTCTTCAAGATGGAGTTGCTCTGGTTGGAACACCTCTGACAAGGCTATATTTAGTAGTAGGCCTTTTAAAAATTCACCTGCATGTTCAGAGGGCTTTATCAATCTGACGACTGAGCTTTGATTCTGAAAATGTTTCTTCTGTATTTTCCTCCATATTCATGTCCTCTGTTTTCTTTTCCTGGGACTCCATCATAATCCTCCATGTCTTTTAACTATTTTCACCTTTTTAAAAAGATATTTGAATTTTTGCTATACATTTTAGGAAATATTTTTGTTTACTTTTTCCTGCCCTTCTAATAAACTTGTGTCTTGGTAATCACACCTCTATTTCCAAGAAAACGTTCTTGTTCTCTAAGCGCTCTTTTTTTCCATGGTTCCGTATTCTTTTTAATGTTTTTCTTTCAATAGATGCATTACTTTCTTTTTAAAAATAATTTGGTACTTTATTTGTTTTTTTATTTATTTTTATATAAAGACATAGTCTTACTATGTTGCCCAGCCTGGTCTCGAACTCCTGGGCTCAAGTGATCCTTCTGCCTCAGCTGCCCAAAGTATTGGGATTACAGGCATGAACCATTGGGCTCAGCTTATCTTCTTAATTTAAGAGTACTAATGAAGATTTTTTTTTAATTCTCTTCTGTTTCCTGGGTTACTCTGTTTCTTTCTAGTTCAATTTTTCAGGGTTTTGTTTTGTTTTGTTTTAGATGGAGTCTCACTCTGTTGCCTAGGCTGGCACAATCTCGGCTCACTGCAACCTTCTTCTCCCAGGTTCAAGTGATTCTCCTGCCTCAGCCTCCCAAGTAGCTGGGATTACAGGTGCCCACCACCATGCCCAGCTAATTTTTGTATTTTTAGTAGAGACAGGGTTTCGCCATGTTGGCCAGGCTGGTCTTGAACTCCTGACCTCAGGTGATCCGCCCACCTCTGCCTCCCACAGTGCTGGGATTATAGGCATGAGCCACTGTGCCTGGCCAATTTTTCAGTTTTTAAAACTCCTGGTCTTCTTTTTTGTGTGTGCGTGTGCTGTTTGTGTTTTCTTCAAAAGTCTGGTGATCCTTGGCTGTCCGTATGTTGACGGGACAGTTCAGTTGGTCAGTGTGGGAACGGGCATGGATTTCCTCTTCCACCAAGCGTGTCTGTTTCCTGAACTTGCTGTGTGAATGCACATGGGGCATAGTCACTGGACAGCTTCAGTTTAAGGTGCAGGGACCTCAATCTAGCATCAACACCACCTAAGAAGCTTTATTTCCCAGCAGAGGTAAGGGTGAGTGTTGACAGACCCAGACCTCCTCTTCCCCTCCCCTTCACTGCCCTTTCTGCCCCAGGAGGAAAGCTCTTCATGACTCCCTCTACTCCTTCAGGTTAGGCTGTCACTCCCCCTAACTTTTCTTTATGAATTATTGCCATCCCATCTGCTTTCCACATTCCTAAAATCTACCAAAACCCCGGTCAGCCATGATCCTTCTTTCAACCCCAGTACAGCTCTGGATTCTTTCCCTTTTGTCTGTCTTCACCAGGATTTTTTTGTGAACTGGGAAAGAAGAGGTGGGCAATATTCAGTGCATCCAAAGCCTGAGATTTCTTTTTGCTCATGCTTGATATTTTCTTTTAGCATTCTGCAATAAAAAGTGAAAAGCAGGTTACAGAAATAAGAAAACTTTCAAGTCCAAGCCATCAAAAGTGGTGTCACCTTTGACAGTTTGCAAAGAATGCCCATTTCATGCTTAAGTATTTTTTCATCCAAGTTGAGTAACTATTAGGCTGGTGCAAAAGTAATTGTGGTTTTTGCCATTACTTTCAATGGGAAAAACCACAGTTACTTTTGCACCAGCCTAATAAAACTAGATTAGTTCTCATCCACCCTTCTTGTGAGAAGACACTTTTGCAGAGATGAGGCAAGGGAATCCGGCATTTCTCCCTAAAGCGTTATCCTTTTCTTCCAGAAGCAGAGTTTGTCTCCCTTGCTCCATAGCCCAAGTGTGAAGTTGAACAAACAAGTTGTCATTGTGTTTCATGTGGACAGTCCAGTCTGCCAGCCCCTGACTTCTATCACCCACTTCAGTCCAGTTTTTGTCCGAAGAATGTATGTGTCAATGTGTGTCATTGGCTTCAGTGACCCTTTTTAAATTTTGGTCTGAGTAGCTATACATGTTCTTTTTCTGCCACAGTGTTGGCATATGGGATCATTAATGGCTTTTTAGGAAATGCATTGTTCACTTCACCTTTGTACTTCCCAGTAGAACCTGTAGGCTCATGAATTCACTACCTTTCTGTGATTTGTTTAGAATGGTGACAATTTCTCAAAGCAATTTAACTTGATGCCCTAATTGCTATGTATCTGGCGTTGTTTCTCATTTATGACTGAAATTGTCAATGCACTGCTTTGCTGTTGTTTTGGTTTACAGTTAAACTTGTTTTAGCTTGTCTTAATAAAGTTTACGTCTATTTTAAATCCATGTTCCTTTCTTTAGGGTAAAAATATGATGCTCATTTGAACGTAACAAATATTTTCCTTATATTTTTCATAAACAACAAAGTTCTTGGATGCCAAGCGCATGCTAGGTACTGTGCTCTAGGCATTAGATTTGCTAAGATGATTAAGACAATTTCAGATCTCAAGCAGCTCACAGTAAACTGGGCTAGATTGTGGTTGTTTAATGTGTTTGTATATTTGATTGTTGTTTATTTGATTTGATTTCGTTTGGTTTTGGTTTTGCTTATAGTTTTACTTAATAGGCATATCTTTGTAAAATAAAAAGTTCTCTTGCAGAGAGGTGTAAACCAAAAATAAAATTCTAAGGCCCCTTAACCATCTGAATGGACCCCTCCTCTCAGTCAGGGCATTCCAAAGTTAACCCGAAAATCTGTTTCAGGCCATGCGGGGAAGGGAGGGTTGGACATGCCTCATTATGTCCTCCTCCCTTTTGGAATTCAGGAAAGGCTGACCAGCATTTAACATCAACACAGACCTTAAGTCTAATAAAAACCATTTACAATTTATTCTCTCTGAAGCCTGCTACCTGGAGGCTTCATCTGCATGATAAAACTTTGGTCTCCACCGCCCCTTATCATAATCCAAACATTTCTTTCTATCGATAATAACTTTTTCAACCAATTGCCAATCAGAAAATTTGACATCTACCTATAACCAGGAAGCCCCCACTTTGAGCTGTCCTGCCTTTCTGTCCAGAACAATGTATAGCTTACATGTATTTGATTGATGTCTTGTATCTCCCTAAAATGTATAAAACTAGACTGTGCCCCAACCACCTTGGGCACATGTTCTCAAGATCTCCTGAGGGCTGTGTCATAGGCCATTGGTTACTCATATTTGCCTTAGAATGAATCTCTTCAAATATTTTACAGAGTTTGACTCTTTTTGTCAACAGAGGCTTTGGAATTCCTATTTTCCATTTTATGTAAACTCTGTCTCCCATATATTCCTCTTGTGTTTTAAAAGATGCGGAGAAAAATCTACACAGTGGCCCCTCTCTTCCCAAGTAGTCACGCTGAGTGCTGCTTGGCAATGTTGAACAAGAATACACCAAATTTCATTTACTCATGTGCAATGAACTGATGCTTAGGCACTAGTGCTGTAGGAAGAATCGATGTGCAACTGAGTCAAGGTGATTTTGAGTCTCAAGTTTCCTTTCTTCTCTTTTTTTTGGAAAAAGAGTCGCGTTCTGTTGCCCAGGCTGGAGTTCAGTGGCATGACCTTGGCTCACTGCACCCTCTACCTTTTGGGTTCAAGTGATTCTCATGCCTCAGCCTCCCAAGTAGCTGGGACTACAGGTGTGCACTGTCATACCTGGATAATTTTTTGTATTTTTAGTAGAGATGGGGTTTCACCATGTTAGCCAGGCTGCCTTTCTTCTTTCTTGCATATGAACATCAGAACACTCCATTGTCCTTTAAATTTAGAACAAGATAATTTACATTATATCCAATTGCATAGCAGTTAAAAGCTAGCCATTAAAAAAATAGAATCGTGTGGCTATCAGGAAACTAACGTTTGTGGAGTGTATGAATTTTCTATGGCTGCCGTTGCAAAGTGCCACAGACTGGGCCGCTTAAACAACAGGAATTTATTTTCTCACAGTTCTGGAGTTTTTAAGTCCAAAACCAAGGTGACAACAGGGTTGAACAGGGTTGGCTCCTTCTGAGAGCTGTGGAGGAAGGATGTGTTCTAGGCTTTTCTTCTTGGCTTATAGATGGCCATCTTCTTCCTGTGTCTTCACGTTATCTTCCCCTCTATGTGTCCAAATTTCCTCTTCGTATAAGAACCACAGTGTTATTGAATTAGGGCCCACCCTAATGACCTCACTTTAAATTCACTACCTCCATAAAGATCCTTTTTCCAAATACAGTTACATTCTGAGGTACCAGGGTTAGAACTTCAACATGTGGATTTGGGCAGAGGACACAATTCAGCCCATAACATGAAATGTCTCCAGGGTCCCAGGAAGATTCTGGGTACTTTCATAAACATTAATTTATTTGACTTTCACAAAATTGCCACACTAGAGGGACACTATGATCCCATTTCACAGATGAGAAAAACAGACTAAGAACAATGACTTACCTTGTACAATGTCACCAGCTAAAAAGTAGCAAAAGCAGGATTTGAACCTAAATCTGTATGATCCATTCTACCAAGCTGCTTCTATGTATTTGCCTTCTCAATTCTTTTCTTCCTTTGTAAATGTAATGTTTTGAATCAAAATAAAGTCCAGGAAAGTTTGGCTGTATCCTTTTGGCTAGGAAGATTTATTTCTATGAATATGTTTGGCCTCCTATTTAGTGGCCAGGGCTTTTGGTCCTGGATGCCTATGCTTTTTCTGTGCATCTTTCAACCTTCTCTAGCAGATCTCAGGACTCAATATTTAGCGTTGCTTGCAGATCCAGACAAGGTGTTAACATCTGCTCTATCACCGTCATCTAATAAATGGGTTGTCTGGTCAGTGGAGAGTTTGGATTGGTTTGATCTGCTTCATTACTGGGAAATCTTGAGTATCTCTCAAAGGGTAAAACTCCTTTAAGTGGGAGATTGCATCATAAAGGGCAGAATCTTTTGTTTGTTTGGGTTTGAGCCAAAAAATGGAGAAATAAGGAGAGAACATCTATGGGTAGAGACGATACAACCTAATGTGAAGCTTGCTAAGACAGTGGGAGGAGATTAATGATGAAGATGTTCCTTTCTCCTAAGAGTTGTTGAAACCCTCCAGTTGTGAATGTAATCAGGATAGTACCAGGCTGAAGACAGATAGAGCACTCTTCATTGCCAACCAGCTAAGTGTAGTAAATGAAACCAGTAAATGAAATTGGAAAAATGCTCAGCCACATCCACAAACAGCCTGTGGTTGACTTAAACATTTAGAAATACATGCTCTTTCCCAAGTAATAAAAAATGGCACTTTTCCTAGTAACATAGTGCATATGATATGATATTATAATACTATGACTGTAATTCTGGCTGTACAACTTAGTGCCAGTGTGTGTTGAGCACATTAGTCTCATTGAACATCAATTTTTTCATCTGTCAAACCAGCATGAAGGCGGCTATGAAGGTCAAATGAGATTGTATTTGGGAGCCTTGCAAACTATAGAATGGTATGCATGTGTTAGCTATTTTTATTGTTATTTTATTTTTAGCCCAAATCTAACACAACCCATAATTATGCTGAATTATCCAGTTTGATTATCCAATTTATGGATTATCCAGGCCTCCTGTTTTCCTTCCCCTTTTTAGTTCTTGCATGCTTTTTAGTCCTTTGAAAATGCCTTAGAAATAGTGAAATAGGAAATAGAATATGCAGTTAGGAATTTTTACTTTTTAAATTTTATTTTGGATATTAACAGATACTAGATGGGGAGAAAGTTGAAAATAGCCCAGTTAACGAAGAGTTTGTTGTATATACCACTAAAGTGGCCTGTCACATTTTAAAGGAGCTAAGCCCTTCCAAGGAAATTACCTGTCATCTGGTTTCAAAACAGTCCTGGCAGACTCCCGGTAGATGCTGACACTTTTAATTTTTCCTGAGTGCTGTTAAAATTGCAGAACTTTTGGAACCATATTCCCGTATCACCTTGATGGGCCAAGTGATTGAATAGAACATGTGATAAGGATCTTTCCTCAATGATAAAGCACCATGGAAAATCCTCAGTCAGCGACTTGTAAAGTGATTGCAGATCAAGTCTCTGAGTTTTCATTGTCCAAGCATCTGTAAGACGTTCCCTTGGAATAGGAAGGTCTCTTCATACTTGCAAATAAAATATCGTGTCCATCTTCCCAGTTCTCCAGTAGATAGTACATTACCTCTTCATTCACTAAAAACGATTGGGCATATTCTATATTTAGAAAGAGTTGCTAATGGTGTTTCTCCTTTTCTGGGGATAGGGCAGTAAGAATCCGAATGGAGATGGGATTCATCCAGTAGGGTATGTCACGGAAGCAAAGTAACTTAGCCATGGCTAAGTCCCTGGGGGATAACTTTTATTGATACTTGGTTACTTAAGAATTGAAGTTCTTAGGCTTCAATAAGCCTTGCTTTCATGGTTTTTCAAATTCCTAAGCTAGCTAGTGGAAGATGGCTAGTTTGAAGAAGGATCTATGAAATAATAGGGTGCTGTGTTCCAATTTGATATGACTCAGGCAACTGGCGGCCATCTACTGTCAGTACTCTCTGAGGAAATCGTTAATTTCAGTTATATATCAGGATTTTAACTAAAACTCAGCATCTGATGAACCAGAGTGAACTAATTTGGTATGCCAGCATCTCTCTACTGTGCACTCTCCTTAATGATTGCCTGAATTTGATCAGGTTGATGCCAACAAACCTATTATTCTGACAAATGCTAATCAGAGATAGGATTCTGATTTTAATTTCAAATTCACTGTGCACTATTAACTTTTCTAACATTGTACGCTTTTTTTTTTGATGGCCTCATTTGCATGATTTTTAAAATACGCATTTCTGGCTAAGACTTTATTATCTGAGTGTTCTTTCATTTAATACACGTTTTTTGAGGAGTTCTTTTTTTCAAGGGCATGAAAAGATTATCAATTGATTTGCAGCAGAGATATGCTGTGGTTGAATTCCATATGACCTAACTAATAATTATCTGTCATCAGGGTAGTAAAGCATAAAAGTTAGAACCACTGGAGTCAAATTCTGGGTTCAAATTCTACCTTCTCCACACCACATAGACTGTATGTAATGTAAATGTAGAGAAATTATTACTCCATAGCTTTATTTTCATCTTTTTATGGAGATAACAATAGCATTTATCTGGTAGGGTTTTGGAGAAGGTTTCATTAGAATGGCTCTTGTACCAGCCAGCTTTTTCTAGGTTATATGGCCATAAAAATGGATCTAAAATATGAATAGCTTATACTTACAGAAGTTTATTTCTCATTCATATTTATGTTCATCATGGATTTTTAAATCCTGTCCACAAAAGTAAATTATAGTTTGGGATTCTGCTAAACTGTAGATATTACCCTCTGCTAGGGGAGAAAAGATTAATATTTATGTGTTTGTCATATGGTCCTCTTAAGAATAAAATTAAAGTGATGAATGCTTCTTTTAATCTTTCCAGGGAAGGTGGTCTATGGTGAACCCATAGCAGCCAGTCTTGGCACAGATGGCACTCACTACTGGAATAAAGAATGGCACCATGCAGCCCACCATGTCATGGGTCCACCTTTGCGACCAGACCCCTCAACACCCGACTTCCTCATGAATCTGTTGGCTAAGTAATCATTTTGCAGATGACTGGGAAGTGTATTGCCAAAAGAAGGTTTGGGTAGAAGGGAGCTCGTCCTCCCATCTGGATCCTCCACTAACCTCCCAGTATTCTCTTCTACTTGACCTGTCAGGTCCTGGGTACCCCTCACCTGCAGAGCAAAAAACATTGACTTAATTATGCTGTGATATGTTGTCAAAGCCTTTCCTAGACTCTCAGAAATCAGATCGTTTTCACTGAAACTTTACTCTTTTCTGACTTTTTTCATCTCTTGTTGCCCAAACCCAGGGCTCTTCATTACACCTTACTTTTTATCAGAATATTGTTGAATTTTTTTCTATGCTGATATAATATGGGAACTAGGTTAACCCTGTTACTTTCTGGGAACATATGATCATTTTTCTTGAAAATTCTACCATTCTTGGGCCAGATGCAGTGGCTCATGCTTGTAATCCCAGCACTTTGGGAGGCTGAGGTGGGCGGATCACATGAGGCCAGGAGTTTGAGACAAGCCTGGTGAACATGGCAAATCCCCATCTCTACTAAAAATACAAAAATTGGCTGGGCGTGGTGGCTTATGCCTGTAATCCCAGTTACTCGGGAGGCTGAGGCACGAGAATCACTTGAACCCAGGAGGCAGAGGTTGCAGTGAGCAGAGATAGTGCCACTGCACTCCAACCTGAGTGACAGAGCAAGACTCTGTCTCGAAAAAAAAAAGAAAAGAGAAAAGAAAATTCTATCCTTCATGGACATCCCGACACTCCCCATTCACAGATACTCAGTCTCAAGCTAAGAGTTTTTCATGACAGACCGTACAAGAGTTCACTTACCCATTCTTTTCAGCTTCCTTCCTCCTTCATGATTCAGCATCCCCAAGATTACTCACAAGTCAAAGCAGGATTCCTGTCCCTGGTAATATCAGCATCGCCAGCCAGTCTCACCCTCTGTTCATCCCAGTGTGGCCGTGTGGCTAGGGACTGCCCCGGAGGGCCTGCCCTCCATTCATGAGGATCACCATGGTGATGTCTTTGTGGATGCAGCATTCTGCTCACAAGGAGTTTTCTCTCACATATTTGCTGGTGATTCTGAAGTTATCTTCATCAAGTACATGTGACTATTCATTTCTAGATGAGAAATGGAGTCTCGGACAAGCTCATATCACAGAGCTAGTTAAGTGATGGAGCTGAGCTTAGAACTCAGGTTTCCTAACCCATCTTGGATCATGCTTCCGATCAGTGTGTCCTCTGAAAGTGCTTCCTAGAATAGAGACAGGAGAGGGATGAAATATGTTCTTGAAAAAACTGCTCATTCTCCATTGGATTTTTCTGACTTCAATTGAGAAGGGAGCCAGGAGATTAGGAAAGGTTATGGCAGTTTCCTCCTAACATATTCTGTATACTCACCCCATCACTCTCGTGTTTTTTCTTTTACAGTGATGATCTAACCACAACAGGGACTGATAACTGCACTTTCAACACCTGCCAGAAAGCTCTTGGGAAGGATGATTTTACCAAGATCCCCAATGGGGTGAATGGTGTTGAAGATCGGATGTCCGTAATATGGGAAAAAGGCGTGGTGGGTTTCACAGGTTCCAGCCTTGCTTTGCCTAGTTCTTCAGCCAGGATCCTGCCCATTTGAGGACCAGAGTGGCACAAATTTTCATAGAGAAGCTTTTTGATTGTTTTTACTAGGGAGGATACTAGGAATGCAATACTATCACCTCGACCACCATTCCATCCCTCAGTATAGCATCAGCAAAGAAATAATCTTCTCTGCATAGTTTATTTTAGTTTAGACGATGCATCGCACTATTTTGCGGAGACATTAGAGGATGAATTAAGATTGCATACAAAGAGGGTTATTCTTCAATTCTCTGAAATGGCATAGCCCTTCTGCTTGATTTCTCATGCTCTTGAATTCCAGTGCGTCATGTGTCATTGGCACGAATGCTTGAAATGATAAAAAATACACGAAGGGGCAGGGTGCAGTGGCTCACACCTGTAATCCCAGCACTTTGGGAGGCCAAGGCAGGTGGATCACTTGAGGTCAGGAGTTCAAGACCAACCTGGCTAACATGGTGAAACCCCATCTCTACTAAAAATACAAAAGTTAGCCGGGCATGGTGGCACGTGGCTGTAATCCCAGCTACTCAGGAGGCTGAGGCAGGAGAATTGCTTGAACTTGTGAGGCAGAGGTTGTGGTGAGTCAAGATGGCACCATTGCACTCTAGCCTGGGGCAACACAGTGAGACTCCATCACAAAAAAAAAAAAATACACGAAGCGTATTCGTTATGCTCATACCTCCTTTCCATGAAATCTTTGTTGATGTCAGTTCTTTTTTTTTTTTTTTTTTTGAGACGGAGTCTCACTCTGTTGCCCGGACTGGAGTGCAGTGGTGCAATCTTGGCTCACTGCAACCTCCACCTCCTGGGTTCAAGTGATTCTCCTGCCTCAGCCTCCCAAGTAGCTGGGATTACAGATGTGCACCACCATGACTGGCAAATTTTTGTATTTTTAATAGAGAGGGGGTTTCACCATGTTGGCCAGGCTGGTTTCAAACTCCTGACCTCAGGTGATCCACCCGCCTTCGCCTCCCGAAGTGTTGGGATTGACAGGCGTGAGCCACCGTGCCCAGCCTGATGTCACTTCTTAAAGAATCCTTGGATATCATGTTTTTAAAATTGCTATATGAAGTCACAAAAGTAATAATTTAAAGTCTGGAAAAAAATTTAAATGTCCATGACTACAAAACTTCTCCCTGAGGACGGAGAAGAATCACATGACTAAATGTCTATGTGTTAACTTGTCCAGCCAGTTGACATGTGGAGCTGTGAAGACTAGCAGAGGGGACTTGCCTGGTTAGACTTCTGGTCCCCAGTGTCATGCCCTTTTCACCCATCTCCTAGGATGCCTCCCTCAAATGACACATTAATTATATCTCACACTTCAGAATCCTCTTCAATTGCTTTTACCCTACACATACCACCTACTTCTAACTCTAATGAATTATTCACCAAGTCTTGTCAATTTTGTTTCCAAAGGGCCTCCTTATTTCTTTCTTCGTTGCTACCATTCTAGTTGGAGGCTCATATTTTGTTTGGACCTTTGCAGTAATCTCACAGCTGGTCCCCATCTCCAGAGTCTCACTTGCTACAGTGTATTCTTTACTCCAGTACAAGAACTCTTGTTCTGTACTGAGAACAGCTGACAATGCTTTTATTATTATTTTTACAATATTATAGAGGGAGGATAGGTTTTGAATGGGAGTTCTCATTTAGAAATAAAGTTCTGTTTGTGCTATTGTTCTCTCAAAAACCCTTTACTTGCCTCCATTACTTATTGGATGATAGTTGAATCATTAACTTACAATTAGATCTTCAAAACATCTCTATAGCCTCATCTTCTGCTGATTATTTTCCTCACCCCCCTTCCTCCACCCTAACTCTAACCATCCCAGATGACTTCTCTTCACTTAGATTTTCTTGATAAAAGTTCAAGCTTCCACTTGAACTTCTGTTTTACAATGAATATCTTTATTATAGCAGATTTTCATAATCTATATAGTTCCCTGGTATATAAATGGCTTTACAGTGACTGAATAGTTCTTAATAATATATAGAAAACCATGTCATTTTATGAAACATTAATATGGTTTACTTATGGGAATATTACTTTCAGGGCATGGTTCTTAGTCATTTTTAAGGCAAGCATTGTTTGATAATTAAATAAACCTTTAGTACCCTCTTACCATATAAATAGGGATAAACCCCTAACACTTTCCAATTTTATTTTAGAGGAGCCACACCCCTCTGAATTCTGTCCACATTAAAATCTCTTGCAATAGACTATCCATAATTGTTGGTTCATGTAAAACTTCAATTGCATAAAATTGAACCTCTTGAGTTGTTTTTTTATCTTTTCAAAAGGATTGCATCTGGGTGTGGTGGCTTATGCCTGTAATCCTAACACTTTGGGGAGGCTAAGGCAGGTGGATTGCCTCGGCCTCCCGAAGTGTTAGGATTACAGTTCCAGACCAGCCTGGGCAACATGGTGAAACCCCATCTCTATAAAAAATTAGCCAGGCATGGTGGGGCATACCCCACCATGTAGTCCCAGCTATTAGGTTGGTGCAAAAGTAATTGCAGTTTTTGCCATTAAAAGTGATGGCAAAACAGATTGCTTTCGCACCAACCTAATGCTTGGGAGGCAGAGTGGGGAGGATCACCTGAGCCAAGGGAGGTTAAAGCTGCAGTGAGCCATGATCACACCACTGCACTCCAGCCTGGGCAACAGAGTGAGACCATATCTCGAAACAAAAAATTTAAAAAAAGCATTGTCACCTGATTCAAAAGTGTTGTCACCTATCCTCTATAATATTCTTTTAAAAATAATAAAAGCATTGCCAGCTGATTTAAAAATGTTGTCAGCTGGGTGCAGTGGCTCACGCCTGTAATCCCAACACTTTGGGAGGCCAAGGAGGGTGGATCACCTGAGGTCAGGAGTTGGAGACCAGCCTGGCCAACATGGTGAAACCCCGTCTCTACTAAATACAGAAAATTAGCCAGGTGTGGTGGTGCATGCCTGTAATCCCAGTTACTTACTTGGGAGGCTGAGGCAGGAGAATCGCTTGAACCTGGGAGATGGAGGTTGCAGTGAGCCAAGATCGCACCACTGCACTCCAGCCTGGGCAACGAGAGTGAAATTCCATCTCAAAAAAAAAAAAAAAAAGTGTTGTCACCTATTCTCACTCTATAATATTCTATCTAATGTCTACATGATTATCTCATAAATCTTAGGTCTGTAATAAATAAGTCAGATCATAAATGTGGTATTGTCAAACTTTAAAGGAGAATCGAAAATACCATTACCAAAATTTAGCTGTCACCTATAACAATTTTTGTGATTCTAGGATGAATGGGAAGAATTAGTGTGGATGCTAAGTAGTGGGGTTTCTGAAAAGTCATCTTCAGGCTTCCATATGTTACCCCATCATCTCCATCATTGGCATTATGACTGTTTAATACTTACCAGCATCCTCAGATGCTCTACAATATAAGAAATTAGGTGCAGTTCTGTTTGTTTAAGAGATGCAAGTCTTGTCATTTTATCGATAGGATACTTTTTAGTATTTGATCATTAGAATGATTCTTTGAATTGCTTTACAGCATAGTGGTAAAATGGATGAAAACAGATTTGTGGCAGTTACCAGCACAAATGCAGCCAAAATTTTTAATCTCTATCCAAGAAAAGGAAGAATAGCTGTAGGATCAGATGCTGACATTGTTATTTGGGACCCAAAAGGCACAAGGTAAGTCTAAGTTCTTGTATTCCTTGGCTTCATTGTGGAGAAAATGCACTAACTTGCACAGAAATAATGCTTTGGCATTAATCAGCCGCTTCTCCTTAGATGACTTCTTTAGCTGTGCTCAGGTATTTTGATCCTGTACACAAGATAAAGGTTTTGATGTGCAAATATTCCTTTGTTTTTCTTGGCATAGAGGATGTAGAAGTTGTGTTGCATTCTCTGACAATGGATCTGTATATAAAACCAATATGAATTTACCACTTCAGTGCCTGGCAAATGCCCGAGTTCACATGGAAGAAAGGTAAAGCGTGATGAAGGAAATAAAAGGCTTAGTTTGAAAAGGGTTGAATTGAAAACTCAAAATAATTACAGCCTTTTTAAAGCTTTCAGATAGAAAAATTCCAGCACAAAGGATGTCACTTTCAGTTAGCCAAATTTTCCAGTTGAGTTCATCTTCAGCCTATCATTCCTAGTAGATTCCAGCTTTTTGTTTCCAATTTCCATAATTCTATGTTAATATTGCAAGTCTGGCAAATTCCACCAACTCAGGAAAGCAGTCAATAGAGACTGGAGCTCTGTTATTGTCTCCTTATAGGACGTTAGTACAGGCAACACCTGCAGCCTGATTTGTGTTTTTCATAAATTTTGCAGTCGTAGTGGAGAAAATCCCATTAAATGCTTTAATAATCTGTATGTATGTGCACTTGCGTGGACTTCTGCCTCCTCGTACAGGCATTTGTTCAAAGTCTGTTAGGGTTTTTATTGTAGTAAGAAAAAGTCTACGGTTTCTTGGGCTAATATTGTCACAAAGGCCCAGCTTCAATTGAAGTGCTCCTGGGTTACCTTTGGGAAAACGATGATCATTTGAAACACTAAGGTACCATCACTATAAGCCTAAAAACAAGCCCCAGATATTCCTATAGGAAATCCTTGTTTTTTTCCACTTGACACTCTCTGGGCACCCACTGTTCCCACTCAGGGACCAGTTCACATGGTTGGCAGGCCGTAGTCATAGCAAGCAAGCAGCCTTCAGTTAAACACTTCAGCATATCACCTCATCACTGGTTAAGATCCATGCAATGCCATAAAGGGTGGTATACACATCTTACTCACATAAGTATCTTAAGATAACAACAAGACATGGTTCAAGGTCTTTCTTATGTTAATAAGGAACTATTGCCCATTTAAGGACTAAATATCTGGTTGCATACAAAATAATTACATGCAAAATGAAGACAAGTAAAACCAAATGTAGGCAGCTTCTCTACAAAGCTAGAAAAATTGTGCTTGGAAAGGCAATGGAAAAAAAATTGCTTGGATTTTGCTTGTTCTGTGGCTGAATTGAGCATGCTGTGTTTAGAGAACTCCTGATATTTAAAATATCACTCTACAGCGGGCTGCTGTACACCCAGCAGGGGCCTGCCCAGGGCCATCTTGGCTGTAATTCAAACAATTTAGGCTGCTTCAAGGGCTGGGACCAGGCAGACCTTTTGAAATAACTTGTGGCTTAAGGAGATTGTGAGCTTTAATCTGAAATCCTAGAAATTTTCAAAAGGGAGAAAACTATTCTGTAAAGAAATATTTCTGAAAAATGGTGTTTTTGAAGCATAACATCAGGGAGCATCATACTAATGTTAATCATCAGTAATAATCTGTACGTCACAGCTCTCGTGGGTTTTTAAAATGTTTTGGTGCCTTAAATGTAATTTTACCAGGAAAGACAAATATTGATTACCTTATGACAATGAGAAAACGGTAGCTGTACAACCGTGTAAGTGACAGGTTTGCTATGAGAACCCTGACCTAGTGACTTTGACTTCATAAATTCAGATGTTTCTTCATGAGATTCAGTACCAGGCTGTCTGATAGCAAAGCAGAGCACTTTATAATTTTCTTGATTTTTCATATTCCATGTTGTCTTCCAATCAGGTGGGCCAATAACTAAAAGCATTTTTGGATTTGATTTCATTCTCTGTCATTCTTTATCAAAGGTGAGGGAAAAAATGAAAATACTTTATTGTGTGGTGAGACTCTTCAGTCTAATTCTTAATAATATGGAGAATCTCAGGAGGCCATTTGATGTGCTTCTTCTTTTGAATCCTACACCTGAGTATCTCCAACAGGGCCCAGCCTGGGGAGCCCTCGTCTGCCGTTTTAATTTCTAGGGATGACACCAGCTCAGGGGTAGAGCATTGTCTTCCCTAGACAACTGGACAAAGAGAGATGACCTGAACCTAAGGTTGTGAATAATTCACTTGCTTTATTTACCACATATTGCTGCTTGGAGGATATTTATAGGCTGTGATTATGTCTCTTTGAGTCACGTTTTAGACTATATAAATTTAGACCACTTTCTCACAAGTTTTGCTACTGATTTCTATAACATTGTCTTGCCCTTCCTTTCCTATTCAGTTGTTTCAGAATAGCACATAAAGATCCAGATGTGTAGATTTTTTTTAAAAGATCTATATATATTACCTGCTTAATTTCCCTCATTTCTAGTCTAAGAATAACTAACTTAAGGTCAAACTAAAAAGCTCCTATGTTTTTACATTTCTTTCTATTGCTTTCTCTCATAAGTTCTTTCACATTTCTTTTTTGTTTGTTTGTTTGTTTGAGACGGAGTCTCGCTTTGTCGCCCAGGCTGGAGTGCAGTGGTGTGATCTCGGCTCACTGCAAGCTCCGCCTCCCAGGTTCACGCCATTCTCCTGCCTCAGCCTCCCTAGTAGCTGGGACTACAGGCGGCCGCCACTACGCCCGGCTAATTTTTTTGTATTTTTTGTAGAGATGGGGTTTCACCGTGTTAGCCAGGATGATCTCGGTCTCCTGACCTCGTGATCCGCCCGTCTCGGCCTCCCAAAGTGCTGGGATTACAGGCATGAGCCACCGCGCCCAGCTGTTTTGCATTTTTGTATGATTTCCATCCTTCACTTTATGAAGGACATTATTTATCACATTAATGATCAAATATATTTATCACAATAATGATAATAGAAAATTAAATATTTACATTTTTGTATGTGTGTCTTTTGGGAGAAAGATACATATTCTGCATTATCTTACTAGTATGAAGCCTTCTTTATCTATGTCTGCTGATTGTGTACACCTCGGTGCCAGACATAAGGAAAACCAGCATAGGCCCCAGAGCCTGATGTGTAAGTTCTGGTCCCAGATCCATCGAAGGCCATTTAAAGTCTCTGAAAATCCACTCTTTCATATGTAAAATGTGATCATTAAGAATTGTTATGCCTACCTCATAAAGTTTTGGTTAGAATCACATGAGATACATGTGAAAATGCTTTGTCAACTAAGAACGTGTTACACAAAGACAAGATATGTATTATTATGGTTATTTTCTATTTCTCTAGTTTGACTAGTTTCATTCTTTGCAGGACATTTTCATTTTTAGATGTTCTTAGCTATTTTGCCTGTGGTGATCAGAAGGCAGATGAACCATGGGGTTCTATTTCTCTGACTCTAGATCCTTTTAAAAAGCTGGTGACCTTTTTGTCTTTCTTTTCTTGTTTTATCGTTTTTTTTTTTTTTTTTGAAAAGTGGAAAAATATTCTCAGGGTATATTGAATTGATTGAGCCTCCCTTGGATTTCTTTGACTTATTTGACTTACTCTATATCTTGCTTCTTTACTCCTCTAATTTAACATTTTCCTCTAAACCATCATCAGAATGTTTTTGCACTATCATTATTCATTTTTTTCAGTTACAGAATGTGGGAAAAAGGAGAGAAGGGGGCTGTTGAAGAGGAGGCTTCATAGAATAATGAATCTGGAAGAATTCAAGGAGAAAGCGTGTTTGTTGTGGTTCACGTTAAAAGAGAGAGATCGTTGCAGAAACTGTATGCTGAGCCCTTGTCTGGGTCGATCACAGCACCAGCTTTCTCTATTCTTGGCCTGGTTGTTATGAGAAAGTTGCTCATCTGGGCTGGCTGTTCCCGACCAAAATTTATGCTGATGACCTCAACTAGGACCTTTCTGAAGTGCAATAATATTTTTAGCCTTTTCTAACTGTCCATGAATCATCCATAGCTTTCCACTGTCCTTAGACACTACCCCTACCATCGTCACTGTCTGCCTCTTCTCACCTTGCAGCCCGAGTTCTACTGAATCCAGAAAACCCACTTACAATCCTGTACCACAATCTGTCTTCCTTTTCTTTCTCATTAATATTCTTGAGTCTAGTTCCATTTTTAAAAATAAATGTTTTATTTTAGAATATTTTAGATTTACAGAAAAGTTACAAAGATAGTACAAGACACTCCTATGTACCCCACAGCTGGTTGCCACTATTATTATCTTACATTAGTATGGTACACTTGTCACAATTAATGATCCAATATTGATATGCTATTATTAACTAGAATCCATGCTTTATCATATTTCCTTAGTTTTTGCCTGTTTTTTCCCTTCCGGGATTTAATATTACATTTAGTGGTCATGTGTCCTTAGGCTCCCCTGACTTGTGACAATTTCTCTGACTCTGTTTTTGATGACCATGACAGTTTTGAGGAATATCGATCAGGTATTTTGTAGAATGGCCTCTGTTGTGATTTTCCTGATGTTTTTCTAATTATAAGCTTCGGGTTGTGGGTTTGCGGGAGGAAGATCACAAAAGTAAAGAACCATTTTCATCAAAAGACATACGGTGAGCACGACTTACCACTACTGGTGTTGACCTGGATGAACTGGCTGAGGTCGTACTTGCCAAGTTTCTCCACCATACAGCTGTTTTCCCCACCCCTTTCCATGTTGTATTTTCTGGAAGGAAGTCACCATGTACAGCCCATACTTAAGGAGTGAGGAGTTATGCTCTCGATTTTTGTTTTAATTGATCCTATTTGACGTGGGCCAGTTCGGTTCAGCATAGAGAAGAAGCACAATAAATGTTGAACAGGTGAGTGAGAAGGATGCAGCCTTCCACACGGCATGGAAGATTGGCAGGACTAAGAAACAGCATAAAGGAAAATTAGAAAGATTTTATTCAGCACTGGCTATGGTGAGAGGAAAAGTAAGAATAGCATCTTCCCATTTCATGCTTTTTACTTACTGCATGTGATCAATACATGACTGTGTTAGAAGAATGAATGGATAAAGATGAATTTAAGTAGAAAAGATTTTCCAAGGAGAGGAGGAAGAACTGTCTCGCTGGTCTTATTTTCTTTAAGTGCCCCTTCATTTTTTAGGTTGGAGCAACGAGTTTGTTAAGCAGAGCTCTTAGAGAGATGAAATGAAGCCAAAAGAGTCACCTTTGTGTGTTCCTTCATTCACAAATTCACTCTGCACAGGAGCACCTCGGCAAGCCGCAGGCTGAGGGTCAAGCTTATACAACAGCCACACCCTGCCTTTAAGAAGCTGACAGTCTAGGAGAGGAGAGGAGATGTAAAGTCAAATATTCTCAGCCTAAGAAGGGATGGGTTAAGAATATCACACGAGAGGCAGAAACAAGATGCCTTAGAAATTCAAAGAAGAAAGATCATTGTGGAGTTAGAGCAGTCATCGACATGAAATCGTACGAGAGAGGTGAGTAGATAACGTGGCCCTGTGAGTCAAGACTAAACATGGAGGTGAGATAAACCAAGGCATTGACAGGGGGTTCTAGGAGGAAGCAGTTAAGGCTGGGGATTGCACTACAGAGAGAACAGCTTCAGGCTGTAGAAGGAAATGAGAAGGTGAAGAGGTTGTGGCTGTCTCCACTTTTAATTGTGTTTATCACAGACAGAGGCAATTTTAAATAGAGTTCACCTTGTAGAGAAGTGTTATTTAATCAAATGAATAAATGAATATATCTATACGGTTTTTTTTTCTTCTTGCAATGAAGGCCTCCCTTTTAAATTTTACGTGCCTGATTTTAACATTAAATGCAGGCTGGTAATGTGCAGGATTTTTGTCTCACACCATTAGATGTTGGCCCAAATTTTCCTACAAAATTTCCTTAAACAGTTTTAGCAAAAATAATTGCCCAGCCGTCTTGTTAGTATCTAACAGGAAAGCAACATGCATTGCACCCTAGATGCTGAAGGGGGCGCCCGCAGCCCGAGCACTGAGCTAGGCTGGCTCCAGCCAGGCCATTCGAGCTGCTGGTTATGCAAGAACAAGCCAGCCTCTGGAGAACGGATGCATTTGCTAAAGATTTTTGGCTTCATGGTACATAGATGTTTTCGTTTTTAAAATTCTTGTTACTTATTAATGGCATGTAGACGTAAGTATGCTTGCCACACAATCTGTAGCCTTAAAAATGGACCACGTTAAAGTTACCAGGGGAGACCAGTGGAAAGAAAAGCAGGGCAGCCATGCTTATTTTTTCCTTTTAAATCTGTAAAAAGTGAGATGATTCCAAGGTGAGGAATTTGACATATGGTGATGGATGGCGAGAGAGAATTGGGAGTGGGCGTAGTAGGGAAGGTTTGGACATCCTGATGAAAGATTACCTAAGACGTCACTAGCCTGTAAAAAGTTCCTGCAAAAATCAACTGCAATAGCTCTTCTGTGTCATTGCACAATAAAGAACAAACTGCATTTAGTGTAAAGGGAGCATTCACCTTTTTCGGAAATAAAGAGCCTGCTGTATTCAGCCTGACAGCTCATTGAACTGGTGTCTATTGCTTATGACGGAAGTATGTGTCCTACTGCTTCACTACTTGGGTCAAAGTTTCAAATTTAAGGACGTTTTCCATATCTGAATGTCTGACCCATTTCTGTAGAAGATCTTGGTACTTAGAGTCAGGAGAAGAAATCAGGAACATGCTTTTCATGTGATGTAAAGACAGAATCTTGTGGTGTCATGTGGTCAAGACAGAGATCAGCCAAATTGGCCAACTTGTTAAAAATCTTATTAGAGAGAGTGACATGTCAGTTACTTGCAAGCCCATAGCTGCAGCAGTAAGTCATGTTCTGGCAATTTAAAACCATCCTCGGAGCTTCAGTTCTTTGGTATTCATTAAATAGCACTTAGTTACTATGGTAACTGTCCCTTTTCAGTATTTATGAGCTACAGGATATCTCACAGAATCTCAAGCACACAAACACACAGCTAACACATTGTGTGTACTGGAACATTTAATGAAGACTTCTAGCTGGACCGTATTCTGCCGAGCAGACATATTTTCATTTATTATTTTTTAACTCAATTATGGCAGGCTTTGACCTTGAATACACCATTCTTGAAAGCATTGTGCCATCTTTCTTGCTTAATTTCCTTCCTTTTCTCATTGAAGATAGAGATAAATGAATTTAACTTTATATTCAGTGAAGAGTAATGGCTTGCGGCTTATGATGGTGCCCTTCTGGATTCTAGAGGGGGCCTTTTGTGTGAAATAAAGCGGGGGAAGAATGACTGTCATCCTTGGGTAGTAGGGATTGTAGGGCGTGGGGAGGGAGAAGAAAGGAGGAGTCAGGTACCCTTTGGCAAAGAGTGATGGTTATGGCTTATTAGGATAGCTACATCACCAGTGACTGTTTCACAGAAGCTATGAAGCATTTTCCCTTGAAGTTGCACATTGTGTATCCTCTGACTAATTTGTGCGTTATAATCCTCCTCCTCTTCCTCAAAGAAAGCGTGCACACACACACACACACACTCACATGCACATCAGCACAGCAGCCTGTGTTCCTGCTCATAACAGTTGATCGGCCTAAAGATGCTGCTTTTCATGCCTGTTTCTAAGAGTGTCTGTCACTAACGCGCCCGCCACTCCCCACACCCACAAGCATCCCAGTGTGCATTGTGTGGGTCTTGTCATGGGTGCATAAGTGGAAATGAATATGATTTATGCCATGATTTGTCACTGTGATGTCTTGTAACACAATATCAGGGCTGTACCATGGTGTCAGGGCTGCTGGCTGAGGTGGTTCAGGTTGTGCTTTTGCAAAGTTACAGGGGCACTCTTCACATCATAGTTACCACAGATATATGTGGATAGATAGGTAGCTAGATATAGATACAGGTAGTAACTATGCCAGTTTTCTAGCATATGATAGCAAAGCACCTTGAGGAACAAATATCTGTTGCTAATCCACACAAAATCAAACCTGCCATCTGGGCTATTGGGGGGGAGCAGTACCATAGAGTGAAGAGAAAGGCTTTGGTGATAAATTCCTAGTCTGCCACTTATGAGCTGGGTGTGACCTTGGGTATATCATTTAATTTTTCTGAATTTCAATTTTTTTATTTGCAAAATGGGCATGATGATGATATTTATTTCCTAGCTTTGTTGTGAGTTTTAAGGTAGCATCATAAGATGCTTGGAACATAGTTAGTGTTCAGTAGCAGTTGGCATGTAGTAGGTAGTCAGTTAGTGGTAATAGATAGTAGTAGTAGGTGGTCAGTTTGTGAAATGAGTGGGAGCTCTTATTAGCTATAGCTGTGAGTCAGAAATCTTTGTATAATGACTTAATTCAGACAGGACCAAAAGATACTATAATTATATTTCATATAAAAACTCTGTCTCCCAGGTTTCTTGCACACCTTTAATTTTCACCACTAAATTTCAGAATGACTAAAATTAAGAAGCTTGGATGGATTATTTTGGCTAAGATAGCCCGAGCCTCCAGAACTGACACCTTTTAAAAATTATTAGCAGTGAAACTGTTCAAACAAACCTCCTAAGATTCATTTTGTGGCCTTCAGAAGACATTTGCTTTAAAAAAAAAAAAAAGTCTGGGCTATGCATGAAAAAAAGCTAACATTGTTGATTACATATGCATACAATTTTAACCACTCTTTATTCCAAGTTGTTTATTTAAACATATTTTTATGCAACTGAACCTTTCAAGTGAACTAGAAATGATTTCTAGGGACTTTACTACTAATAACTGCATTTTCCCCCAAATTATAAAAGAAAAGCAGCTTAGAAATGAATCACAGTAACCCATTCTATCACTGATCATTTGGCTTGGCCAGAGTAAGCAGTTTATTTTCAGCATTAGCATTGGGCAAAAAATAAGCACCAAGCGAGGCTGTGTGAAAGGCATAGGCTTTCCTAACTAAGCACCTGCTGTATTTTTCTTCCTACCTGACATAGATTCTATGTTTTTATATCTTTGACATTTGCTTGTATTATTTACAACTGTATCCCTAGGTTTAAGCACAGCTCCAGGTATATATAGAAGCTCAATAGTCATTTGTTGAGTGAAGAAACCAGATACTAATGGACAAATGTGTGATTTAACATTTTTGTCTGAACTTTATCTGCCCATGGAACTGGTTCAAGAGCCGTGTTTTACATTCTTCCCCCCTTTGAATTAAAAAGAAGAGAATTCTCAGCACTTCTGTCTTCTTCCCCAAAGCAGTGCTTGACAAAGATGCATTCCAGAGACAGTGGCTAGTTAGTGTCACCAGACCTGTTCGTGAATGTGGTTTACACCAGGTCAGATCCTTCTGTGGGTCAAACAACACTGTTTTTTGGACTCAGACTCATCTCTAATTCTGGCCAGTTATTTTAAAATTATGGCCATCGGTTATGGAGGAAACAGAGGACAGAGTGAAAATGGCTGAAAAGAAATTTAATATCAGTATCTGAAAAGAATCCCAGGGTCCTTATATGCTTATTGTACAGCAAAGAACCTTGTCTTCCTATAAAGGCCTTAGAAGAAATCACCTATAAAAGTGGTCCCCTCCCTCTAGAAGACTACAGTGGAAGTCTATTTGGAGGCAGTGAGTAATTCAAGGAAGGGCCTGCATTTTAATGGCCTGACCAAAACACCAAAAAACTTAAGTTGATTTACTATTTTTTTTTTAAGAGCAGAGGTTCTCAAAGCATGGTTTCTGGACTAGCAACATCAACATCATCTGGGAATTTTTCAGAAATGCCAACTCTCAGACCCTACCCCAGAGCTGCTGCCTCAAAAACTCCTGTAGTTGGTTCCAGCAATCTAGGTTTTCCCAAGCCCTCCAGCGGCTTCTGATACACACTCAAGTTTGAGAAACACTGGTTTAGAGTCATAAAATTAGATAACACTTTGGAACTAAAAAAGTCCAATTAGCGCCCCCAAATGGAGTTCTCTATACCTTTGCTTGATTGCTGCTAGTTTCAGGGAACTTACTACCTAACCAAACAGTCCTTTTCTTTCTGGGATGCCTGTAATTATGAGGACATTCTTCTTCTGGTTGCATTAAAATTATCTCCTCTTAGACCTTCACATGTTTAGCCTTTGGAATTATGCAGAATATATCTACATTCTCATATGATAGTCCTTTCATTTATTCATTCAAATGTTTGAAGAAAGTTACTGGCTCCCAGTAAGCCTTCCCATCACCAGATATGGATTCCCAGGTTCTTCACCAGATCCTTAGGCCCATGAGTAGCAAAATCCCAATCACCTGACCTCTCCTGTATCCACCCTTCTCTTGACACACACTTGTCCATGTCCTGCAAACATGTGAGTCCCAGAACTAGACATGTTCCTGCCTGTAATACCATCAGAGCAGGAATATCTGAGGCTGATTAGTTTTATAATTAAATGCAGAACTTTGCAATTTTTTAAAATAACATTTTCCTTGAATACACCTTGTACATCCAAAACAGTAATTGTGAGCAATTGCATGAGGTTTGAATATCTTACCACATTTATTCAGTGAGTAATTAAAAAACTTATATTGGGTCTTCTCTGATGTTTATGTTAAAATGACTAGGATTATAGTAAATGGCTGGTTTCTGTGTTTTAAGTCTCTTTGAGTAGACAGTAACTTACAACGTCCATAATTTTTTTAAAAAGTACAATATTTAATATAAACAAAAGGTACAAAGAGTACTATAGCTAACACTTGTGTATTAACCTTCCCAGGCCTGTCTCCTTCCTCATCTCAACAACTACCCAATTTGGTGTTTATCATTTCCATGCATTTCTTTCTATTTACTATATATATATAGGTGCATTTCTAAGGCATGACTATATATTTACATAATATATATTATATATAATTTTTGTGTATTCTTAGCTTCATATGAATTGTACTATATGTATTGTGCAACTTTCTCAACATTATAATTGTTAGATTTATCTATGTTGAAATGTGGTTTTTTTATTTTCACTGCTTTATACTATTATGCTTTATGAATATACCATAATTGATGATATATTCTTTTGCTGGTGGACATTCAGGTTGTTTGCAATTTTTCACTATTTCAGACACTGTATGTCTTTGTATATATGTGTGAGAGTTTCTCTGGGGCATTCATCTATCCCCTGGTTTGTTTTATATGAAATGCTCTCACATTTTCTCAATAGAAACGTATAAATTTATGGGCCTTTGCAACTAAATGCAGAAATTCCCATTTCTCTCTCTTATGCTTTTATCTTGTTCCACATTCATTTATTCAGCCATTACAAACCATATCTTGGGCCCTACCATGTGCCAGAGACATAGTAGGTGGTGGAGACAAAGTGATTAGGCATAATCCCATTCTTTACCAGGGTGGTAAGGGCATGGCCAGCAGAGAAGTGGTGGCTTTTGCTTTTTGCCCCAGTTGTCTTTTGAATTGTGATTCTGATGGTCCAGGTACTAGCTCTCACTGCCAGAGTAAGCCCACCAATCAGACAGTGGGTTCTCTGACCAGATCTACCACACCAGAGCCACAGAAACAAAGCTGGTGGGCCCTGCAACCCTGGCAGGGGTGGGCCTGGAGCTGGAATATGAATGGGGGAGGAAGTGAAGACAACAAAGCTCCAGACCCCTTCCAGTCCCCTGAGGCGACACAGCCGAATATTCACCTATTTGGTGACTTGAGTCTGCACGTATTTCATCATTCTAACCGCACACACAATGCTTGAAATATATAATATTGGCACCCACCCAAGACACACGCACATAGACATATAACTGTTTCCTATTAATCAGTACCTCTCTTTATAGCCACATTTTCACAAACATTCGCATTGGCCCTTGATTTTCTGAGCTCATCACATAGAAGCTAAGATCTGTGAATCTGAGGTTAGTGCTTTCTTTCTGTGCTCCAGGGCAACAGATTGCGCATTCTGTCCTTGGTTACAAGTGTGCACTTGGCAGGAGCGTGGCCTGCATCCCTGCAAATCTGCCAACGCTCCTGGACATCGGTTTCAAGCATATCCTGCTGGCAGTGGGGCTTCTTTGAACACCAGCAGTCAGTTGACTTCTAAGTTTAAAAGATTTCATGTACCTGCAGAACACTTCCTTGGTGCCCTCCCCAAAAAGTGGCCTGTGCAACCCAGAGAGCACATGGGAAGGAGAGTCAGAGTACATTAGGTTTATTTCACAACTGCAGCTGCAGTCACATTAAACTTATTGCCTAATTTCCTTTGTCTAACTTGATTTCTCTTTGGCTGGGAGGCAAATAGATTGATATTTTTTTTTATGCTGAGGTTATGTTGCCTGAAGAAAATTTTCCATTGGTTCACTATGCCTGCCTTTAGTCCAGTAAATGGGGCCGCGTGCTGTCTGGGCAAGGAAGGGCCTCCCCAGATGTGCTCTTGAGGCCAGCTGTCTGCGTGGAGGAGGCACCTCCTGGAAGGGGTAACAGGGGCTGCCCCTCCCATGAGGGGTATTGCTGAGCATTTGTGCTGGGCTCTCAGCTCATTTCTCTGGCTGTCTTCTAATAAATAGCTTTGTTTTATTTTTTCCTTTCCTGTGAAGTCCTTTTCTCCCTATGTTTTCTCTATCATTTTGTATATTTGCAATGCTCTTTCCCTCTCCAAAATTTCTTAAAGGTGGTTTCTTCACGTTTTTGTTATATTTTCTTCCCGTGAGCCCTCCACTATCATCCTGTGCTATGATTGTGCCCTTTTCTTCTCACCAGAGAAGGGAAATGTTCTTACTTTGCTCTCAGTTCTGTCCTCCTACCAGGCATTTATTTAAGAGAGCTAAGTTTCTGGAGGCAGAATAATGAGAAGGCAATTTACCCACAAGAAAAACAAATGGAGCCTTTATCTGTGTAGAAGGATTGCTGAATTCCTCACATGGTGGAGGCGAGGGGGATGAGGACAATGTTAATCAGTTATCTGAAAACATATATTGATTGCATGTTCATTGTGTGTAAGAAATGTGTGAGAAATTACTGAGTACTGAGGGAGACATAAATATAAGGTGTAATACCTGTCATCAGAGAGGTTGCATTTTGGTAAGACAAAGATATAAACATAGTGAAGGATAACTAAGTTTTGGAAGAGAAAAATATCAGCTCAACACATCAGTACCAGAGATGAAGGAGGTCTCACGTGCTGGTCTCCTTGACAAAGGAGTAGTCCAAATAATTGTCCTAAGTTGAGGTCGTCTGTGAAGACTTCACAGATGACTGGTTTGGGCTTGGGAAGGGGCTTTGCACTAACCGAATCCTTGGAGGTGGCTCTGGACAGGTGGATGGGGACAGTAAAGCCATCCAGATGGTGGAGTCAGGGGCAAATGAGGAAAATGGGAAAGATACAGTCGTGGGATAATAAAAACTGGAGAATGAGAGAGGGGTCAGGATGGGAAGGAGTTGAAGATGAGATTTGTCCTTGTCAGACTGCCAAGGGCTTTGAATGTTAGGTGAAGTATAGCAGATTTTATGTGAGGCAGCATGAGCTATTGAATGTCTTTGAGTGAGGGTTTGAGTTGATCCAAATCTGTGCTTCCCAATTTGCCTGGCACCAGTAGAAAATGGTGTTATTTGTAGAGTACATGGCTGTAAAGAGAAGGGGCTTTGGAGATGGGGAGGAGGATGTAGCAAAACCAACTCACCCTGGTTTGCCTGGGACTTTCCCAGTTTTAGCACTGAAACTCCCATGTCCTTGGAAGCGCTCTCAGTTTAAGCCTAAGCTGTGAATGTCACTCTAGGAGGTTGCTTTTGGTCAAAGGTGTTGGCCTAGGATCTCTACACCTACCTGGTCACCCTAGAGTCTGAGGGTTTTAGTCTTGTGTCTAGGCCTGTCGGCTGGGGAAATCTGACTAAATCGTATTTTAGGGTGATGAGTGTGTAGGATGGATTGGACTCACAGAGAATGGTCAGGAGGCTATTGTAGGAGTCTGGCCGGAGGGGATAAGTCAAGATGAAAGCAAACAAAATGAAGGCCTGGAAAATGGGGGAAAAAAGGAGTTAATTTAGGTTGGTGAAAAATTGGAAATGGACTGAAAGAGAGGAGTCAGAAGTGACTTCAAAATAACTGCAGCCTTGCTCATGTATGAACCAAGCATTTATCGAGTGCCAGCTGGATGCAATACATTGTACTCAAAGTTGAGTGAAAAAATTATTACCCTAAGGGAACTTAGGATCTAATTAGACAGATAAGGAACACCCCAAGTAACTCAAATAACTATAATACAAGGTAAAAGATTAGGCCCAATGGTTAAGGGACATGGCATTTAGAGCCAAATTAGGCAACTGTATTTAAATCTTAACTGTGCCAGTACTGGCTGCAGGACCTTGGGCAAGTTACTCCCCTCTTCGAGGCTCTTTCCTCCCCAGTAAAATGTAGATATGATAATAATTGTAGCAACTTTTGGGGCTTGTTGAGAAGAGTTAATGCCTTTAATATGGTGCCTGGCATATAGTAGAACTTTAAAAACCATTAATATCATGATCATGTATCAAGTGATAAAGCACTAGAGAGTTATACAGTAGTAGGGAGATACCAAAGTAAATGACTTTTATAATGTGGGATTCTAGGAAAAAAAGCTTAGAAAAATTCAACTATCCCAAATTTCAGTTTGTTTTGTCAATCACAGTTTCATCCTTGTTTATACATTTCCTGTCCTGCATATTTAGTTTGTATTTTTTTAAGATTTTTTAAATTTTATTTAATTAATTAATTTATTTCTCTGTCACCCAGGCTGGAGTACAGTGGCACGATCTTGGCTCACTGCAATCTCTGCCTCCCTAGTTCAAGCAATTGTCCTGCCTCAGCCTCCTGAGTAGCTGGAATTACAGGCGTGCACCACCACGCCCAGCTAATTTTTGTACTCTTAGTAGAGACGGGGTTTCACTATGTTGGCCAGGCTGGTCTTGAACTCCTGACCTCAAGTGATCCGCCCACCTCGGCCTCCCAAAGTGCTGGGATTATAGGCATGAGCCACTGTGCCCGGCCCTGCACATTTAGTTTGTGACTGGCATGTTGGTGAGGCACAGTGGTAACCACAATTTTAGTAGAATGCCCCTTAGACATTTAATTGTACAGTGCCATTAAACATGTGTGGCCGGGCACAGTGGCTCACACCTGTAATCCCAGCACTTTGGGATCACGAGGTCAGGAGTTCAAAACTAGCCTGGCCAACATGGTGAAACCTCGTCTCTACTAAAAATACAAAAATTAGCTGAGAGTGGTGGCCGGCGCCTGTAATCCGAGCTACCTGGGAGGCTGAGGCAGGAGAATCATTTAAACCTGGGAGGCAGAGGTTGCAGTGAGCCAAGATCATGCCATTGTATTCCAGCCTGGGCAACAAGAGTGAAACTCTATCTCAAAAAAAAAAAACAAACAAAAAAACATGTTTGGAGGATCCAAATGTATTTTAGAATCCTTTGATTTTAAAGGCACTCTGTCTGACAGCATGGACTAGTGGCCTCAAGGAATGACTCTGTATATAATTTTTTTAATGTTAGGTCCTTAATTTAGATTTCATAGTAATGGGTAATTTAAAGCTTTAAAATTTTTTGCTATTTGAAAACTTAAAACCAAATTTCTTGTTTTTCCGTTGAATGGATTACTAAAAGAAAATTACTGTTTCAAAGGGTACAATCTTTTGATACAGCACAATCTCTTGCTCTTCCTTTTATTTTTGCTACTTTTGCAGGTAAAAATTGTTACCTTTCAGCTATGAATAACATACATTTGAGCAATAAGGAAATTGAACACTTTTTCATGTTTATTAGTCATTGAGGTTTTTTTCTTATGGAGAAATATCTATTCATGCCCTTTGTTCATGTTTCTTTTGGTAACATAATATTATTTGTGTCTTTATTTAAATGGTCTGTCACATTTCTTGCAAAATCCCTAAGGCTTTTTTGAGAAATAAATGCTACAGTTACATGAAAGTGTTTTGTATAAACTGTAAGGTACTACAAGCATGTTACTATTATTGAAACATTGACTTTGTTCACTAAGGTATGTCAGAATCATATTTATAACAAAGAGATTCTTCCAAATGCAGAAATAGCATGGCTAGGGTGTGAGCTCAGATTTTTATCTTTGTTCACTGCTGTATCCCCAGCACCTAGAACCGTGCCTGGCACGGAGTAGGTGATCAATAAATGCATGTAAAATGAATGAGTGTATGATAAACCCATTGAATGGTAGGGATTTTCTACATTCTTCCACCAAGATGACTTTTTTTTTTTCTTCCTGTCTTAAGCCAGAAGTGAAAAGGGTTGTGTATAGTTCGTGGGCTAGAGCTATGGAATTGTGGTCTTAAGATTCTGGACATAGGAAACCCATTTATTAGAACCTAACTTTCTTTATGGTAATATTTTAAGCCTAGTTAGTATATTATTCTCCCTCATTTAAGAGAGAAACCAGAGACAAGAAGAGTTTAATGATCCAAGAATGATTTTCAACAATGATAAAAGACTAAGTTGTAGTTTTGTTTTTAATATAGCAGTGTTTCCAATTCCTAAAATATGGCAAACGTTGTTTTCTTCTCCTCTCATGCCTCATTTGTTGTTTTTCTGTTACCTATGAGAATAAATTGTATGCATGGCCTAAAAGAAAACATGACAACTTGCCTTCAATGGATTCATTTTTTGGTTGCCTATTTTTGGGTAAAGGTTTTGTATAGAAGTTTCTGCTAATGAGTATAATCTCCTATGTAGACCTAAATTCCACTACTCACAGGTACATGGTACCGTCCTTTTTTCTAATGTTTTCCTGTTCTGTTTTTATCCCTAATCATCCTACCTCCTGTTATGTTTTCCTTTTAAAGTACTTTAGTATTTCTGGAAGAAGAGGGGTTAAAATTTTATATAAATGTGCATTTAGCTCTAGACTTGTGTTCTGGATGGATCACTTATAGTGAGAGACACTATACAGTGGTTAAGCACTTACTATTTGAGTCATATACACTGTGAGGTGAGTTACCTGGCTTCTCTGAGCCTCTATTGCTCCATTTATAAGTATGAAAAAACTCTGCTTCCATAGGGTTAAATAAAATAATGAGGATTGAATAAAATAATGTATGAAAAACTTCTCACATAGGGTTTAGTAGCATGCAGTAAATGGAAGCTCCAATGGAATACTTTTCCTTATTAGCATCGTATTCATAATAGATGGCCTTGGCCATGGCTTCCAACCACTGAAGTGCTATTAGTAAATGTAAGAAAAATGAAGTGAAAATGTCAAGGGTGAATGCTTTTGGAAGCAAAACGATCAGGAAACTATTCCAGAAGTAACCCAGCCAGGATATATTAGTCAGGGTTCAATCAGAAAAGTAGATCCACTTGGATGTCTGTGTGTGTGTATGTGTGTGTGTGTGTTTATACATATGCATATGTGTGCATATATACGTGCATAGATATACACATACACATCCATATGTATGACTTGACCTTCCACACTCATAGGGACTGGACTCTCTGCAAGGCTACTGCCTTCATGTCTGATGCTGGAGTCTGCAGGCCAGAGGGCAAGTGGTCAGGAAGGGAAGATGGAGGTGAAGTGGGAAGAGCAAGGACCAGGTCGAACCCCAACCATGAGCTGGAGCCCCACAGGGAAAGATGAAGACCTGAGCCCGTTCTTGTTTGCCTTTGCCCTGGGTATGTGGTGTGGGTGGCTGCTTTTGGTCATGAGGCCAAACTCACACACCTGGCCCAGGAGTTGGAGCAGGTGAAGGAGGATCCGGGGGAAGGTGGAGCATTGCAAACCTGACCACATTCTCACACTACGAGATGAGTCAGCAGGTATCATGTGTGCAAAATGGCTGCTGCGTCACTTCCACCCTCCACCAGAGCTCTAGGTATAGATGCCATCATCAGTGCAGGTAACCATTTTAAGGAGAAAACAACAGAGGTTCAGAGAGGTTAAATCATTTGTCCCGGTTCACACATCTGGAAAGGACAGAGTTGGGATTCAGAGCAGGCCTGGTTGACTGCAGTATCTAGACTTTTAACCACTGCAGAGCTTACAGCCTCTTAGAAGGGCAGGCAAGGAGGGGCCATTTACAGCACAGGGGTTCATACTTGGTCTCTGGAGCCTGACTGCCCAGGTTTGTAATCTGTCCCTCCACTTACTGACGGTGTAACCCAGGGGGAGTTACTTCACTTTGGTTTGCTTCAATTCCCTTGTCTGTCAAAGGGGAATGATTATAATACCTATATCAAAGGCTGAGAGTTGATATATGTGAATTCTTTGCAACAGTGCCCAGAGTTTTAAGCACCCCATGAACTTGGCTGAGCAAGTCAGCAGATCCCGGAGCATCTGGCTGTGGCGGGCAGCTCATCATGCCCTCCTGGGCGCTGCTCCCCTCCACCCCCTCCAGCATGGATGTCCTCAGGCGTGCTCCCTGGTGAAGCTGAGTCAGTTTCGAGGTCTGCAGTTCTGCAGCTTTTCAGCATCACCGCCTTGGACTCAGCCTTGTGCCTGCTCCAGGCAGACAGAGGTGATGTTACAGTGACTACATTAGCGCCAGCTGATTGTGCTTCCTAGAAGCAGACACCTTTTAGATTGGCCAAAGCTCAAACCATACAACTTAGTTGCTAATTGGGACCCTGAGGCTGAGCTTCTAGCTCTGACAGAGCCTCCAAGATGCTTTATTTCAGGAGTGTCAATGAAATGTTAGCATGCACCACCACTGGAAGAGATGATTAGCTGTCACCAAGTTCTCACCCAGATGGAAAGTAGATAATTACTATTAAAATTCCAGTGTAGGTAATTGTTTGAATGAGTGAAGAGTATAGTGCTTTCATCCTTTGAGCAGGGGGTGAACACTGATGGCTGGAGTACTGGGGCAGGAGAATAGAGTGGGGTCAGCGTCAACCTGCTAAGTTTGATTTCTGGCCCTGCTGACTCAGGACAAGTTACTCAAGCTCTCTAAGTCTCTGTTTTCTCATCTGTTAAATGGAAATACAAAGGTGGATTGTTGAGAGATTCAATGAGGCAATGTACCTGAAAGTACTCGGAATACAGAGATGCTTCATGGATAGTGGCCACACCCGACACTGTGGGGACAGTCATTCGTGTCCCTCTGCCACTGCAACTTTTAGTGGTCACTTTTTTTTCCCCATCCCTTTTGTTCTCGCTCCTTTTAGGTCCTTGCCTGTCGTTTTTTTTTCTTATTTGTGGCTCTCTCACACCAAGTTTTAGGTCTTCCAATTACTCTTCAGAGCCTTGTGTTGTTATTGTTGCTTTTTGTTTGTTTGTTTGTTTGTTTTTGCCACTAGAGATATTCAGAGCAGGGGAAGAGCAAACTTTTTGTAAAGAGCCACATAGTACTTTCTTTTTGGCTTTGTGGGCCATATGGACTCTGTTGCTAGTACTCAACTCTGCTGTTGTAGTGCAAAAGCAGCAACAAATAATATGTAAATGAATGTGACTGTGTTTCAATAAAACTTTATTTACAATGCAGGCTATGGGCCAGATTTGGCCTGCGGGCCATGGTTTGCCAACCTCTGGTTTAGAAATTTGAGGTCAGACTCCTGTCATTGAATATCCAAGGTCATCTCTTCAGATGGACATCCTGATCTCCAGTTCACACCAAGGAGCCTTTGATGCCTGGAAGCCTTTTTGCCTTATTTTTCCACGGCACAGTCTTCAGACAGTGAAGCATGAAGTTACTTTGTTATTCACAACTGTTACTTTGTTTACTCATTTAAGTTTAGAAGATTCTAAACAAATTCCACTTAAACACTTAGATCATAAGTGGCTTCATCAATTCAAAACCAACTGATGGTTTTGAGCAGTGAGCATTAGGTAAAACTTCCTAGCCTTGGCAGAAATATATAAGCTTAGTACTAGTACAGTGAGCATTGCATGGTTACTGACTGATTGTCTCAGGTCACTTCCAAAACAGCTTACAGACCCTGCGTTGAGGTTCAAATGAGCTGGGAACCCTTTTTACTACATAGATCTGAGTTCAAGATCTAGTTTTTCCATGTGCCAACTGTGTCTTAGGCAATCTCATTCAGCCTTAGTGTTCTCATCCATAAAATAGGGATAATAATAATAATAATAGTATTGATATCATAGGTTCATTGTGAGGATTAAAGATAAGGCTTTAATGCCTAGCTCAGAGCAAAGAGGCCATAAATATTTGTTATGCCTATTATAAGAACATGTTTGTGGTGGCTTTGGAGTTTCTGAGTGCCCCTTCAGCTGTGACTTGGGAACAGAATCAAAGGCACTTATGTTTCTGTTTGCCTTGTTACCTTCTCAGGAAAGCTGGAGGCCAGGTCTTGATTCTTAGGATTGCAGAACTTGAAGTTCTCTCTGACTTTTAAAGGAGTGCTTCAGCCCATTTTTGTGGATTTCACACAATTCTTTAGCATTCTGGATTTCATGGTTGTCTGGCTTGACTGTAGACTTTCCTTCTCTCTTTTACTAACATACCTCACTCCCTGGTTGTCAGAAAGTTATTTTCCAGTGTCAAACTACATTTCCTCTGTCAGCATTTATGCTTACTCACTCTTTTCATTTCCCTCAGTAGGGATGGAGGGAAAATAGGTCATCTTCTTCCTTTCAAAAAAAAGAGTTAAGTTTAGAAGTCCCCCAGACATTTCTGTTATCCAGCTTCTCTTTTCCAACCCTTAAATTGAGAGCCCTCCTTCCTGTCTTCCCTTCACAGTCTAGCCATTCTGTTACTGGCGGCAGAGATCCTTGCTCCCAGAGCTCCCAAGATGGTGGCAGGCTGCTTCCAAGATGGTGGCAGGCTGCTTCCAAGATGGTGGCAAGCCTCGTGTTCTCTGACCTGGGGTTCTTGGCCTCACGGATTCCAAGGAATGGAATCTTGGGCCATGCAGTGAGTGTTATAGCTCTATTAGAAGCCATGGGTCATGGAAGGGAACCATGGAACCCAGTGACTAGTGTTCAGCTTGATTAGGGTGAACCCGGGCACTCAGCTGTGCAGGAATACCCGATCAGGAGCAGCAATGGGAGCCTTGCTGGATCAGGAGTACAGTGGACACCCTGCCAGATCTGGAGAGATGGAAGTCAGCAGTAGGTCTGTGAGGGTGGCAAACAGCAGTGGTGGACGGCAACAAACACGGACCAGAAGAGAGTGCAGTTGCAAGATTTAATAGAGTGAAAACAGAGCTCCCATACAAAGAGAGGGGAACCAAAGAGGGTAGCCATTGCCGGCTTGAATGCTTGGGTTTATATCCCGATCATTGTCCCTCACGCTGTGCTCTCAGGCGATAGATGATTGGCTATTTCTTTACCTCCTTTATGCCTAATTAGCATTTTAGTGAGCTCTCTTTACTACCTGATTGGTCGGGTGTGAGCTAAGTTGTAAGCCCCATGTTTAAAGGTGGATGTGATCACCTTCCCAGCTAGGCTTAGGGATTCTTAGTTGGCCTAGGAAATCCAGCTAGTCCTGTCTCTTAATTCCTTTTTCTTCCTAAAATATGGAGCTAGAACTGAACATACCAATAAGTCCCTGGCCTATTGTGTACTTTCGGGAAGGATGTTGTGTGAGTTTTACCCAGTGTATTTCTATATAGGAAACTGACATCTTTTCCTGCTCAAGTTGTCCTCATAGTCTGTCAAGCAATGTCAGCTTGCCAAAGACAACACAGCTTCCTGGGAAGGATGACAATAAAATTATAAGACCAAGTCCACACATCACCCCAGAAAGTTATTTCTAACTCTCACCAGTATTCAGGCTAATAGCCTAGCTTTCCAAAAGCTAATAATCGTACCTTACCTATAAGTACTTATCTGTTTAATATTCATAAGACATACATCCTAGTATCATGCTAGCTTGGCTGATTCACATTCAGTTCCTGTTCCTTAAAGACACTAAATTATTTTTAGTTTCCCACTTTCTAAAAACTACCGTATAGAACAAGGAATATTTATGCTAAGTGGAAATCCAGAAATTTGCTAATAACTTATTTGCAGATAAACAAATACATATATAAAATACCTCTGTTTGCTCAGTACTGTGTGAGGCATAGGAGGTGAAGGACATGGTACCTACATACAAGGTCAGCTTGCTCATGTCTAAATCCAATTTATCTCACCATGACCTACATCACCATCCATGACCTATATTACATACCTCCAAGGACAAAATAGCAGAGTGAACTTTATTCCTTTAAGTCAATGCTTGGGGAGCATTTTTATAAACCTGCATTAAGTATTTTGTCATCTACTGAGCACCGGTAGAGTTCCAAGTTATTGTCCAATTTAGATTTAATAACGTGGCTGAAGCAATTCCCATTTTCTCTTCTGCAGGAGGCGGGTGTAGAAGTCTCAATAGAGGGTGGAAGATTGATGGGTGCAGTGAGTGGCAACTTTGCTTAATAATGACAATGTACTTGAAGCAGCACCATTTAGCATTTCCAGAGATGTGGCTGCTTTGCTCCCCATTTATATAACTTGTCACATCTAAGAAACTGACAGAAGAGGTAGTTTGAAATAGACAGAACACACACTTAGAAAAAGTCTTCTATGGTGATTACATCAAGAATGACTGGTCAATTTTGGCTTAAGGAATTCTTAATAGCATCCTAAATCCTTTACTGCTAAACAGAAAACAGACCAAGAAACATCATGGAGTATGAAACAAGCTGCTTCCTATTTATTTTCTGGTGGATTAAGAATGTTTTCATCAACCGCATGCTTTCCAGGTAGCTTCCCATAAAGCTTTCGAGGGGCAGTATTGTCTAGTGGTTAAGAGCACAACCTCTGAAGCGAAAGGCCCAGGCTTATCTCATATGTCATATTTATATCTCAGCTACATGAACTTACTAGCTGTGTAAACTGGGGTGAGTGTTATTAATCTTTCTGTGCCTCATCATCCTTATCTAGCCCATGGGAATAATAATAATAATAATAATAATAATAATAATAATAATACCTACCTCATAGGAAGATGTCATGATTATTATTGTTTCACACTGAATACATAAGGCATCACACAACACAATGTAGAGAGATGAGGTATATTTTTAAAGATGCCACTAATAATCCTGACATGATTCTATTAACTTTTTTTGTTTCTCATGGCAACCTGGTAAGAATCTATCTGTTCCAAGGCCAAAGTGCCTGAGTGGGAGAGAATATAACAGAATACCTAAAACAAGTCATTTATCTGGGGTTGGGGAGACCCACATTACTCTAGGAAATTCTCTTCCTCTCCACAATGCTCCTTCTGAATGCATATGGGTGGTGTTGCTATCTCCTGCAGGCTCTGCTTCAGTGATTTTCTCATCTGTAAGAGCACGCGGCTCTTTGACAGAAAGCTATTTGCAAAGGGACAGAATGTTTTTCTGCAGCTGTGATGTGAGTGGTATCAAAGTTATTGGCTAAGTTGGAAAATAGCTTAATGTTTTCAGGGCTTCTGCTTCCATATCTGCTTCTGCCTTGGAGATGTGTATAATTGGGACTCAGTAAGACAACCTTGACACCCCTCTGCAGCAAGATGTGCCTCTTTCATACAGGCTTAAAGTGAGCTTGACAAAGAGTAGCTTTTGCCTTGGGGCAGAGTGACCATGGAGAACATCATTTCTGTGAATCTGCTAATGAGTCAGCGGCCAGGAACTCAGCCTCACTCCCTAGATGGTCAGGCTTCCATCATTCTGTATCCTTCCTGTTGCTGCCAGAGCAGGCCAAAATCCTAGCTGTCCAATCAGTCATTAGAGAGAATGTATTTCTCACAATTGCCACTCTCTTGAGCTGCTTTGCGTTTGGTAAATTTGAAAACTATTTAGTAATGAATCTTGAAGCTCTTTGCTTTTGCCTACAAATGTAGTGATAACATCTCCCCACATCTGCATCTGTTCTGCAGGAAGATTTAGTTGAAAAGATCTTCTTGGTTCTTTTTGAGTCTCAGGCCTTTTGAACTCTGCCTCAGAAACATCCATGGGCTCTTCATTAAGGGAATTATTCTCCAGAGGACAAGGTGTCTATCAGTCAGGGACTTTGGTTGCAAACCCTGGTAACTAACCTGTGCTCACTTCAGTAAAAACACACTCTGTGGGAAGGCCATGGGGAGCTCACAGATGGAAGGCACAGTCCCTGCTCCAGCTTGGAATGGTTGGAGCCCAGGGTGACCCCAGGCAGCTTGCAGCAGGAATTGGTCTGAGCTCAGGGATGTACCCTCCAACCACTTTTAATTATTTTTGTCACCATGCAAAATATTCTAAATTCCTGGGAAAGAGAATGCAATTGCCCATCTCTTGGTTAGGGAAAAGCAGACAACCATGCCTAAGGGTCTTGTCAGATTATCTCCAAAGCAGGAAAGTAGTTTCTTTCTTTTTTTTTTTTTTTTTTTTTTTTGAGACGGAGTCTTGCTGTCTCCCAGGCTGGAGTGCAGTGGTGCGATCTCGGCTCACTGCAAGCTCCGCCTCCCAGGTTCACGCCATTCTCCTGCCTCAGCCTCCCAAGTACCTGGGACTACAGGTGCCCGCCACCACACCTGGCTAATTTTTTGTATTTTTAGTAGAGACGGGGTTTCACCATGTTAGCCAGGATGGTCTCAATCTCCTGATCTCGTGATCCACCCACCTCGGCCTCCCAAAGTGCTGGGATTACAGGCGTGAGCAACCGCACGCAGCTGCAGGAAAGTAGTTTCTTAAAGAAAAACTGGGGTGCTGACACCAGAAGATGGGAGAATGGATGTCAAGGGGCCAAACCACAGTTCTTGTTCTCCTGCATGTCTCAGGATGGGATAGTGTGTGGGGCCCACTTAAAAGCTTAAATATGCTGCAAAAGATACATGATGCCTGCTCCAAATATCTCAGTGTCACAGCACCCTATGACAATAGCGTATTAGTCCATTGGCTGAATATCTTAGAGCCTGGATGTGGGTTTTCTTGGTTTTTTTTTGTTGTTGTTTTTTTTTTTTTTTTTTTTGAGATGGAGTCTCACTCTGTTGCCCAGGCTGGAGTTCAGTGGTACCATCTTGGCTCACTGCAACCTCCACCCCCCAGGTTCAACTGATTCTCCTGCTTCAGCCTCCTGAGTAGCTGGGATTACAGCTATGTACCACCATGCCCTGCTAACTTTTGTATTTTTAGTAGAGACAGGGTTTCACCATGTTGGCCAGGCTGGTCTCGAACTCCTGACCTCAAGTGATCTGCCCGCCTCAGCTTCCCAAAGTGCTGGGATTACAGGCGTGAGCCACCATGCCTGGCCTGTTTTCTTGCTTTCTTCCAAGATTATCTCCCAGCCTTCAAAGCATGGCCTGCTCATCAGATGACATGAGGCCCATCAGCTCTGCAGGGGAGGTTATGTGAGTCTGACTTTGGCCTTCACACCTGCACCTCAGCTGCTTCAGGAGAAGCCACTTTGGGCAAGTTACAAGAACCTGGGGGATGTTTCATTACAGTGAAATAAAGGCATAGGGTGAGTTTTGAAAGGATGGGTCTGTTCCCATGTGCTATATGACAATGGCCCTAGATGGGTGTTAAGATACTGTGCTAAACACTCACCTCTCTCCAGGGCCTCTCTTAGGGACAATGCCTGGAGGGCAGTTGGGTTCAGCCTTCACATTCAAGAAAGGCCTCAAATTTGTGTTTTTCAAATTATCACAAAAGCAGATTTTTCTAAAAGTTCCATAGATACATTGCAAGAATTGAAAGAAAAAGCTGTGTCAGGCAGGGTTCTTAGCTGCAATCAAGAGAAATTCACTCTAAATAGTTAAACAAAAAGGGAATGTATCAAAGGATACTGGGTGGCTCATAGACTCTCCAGGAGGGCTAGAGGAGCAAGCTGAGAGGCTGAGCAGCCAGGACTGATGCCCCAGGCATCCCACAGGGCATCGGAGAGCTCTGCTCCTGCTCCTAGGCACAGATACTGCAGATCACCTCACTGCAGTGGAGCTCAGATCCTGCTGCTAGAATCTCTGTCACAGCTGGCCCTAAACCCAGGATTGACCCATCTCTACCCTCCACATGGATTCCTGTGGTAGCTGCTTCCTGTGTCACCAACTTGCCAGGCAAAGTCTGGTACTAGGGCATCATTTTGAAGGAGCCCAGGTCACATGCCTGGGCCCTAGCTGCAAAGAAGTCTGGGAAGACATGTTTTTGGCTTCTGCCATGGGGAGAATTCCCCAGAGGAAGTGTGTTCAAAGGAATGACAGATGTCCTTACAAAGATGTGTGACTCTGAACTTGCGTTTGTTCCAATAATGGACCACATCTCCCAAACTGCACAACAAATGCATAGATTTTAAACACTGTTTGGTAGTGATCTGATAAATCACGTGATGATATTGCATTGTATTTTTATGTTTAAAACTGTCTATAATTAAATATTGAAAATGTACCACAATTTTTAAAACTTTCTGATGGCAGGGTTACAAATATAACAGTATTCTCAAAAGTTGGAAGTGGTTTCTGCCTCTCACAAGTTCATTCAATATTAAACTATGTGAACCTTGGGCAAGTTGTGAAACGGCACTATTTCAGCATTATCATCTTGGAAATGGAGTAATAATACTGAGCTGTGTGCTTATTACAGTTGGTAATATTAAAATTGCCAAGTATTTATAGGTATTAGTGAACAAGTATTTCATATAAGCTAAGATGCCACTAAGAATGATAGTTATAACAATTTTACTTATTTATTCATTACTAATCAACCTGTACAGCATGCTAGAAATGTTGGGTACCCAACAAAAATGGGCTGGATGTTTACCTCTCATTTACTTCAGTGTTCTGTTCCCAAAACACAGTCATGTCCCAGAAGACAGTGGAGGCAGGAATTTAAACCAACCTGACTAAACAGGAGGACAATCATGCAATCTTTTAATTTGATCATCACATAAATGTTTATAAAGCACCTAGCATGTGCTGAAGCTAAACCAACCTAGTCTCTGTCTTAAAGTGTGTACCAAGTAGGAAAAGAGAGCCTTGTCAAGAGATCAATGTGATACCTTCAGATAATGCTAAACGACGGAGGAAAATGTTCAGTTTCACCCCATGTCGTCAGGGTCAGCTTCTAGGGACCAGGGTTCTTGGGTGGAGTTTTAGGGCAGGGAGAAGGGCAGAAGTGAGGAGGGCCTTTAGGGAAAAGACAACTTCATGTGCAAGGATTCAGAAGTGTGAAAGCTCCTAAGATTGGAGAATTACAGCTTCAGCTGGAAGGAAAAAGTTGGGTGACAAATGACACCCTGTCAGACACCTTCCAATGTGAAAGTGGAAGCACATTCCTTTTGCTGCTGGTGATAGTGCCTCAAATTTACATTTTGTGTTAATATGACTTCATTTACATAATGACTTAATATAAAGAATCTCTTAGATGTTGTCTAATTGTCCTCTTTCTCTTGCTAACCCCAAGTCTGAGAAAGTCAACATAATGACCTTTTTTTTTTTTTTTGGTATGAGGCAAAGAAATCTGATTTGATATTTTGCTGTGTCAACCTCATTTTAAGATCACAACTTACATCAAGGAAACAGTATAACAAGAACACTGAAGATACCTGGAATCTGCCATCTTCCTTTTCTTAGCCACAAAAAAAGCTACTTTGTATATTCCCTCTTGTATTTGCCCACATGCATATATATTTTTCTGGTAGACATAATGTACATACTCTCTATCACCAGTTTTTCCATTGATATTACATAATTGTCAGGGTTTTTGCTTCCCAGAGTATTTTTAATTCTAGTCTTTCATAAATGCCTAATATTCTATAGGATAGACTTTGGAAAATAGTTATGCTTCAGTTTTTAAATAGTTTAGGCAACATTGTAATGACAATATTTGTGTATAAAGATTATTTCTTCTGTTAGATGTTTTCCCTAAGAGCTTCAGTAACTCTTAAGAATTTCTTTTTTCCTCCCATTCATGTACTTCAAATAACCATTTCAGCACAAATTTTTAATTCATTTTACTTTCTTCATATAGCAACCTTACTAATGCATCAGTCCAAAAATCTTCTTTATATAGTATGCTGTAATACAATCCCAAGAGTCCCTCCCATCAATATAACTGTGATGTGTAGGAATGCAGCAGCCCAGGCTATGGAAATATTTGGCAGATTATAATGGCCATAAAAAGTCTTTTCACCCTAAAGGTTTGAAGCCCCTCTCTATTGTTTCCTAGCTTTATTTTCTTTGAGTTTGTATCTTTCATCACCATAATTCATCATAACTCATTCTATACTTAGTATTCCTTTAAATAATTTTCTTGTTTCAGTGATGTTATTTACCACTTGATTAATACCCCTCCATCCTTCTTAATGTTTGAAATTATTGTGTATTTGTACCCGCCTCCTGCTTCTTGGTGATTCTTTGACATTTCTTTATATCAATAAGTTGGTTCCTAAGGTCACTGAAAGCTCTTTTTTTTTTTTTGCTGCAGCATACACTTAAAATATGACCCAGCAATTTCACTCCTGGGTATTTACATTAGAGAAATATTCATGCAAAACAGGTACCTGAATGTTTATAACAGTTCTATTCATATTCATCAAAAAACTATTTAGAAACAACCCAAATGGCCTTCAGTGGGTGAATGTATAGCACTGCGGTATGTCCATACAGTGGAATACTATGCAGCAACAAAAAAGGAGCTATTGATACACAAAACAAATTGGATGAATCTCAAAGGATTGATGTGGAATTAGATAAGTCAGTCATACTCTATGATTCTACTTATATGACAGTCTTGAAAAGAGAAAACTATAGTGATGAAGAATAGATCAGTGGTTGCCAGGTGTTAGGGATTGGGGGAGGGCGTGACTACAGAGGGATAGTATGAGTCTAGGGTAGTGGTATCACTGTTCTGTGTCTTAATTGTTGTGATGGTAACACAAATCTATGTATGTGTAAACATTCATAGAAATGTGCACCAGAAGGTCATTTTTATTGTAAATTTAAAAAATATAAAAAGATCCAAGTTTCCAACCAGGTGCAGTGACTCATGCCCGTAATCCCAACACTTTGGAAAGCCAAGGTGGGTGGATTGCTTGAGCCTTGGAGTTTGAGACCATCCTGGGTGACATGGCTAAACCCTGTCTCTACCAAAAACAATATAAAAATTAGCTGGGTGTGGTGGCACGTGCCTGTAGTGCCAGCTACTTGGGAGGCTGAGGTGGGAGGATCGCTTGAACTGAGGAGGTAGAGATTGCAGTGAGCTATGGTCACACCACTGTACTTCCAGCCTAGGCAACAAGAGCAAAACCCTGTCTCAAAAACTAAAAATTAAAATTAAAAAAAATCTTAGTTTCATCAAAGTGGTCATATGTCCTTTGGCAAGTGATATAACCTTTCTAAATCTCAATTTATTTTTCCTATAAAATGTGGAAAATACTCTCTACCTTGGAGAGGCATTCTAAAGATGAAATAAGATGTTATAAACGATCTCCCTGACATACTAGATGCTCCTCTTTCTCTTTTCCATGGCAGCTATTTCTCACTGAGAGCAGTTTATTTTTTATTATTATCATCACCATGCTTTTTTACAGCTATTTGGCTCTTAGGTAACAGCCTGGAGCCACTGAGGGTTTCAAGCAGGAAAGTGACATGATCTGATCTTCATTTTTAAAAGACAATTTGAGCAGCTTTGTGGAGAGTGGTAAGGAATGCAGGAGGGTAAGAATTGAAACAAAGAAGCCAGTAAGAAGTGTTGGGGTTGTCCAGGTGAGAGATGACGGTATAGACTCCAGTGGGAGCCATGGAGTGGGGAGAGGAGAAGCGGGGGGTTTATTTTGGGAGAAGGTAGAACAAAGAAGCTTGATGCTGGTTGAGGGGTGAGGAAAGATAGATGGTGATGTCATTTACTGAGATGAGAACTCAAGGGAGGAGCAAACTTGAGTGGGTGGGTTGTGGTCAGCATTACAAGTCAAGAATTCTGTCTGAGCATGTTGGGATTGGAAACCAAGTAAGCAGTTAGACCAAGGAACAGGCCAGTGTTATCTTGTTCATTACTAGGACTGCAGCACACAGCAGCGGGGGCTTCCTCATCAGCCCTTCCAAATAAGGCTGGGGGAACTTTGAGCTGCTCCTCCTTAGACTCACTCAGCCTTGACGATTTTTAAAAAATTTATCTCTTTAATCCATTCCTGAGAGGGATTGTAGAACCTTCTACCAGAATTTAGAGTATGCTATTATTCTAAGTGAAGTAACTCAGGAATGGAAAACCAAACATTGTATGTTCTCACTCATAAGTGGGAGCAAAGCTATGAGGATGCAAAGGCATAAGAATAGCACCATGGACTTTGGGGACTCAGCGGGAAAGGGTGGGAAGGGGTGAGGGATAAAAGACTATACATTGGGTTCAGCGTACACTGTTTGGGTGATGGGTGCACCAAAATCTCACAAATCACCACTAAAGAACTTACTCACGTAACCAAATACCACCTGTTCCCCAAAAGCCTATGGAAATAAAACATTTTAAAGAAAAAAAGGACTCAGATTATGCTCATATTAGTCACTGCTGCCAGATTTTTTTCTTTTCCATTTAATGAGATTTAAGGAAAGGAGGCATGTAGCATTTTCAAATACCCAGCCTGAAAGTCATCAATCGTATTATGTAGGATTGAAAAGTATTAATAAACTACTGAGAATGATGACAAATGTATGACACAGAATATGCTAAGAGATTATATTCCAACGTATTTTATTATTTCTGTTATCTTCAAATTTCTAGTTTTGCTACAGACAATGAAAGAAATTCCATACATACTTTTCCTTGATAACTACCAAGTCCAATTTGATAACTACCAAATAGCTATTTCCTTTGGGAAGGCAGGAACGGGCATGGGATTTGGGAAGGGGTATTGAAGAAGCCCCCATTGTATCTATAAAAAGTTAAAATTTCATAGAGCTGGATATAGGGTCAGTGTGTTCATCAGTCATCTGCGTTTAAAAATATTTTATAATTTAAAAATGAAAAAATGTGTTGTTAACATATAAATAAAAATAATTTTAAAATCTGAACATAAAAGACAATGCCCTCCTTCCACTCACTCCACCCTCATTAATCACCTTAAAGAGTGATCTCTTGGGTTTTTCTCTCAGAAAAATGTAATTACTTTGTAATGAAATGTTAATGTTATGTTCTATTCTTAAAGTTACTTGTTACAGTGATGAAGCTATGACTTAATAGAGTTGCTAAGTTTTCTTCTAAGTCATTCTTCTTTTAATATTTTATATTTATCAAGTGAGCTGGTGATGATCCAGAACTTTTTTGTTGTTTTCACAAATATAGGACTATCTCAGCAAAAACTCATCATCAGGCTGTTAACTTCAACATTTTCGAGGGCATGGTTTGCCACGGGGTGCCCCTTGTGACTATTTCAAGAGGCAAAGTGGTATATGAAGCCGGAGTGTTCAGTGTCACGGCAGGAGATGGGAAGTTTATTCCTCGAAAACCATTTGCTGAATATATTTACAAACGAATAAAGCAGCGAGACCGGGTGAGTGTGCCACAGTGGGATACTGCCACAAGTCGGACTGTCTCCTGCTTCTGGATGTCTGGCTGGTTATTGTTGGTAGTAGTGGTGTTGACACATCACACTTGGTTTAATGTATTCCTGGGGTGTCAGGATTGATATGAGAGATTAGAGATGCCAGTTTTTAGATAAAGGATCATTATTGGATGCACGCATTTCCCCTTGCAGACTGATAGGTCAGTTCGGGATTTCCAGATTGTGGGGTAATCTGGTGGGGGCTTTTGGCAATTGTGTTAGTCAGGGTCCTCCAAGAGGCAGACACCAAGATGGATAAAGGTGTATGAGTTTTATTAGGGGAAACACCTGTGAAAGAAACTAGGAGGTGGCTGGAAAAGATTGGGAGAGCCCTCAGATTGCAAGTTAAGTCTGAAACCAGTAAAGAAAAGAAAGAGATAAAATGGGTAGGAGCATCCTGGAACACCCTACAGTCTAGGGGAGGCTGAAAAAGGCCGTCAGGGAGTCCTTGAGCCAAGTCTCAGATCTCCCAGCTACAGGCCAGGCCCAGTCATTGGCTGAGAGCCACTGTGGGAGGTGTGACCTCTGTGTAAAAGTGTAATGAAGTTCAGAGGTCAGCAGCAGCCCCTTGAAAAAATGTGCTCCCATTAGTTGAAGATCTGCAAGGTCAGTTTTTATGACCACCAGAGCAATGGTGGAGTTTTGGGCTGGAGAAGACCTAAATTCTCTCTTGCCCTCGCCACCATTTCCTAGCTGTGTTGCCTTGAGCAAGTTTCTCGATCCTCCTTGGGCTCAATTCCCTCATCTGGAAAATGACAACAATGTTTCCTTCCTAACAAATTGTGACACTCAAATGGGTTTTTTTTTAAATGAAAGGCATGGCCCAAAGCAGTAGCTCACCACACCTGTAATCCCAGCCCTTTGAGAGGCAGAGGTGGGAGAATCACTTGAGGCCAGGAGTTTGAGAACAGCCTGGACAACAGAGTGAGACCCCATCTCTACAAAAAATTTAAAAATAAAAAATAATTAGCCAGCCATACCAGTGCACTCCAGCCTGGGCAACAGGTTGGTAGGAGGTCAATAAATGTCACTTTTGTCTCTTTGCTTTCCCCTTTTGATGACCAAATCTCTATCAAAGACCCCTGTTATTATAAAAGAGATATTGGGGCTTTCACACAAGTTTTGTTTAGTTCACACAGAGTTTGAAATAGTTTTAAAATTTTACTACACCAAATACACTAAAATATTTGAGAATTTTAGATTTAAAAAATCTAAATTTCTGGATATGGGGGCCGGGGAGGCAACCCTGTGTCCTCAATCCCACATGGGTCCAATGGGCCAGAGCTAGATGGCAGGCCCCTAGCTAGGAGGTATTTCTGGTTTTCACCCAGAAGGCTTCACACATTACTTGCCTGGCCATGTAGATGGTAGTGTTTGCCACCCTTGGACTAGTTCTAAGGCTTCTCCCTCTTCTTTCCATTTTTCAAATGTACCTCTCCTTTTCCAGAGCTCTCTGGCTGTTTTTTTGATTCAATTCATTTGGATCTTGTAGAGGCTTTGGTTTCTCCTTTAATGTCTTATGAAAAATTTTTACTTGTGGATTCTCAGAGTCCATTATGCAAGATTTATCCATTTTTAAACACTTCCTAAGGCTTTGATTAGGTAAACAAGTTTTCTCACGTGCTTTAAATTCTCAGAAAACTGCAGTTCTTTATATGCTGTATTTATATGCTCAGTCAAAATAGGTGGTTTAAGGTTACAGTTAATATTTCTGGGGAGTTAGTTTATAAATGTTAACATTAATGGGTGACAAGTAGGTGGTAACTATAAGAATCCTAGGATCCTCGGTGTTTCTGAAGATGTATGTGATAAATAACAGCAGCACTAACATTTAGTGAGTGCTTACTGAATGCAAGACACACTGCTAAGGTCTCTGTCACTATAATAACCCTGGGAGGGAGGGAGGTATTTTTTTCACTTAAAATTAGAGAACTGGCCAGGTGTGGTGGTTCACACCTGTAATCCTAGCAGTTTGGGAGGCTGAGGCAAACAGATTGCCTGAGCTCAGTAGTTCAAGACCAGCCTGGGCAACATGGCAAAACCCCATCTCTACTAAAAATGCAAAAAATTAGTTGGGCGTGGCAGCGCACCCCTGTAGTCCCAGCTACTTAGGAGGCTGAGGCACGAGAATAGCTTGAACCTGGGAGGTGGAGGTTGCAGTGAGCCAAGATCACACCACTGCACTCCAGCCTGGGCGACAGAGTGAGACTCTGTCTTAAAAAAAAAAAAAAAAGTTAAAGAGAACTGAAGCTTCAAGAAATTAAGAAATTTGTCCAAGTCACACAAGCAAGTGTATGGCAGAGCCAGGACATAAACCCTGCTTATATGATTCCAAAAACTTTATCCTTAAGTAATAATAGATGCTGTAAATTATAAACATTGAGTTAAATGAAGTAATGAAGGATAAGTTACTCAGCGTTTGTTTTGTAAAGTCTCTCAAGGAAAAAATTAAGTTGGAGGCACTGATGGCAGCTGCTGCATTCATGAGACTGTAGCAGTAATCTAGGAGATGAACATAGAGGGTGGATTTAGGATATTATAAAGTAGTAAAATCAATAGAACTGGATGATAGATTATGTGACGCCTGAAGTGGATCCAAGGTAGGGCCAATCTTGGCATCAGTTCCAGTTGCTTCCAGAAGGGGCGCTAGACTAACAGGGAACCCTGATAGACCATATTTAAATGCTTGGCTTTGCCTTAGTCTTCTTGTAGAGAAAACGTTTTGAGGCAGCAGAGATCATCAAATCACTGGTTTCATCAGTTCTCCTTTGCAAATTGTTTTGTGATTTTTTTGGCAGAATTAATGCCAACTGAAATTTTTATGAGTTCACTATCAATTCTGTGAATTATTTTAGTTTCTTAGTATTTTTTTCTGGTATCAAATTTTTAGGCATTTTAGTGCATCATTGTTTTAAAAATACCAATAAATGATAGTTATCATGTGCTGTTTTGAGCACTATCTGCCAAGCTCTGTACTAAGTGGTTTATATTCATTATTTTACTTAATCCATAAAGCAAGCCAAGTGGTAGGTATTATTGTTCCCATTTTACAGAATAGAAAGCTGAGTCTCAGTAGGATTAAGTAACTTTCCCTAGGTTAAGCATTAAGTAAACCTAAGAGCCAGGATTTGTGATAAGGTCTTTTTGATTCCCACTGTACCACTGGACCTCTGTAGAGACAAAAAAAAAAAAATAAAAGGAAGAAAATAGTCATGAAACCCAAATCATGGAGAAATGCCTTATTCAAAAAATGTTGGTGTGGAAAAGATATTAAATAAAATGGATAAAATGAAATGAGGTTTGGGAACTGTCTGGAGATGGTTCCCTATGGCATTAGGCAAAGACAACTTACAGGATAAAAATATCACATGAAGGTTAAGAAAAAGAATCATAAAAACTCTAGATTTTTAAATTCACATGAGGTTATCAAAGTCCTTGCTTTGGTTTTCATTTCAAATATTCAGATTTCTTTGTGAGTGGGGATAAGAGTTTGAGGGCAAGCAGGAATAGCAAATGCTATTTCTTTGCTTATCTGTTGTCCCTACCAAGAAAATTAATCACTTCCTATTCTGGACTCCCAAAGCACAGAGTACAGAGTCACATCAGCATTTGTCAGTCCCTGAACTCAGCTGGTCTCCTGGCTAGAGTTAGTTCCTTCAGAGCAGCATCTTATTCTTTTTTGCCAGTACTTGGTACATAGGTGGCATCTGGTAAATGAATAAACTGCACACAGAAGGAGCAAAAGCTATAGTTTCAGAGATGCGTAGAAGGAAATTTAACTAAATTTACCCAGCAGATTACCCCTGCCTTATTTCAAATAGTGGGATTATCTTGTGAGAGCTTGATTTTTATCTATGATTTTATTGCATAATAATAAAATTTGTCAACACCATACCATGCAGCTATTACTGTTACTGGATCTTTTGGGAAATTTCAAAGGAAAGAGAAGACGTTTTTATCTGATTTGACAGCTTTGGAGAATTGTTAATTTATGTATTTTAAAATGTAGACAGCTGATCCTAAGGGAAAATATTGAATCAGAAGATAAGCCATCAAACTTTATTTGATAAATATAACATAATAGAATATATTTCAACTTCAACTTCATATAAAAGTTGTTTAAGGAAAGAAAAGCAAAAGAAAAGAGGGAGGGGAAAAATGTAAGAGCAACTTGGATGTTCAAGAGAATCCTGACTGAGCAAAACTACATATTATTAATTGTTTACAAAAAATATATAGCTCTTTAAGTTAAAATGGATTACGTTTCTTGAATTTTTGTGTGTTTAGAGTGTTATAAGTTCCAACAAAATGTGAAAGTACAGACATTTGTTAAGTCATCTGTTTTTCTCTTTTTTTTTCAGTAATAGGGAACCCCAACCTTTTCTGGAAAATCAGGATCACATTGCATTTTATAGAGAAACAGGAATAGCTTCATGGAGTGATGTATGGTTTCAGAATACTGCTGCCAAAGCTTTTAAACTGGGTTGTATCTTTGCAATGATAAGCATAATTTGCCTTGTAGATAAGATAAAATTGAGTGGATGGCTGCTTTGGTCCTTGAGATGGGTATTCTCCATTTCTGAAATAACCATTTGTCAATGTCTTTCTCAAGGTGGTAGCTCAGAGAAAATAATTTAAGACATATCACTTGCCATATAATCCTAATTTCTTCAGGTTAATCACTACCAATACAAGGTAATACACATGCTGGAGTTGGCTCATTTTGGCTCACAAGAGACATATGTACGCATCTGTGCCCAACTCTTCATTCAGTGGTGTCAGTTTGGTAGCTTGAAAACAGCCAGAGAAGGAGTATTTACACCACAGAAATAGGCAGGTGCTTTAAGTTAGGGCTTTAAGGATGGTGAGGAAAAAGGAAGGTAGAGATAGTTGTTAATATTTACCAACACATCACTACACACAGGACACTTTCTAAGTACTCTTTTTCATGCTTTATCTAATCAATCAACATCCGTTCAGTAAATATTTATTGATCACCAGTTATGTTCCAAGCACACTTTAATTCTTTCAACAACCCTTGGAGGTAAGTAGTGATATTCCTATTTCATATATTAAGAAATAGAGGCTCAGGGAGCTCACATAGTTACCAAGTGGCAGTGTTGGGACTCAAACCCAGGTTTGTCTACCTCCAAAGCCAATCCCTTTAACTTGTATCACTGCAGTATCCTAACCATAAACTTTAATCCCTACTCAAACAAATAGCCACCCATTCCCCCATCCTTATGATATCGCTCCCTCAGTCTCCCCTCTGCACAGAGGGTTCACTTCCTCTCGGACTGGCAAATTTACCAGAGGAGCCAGCCCTGAAATGAGACAGCCCAGCTTTGTAGCTCACAGCATTTTGTTTGTTTGTTTGTTTATTTATTTATTTATTGCTTCAAAATCTTTCCCTCTCCCACTCCAGCCAGGATATTTTAAGGATTAAATTGAGATATTTGGTAAATTGTAAACATCATCAAAATGCCAATCTTCATTGTTATAGATCACCTCTGTTGCACCTAGGGCTTTCTCATGTACAAGTGATTCACAGAGCCCTGGGTAGCTCAGTTCAATGTGTGCTGAGTGCCCTCTACATTCACCAGGCCAGGCGTGGATTTCATTCTCAGGGAGTCACTGTTCATTTGGTCTGCTTGCTGTTGACCCAGCATCTGCTGTTTGGTATTTGGAAGTTCTGTTGTCTTTATTGATATTTTAGTATCTTAGCCTCCATGAACAGCATTCAATCATTAATACCTTTGGGATTCTTCTCTGTTGATCTTGCTAATTTCAGAAAATCTAGCATCCAGCCAGGCGTGGTGGCTCACACCTGTAATCCCAGCACTTTGGGATGCTGAAGCGGGTGGATCACCTGAGGTCAGGAGTTCAAGACTAGCCTGGCCAACATGGTGAAACCCCCTTTCTACTAAAAATGCAAAAATTAGCCGTGAGTGGTAGTGCATGTCTATAATCCCAGTTTCTTGGGAGGCTAAGGCAGAAGAATCATTTGAACTCAGAAGGCGGAGGTTGCAGTGAGCTGAGATCGTACCACTGTACTCTAGCCTGAGCAGCAGAGTGAGGCTCTGTCTCAAAAAAATAAATAAATAAATAAAAAGAAAAAAAAAAAGAAAATCTAGCATCCCAGCACATTCCATCCTCAGCAGTCAATATGATTAAATTTTCTTTTTCTTTTCTTTTTTTTTTTTTAAGAGTCTCACTCAGTTGCCCAGACTAGAGTGCAGTGGGATGATCTTGGCTCACTGCAACCTCCACCTCCTGGGTTCAAGCAATTCTCCTGCCTCAGCCTCCCAAGTAGCTGGGACTACAGGCGTAGGCCACCACACCTGGATAATTTTTGTATTTTTAGTAGAGACGGGGTTTCACCATGTTGACCAGGCTGGTCTTGAACTCCTGACCTCAAGTGATCAGCCTCCCTCAGCCTCCCAAAGTGCTTGGATTATAGGTGTGAGCCACCATGCCCAGCCCAATATGATTAAATTTACTATCAACTTATGTCTTCCTTTTTCCTTGGTCATGTAACCAAAAGGCATTTCTGCAGTTATGAAAGTGTAATGATAATTGGAATTAATGTTTATTTATAGAACCACAAATTATATAATTTTCATTTCTGTCTCTCTATTAATTTGTCACAATGACAAGTATCATCAAATACTGAGAACTCAAGTTCAATTCTCATTTACCAAAGTAAACCACCGATGTCCTGCTAGGTGAGGTGCCACCTATGTCTTTTGTATTACTTATTTTTTGTGCTTGCTGCTATAACAGAATATCTGAGGCTGGTTAATTTATAATGAACAGACATTTATTGGCTGACATTTCAGGATGCTATGAAGTCCAAGAACGAGGCGCTGGCATCTAGAGAGGGCCTTCTTGCTGTGTCATCCCATGGAGGAAGGCATCACATGGCAGAAGGGCAAAGAGAGAAGAAGGGAGAGAGCCAAAGGGGCCAAACTTGTCATTTTATAAGGAATGCACTCCTAAGATAACAGCATTAATCCATTCATAAAGGCAGAGCCCTCATGGCCTAACCATCTCTCAAAAGTCTCACCTCTTAATACTGTTACAATGGCAATTAAATTTTAACATGAGTTTGAGAGGGGACAAACATTCAAACCACAGCAACAGCCTCTCATGTGGTTTTACCCTCAAGCCATTTTATTTGATTGTGATACCATCAAGATGGAAAGAATTGCTGTCAAGGTGTGATCATCTAATCTTGACCAGCATGTACTGGGGGGAAAAAATACCATAATCAAATTAGCCTTCCAACAGTGTGTTCTCAGGACTTGAGTCTCTTGAAGTATTCCTTGAGAAAGTTGTCAAATAATTTTAGATGATGTTACCCTCAGGTGATACAATTGCCCAATATCATAAAAAGTTTCAAGAAGTCCTATAGTCAAGAAATCTCCCTTCATTTAATAAATGTTTGTAGATCACCAGGCACCATTCTAGATGCTGAGGATATAGGCATTAATAAGACAGCCAGTCTGATCACAAAGAGCTTATATTCTACTTGTTTCAAACTGTGGTTCATGGTGCTTAAGTTATAGTTGTGTTTGAGCAATTTTACACCTCTTTGTGCTGTAGCTAATGAGCACAAAGGAGATAAAGGAGTCTGGAGATCAAGAGACATCAAAGCTGGAGATAAAATTTGGGAGCCATAACATATAGATTTAAAACCGTGAGTCTTAAGGTCACCAAGGAAACTATATTAGAGAAGAAAGGGGGCTTAAGATAGAGCTCTGGGCCCACCAACCTTCAGAGGTGGAGGAGAAGAGCAAGCATCAGTGGAGTCTGAGAAGGCTGACCAGTGATGCAGGAAGACCATCAGGAGAACATGGAGTCCCAGAAGGCGAGAAAAGAAACCTGCTGTCTTTGTTCAATCCAGAGTACTCTGTTTCCTCATCCTGGTTTTTCTATGTGTTTTATGCTGCATAAATGTCCTGTAAGAATTAGGTATGCTTTTAGCCAGGAGAATAGGGATGGAGTCTTTATTATCACCATATTCATCTGGGATGCCAGAGAAAGAGGCTCACTTTATTTTGACCCTGACTGCTAGTGTCAACTACATGCATTAAGCAATGGCTCTGCCATATGCTGGGGTCTGTGTCAGGCTGGGCAGTTCCTACTTCGGACAGAGGTTTGCCATCATCATTAGAGAGAAGGAATAAGACAAGGATTGCTAAGAGTTGGAGGTTAAGTCTACTTAGAAAACAAATGTGCAGCTGAACTTCTGAATAACAGCAGTGATGGTTTCAGATTCTGCAGAAGGAGTGCCATCACTTTTCCATTTTGTCACAGTGAACATCTAGTGATGTCCTAAAACATGCCCAGAGAACAATGCCAGAAGTGACAGACAGCACAAAGATGAAGAAGGCATGAGTCTAGCCATCATAGAGCTTATGTAACCCAATTCTAAGGATGAGCAAATATTAAAAGGTTAAAAGGGCTGAGAGGCTTGAGAGTAGAACTTAAGTTGTCTTTGATTTCTGTCAACTTATCTATCAAAAGGAAAGACTGTGGAGAGTGAGACAGCACAGGACTCCTGACAGGAGGCTGCTTGTTTCTGAGGTGGCCGTGCACGCAGGTGTGGCTCCCATCCATGGCCATTCTGAGAGGAAAGCAGACCTGGCCCACCCAGAGCCTCAGAGGCAGGCAAGAGAGAGAGAGGGTGCAGGTTAGACCCAGCCAGTCGGGTCAGAGACATGTGATGGTCAGCGTGACCAGGGTGACAAGCCAGACATGGCTGGCTCCATGACTGAACAGCCAGAAAGCAGTTTGTAGACAGCCAGCCACAGAAAAAGTACAGCCCAGGCCAGGCTCAGTGGCTCACGCCTGTAATCCCAGCACTTTGGGAAACTGAGGCAGGTGGATGACTTGAGGTCAGGAGTTCAAGACCAGCCTGGCCAAGATGGCGAAATCCCGTCTCTACTAAAAATACAAAAATTAGCTGGCCATGGTGGTGTGTGCCTGTAATTCCAGCTACTTGGGCGGCTGAGATATGAGAATCGTGTGCACATAGGAGGTGGAGTTTGCAGTGAGCCAACATTGTGCCACTGTGCTCCAGCTTGGGTGATGGAGTGAAACTCTGTCTCGAAAAAAAAAAAAAAGTACAGCCTGGAGAACAGATAAATGATGCAGCACAACAAAAGAGCCTGACAGAAACGGAGTCAGCCCACGCCAGGCCAAACCACAAAAAGAAGAAAGCAGGCTTAGATGGGAAGCCCCCTTCATAGCTCCCTCCCCAAAAATCCCTTCTACCCATATCTATTGAGTGCTTGTTATGAAGAAAGAGAGCAGCACACCGGCCCTCTGTCTGCTGGGGGAGACTGACGAGTGAACAGATTATTCCAGAAACCTGGGGTAAGCAAGATAGTGGATAGGGGACAGAGGGCCAAAGCTTCCTAGACTGATGATTAGCTGAGCTGAGTGATAAAAGAGAAGTCAGATAATTACACAAAAATGAAAGCGGCAGCCCAGCCCATGCAAAAGCATGGCCCTGACCGGAAGCTACCAGGAAGGATTCTGATGTGCCTGGCCTGGGTGGTGCCTGCTCCCAGAGCCTGCAAGCTGGGTTCTGGGGAAGCATCCTCTAGGTGATAGAGCAGGCTGTAGAGCAAGCCCTGTTCTGAGTGAGGAGGACAGGCCCTGTGTGTGATGGCCCCACCTGAGCCACTGGCATGGGCAGTCAGTTCCCAAGACGGAGTCCAGGACAGACAAAAAATGAACAGCTGAAAAGTGCAAGTAGTGTAGGTTCAAGGAAGTGGTGTAGGAAGAGGGAGACGGAATGGGATCTGAGGAGGGCTGCACAGCACACAGTAGGCGGCACAAAAGTCTGCTCAGTTAGGTCACATGCTCCAGAGGCACTCACTGCAAAAGAGCCTGAAGATTGAACTGAAATATACCATCGGCTTTGCTGAGTATGAATGCCAAGAGGAGCAGAGAGAAGTCAAGCCCTCTAGGTGATAGGCAGGAACGAGCTGAAAGAAGGACATAAATCTTGGTTTGCTCAGACGGGCCTGGATTATACTTACGTTAATTATGTTTAGTGCCCTTTTCATGCTAAGAAGTGTCCTACTTTGGATGATAAATTGTACAGTCACCCTAGGTTTAAGTGATATTCAGGCAGTCTGGCTTGGAAAGTCAAGTCAGGAGAAGAAAAAAAAAAAAAAAAAACAGGGACCAAGGACCTGAAAGGGAGGATGTGGCCAGAGAGTGGGGTATTAGTGAGTTTAAGGTTTCAGATGTGGTGGTCCAAGGTGGTAGAAATGGGAGGCTGGCCCTTCATTTCCTGGTGTCTGTGTTCCTCAAGATGAGAACAGGGCTCAAAGACTGAGTAGACAGTGAGCCAAAATGGAAGTCCAGCAAAGCATTTAGACAGATACAGAAAGTGAGCAGAGGCTTGGCCTGGTGAGGGAAGGGCAGGAGTCCCCCCATTTCCTGAGCACTCAGTGCACACCCGATGCAGTGCTTCAAGTTCTGTGGCTGCAGGAGCTGTGGGCCTTGTTCTGTGTTGGATCCTCGGTGTTTGGTGTACTCTCTGGGGCTGTGTGAGCTCAGTAAATATCTGCTGAATGAATGAAGAAAATGCTTTGGCTCTGGAAATTCTCCACTATCTGAGAGATAGGTTTATTTCCCCCATTTCATGGATGAGGAAGTAGGCCTGGAGGCATTAATTAACTTGTCAGTTTCCTATGCGTAGTAAATGGCAAATGGAGAATTCTAACTTAGATCTGTCTCACTTCAAAGGTCACACTGTTGATCACTACAATGTATTAGTTTGGGTGGTCAAAATGAGACCCACAATAATTTGTTATTTGTCTGTGTGTATGTGTGTGTGTGTGTGTGTGTGTGTGTGTGTGATTTCAAAACTCTGCTCAAGCACTGACAGCTCTCGCTGAATCCAGCAGAGGGTTCTGCTGCATAGTCGGTCACCAACGAGGTGAGATTCTGTGGAAGATCCATAATGCACAGAGACAGGAAAGTGGAAAGCGTACCCAATTGCTAGAATCTGAAGCAACTGCTCTGAGAGTGTTAGGAGAGGTACAAAGAAGCACTGCAAACTCAGGTGAGTAGGACTGAAACTAGAAGAAAAGGTCGGATGTTGGAAAGGACAGCAGGAGACAGTTGTGGGACTCAGAAGGGCGTGAGGATATGGCAGAGGCCCCAGTGAGTGTCCCTGGGCCTCTGTCTGAGGCAGATTAATACCCACAAAAAGTGGGACAATCCAGATTCTCAAGGTTGCCAGGAATTTCCGTGAAAGGCCAAGGGGATGGGGAGGCACGTGATAAATTTATAAGATTCTTTTTTTAAAGCTCTCGCAATTCATAAAGGGAGCTACACTTAACTTTGAACTCAAGAAAATAAACCACAAGAGAGAAATGAAATGTTCTCTTTCAGACTTGCACACCTACCCCTGTGGAGCGTGCACCCTATAAGGGAGAAGTCGCCACACTGAAATCCAGAGTGACAAAAGAAGATGCCACAGCAGGGACCAGGAAACAGGCCCACCCCTGAAGTGTGTGCCATCGGTAAGGGACTGTAGGCAAGAAAAGTCTTCCTGCATGACAGCATATGAAATTAGCATCTCTCCTCATAAGGGTTGAAGAGATCAAGGTCAGAGGCTTCACAGTGATCCAAGACTCAAGGACAATTGAGCCAAGGGAAGATTGATCAAAGCAGAACATTTAGATAAGCCTTCCAGATTGTAGAAGGCCTTGGGCTTGCTAGAGAGTCATTCTTTAAGATGTTAGGAAACATTCAATACAGCCTTGGATAATCAACTATGAGCAAGTTGCACTAAGGAGGCTGATAACATACAGAGGGAACTACTTAAGACAGGGAGTATAATTTCATGGTCAAAATTTACAAATGAATTAGGACCTTATCTGGAGAAATGAATCTTCATATTGTAAATACAACGGTGTTCTAAAATTTAGAATAAATGAAAAATGAATAAAATGTTGCTTTAGGGGATATAATCCTTCAGAAAAATTCTTTGATAGTATCTGATTATTTCACAGTTAGTTTTGGGAATAATATTACAGATACAGTCATTTTTGCAAAAGTATTTGAGCACTTCATCAGTTTTCTCTGTCTTTTGACATGCAGATCTTTCTTTTCTGAAGTGCCTCGTATCATCATCCTTGTCAATTTTCTTTCTTCAGTTGTCTTCTGGTCCTGCTCTCTCAGATCCTCATTTAACAGCGGCTTTGCTGTAATTTTAGCATCTCCCTAATATCACTTCCACTGACTTCATGAAATCTACATGTTTTGCCAGTTTTGCAATTTTGCTAGGCTCTTAATTTTTTTTTAACGTGTGATATCTTTTCAGACAGTTCAACACGTGGCCATCTGCACAAGACTTAACCCCAGAGGTTGACCTAATGGACCTGGTTAGACATTTGTGTTAATGAGAGGCACAGTTTGACAACGGTCTGGTTTTCTACATATTCAGGCACTGCACCTTTTCACATTTTGACAACCTCTTATTCCCTGCATAAATCCTGTTCCTGCAGGGATTTGGATAATGAGGGCTTGAATGGCAAAGCCCTCTGTGCTACATGCCATGTTCTTTCATTATTGAATGTTGTGTCTTTAACAGGACTATCTAGCCCAAAGTCTCAACATTTTTGTCATTTTCAGACGACCAGAATTATTCTTCTAATCTAGGATGATTTTGTTAAAAATTCAGGGAAAGATTAGCAAGAGAAAGGAATGCGATTCAATGCTATAACATGCTATTAATGACATTTATAGGAGCAGGATTAGTGTTTACTTTGATTATAGCATTTCTTGGGGGTTAGGTTTGAATTCTGCATCTCTTTGTGAGGGAGAATGTTACAGTGAGTTCCTTTCATTCTCTTCAAAGGTAAAAAAATCAGAGGAAAGGAGGCTGCCATTCCCTTCACAGCCAAACATTGTCAACCCATGGAGAAGCAGGCCTTATTCAACTCCCTAGGATCCTTTAGAAAAAATTCACCACTATAGGCTTCTTTGATTTTCTTTCAGAAGCAATTGCTGTCTTTCTCACTGTGTTTTTGTTGCTGCATAAGATTGAAGGTATAAATTTATATTATTGTGATGGAAAGGCTGTGTGGAAATTCATTGATGATACTTTAAAATGTCATCTTTGCTTGTACTAGATTTCTTACTTAGAATTTTTAAAAATCATTTTCTTGTTTAAATAGTTTCTTTTTTTAAAAAAATGGTTACATTAGTTTTAAAATAGCTCTGTGATTTTACTTTTTATTGTAATTAATAAACATTGAGATCTTCATTTTATACCTTATTATCTGATTTATTTGTATCTCCTTCTAACTAGTGGGATTGGGATTCTAGGAGGTTGGTTTTCATTTGAGAGCATGAGTCCTGGCCACGTCTCTTCAGCAACTTTTGGAAATCTGGTCTTGGAAAACCCACCTAATCAAATTAGATGCTCAAGTTTAAAATAAGTCCAAGGCAAATTATCCAATCACAATGATGAATTCGAGATTTGAGGGAATTAAATGGAATCAGCATGGCTGAAAGAGGCTGCCTTAATACCTTCCTTCCCCCACACTTCCTAGTCTATGGTATGATCCTTCTGTGTGTGCAGAGAAACTAAGCTTAGATTTCTTCTCCTAGGTAACTAGGTCAAGAGGGATTTTTAAAAGATGGAATAAAATTGGGGCGATTATGCTCTCCTTGCAGGTGCATCTGCCCCCAGCATACTCACTTAGGAGTATATTTGCACATTTAACAAAGGGTAGTAGAAATTCAGTTTACCCAATTGTGATTTGTTTTGAGCACAAAGAGAAAGGACGGTGAGCTGCATCTGAAGAAAATCCTTCTGGTTCAATCAAACTACAGCTCTTTTTTCTCAGGTTAAGAGATACTTCAAAATATTTATTTCTCTTCTCTGCTTTGGTTGACAATGGAAAGTCTACAATAAGACTACTGAATCCTGTCGAAAGAAATATTTAAATTGCTTTCTTACCCAGAAGTCAATTCCCACTCATCCTTTGGTATTTAGCTGTAATAGCACCCCACTAAGAGCCTTACCCAGATCTGACATGCTCCTCCGTAGGAGGCCCAGCATACACCCATCACCGTGCCTTATCTCGTTGCCTTATAATAGCTGTTCTACTTGTCTGTCTCCTCTAGGAAACTGAAAGCTTCTTCAGGACAGGGCCTGTCTGGTTCACTATTATTTCACCAGCATCTAGCAGAGTACCATGCAATTGATGGGTATTCAATGGATATTTATTAATATTCAGATAAGGGAGGAAGTGAAGGAGTTCCTGTTCAGTTCTCAAATTCATAAAGTTAGTGAGAACTCTCAACAAAATAGGGACAAACTTTGTAGAACATTTTCATGTAAGGCTGCTTTAAATGGAGAGCACAGGTCATTATCTATTTGATAGATCTGTTCGGGAGAATAAAATAGCTATAGGATTCTGCATCAATAAAGACATTTGAAATGAATGTGGAAATCCCTTTGTTGCTTTTATTAGATTTTGTCGCAATATTTTTATGGAAAGATAGGTCTAAATAATAATATAAAGCAACAGAAAAACATGATTCAAGCTATTAATATTTAATACCATAGTTTTCAAGGCTGCCTCACTATACAATGAAAGATTTGTCACTAAACAATTGCATTTTTAAGGTCTGCAGAAAGAATAGGTGGAATGAGTAACATTCTTTTTCCATATTCCCCTTCCATTGCCTCCCTCCTCCCCTAGGTACTGTGATGGATTGGGAGGGAACCATGTATTCATGGTGGGGCCTAAACTTCGCTCCTCTATTTACTAACGATGAGGCCTTCAGAAATTTTTAAAACTAAAATATGAGATTATTGAAATATATAAAAAGCATCAAAATTAACATGACCACATCTCTGAACCTATCACCCAGTGTGGAAAATAAAACTTTACCAATACAGTTGAAGTCCCCTGTGTTTCTCTCCCTCTGATTTGCCCCTTCCTTCCCCAAGGTAGCCAGTGTCCTGATCTGCTGTTTTATTCCAGTGTCCATCATTTATACATTTTTCTTTTTTTTTGAGACAGAGTCGCCCTGTCACCCAGGCTTGAGTGCAGTGACTCCATCTCAGCTCTCTGCAACTTCCGCCTCCTAGGTTCCAGTGATTCTTGTGCCTCAGCCTCCTGAGTAGCTGGGATTATAGGCTTCCCCTACCACATCCAGCTAATTTTTGTATTTTTAGTAGAGATGGGATTTCACCATGTTGGCCAGGCTGGTCTCAAACTCCTGACCTCAAGTGATCCACCTGCCTTGGCCTCCCAAAGTGCTGGGATTACAAGCATGAGCCACTGCACCCAGCCTATACCTTTGCTATGTATGTACATATTTCTTTTTTTTTTAATTATACTTTAAGTTTTAGGGTACATGTGCACAACGTGCAGGTTTGTTACATATGTATACATGTGCCATGTTGGTGTGCTGCACCCATTAACTCATCATTTAACATTAGGTTTATCTCCTAATGCTATCCCTCTCCCCTCCCCCCACTGTTTTGTATGTCAGGGTCTCCAACCCTTGGGCCATGAACTGGTGCACAGCAGGAGGTGAGCAGCAGACGAGCATTACTGCCTGAGCTCCACCTCCCTCAAATCAGCAGCAGCATTAGATTCTCATAGTGTGAACCGTATTGTGAACTGTGCATGCAAGGGATCTAGGTTATGTGCTCCTTATGAGAATCTAATGCCTGAGGATCTGAAATGGGATAGTTTTATCCAGAAACCATCCCTCCCAACCCCCGGTCTGTAGAAAAATTGTCTTCCATGAAACCAGTCCCTGGTGCCAAAAAGGTTGGGGACTGCTGTTGTATGTGGTTAAATCTTATAAATGCACAACATAGTATGTATTGTCTTGATTCCTGCTTTTTTGTAGTCAACATGTTTGGGAGTTGTTTTCATAGGCCTAGCTCTGGTTATTTACTTTATTGCTATGTAGGATTCCATGGTAATAACCATACCACAATCTATGTTGGTATTCTCTTGTTTAATAAACATTTAGATTGTTTCCATTCTTTTGCTATCACAAACAACACTGTCATAGGCATTTCTGTGCCGGTTTCCTCGTGGACACATGTGACAGCTCCTCCAGGGCACATGCCTTCAGTACAGGGGAGTGGGACTGGTGAATCCTAAGGTGGGCCCTTTCTCGCCTCACTTAAATACTGGCAAATTGTCCTCCAAAGTGGTGAGTTATGCCCTCATTAAGAGAGTGTACGAGTTTCTGTTGCCCCACATTCTCATCAATAGCAGATATTGTCCAATTTACTAATTTTGCCATTCTGATCCATGTAAAAGGGATCTTATTGAAGTTTGAATTTGCATTTCCTGAGCACTAATGAGGCTGAGCTCCTTTTCATTGTGTAAATTAATTGATTTTTCTAAGCCTCCATTTTTTCATTTATAAGAGGAGAATGATAAGGGTGTCAGCCCAATATACAAGGACACCATGAGGATTACGAAGCCCAGACTGTATGGTCAACAAGTGCTAGCTATGATTACTGTGTTAACAGCCATGCAGTGAGTTAATAAATGATACGCTACCAAGAGACTGCCAAAGTCGACTGTTCTTCTCTTTCTATGGGGAAGTTCACCATGCTTTGTAGTTCCAACTCCTTTGACAGCTGCAAAAGCATGGAAGCCAAGAATGGGAAGGAGGAGTGAGCCCAGGCACAGGGTGAGGGCGTCAGGCGGGCCTGGAGAGGGTCAGTGGGCCTGGGTCCCAGGCACTAGCATTGTGAGCTGTCTGAGAAGGAGTACAGACTGAAATACGGGAGTGGGTAGAGCCTCACTCTCAAGTGACCCGCGCAGGTGCAGCAGGTCCCAATGTCAGCATGCAGGCCAACTACGGCAGGCCCTTTTCTCTCCGTTCTCTCTCTACATGATGCAGCATCCTGTAGGGGAATGATCAAGAGCTTGTTAGAGGCTTTCAAGTCACAAGAGCTGGATTTGAACCAGTTGAGCAAGATAGGTAAACTTCCTGAGCCTCAGTTTCTCTATTGAAAAAGTAGGAGTAATTAATCATACCTCTCTTTCACGGGATGGTTGAAAGGACACATTGGGATGGCACATGCAAAGCCCCAGCTCTCCCTCAGTGGTAGACAGATTCAACCTTGTCTCTTTCTCTTGCCCCATCACGACTGCCACTCTTTTCGTTCCCATCTATCCAATACAGAGCCCCCTGAAGGGAAATATTTAATTAGGTTAATTTTTGACAAATGAACTTTCTCCCTTTACTTCGTTTTGGAGAATATCTGTGCACGAGTTAAAATTTAAAAAAAAAAGAAACACAGAGCGTCCATCATTTATTAAACACCGACTGTTTATAAAACACAGAAGCAAACCCCTTAGTTTGGCTGCCACTGCTCCTCAAATGCCTTGCACAGGGAGTGGCACAAAGAAGTGCTCAGTAAATCCTTGATGAGGGAATGAATTAACCTTGGGAACAGAAGATGACAGAGGAGGAGGAGAGGAATAATTCATGAATAAAAAGTAACACTATGACAAATCATTATTTGTGTCCAGGGCTCAGGACTCCATTTGTCTTAAGAGCCATCCTAGTGTGAATGGTGATTGTAAAAATATAAATGGCACTGGGGAGTGGCCTTCTGAGACTCTGTGGGCTTAGGTGAGCTTGCATAACCAGCTGCAGTAGTGAGAAAGCATTCAGGGCTTTTTCAAGCAGTGGTTCTTTTTTTGTTGTTGTTGTTTTTGCCTTATAATAGGATGCAGTCTTCACAAGAACATAGGACCTTGGCTTTTTCTTTAACAAAACCTATAAATGTGCTCAATAGAGTCTTAATGAAAATATTTATTAGGCCCTTATTAGGTGCCCAGACTTGTGCTAAGGTCTGTATAGATGCCATCATTTAATTGTCTCTGCAGCCCTATGAGGGCAATATTATTTTATTATATATTATTTTATTAATATTATTAATAAATTATTATTTATTATTTTACTACTATTATTAACAAATTATTTTTATTATTTTATATTATTGTTATTATTTAACAGATGAGAAAATGAAGGCTGAGAGAGGTTAAGTAATTGCCCAGAGGCACTCAGCAGGTCAGTGGGTGGCCCAGGACATGAATTTTGGTCCATTTGACTTCACATCACCCCTCTAATGTATCTCTTAATCAAGATTTTGGAAATAACTCACTCCTGAATGATGTACATCATTAGAGCTCGGGAGAAAAAAGAATCTGAACATCATTAGAGCTCAGGAGAAAATACCAGGAGCTCACAATTATTAAGGGCTCACCTAATGAGCCCCAAACACTCTGCAAACATTAGTTCACGTGATCCTTCCAACAACAACATGAGGCAAGCACTGAGATTATCCTCACTTTATATATGGTGAAACTGAGGCACAGAAAGATCCATTAACTGTAAGTTTTCAGGCTACACAGGATGACACGGAAAGGAGTTTCCAAGGTATATTAAGCCATTTCAGTAAACACAGTTTCCAAGCCAGTATCAGTGAAAGTGTATCATCTCATCTCTACAGTCTTGCTAAAAACTTTCTCCAATTACTAATACATAAAAAGCCAAAGCATAAGAAATGATTTTCTGAAATCAGTGGCAGTTATCATGGAATCAGACTTGATTCCTTATGATAAATCTAGCATTCAGGTACGGATGTCTCTCTTGGAGCAGCCTGAAGGTTGGTTGTTTTGTTTTCTTTTAAACATCTTATTCAAGAGAATTGAATCCAAATTTGATGTTTTTCCCTCTTGAACCCAAAGACAAGAGCACAGGTGGGAAATGGAGGCTGGCGAGCAGTGGGTGGGAGAGACCCATGGTGCCAAGGGCCTCTGAGTGGGCTGCTTCTCCAGGTGGGGGTCGCTCTGCTGCTGAGAAAGTGCCACAGACCAGTGGGGGCCTGGTCACGCCAGCCCTCCAGTCATCCAAAAACTGAACTTGAAGCAGAGTCAATGAGGACACGCTGTTCCTGGGCTATCCCATAACCATCAGCGCCTCTGCCAGGGGCACTTCCCATGATGCAGTGTGGGCTTGACTCCAGGAACCCGGCATTAGTCCCGGCTCTGCACCATTTGCCTGTGGGGCTCGTGCAAGTTATAGCTCCGCTCTGAGCTTCCCTGTCTTCACCTCCATGGGAGGAGGTGTGGCTGGTGGTGTAGGGAAGGATACGAAGCACAAAATCTAGAATCAAACTGACTGGGTTCAAAACTTCCCTCTGACACTTGCCACTTATGTAACTTAGACAAATTACTTACATTTGCTTAGCCTCACGGGTCTCATCTGTGAAATGGGGGAATAATAATACCTACTCCCTGAGTTTGGGAGAGAATTAACTAAGACATAAGCGATTAACATTGCCCTGAGCACAAAGTAAGCCCTCAATCAATGATAGCTACTATTATTTCTTTGAGCTTGACTGCCTTACTGCTCTACATCAAAGCAGGACGAAACCATCTGATGTCATCTTAGAAACTTCTAGTCTCCTCTGAGTCACAGCTGATGGCTACTGCTGCTCAATAGTACAATTACAAAACTAAAACTGAAAGACAAACCCTTCAGTCAATAGCGATAGACTATTGTCCTCCTGTTTACTTTTGTGGGTTTCCTGATTGACATGGTTTTGCTGTGTCCCCACCAAATCTCATCTTGGATTGTAGTTCCCATAATCCCCACGTGTGGTGGGAGGTAACTGAATCATGGGGGAAGTTACCCTCATGCTGTTCTTATGACAGTGAGTGAGTTCTCACGAAATCTGATGGTCTTATAAGGGGCTTTCTCCCCTTTTGCTCAGCACTTCTCCTTGCTGTCACCATGTGAAAAAGTACGTGATTGTTTCTCCCTCCACCACGATTGTTAAGTCTTTTGAGGCCTCCCCAGCCCTGCAGAACTGTGAATCAATTAAACCTCTTTCCTTTATAAATAACCCAGTCTCAGGTATGTCTTTATTAGCAGCATGAGAACAGACTAATACACTGACTTAAAAAGAGTGATTTCTGGCTGGGCACAGTGGCTCACGCCTGTAATTCCAGCACTTTGAGAGGCTGAGGCAGGTGAATCACTTGAGGCCAGGAGTTTGAGACCAGCCTGGCCAACATGGCAAAACCCCATCTCTACTAAAAATACAAAAATTAGCTGGATGTTGTGCTGAGAGCCTGTAATCCCAGCTACTTAGGAGGCTGAGGTGGGAGGATCACTTGAACCTGATTGTGGGGCAGAAGTTGCAGTGAGCCACGATCACACCACTGCACTCCAGCCTGGGCAGCAAAGCGAGACTCTGTCTCGAAAAAAAAAGAGTGATTTCTTACTTTAACCATTGAGGTGCACTGAAGCGCAATCTTGTTCCTCAGGTAATTTACGAAACCGCTTGAGAAATAGACCTTGCTGTTTTCTTTTCCAGTTTTCTCATGAGCCTATTAAACAATAAGACTTTCTGTCTCCCCAGATATATTATTTGAGTTAATTACTGGTGAATGAGATGTCAACAATCATTGGAATAAAACACTGCTGCAACAAACTCTTCTAAAGTTGTAAATGTTTTGGAACTTTGTTTTCACAAAAACCAAACTTGAACTGAAAGTGTTCATTTCTCAAAACTAGTATTATAATAGACAGAGAGAGAGAGTTTTTTGCTGGATGAAGTCTTCATTATATCCAAACATAGTTCAGACTTAAATTTTATTCAGATGAGAAATAAGAGCATGATAGAAATTTAGTGATAGGAAGGCCATTTAGTTTCATATCACAGATGAGGAAAGGGAGGCTCAGAAGATATATGACACTGAGCTCCCCTCCTCGCTCCCCTATTCACTGCTAGCCCTTGCCCTTAGACAACTAATATTTATTGAGTATATATTATGTGCCAAGTATTGGCACCAGTGATAAAATTGTGAATTAAAAAAAAAAAACAAAACAAAACATTGTTTCTGCTCTCCTGGGAAAAACAGACACTGATCACAAGCCAGCCTAAATATATAACTGTAGTGCTACAAAGAAGGGGATACGGTGAAACAAGAACTAGAAAGAAGATTTGGTGATTTGGGGAGTGGTCAGGGAGGGCTTCCCTGAGGAAGTGATGTAAGAGCTGAGACCTGATGAATGAGTAGGAGATAACCAGGCAAAGGAGGGAAGGAAAGTCTTCCTGCAGAAAGCCATGTGTGCAGCTGGGGCTGGGGAGGGTGAGGACCTAGAAGGGTAAGTAAGAAATGAAGGCTAAAGTATGGGAGAAAATGAAAGAGAAAGATGAGAGAGAGAGAGAGAGAGATTAACACTGAGAAAGAGAGAGACTGAGAAAGCCTGAGAAAGACAGAGATGATCCTAGAGGAACCAGGACAGTTTTTCTTCATCCTAAGAGCAATACGAAGCCTTTGAAGGGTCTTAGGCAGAGTTCTGATCTGATCAGAACAGCATTCCGTAAGGATCACTGGAGCTATAGCACAAAGGATGAATTGGAGAGGACCAGAATGGAGACCTACAGGCCAGAAAGGAGGCCGTTGCAGGTGTCTAAGCCAGAGATGGTGATAATTTGCACAAGGGTGGTGGTAGTGGTGGTGGTAGAGATGAAAAGTGGGACATTTTAGGAATATTTCATTGGTTAAATTGACCAAAAAAAACTGTAAAGTACTGGGTCAGCAAGAAAAGGGAACCAAAGATGACTCCTCTTTTTCTGGCTTTTGAAACTGGATAGATGTTACTGCCATTCCCAAAGAAAACAAGACCAGATTCGGGAGACAGATCAGAGGCTGGATTTTGGACACATTATATTTGAGATGCCTGTGAGATATCCAAGCAGAGAGATCAAATAAGGTGTTGAACACAGAGAGGAGAAAGCTGAGTCCAAGATTAAATTTGTGAGTCTTCTCCAAATAGAATACGCTTCCATTTCCTTTACCTATAAGCTGGAATCATCATAGTATCCACCTCAAGATTAAATAAGATAGTGTAAACAATTCACCCAGCACAGCAGCAGCACACAGAAGGTGCTCATAGAAATCAACTCTCATTATTTCTACGAGGCAGCTTATTTCCTGAAGTCACAGTTAGTAAGTCACCTGAAAATAGCAGCCCTATAGATAATCATAAGATTCAACACCTCAAGTGGGGAAAACTTTTAATTTATTAAGTAACGAGATATGAAAGCTAATTCTTCTTGACTGGAAACTGCAGTTTCTGAGCAGGGGCACCTAATTCTGCAGATGTGATTAATGTAAAAGTTCCCAGTTTACCAGGCCCTTAATATAATCCCATGAATTTTGCCACTGAATGTGCTCCAGTTTTGTAATCTAGAAATACAACACCGAGCAATGAAGTGAAGATGATGTGAGACGGCACTTCTTCCAATCTTTCTGAAATGAGGCAAGTACAAATAACTAAATACAATTTAAAATGTCAAGCAGTGTCAAGTTCTGGCACCGTGTCTCTTCCCTGAGATGCACCTGCACCTTTGAGTACTGTGCACATCATTCATTCAATTGCTCAGCAAATGTTTGCTGACTCTTTCATTCTTCCTGGTTATGTGCGAGGCTCCCAGAATGTAAATCACCCCTTTGTGCATGAGCAGGGCTTGACAGTCATAAAGTAACTTTATTCTATTTAACTTTCTCCTATGGTCCCTTCAAACTTATTCTGTGCATTCATTCTTTCCCCTCTCCCCTGCCCTCTCTCTTTCTCTCAGGTTAAATCTTGGCCAGATCCCACAGCTCTGATGATCATGCTTAGGTGGCAAGATAATATTCTGGCATTTAAAAATCAATTTCAGTCTAATGACCACAAAACAACAGTCCAATCTAGGATAATAATTGAAACTCTTGAACCTGTGAGTACCCCAGTTACGTCAGTTCAATCCTCTCACCAACCACCCCATTCGCTTCTCTCAACTCCACTACCTTCTCCCCACTCACCTGGTTGACCAGAAGTAAATGGTCAGAGATTGCTAACCCTCCAGCCAATCACACAGCCCCACCCTGTGTGATCTGGAGCAAGCCACTGAAACCCTGTGGCTCCATGTCATTACCTCTAAAATGCTGATATTTTGTCTACCTCACTGGATTCTCACGAGGCTTAAATGAAAGTATTCTGAACAGCATCTGACACTTGATAAGCCCCCAGTACCTGTTAACAATGACTATTCCTAGTGCCTTCCTCTCTTCTGCCTACAAGTATGCTTTGTAATAAATCAATGGCACTACCTTTTGTTCCCTGTTTCTATGCCTACTCCAAGCCCCAAAGCAATTCTTGACTGTGTCACAGTCTTTCCTCAGCTTCTATGGGACATGGTACATATTCTGAGGACCAGTGGCCACTGATATTCTGCAAGAGACTGGAGTTCTAATATCCCATAGCACTGTTACCGTCAGAGTCCTTGCCTTGAGAGAGCCTCTTAAAGGGTTGGGTTTGAGCAAACAAAGTCAACAGTTACACACTCCTGTAATTGCCCCTACCACATGCCAGTCTCTCCAGCTGGGCTATGAATTCAACCAGGCAGAGACTATGTCTTACTCATCATTGCATCCCAGTGCGTGAGGTGATGCCAGACAAAGAACAGGCACAGCAGTGGAAGTCAGTTGGGTGCTTCCTCAATCAGTGTAACAGAACTGCCATGTGACCCAGCAATTCCAGTCCTAGGGACATTCCCAAAAGAACTGAAAACAGGCATTGAAACAAAAATCCATACACGAATATTCATAGCAGATTATTCATAATAGCTAAAATGGGGAGACAACAAAAAATGTCTATCAACTGTCAGCTAGATAAACAAAATGTGGTATATCCATGCAGTGAAATATTATTCAGCTATTAAATAAGGAATGAAGTACTGATGCGTGCTACAACATGGAAGAGCCTTGGAAACATTACATTAAGTAAAAGAAGCCAGACACAAAAGGCCACATACATGAGTTCATTTACATGAAATATCCAAAACAGGCAAATATGTGGAGACAGAAAGCAGATTAGTGTTTCCAGGGGCCGCAGCAAGGGAGAAATGGGGAGTGACTGCTCAATGGGTACAGGATTTCTTTCGGGGGTGACAAATATTCTGAAATTAGAGAGTAGCGAAGGTTGTACAACACAGTGAATGTACTAAAAGCCACTGAAATGTACATTCTAAAACTACCGTGGTTACAATAGTAAATTTTATATGTATTTTACCACAATTTTTAAAAAACTAGAAAAAGGAAGTAGGCTTCACATAACCATTTTAAAATAAATTGGTGAATATAAGTGAGGCATTTGGGAGTTTAGGTGGTTGAAAAGTTTAAAGAAAAGTTGGAGAGAGGGGAGTTGAAAGGCAAATGTCTCCGAATGGCAGTAAAAGGTTTAAGGAGCCCACCTGCGATGCCCCTCAGTCTTCTTCCCAGAGGTAAAGAACCAAGTCCTTCCAGATGATCAGGGAGGGTCTGTGAAAAAGTCACATTAGAAATCAGCAGTCCTCTACTGTGAGAACCAGAACTGTATTAGGAAACCGCTTTGTTTCCCTAAGTTCTATAACTGAGCATTTCCCTGATCAAAGCAATTTCTTAATTCAAGGAGAACCTGTGGGTCACCTCTCTGCCTGGCAAGGCACCCTGCGTGCTCCATCCTTACTGCTTCTGAGGTCTTCTACTTCCATCCTCTGCCCACTCTCCAAGAATCAAACTCTGTGGGAAGCGACCTCCAAAAGGCGACGTTGCTTACGGTCATGAGATGTGACCACAGTGTCAGATCTGCCTTGACTGGGCTCCTGAGAACGGCGTCCAAGGGACTCTCTCTACGCCCGTCTCTGCTCCCTTTCTAAGCTGGGTGGCCTTGGGAAGTCACTCAAACTCTCTAAGCTTCCATTCCTTTAACTGGAGGTGGTAGCATTCACGGAGTCTTCCTCACAAGGTTATTGTGAGGCACAGATCGCTTTGAAAACTATCAAATGCCAGAAAGAGGTAAGAGAGTCCCATTTTTACAGCGTTTGGGAGTCCAACAAGCAGCGTTTAGCGGCTGGGAGGCCAGGGCCGAAGGACCTCTGCACTCCGGACCGCAGGTTCCTCGCTGGAAAACAGGAGCGTCGTCAGAAGTGTGTGGGCCAGGAGAGGATGAGACTGCAAGCAACGCGACCCGCGCAGAGCGGGACGGGGCGCCAGCTGGTAAATGACGGCGACTGCAGGGGCTCCAGTGCGCGCCATGAGTCAGCGCAGGCCCTGGGAAGGGGCTGCAGGAGCGCAAGCCTCTCCCACCCGGAGCGCGCTCCGGTCCTGTTCCTTACCCAGCGAGGTTCCGGCTTGGCCTGTCTCCGACTCATCTGTCCCAGCGGCGGCCCCGCGAGACCCCCGGAGGCGGCTCCCGGCCTCTCCCCTCCCCTAGGCGCTGCAGACGGGCCCCCTGGGAGTTGTTTACTCTCGCCGCCACCGCCTCCCCAAGTTCTGTTTCCTTTTCTTAAGTGGTTTACAATCCTCTGAGTCGCTTTACACTTTGGGGCCAATTTCACTGTAAATAATTCTCTTGTCTTGGGATTTCTTGTTGCAAGAAGGCTTGCTTTCTCCTTCCCAATAGAACAAGCACGCCCGCACCAATCAATATGTACCGCCCTGCACTGGTCTGCGGAGAGCGGGCGAAGCTTCCAGAACATTAAGGAGATGTGGACACAGCCCTCGGGGCGCTTATAATAAAAACGTGCCAGGGAGAGGCTTCTCGGAGTGCAGGAGGAGTGCTAGGCAGGCAGGGCTGGGATTTCAAGGGAGCTCCTGAGATAGGGAGAGCCTCCCAGGATTTTCTCGTTGTTTCGTTTGTAGGCAAAAAGGAAAAAATGGAGCATCCTGCATCTTAGCTGGAGGGCCTTAGACAATGTGGTTATGCCACTGGGTCTAACAGGAAATGGGAAAAAGCAGGCATGAGTTGGTGTTTCTGTTTATTTAAATTCTTTGGAGGATGCTGGCTTCATACCAAGCAGGAAGAAGTCTTAGAACAAGAGTGGAGCATAGTGTGGGCACAGACTCAGTGCCACAAAAGGCAGAGCCTCAAGTGCCACATGACACGTGACAGGGACAAGGCGCCAACTTAGAATGAGAAGACAGGTTTCATCACTTCTCAGCATGTGACCTGGACAAAGTCACTTAACTTCTCTGAACCTCACTTATTGATCAGTGAACTGGAGGTGATAATACCTGCCTTGCTTACTTTACTGCATTGTTAAAAGGACCATAAGAGAGGAAGTTGGTGAACAATAAAGTAATCCAACTACAGTGTGATCACAATATGAACATCTAGCTCAGTGTCCGTTGCTCTGGAAGGAAAGTTGGTTTGTAGTGAAAGATGCAGCATGAGCGAGATTGTAAAGGCAACAGGAGGTTTTAAAATAGATTGGTGAGATCACAGTAATAACAGAAGGCCACTGTTGAGGAGAGGGTGCTAAGGAATGAAGAAAATAATGAGGACCTGAACCGGAAGTTTATCCCTGGCGACTTAACAGGAGGAGGTGTTGCCGGGTCCCACGGGAGGAAGCTGGAGGTTATGTTCACTGATGTGCAGAGGAACGGGGTTAGGATAACAGCTTTGATGTGAGCATTTTCCATGAGTCACTATCCCATCCATATTGAAGGTCACATGCAAAAGCCAGAGCCAGGAGCAAGATGCCAAAGTCAAGGCTAGGACTGAGCATGAGAACCGATAGGGAAGACACACAGGGTTGGGAAGACCAAGATGGTGAAATGGACATTCCAGGCAAGTTCTGAGAAAGCCCAGCAGGAGGCGTCAGAGGAGGTCGGGGAGCACAGAGGAGGCTGATCGCAGGTGCTGCAACTGCCATGGGGATGAGGTGGAGCCCAAGAAAATCAGTTCTGAAGGACTGGAATCCTGGGCACAGTGGTCAGGGTGCCCCTCAGCCAGGAAGGAGACCTGGCAGGCCCCCTGGAACAGGACCAGAGCTTCAGGGCAAAAGGAGGCCCAATTCCCAGGAGTGAGCCAGTGGCTGTGTTTACGTCTTGCTCTTCCAGAGAGCAACCAGCGACAGCGAGCTACTGTGCCTCCTTAGTCCCTAGCCCTACACCTATGCCTGGCACACAAAAGGCATTCAGTCACTGTTCTTTGGAGTAAACCAACATATGAATGACAAATGAATATGGTCAGATTGAAAATGCCCAAGAAGCCCTGAATTGTATTCCCCTTTTTGGTGGCTTTGGAAGCCGTTGGCTTTCTTTCTGGTGGCAGACAGCTAATGGGCAGGCTGTCTTATTGTCCCTCCTGAGGACTCCTGGCCGTCTAGCATGTTCCTGGTCCCCCTCCCATCTCTGTATATGGTGTCCGCCCGCAGGATGGTCGTGTCTCACTTGGAGGCTCGTTTCCCTGGCAACTCACTTCTACATTATGCTGTTCTCAATTGGCCTCTAGTTCCCAGGCACTGCTGTACTTTATTCAAATTTCTAACCATGGCAATCCCCAGCCGTATTTACATCTAGTCTTGATACAGAATCTCTTAAATTAAGGGAACATTGTCTTCTCAGAAATTAACTTTGAAAATGCATTTAAACTCATTTTAAACTAGAAATATAAAATTTCTTCACAACTTCCTTGCCAAGAAACAATTCTTGTCAGCCATTTTCATTGACTCTTTTCAAAACTGTTTTCTTCTCACATATTGAAAGCCAGCCCTCAAAAGAGTCTCTAGGAGAAGCATTTGGTTCCAAAAATAATGTCTGGCTCTCAAACTTTCACCCACCTCAGTAGACCCTGTCCACTCCTGGTCACTGCCATCATCAGGCTGCTGGTAGTCTCACCGTCAAGACTGAAGAAGACCTGAACATCATCGCAAGCAAATATAGGAATAATAGTCACAGTGAACACTTAATTTTGTTTTACCTTGCCATTTCTATTAGACTGGTCTATTTGTGTTTTCCAAGGCCCTAACGTGGTTTGCACCCCTTTAATGAGTGAGGATGGATCTTGCTGAGCCATTCTCTATTCATATAGTGTATTTTTTTTTAACCATGGTCTCTTCTTCAACTGTAAACTTGTAAGACTTTGTTTTGTTTTTGTTTTTTGAGACAGGGTCTTGCTCTGTCTCCCAGCCTAGGGTGCAGGGGCACAATATCAGTTCAATGCAGCCTCAACCTGCAGGGCTCAAGTGATCTTCCCATCTGAGCCTCCTGAGTAGCTAGGACTACAGGCGTGTGCCACCACACCTGGCAAATTTTGTTACGTCTTGTTTTAGTTTTTGTAAAGATGAGGTTTCACTATGTCGCCCAGGTTGGTCTTGAACTCCTGAACTCAAGCAATCCTCTCGTCTTGGCCTCTGTAAGTGTTGGGATTGCAGGTGTGAGCCACCACCCCCAGGCTAAAACTTGTAAGACTTTTAAGAAATACTCTGGTGGGGCCCACTAATACTGGTTGAGGATCACCTCACCTTTTCTTTTCAAGGTGAATTTTCACCTCTTCTAGAACTGTCTGCCACACATACACTACTCACAGCCGGTGTGGATAGAGATTCCCTCGGTGCAGCAGCTGATCCTATTCCTCACCTAAGGTCCTTAACCATCATTCTCTGCCTTCCGATAAAACACCGTATTGATTCCCACGTTTGGTATCTCTCTATATATGGCTTCTGGTGGCTCAGTTCAATGTATTGCTGAGGTCTTCTGTTTAGGTCCTGAACATCACCTGGGCGCTCTCGGCCAGCGTGGGTTCCAGGTGGACGGGGGTTCCGCAAGCCCTGCTGTGCTTGATCAGGGGATGAGCTCCCTCTGGGCTGCTGGAGTGCCTGGGTTGGGTGCCACAAAATCCCGCCAGGAGTGCCACTGAGAGGTGAAGCTGCTGGGCTTCTGGGTCTGGTGGGGACTTGGAGAACTTTTCTGTCTAGCTAAAGGATTGTAAATGCACCAATCAGCACTCTGTGTCTAGCTAGAGGTTTGTAAACACACCAATCAGCACTCTGTCAAAACAGACCAATCAGCTCTCTGTAAAACAGACCAATCAGCTCTCTGTAAAATGGACCAATCGGCTCTCTATAAAATGGACCAATCAGTAGGATGTGGATTGGGGCCAAATAAGGGAATAAAAGCAGGCCACGCGAGTCTGCCGACGCAGCTCTCTTGCGTCTCCTTCTATTCTGCGGAAGTTTCGTTTTTTAGCTCGTTGCAATAAATCTTGCTGCTGCTAATTCGTTGGGTCTGTGCTGCCTTTATGAGCGGTAGCGCTCACCGCAAAGGTCTGCAGTTTCACTTCTGAAGTCAGTGAGACTATGAACCCACCAGAAGAAAGAAACTTAGCGAGACTATGAACCCACCAGAAGGAAGAAACTCCGGACACATCTGAACATCTGAAGGAAAAAACTGCGGACACAGCATCTTTAAGAACTGTAACAGTCACCGCGAGGGTCCGCGGCTTCTTTCTTGAAGTCAGCGAGACGAAGAACCCATCAATTCCGGACACACCAGTACCTATGAGTATAATCTTACTTGGAAATAAGAGTTTTTTGCAGATGTAATAAAATTAAAATGAGGTCATACTGGATGATGGACTGTAATCCAATAACTATTCTTGTAAGAAGCGAGAACATTGGACACAGAAAGAAGGCGGTCATGTGAAGACAGAAGCAGAAATTGGTTTATGCTGCCACAAACCAGGGAATGCTGGGGAGTGCGAACAACCACAGAAGGCAGAAAAGACAAGGGAAGATTTCTTCACTGGAGAATTTGGAGGGAGCATGATACTGCTGACACCTTGAATCGGCTTGAATACATTCACCAGCTGAAAAACTAGATAAGGGGGAGAGGTTTAAATTCTCCGGAATCTTCCTGCCTTCAAGGTTCAGCCCTGCGAAAGATAACTAGGAATTTGTATTTTGGGCGATAACACTTTCTCTACTTCTAAAAGACAGAAACTTTTTCCACTTTTGTGAGAAAAAAAAAAAGTACTAGGGAGGTTTTCTTTGCCTGGCATTTGGTAACATTGTTGTCCATAATGCGTTAGAGACTTATATTTGAGATAGTGTCTAAATACTTATAGCTCCTCATGGGGTATGAATGTTTGATTTCCTAATGAGGGACCACTTGAGAGCACCTCCCCTCATGCCCAGCTTGTGACTTAAAGATGACCATTGACCTACAAAGGCAGCAGGCAATTTGGGGATTGGCTGTGATAAGCAATGGGGATTGTAAATGTTGCATGTAAATTCTCTTCCAGGGAAAAGCTCTGAACCAAGTGCTTTTAAATTAGTTTTTGTTTCGTTTCTGGGCCAAAGCTGAGGGGCTATGGAGAAGCTGGAGTAGAGATGTAAGCAAATGTAGTGATTTGATAAGGAAATGACGGTGACAGCCAACATTGTGGGGTGGGGAGGAGGGTTAAGGGATGCTGCAGCAACAGAACTGGTTGGGAGTTACACAGCAAGAGAGTTACGAATAAAGCGAACTTCTAAGCTGAGAAAATCAGGAAAATATTCGGGTCACTCATTGTGGTGTGGAATTTGAGATCAGGAAGGGCAAGGAAGGGGAGATGAGGATGAAGCTCTGTCAGACTCACTGGCTAATAGAGCTTGATAGAGCTCTCAAGATCATTGCCTCTAATTGCCTCTTTTAAAGATGAGGAAACTGTGTCCCACAAAGGTGAAACTAACTCATTCAAAGTTCCATAGTTAGCAAAGGGCAGAGCGAAACCAGGACCCAGGACTTATCATCATCCCATACTCTTTGTAAATTAGAAATCAAGAACTGGAAAAAGTGGGAGGGTTTATCTAGATTTTGTAGAATTTCATGTTATAGCTGGTAACACACGACTTCCTCATAGGAGAGGGTGTGGGGCAGAGATCACAAACTGAAAGCTTATGGTTTGACCTCCACGCTGTTTTTTAAATTAACATTCTAATTTATTTGTAACATTTCAAGATTAGGCAAGTTTCTGTACCAATCTGGATTTTTGCATGCTCTGGGAAAAGCCAGTCGAGCTGTCAGAGATTTAGTAAGAGACGCCCTCCTTTCAAGAAGGGGCGTCGTCTAGTTTACCCTCATCCACCTTGTTGGCTTCATGTTATCTACCTGAACTCTCTAGTCCCTAGTTTGCAATCCCTGGGAGGGCAAAAGGAAAGCAGAAGCTCTGAGCCCAAGACTGACACTTGGGATTGTTAATGGCAGGGGGTGAAGTGAAGTGACCAAGGAGCCCAGAACAAGAAGAGCCTGAGCCCCGAGGTCACAGAAGCAAAAGGTCTTGTCCAGGAATTCAGGGACAGGGTTTTCATCTATTTTTAGATAAATTAGCAGGATGTGGGAACCAAAAAAGTGGTCAATTCTCCAATACCGCACAATGGTGATGACTTATGCAAAACATCCTCTTTCCTATTTTTAACTAGATCACAGAAGCTGCGTCAGAGGACTTTGCTGCTGACTAATCCTGTTGAGGCATCTTCCTCTGAATTGCATAAATGTCATCTACATAGGCTAAAGAACATTTGAGAAAAAGAAAAACTGTAAAGACTACTGCATACGGGGCATTCTTATAAATAGTGTTCTGAGTGGGATCGGGGTGTTCTGGGCCACAGCTTTCTGGAAGTTGTCTAGGATTTCATGGTTGAAGAATGCAGTCAGAGAAATCATTCATTTTGTAAGCTGAATTAATGATCCCGTGATTTTTTGCACTCTAAAGAACAGTGAGGACTGTTTAGAATTATGCTGATTTTTCAGGAAAACAATTTTCTAGTTGTATAGATATCCCTGCACAGCAATAGGCTTTTTATTGGAGAAGGGAATCAGGAATGACAACAGAGGTTTCTCAATGCTTTATAGATAACTTGTGGACAAGTTAGCCTCTTTGTGCCTCAGTTTTCACATCTACAAAACAGCAATAGCAGCAGATCGTCTCTCATGGGGTTTGGGTGAGGATTAAATGAAATAATTCACTAAAAACAGTGGCATCTAGTAAGGGCTTACTAATAACTATTATGATATTTTCTATGAATAACTGAATTGAGTCAGAGAGAAGTGCTTTGGCTAAGCTACTTGGTAGCAGTATCAGAATTAGAGACCAGTTCCTCCAATTTTTAATTCAGTATCCTTTCTTTCATCACATGTGTTTTTAAACAACTTATTATGTATTTTCTAGTACATATTAACATTTCCTCTTGCAAGACATAGCACACTTACTGTTACAGTACAAACATACTTCCACAATGGTTTCCTTTGGAAAAACAATTTTGATTGATTTCTTTTACTCCGTAATATATCACATTTAGAGTGAGAGTACTGCTCGCTTAGAAAAAAGCAAGACTTTCAATTTTCAGGTCTTCAGCCACTGACATGGCAATCTGACTTTAAGCCATATGAAATTACACATGACATTTAGAATTGAATAACCATACTGATTGCTTCTTTGTGTCTGTGGAGAAAATAACATTTATTTTGACCAAATGTTATCTTTTCTCTTTTTCATCAAATAAATCATACTTAGGAGTGGAGCACTTCTGTTTTTCTTTATGATTCATTGATCAACCGTGAAAGAACAAACACATCAAATGCTGAAACTTGGGTTACAGTCCATTGGTGATTCTCTCCAGGACACTGCGGTCTCCCAAAGAATCATAGGCTTAAAGAGATGGCAGAGATTTCAGAGATTCTTTAGCTAAACCCCTTGATCTTTATAGATGAGAAAATTGAGCTCAGAGAGGTGACATGACTTGCAAAGTCATCCAGCTAGTTGGTGGCAAAGAGGGATTTCAAACCTTCTTTTTTCTGACTTTCAGTCCCCATTGCATCATGTCCTGCACCAACTCATGTCCTGCACCAACTCATGTCCTGCACCAACTCATGTATTTCTAAAAAGCCTTTCTGTATTATCAGGTGTTGGCAAACAGCCACAGGCCATGTCCAGCTTGCCACTTGTTTGTGCAAATAAAGTTTTATTGGAACACAGCCATGTTCATTTGTCTACTTATTGTCTATGGTTGTTTTCTCGCTACAGTGGCAGAATTGAGTAGTTGCATCAGAGTCGCTCTAACGTCTGGCCCTTCACAGAAAAAGTTCGCCAACCCTTGTTGTATATCAAGCTTGACTGAAATTCTCTTTTTTTTTTTTTTTTTTTTTTTTTTTTACTCTTTTTGTATCAGACCCTATTGTCAAAAGTTGAAGAAAGTGCAGTTGGGTAGAGAATTATGGGAAAGAAGAAAGAGGAAGAAAAGAACTAACATTGCTAACATTTATTTATCTGAGACAGGATAATAGAGGCTTTATATATGTCATCTCATTAAGTTCTCAAAAAGATGCTGGAGACTGATATTTTCAGCCCCATTCTGTAAATAAGAAAACAGGCTCAGAGAGGTAAGAGTTAAGTTGCTAGGTTTATGCCACTAACAATTAGCAGAATGAGGATTTGAATCCAGCCTTCTCCATTTGAAGATTCTATAATTCTTTCAATTATATCATGTGGTTGTTGTAGTCAGGGTTACCTTTCATTTTCTTAAAAAAGTGCTATACTATCCTCCAAATTGAAATAGTTTAATTAAAAAATAATATTTGGTACGAAATAATATTTAAAAAGCAAGTAACTATAGGTTAACATTATATAATTCATGGTGTTGCCATGGGTTATGTTTTTGTTTGGGTGCTTGTTTATACAAGTAAGTGAGTTGGACTGCAGATGATGAGAACAATACATTTCTTGACAAGAAATTTGCATTTTGCATTATTGGAGAAACTTAATGGCTCAGCAACAGGTAGAATCAAAGTCCTGTATGTATGTTCACACAGATAATTACATAGATAACATGTAATGTGTTTTTATTTAATCAGCAATCCCCCCTCTCCAAGGCTTGCCACAATTCTCTAAACCAGTGGTTAACAAACAGACCTAATCATCTGCATCACCCATGAAGTTCCTTAGGGTGCAGATTTCCAGGACCTTCCCGCCACCTACCTAAGTCAGTATATCTGAGTTTAGGTTTGGGCGTCTGTAATTTTATTTTATTGTTTAACCTCTGGAGATGGTTCTGATGATCAGCCAGCTTTGGGAACCATTACCCTAGAGAACCAGTGAGCAGGCAAGGCCCTGCGTCTTTGTCTCAGTCTTTCCTGGTCCTCCTCTAAGTCCTCTAAACCTGTCCACCACCTGAGCCCTACGCTTTGGTCAGTGTGCGTGCTCTTCTCTGTCTTTGTCAAATGAGGCTGAGTGCAGGGGTAGGGGCACTTCCTTCATCACAATGTATTTTCTCAGCATCCAGGAAAGTGGTGCAAACACCTTCTGCCTTAATTGCAGTGAATGTGGCTTGTTATGCTTTTATCTCTGTCATTGCCTTTTTTGCTTTCTATTTGCATTTCACAGAGTGCTCCAATGACAAATTCAATTCTGATTTCTTCTGCTCCCTGAGTACAAAAGTAAAGTTCATGGACACTCAGAATTGAGATCATAAAAGGTCATACATTTTCCCCACTACCCAGTTACTCACCTCCTTTTCTTTCCTGCTTTTAACAATGTCACTGCAATCACGATGGATTGAAACCAAAAGGGGTTTTGAGCTGGGAAAACTTGGAAAAGCCTCAGCCACCTGTTAATTTAAAATTTTCCTCCCCTCTGTGTGGGGGTTATATTAGCCTAATATAATACAGGCTTTTAAATATAGACATATTTAAAAAACACATTTTAAAAACATATTAAGGAGATGGCAGAGATTTCAGAGATTCTTTAGCTACATTCAACCCACACTCATTTTTTCAGCCAGTTCCTCTCTTCCATACTATAATCTCACCAATTGACTTCAGTAGTCTTTACTACTTTTTGGGAATCACTATTATTGAGTTTGGCTGAGAAAGCTAGTTCTTACTTTCCTGGGGTGAGATATGTGTACTTCTTTCTCTTAAGTAAATTAAGACAAAAATATGTGACATGTGAGGACTTCAACATATCCCATATTATAATTATGATTGATTAGGTCCCAACAGACAAAGTAGTAGATACAGAATCTGAGAAGAGGAAAGATAACATTTTTTTTATCCCAGGTAGAACAATAAGAGAGACCTGTTCTCATGAAGGTGTTTAGAATTCCCATGTCTTGCTGTCAAAGAGAAACTCAACTGACAACAGAGTTAGTAAGCACATCAGAAAGACACTTGACAGCTCCTAACAAAATATGGCACCAGACAGAGATTTGTGAGATGAGAAATGGTGATTTAGGGGATAATGCAATATACTTTTATAGGCCATTACAATTAGAGGTGAAAAAAGGGTGCTCTATGAAATTGCCTTGGGCAGTACCTTTCTGCCTCTGTAAGATTAACAGAGCACATTTCACAATGGATTTCTCAAGAAATTTAACTTAACATTCATTTAAATCAAAGTGAATAAGCTGCAATTAAATAAGCATTTCCCATCCAAGTGAAATGGACCCTAATGAGCTAGTCTAAATCCTGTTTTCAAGATCAAAATTGCCTTTGGTGACAGCACTGCTTTCCAGTCTGTCCTTCCAACATGGAAGAGCACTTCAGACTGAGGGCAAACCTGCCTAACAGATAAAGACAGTGTGTCCTGTGACTCGTTAAAAGTGATATGGGGGCTGGGCATGGTAGCTCACGCCTGTAATCCCAGCATTTTGGGAGGCCAAGGCAGGTGGATCACCTGAGATCAGGAGTTTAAGACTAGCCTGGCCAACATGGTGAAACTCCATCTCTACTAAAAACACAAATACATATATATATATATATAAGCTGGGCGTGGTGGCAGGCGTCTGTAATCTCAGCTACTTGGGAGGCTGAGGCAGGAGAATTGCTTGAACCTGAGAGGCGAAGATTGCAGTGAGCCAAGATCACACCATTGCACTCCAGCCTGGGTGACAGAGTGAGACTCCATCTCCAAAAAAAAAAAATAATAAAATAATAAAAATAAAATTGATTTGGAGTATAGTTAAAGAAGAAAAGGGGCCCAAATATATATTTTAACAAGAATTGTATATAATTTTAATGCACATGGTCCGTAGGCCACCCTGTCATAAATACCAGCCAGGGGATTTGCTAAAAGAGGAGAAAACAAAATAGAGGCAGGTAGAGGGCAGAAGTGCAGGCGGTGGTAAGAAGAAACAAGGAGCTGCTAGGACTGGGTTTCAGAAAGAGTTCTTTAATAAGGGAGCAGGGAGAAAAGAGACCATTGTGGGGGCAATAGCCATGGAAGACATTAAGGACGGAAGAGTTTGAAGATAGTTTGCTGGCTTTTTACATGTATGTTCCCCTTAGCATTTGCTTGTGAGGCTGTGGTAGAGATTTAAACTGTTTTCGTTTTCTTTTCCTTGAACATTATTCTATGCTGAAACTCATCACCAGGGGACCCAGCTAGAGTCTTGTTACATTGTGACACAGGCAAGATCATGTGGTTTGTTTGGAACATAGACCACATAACCATTTACCTGGCAGCTCTTTGGCTTTGAGATGAAAGGAGGCATAACCAGGTGCTGCAAGTTGGCTCTGTAAACTCAGACTCCTGAGAGGACTGCGTCACATAGTTCTCTATTATCCGGCATGAATAGTGACTGCCATCCTAGACCTGAAGAGAATTGTTGGTGCGATGTGGCTGAGGAGTAGTCGGGGTCTCTCATGACTTGTCTGCACTTGCCATGTCCATTTGCTTCTTCCTAATCATTTTCAGGACTGGAAGCCAGAAATGAATCTGAAGAGACAGAAAAGTGGATAAATGGGCATTGGAGTTGGAGTCATTTTAAATGCCTCTGACATCAATTTTTCATTGTGGGGTTAAAGATGTTGGGAAAAACAGCAAAAGACTGAAATAGACAAGCTTATTTTTGTGGGTTATGTTGGTCTTCCATTGTCTATGGGCTATTTCCCAATTCTGTAAGTTGCAGATGGCTGATAGAAACAATGTGAGTGATTCTTGTCCATGACATGCACATGATCTCCGTCCAGTAGCATACAACTGACCCCTCCCATCCACCCTTAAAGAAAAAGACAGTTTTGCATCTATTAAGCAAATTCGTTTGGTATTCCTGATGGCCTATATATATGTGTGTTCTTTGAATTATTCTTTGGTTCTAATTTTTCTTACCATTCCCTCATTAATAAATATGTATTAAATTACGTAAAATTTTTGATATATGTCCATTTTATGTATGAGTCATGTTTTTATTTATATATTTGTGTATATATTATATTTTTGTATATCCTCTCTCTATATATACACACACAAACACACACTGGAAAATGAACAAATTCTTTGGCATTTACAAAGCTATAGTAGACATTTCCCTGTCTGTTTTTTCTTTACCTAGGAAAGCATATCTTACTGTGCTTTGTCCTTTACTAGTCAACACTAAGGACCTCTCCAGTCGCCTCTCTACAATGACTGAACATACTTTCTTGAAACCAATATTTTAAGATATCTTGTAGTATCCTTTGGATCAGCATTCAAATCACAGAGTTAAGAGTCCTAGCCACGTACGTTTGTTCATTTTTCCTCAATGTCCTATCTACTGCTGGGGTACAAGCCCTGATGTGAAGTTGAAGCATTAAATGCTTCGAAGTCCCCTTTCCCATTTCCCTCCAAACTCAACACTTCCTCAATTGGAGGTTACACCACCATCTTGGCCTTACCTTTGTAAGATAGAGACTCAGCCGTCTTTTGACTTCTCCCAGCGGCTGCTTTGATCTTTTTTTAAGCAGCTTTGCATGCAGATATTGGATGCGCTTCCTCTCCACGCTGGGGTAGAAAGATGCTGACACCAGGATTTTAAGTTGCATAAGGATAGAGGACAACAGTCCCAGCATCACTAATATCAAAAGAATAACACTGAGAGGAACCCAGGTCTCAGATAGAAGGAATTTTGGTTTTGGGATACAGTTGGGTTCAAACACAGATATATTAAAGGAAGAATCATGGATAATATCTTGAGTTCCTTGTTTCTAAAATGAAAGAATAAAATAATCATGATGCATGCCATTTTTGTACTCAGTTCTTGTCTTTCTCAGTACTTCCCTGCAGCACATGGCACTATCTTCAAATATACAGGGAGCTTTGGCCAAAGGAACTATCACATCTTCCTTTGTGTGTTATGATTGGAGCAAAGGAGAAGAGATGTGTCTTATTTGTAACTATTGCAGTGTTTTCTGAAATGGGTTTGTAGAAATACAGTAAAGATTCCCTTGAGAGAAGTGTATTAAATACATTTTTTTTACTCTATCCCTTCTTTTGAAAATCACAATGCCCATTAGACTGTTGAAGGCTCTGAGGAGTAGGCAGAGGAATCTTTTAATTTTAGCAGCAGTTTTCCTAACAAATTTGATCACATAACTCATTTTCATGGAATACTTGTTTCTACATGTTAGCACACATGGGGCGAAAGAAAGAGCGGGGAGTCAGCTAAACTCAGGGAGAAGATTGCTTTAGAACATAGCCCCTTAGGACCCCATCATATCCTCCCAATACCCCTTAAGCAGACCACAAGGTCACAGAGATGTTGAGGCATTAAATTATGTTCTACATCTACCTTCTGGAGCTTAGGGGGGATTATTCTTATTTAGTGTACTATATTCCCTTCTGGGTTGATACGTTGGCCCTCTAGCCCACATTATTGAAGGAGACTCTGAAATCATGTTTGGGCAGGTCCTAAAAATAGGAAAAATTCTCATCCCTATTGGATGCTCATGAGAGGTACATTCCTTCTTTTTGAAGGCAAGAGAATAAGCCAGTTGCCCTCAGCAGACTGACACAGAGGGCAGGAGATGACATTGAGCCACCCAGCCAAGCCACCCACAAGAGAAGTGTGTGCTGATCCAGCTCTTTCTTTCTCTGACCTGGGAAAGTCATTTAATCTCTCAGTGGATTTCTTTTCTAATTTGGCAAAACAGGAGTTAATGGACCAGATCCTGCCCATGAATAAACTACTCCCAGTGTAAATTAAACACCTTGGGGAAGGAGCATTAGCCTTATAGACTGGGGTGCTTAGTAAGTTATTATCACTCTAGTGCCACAGAGCCCTGGGGCTGGGAAAAGGTAAATGACTTCTCAAAAAGAACCCAACTACACCCAGCGGACGCTGGGCACCTTGGATCTATTCCAGTGCCTGTGAAGACTTTGGAAACCCCAAACCTGGGACCTCTACACAAATGCCAAATCAAATCTATAATTTCCCCAGCACTGTGCCGAAGCAACGAAAAACATTTGTGTTGCCTCTCCCTTTCTCTTATTAAAAAGATAGGCTGCCTACAATTAAATAGAGAGATTTCAGTCCCCAGAGCAAAGACATGAACTCTTTTTAATACTATTGAAGAAACAAACATATCGATTGAGTCAGTGATGAGAAATCCTGCAATAAGAAAGCAGCGGGTGTTCGGTCTGGGACAAAGTTATTTTGTCTAGAAATTTAACTGGGGATTTTGCAGCTGGGAATCCGGGCTTCAGAACGGCTGAGTCAACACTTTGGTGTGGGGTTGGTTGAGGGTGATGTGGAAGACAAATTAATTCTTCCAAAATGCCTGAGCAGTATACTAAATGGCACCCCAACGTTTCAATATTTATATTCCTCTCTTAAGTAAACAATTTGTTGGCACAACACTAAGCAATGAATGGAGGCCAGGCTCTGCTGTCAGCCAGTCCTGAAAAGTTAATGCAGCCAAGTGCAGTGAACATAGTAGGTGCCCAATAAGTAGAAACTCTGGCTATTTTTACTCACACTGCCCACCCACAGAGCTAGCTCTACCTGGGTCATTTCCCGTCTTCTTTATTCAAAACACATAATTAAAATCATATTAAAGTGAGGGAGAAATATTGGCAGCACCTTGAGCCAGTGTTTCTCTTCCTGTGTGACTTCTCCTTGGCAAATGTGAGGCAATGGTGAAGACAAGGAGCCCCCAAGGGCACCCTGGCATAAGGGCAGGGCATCGTCAGTCATGCAGAAGCTGGCTGCTGGCAGCACAGTCTCCCAGACACAGCAGGAGAGAGTTTGAGAAGCGCTCCCACAGCAGTCTCGTACTCACATCTGTTCCAGTGCCCACCACCCTACTGTTTCACGTGTGTTCATGGTGACCTCCCTCCCAGGACATAAGCCCCTCAAGGAGGCCCTCACAACCTAGACATCTTTGTGCCCCCAGGAGCCAGTAATGCCCAAAGACAAAGGTGTCAGGGCATTGTCATTGGAAAGCTGGGTTTTTTTGGAAGGCAGAGCTTGCTTTTTTTTTTCCCCTCTATCTAACATGGTGAGAATTCACAACACAGCCATGGGTACTTGCTGAGAGAGAAGTAAATGAGAGAGAAGAAAAATGTAGGAGAGAGAGGGAGAATTGAGGGGGGAAGACAAGAAAGGAGAACACAGGAGGAGAATGGCAGTGAAGGAGTGAGACCCTTTTCCTGGCCACCCCCAAAGATCAAGCATGTCTGAAATTCTTGTTTGGCTTTCAGCTAAAACACTACTTCCATTATCCACCCTGCTCCAAATATCTAGAGCAACAGGGTGCCTTGTAATTAACGGGATTCTTCAGGGGACTCAGAGAGCTCAGAATAATCAACTCTGAGAAGCAGCCCAGGCTTAGGAGGGCAGGAGCCATGGGACTAGATCTGCTGAGCCAGAGGAAAAGGGAGGAAAAGTGTGAATGCAGCAGGAGGATTTAAGGCCCTGAGAGAGAAAGAGAGAAATGGCAAGTGGGGCTTCATGGGAGGGTTTGCAGGCAACATTGTGGCCGTTTTTCCTCCATGAATTCCCCAGCAGCTGGCACAGCCTATTGCAGCTTGAGGAATAGTAGGGCAAATCAGACCCGTGGAAACAGCTACTGGATACCCCATAAATATGTACAATGATTATGTGTCAATTAAAAATAACAATAAAAGTTAAAAGTAATAATCTTTTTAAAAAAAGAAACAGCTGTTGGTGTTTTTGAGGCAGGAGATAAGCAGGACTTGTTTACTGAGCCTCTGTCATGACCCTGTGGATAGAAACAAGATATAACAAAGAAACCAGCCAAAATCAGCTAGGACCAAGATGGTGATGAAAAAAAACCTCGAGTTGTCCTCACTGCTCATTATATGCTAATTATAATATATTTGCATAAGGCACTCCTACCAGCACCATGACAGCTTACAAATGAGGCCATGGCAATAACCCAGAAGTTGTGTTACATGGCTTGGGAACTCCCCACCCTTTTTCCAGAAAGCTCATGAATAACCCACTCCATAATTAGCATAAAATTAAGACTAGGTATAAATATAAGAGATCAGCAATCCATGAGTGCTACTCTGGGCCACTCTGCCTATGCGATAGTCTTTCTCTGCCTATGGAGCAGTCATTTTGCTGTACTCTGTTCTAATAAACTTGCTTTCTTTCACTGTCAGCTCACTCTTGAATTCTTTCCCAAGCAAAGCCAAGAACCCTCCTAGGCTAAGCCCCAATTTTGGGGTTCACCTGCATTATTTTTGCCAGCCTGGGCTAGTGTACTTAACCCAGCATGCATCACACACATGCACATACACACCCATACATGTGCATACACACACCACGTCATTCAGCCTGGCAATTTCTGGGTTTAAAAAACAATAAGACAAGTGTCTCACAATATCCAGATCCTCTGAAATGTCAGCATAAGCACAAATATCCACAGAGAAAATGGAAAAGAAAAGATAAACGATGGGATGCCCCATCCCCACCATCTTCTCTGTTTGTCCATGGCTGCCAAGAGGAGAGAGAAGGAGAATAGAGGAGAGAAAGCCACATCCCTCAAGATGCGGGAGGCACCAGCTCAGACACAGATGCTATCCTGGCTAATGAAGATTTGTCACAGATCCATCTGATGGCAATTAGGTGTTAACTTTCTGGCTTTGTTCTTGGAGTGAGGGGTTTAGAACAGGGGTTCTCAATCTTGGCTGCACATTAGAATTACTCTGGGAGGTTTTAAAAATCTCTCGCCGCAGTCCAATTAAAACAGAATCTGGTGATTCTGGAGAGAGGAATTGAGTTGCTTTGTTAGTTCAACTCTGCAGTGATGCAACTCTGTATCCAAGGTTGAGGACCTCTGGGTTAGCGGGTCCTTGCTTTCTAAGACCTAGACCAGAGTTGCTCAAAATGTGGTCTATGAACCACCTACCTTGAAATCACAGGCATGCTCATTTAAAATGCTCTCCCAGTTAAAACAAAATCTGTGTAAATCGAGGCCTGAAACTCTATGTCCAACTCAGGAAATTCTTAACACACATTTAAAATTGAGAACTAGTAATCCAATCTGTCTCAAAAAACCGAAGTGTAGCTGTGTAGCATTTTTAAAAGTGGGTGCTATCAGCTACTAGCACCAGCCATTTTACTGGGTAACTTAGGAGCCCTTTTCAACAATCATCCTTTTAAACATTGCACTGATGCCTTGGGAACCCTCTTGTATTTGATAAGGACTCAAGATGCACAGAAAAGTTCTCACTCAGAGAAGGTGCTTGAAGTCTACTTGCCTAAGCTTGAGGATGAGAGGAAGGCAGACCCTAAATCCGTGTCTCTTAGGTTCACGCCGGATAGTCCTGCTTGGGAATCCACTTCATGTTCAACCTCAGAGATACTTATTTCCACATTTCAGTGTTTGTTGACTGTAGGAGGCTGGATGATGCCCTGAAGATATAAGATCTTAGTGCCTGGAACTGTTAATGTTACTTTATTTGGAAAAAGGATCTTTGCAAATGTTATTAAGTCAAAGATCTTGAGATAGAGAAATTACCCTGGATTATACTGGAAAGTCCTAATACAGTCATACAGATTCTTTAAGACAGAGGCAGAGAGAGATTTTCCACATGCAAAGAAGAAAGTGATGCGATGACAGAGCAGAGACGGGAGTGATGTGGTCACAGGCAAAGGGATGCCATCGGCCACTAGAATCTGGAAGATGCAAAGAGCGGCAACAGCACCTGGATTTCAGGCCAGCGACACTCACTTCATACTTCTCCCCCCAGAACTATCCAAGAATAAACTTCTGTTATTTTAAGCCATTCAATTATTGGCCATTTGTCACAGCAGCCACAGGGAACTAATGCAGAATCACACCCTAACATTGGGACTTCGATTCAATTTGACCTGCAATTGTTGGGTTCCTTCTATGTGCCAAGCACTATGCTGGGCACCAAGGATGCAAAGGTGAATGAGCCACTGCCCTGCCTCGGGAGGTTCATGATCTTTTGCAAGACAGACCAGCAAATAGCCGGGATAAACCATGAGAAGTACCTGTGGGCCCTACCTCTCCGTGCAGTTTCAAGTGAACCTCAAACCCTGGCAAGCTTTGAAACTGCTTGCTCACTGAGAAAATGAGCCGATACAGCAGATAATCTACAGCTGCAAACAGCACCCAGATGCAGAGATGGATAAGTATGGGGAGGAAAAACAGCCCCAGGTTTTTCCTTTCTTTAGGAGTCGGCCAGAAAGTCGGGATGATGACATACTTCCTCCTTTCCTCCTTATTCAGCGGGAGCACACAGGGCCTCTGTTGATGTCTCTCCCTTTCATCAAACTGAACAAATTGTCTGGTGATGTAGATGTTTTCATACTTCCAACCACAAGGGCCCAAAAATCGCTTCATGAAGAGGCCAGTGCCAAGCAGGACGAGCGAAAGCCCTGCAAAGGCAAGTAGCTTCTGACCCAGGGAGGACAACACCTCTGTGGTTGTTGCCATCTGGTACAAGACGCTCAGGACTTCCCCTTTGCTGTCATTTAGCTGTGCCTCCAGGACATGGCTGGGACTGAAAAGAGAGACTGCCAGGGTCTGGTTCCAAGAAACAAGGTCATCAAATACACTTAGTGGAGTGGCAAGGCCATAAATCCACTGAATTGCCTCAATATATTTTTTCAAAAGTGGAAAATGTATGGAAAAGCTCTTTGCCCTTAGGTTGCAAGTCATACCATCTAGGAGACCTTTAAAGTTGTGAAAAATATTTTCTACGTGTCCCAAGATGACGATCCCTGTGCCAGCTGCAATCAAAGCATTCCTGCCTTCACGCAGGCCACAAGAGAGAAAGACAAGAAGAATAAAACATCGTGCATGCTTGGAGCAACACAGCAGAACACACGTGATAATCCAGGAGGCAGCGGCCGCTATGATTGATGGCAGAAACCAGCAGGCGGCCACAGACAGGAGGCCCACTGAAATAAGAGCAACCAAACAGCAAACTCCCAAATGCTGGATAAAGTCCATCCATCCGGGGCTTCTTGGAGACACGTAAATCTCCCAAAGACTTAGGAAGATATCAGTGCCTGAGGTCCAGATACCCATGCTCCCTGCGTCCTGAAAATGAAAAAGAAACCAAGGTCAGAAATTACTTTTGAATGTCCTCTGACCTTCGTAAAGGCCATGGTGGTAGACTGACTACAAAAAACGTGGCCATAATTCTTTACTCTTCCTGTGTCCTCTCCCTTGAAATATGACTTTACAGCTTCTTTGACCTTCCACCACCAAGAGTTGAGGTCTATTCCTCCATCCTTTGCATCTGACCTGGCCTTGTGACTTCTTTGCCCAATCGAATGCGGCAGAAATGACAGTGACAATCCTGGGCCTGGGACTCGCTCCACGTGCTCTCACGGAACCCTGCTCCTGCTGTGTTAAGTCCAGCTGCATTTCCCTGCTATCGCTGCTGTACAAATAACCACTGAGTATTTTAAAGGAGCACGTATTTATTCTCTCACAGTTCTGGAGGTCAGAGTCTAAAATGGGCCTGCAATGCTGTGGTCCTTCAGGAGGCACTGGGGGAGAACTTGATTCCTTGCCTCTTTCAGCTTTAGAGGCCACCTACATTTCCTGGCTCATGGACCCTTTTTCCACCATCTCAAAGCCAGCAATGTTGCATCTTCCCTCTGCTTTTATCCTTATGTTTTCTCTCTAGACTCTGATCCTCCTGCCTCCCTCTTATAAGAGCCCTTGTGAATACGCTGGGCCCACCCAGATAATCTGGGATAATCTCCCCATCTCAAGACACATTTGCAGGGTCCCTTTTACCATGCGAGGTAATATATTCATGAGTTCTGAGCAGTAGGACATGGACAACTCTGAGGGGGCCATTTTTGAGCCTATTATACCAGGCTGGACTGCTGGATGACAAAAGGCACCTGACCAGGCAATTCCATCAGCTCAGCCAATAGCCGTCCAACTGCCAGATGTGAGAGAGGCCATCCTAGACCAGCTGGTTCTCAGCCGGCCCACCGGCTGACCACAGACACGTGAGCCATCATAAATGCTGATTTATTTTAAGCCACTGAATTCTGTACTGGTCTGCTAGAGAGTCTTTGTTTATTGATAAAGGCAACAGTCCTATATCATAAGCCTTAATAGTTGAACCCTAGGTTGAGAGGCTGAAATGTCAATAAACTGCATTATGCAAGCTTACTCTTTAATAGTCATCTGTTTTCTTGTGCTCTAATTTTACAGACCAGAAAGCACACCAAGGGCATCCAAACTTAAATGCAGCCTTGGACTGAGGCCATTGTGTCTCTGCTCTGTAACCACGGCTTCTTCCCTCTTATGCCCCTGCCCTCCAAGAACAGTTTCCTCCTGAGAATCTTACAAAGAAAAGAAGAATATTTATTTTTTGTCACTGAGATAATCATCTTTTCTTTTTTCCTAGATCGGAATAATTAAAATGAAGGCACTCTGGAGCTGCTAACACGCCATCAGTCACACAGATTTAGGTCTGTGATGCTCTCAGAGAGACTTGGATTCATTTGGAGTGATATATATATAAAATAAATTTGATATTCTCTCCTGATTGACATGAAAATATCTAATAAGCGTTATATCATATGTATGGGATTTTAATGCGGACATTGATCAGTTTTTAAACAATCTCAAATAAATCCCTTCTCACATTAAATAGGATGGGTCTGAATTTACGGAGTAGCTGAATACAGTGAGAGCCAGTGAATTACATTTGTCGTGTAAGATGAATCCAGGCACTGGATAGAGGTTGTGAACTGAGCAACCAGAGGTGAGGAAATTATTCTTTCTGTGTTCAGGCCGAATGAGGTTAACGAAGGGCAGAAATAAAATGGGGGAAATAGGCAGGTTATGAATAAACATGTGTAAATTTCTCCACCAGGAATAGAGAGTGCTTGCAGTTCCTGCCATATAATCTGAATGGAAATGCTCAGAGCAGAAAAGAGATATGAGGCGAGCCTGAGTGTTGAAGAGTGGTCACTGCCATGTGGAACTGGCCTTAGCAGAGTCCAGATCCCACATATAAGGATGTTCTGACAGCATCAGCAGGAAAGGGAATTAGAATGGTAATTAAAATGGGGGCCAGCAAAAGGCCATAGTTCCTTTTTCCTGAAAGCTTGCTTCCTTTTGGAATCAGAGGCTGGACTGAAGGGTGAAGATAGAGACAGGCCTTACCATAGGCCCCTGTGCTGCTGAACCTTCCCTGGCATTACAGACCGAGTCAGACAGGCTCCACGGCACAGGCAGGAGGACTGCGGGCAGGTGGGCAGAGGGCAGGATGCCCAGCACCAGACCAAGTCAGGAGCTGTGGCCTCTCCTCCCAGGCATGACTCTTTGCTCTCCCATTACTTTGGGTTTGACCCCAAACCATTATTTGATTGATACCCTAAAAGATGATAATTCCCTATTACATTGTAAGCACTTTTTATAAAGCATCTCTCTAACCGTGCCCCAAGCCTGCAGATGCTCTTTGCATCTGGCACATTGGAAACTGAGGCTCTGAGTGCTTGCCGGAATTTGTCAGCAATCACACAGTGGAGACGGCACAGCAGGATTTAGGCCAGACTTCCCCAACTCCTGGGCAGGCCCTGTCATCTGTACCATGCCCCAATTCCATGGCTCTGCGTGATGTGACAGGACCCTCAGCTCACTGTTTGCCCCTGCTGGAGGCATCACACCTTCTGCCAGTGGCTGTTAAGAGCTGACCTGTATATCACAAGCCCATTTCCATTATCTGCTCACTTTTTGTTCCCTGCATCAAAATAGTTGACTCTGTAAGGATATCTCTCAAACTAGCAGATTCTTCTTTAAAGGAAATCAGAAATCCCAGCTGTTTAACTTTTTTCTAATTTCCTTTATGAGGCACCATTTTGCTTCCTTCCTAAAAAATTAATAATGTATATTCTGGATTCATTTTTCCTTTCTCTTGCCTTCATCCTTGTACAGTGTGTTCCTAATACAGACATTTTTCTGAAAGTATGAAAAAGATTTATGGACACATTAACATTTTAACGTTCTGCAATAAAATCTAGTATCAATTAAAGAAGATATACGACTGCAATTTTGTCCTGTAAGAAGAACACGTTTTCTTAACAGGCAACAGCTCTAATATTATCCTTCTTATTTTTGTGTTAAAAACAGCACGTCACCAGACACCAAAACTTTCTGCAGTGAGAGGACTGAAGGTATCTTCTCTTATTTTACAGCTCAAGCTCCAGAGCACAATTTCGGCCCATGAGCCCAAAGGCTGATGTTCCAGTCTGCCCTTTTGGCATCGTTGACTGTGGCATTGATTTCTTCTCTGTTCCTCATTTTCCCTAATTGAATATATGACCTACCTGCTCCCTTTGGTTTAATGAGGGGAACCTTAGCAAGCACCTTAAGACTCTCTGGATAAAAGGTCCCCAGTAAATGCAACTCATTCCTTGTTGTTTCTTTGCTGCCACAGAAAATGAAGAATGTCCATTCTCTGCTCTTTAGGCAAAGATTGAATGCCCAAGCTGACGGGAGGCTTAGAGACAGGCACTGGAGGCTGAGCGTGGTGGCTCATGGCTATAATCCCACACTGAGGTGGGAGGATTGCTTGATTGAGCCCAGGAGTTTGAGACCAGCCTGAGCAACAGAGAGAGACCCCCATCTCTCTTTTTAAAAAACAACTACAAAAAAAGAGATAGGAGCTGGATTGTACCAACCTCCAAGGTGTACAACCCTCCAGGCACGGTGACGCCACCCATGCCTCCTTTAGACATCTGCTGATTTCTTTTTGCTCCTGTGGAGGTGCAGCCATTCTGCTGATCTTCCTTCAGATATTTCAATTCTTTCCTCTTAGGCAAATCAGTAAACTGGAATTTTGATAAGCTAAGCAAGTGTTTTCTTTCTCAAAGACTTTGTCAAGCAGATACCCAGATTCATAAATTTTCTTTTTTGAGCTGGAGGGAATCATACCTCAGAGCTTCTTAGACTTGAGTACGTGATCACTGGAGGGAATCTTGTGAAAATGCAGATCTTGATTGAGAAGGTTTAGGGTGGCCCCTGAGAGTTGGCATTCCTAACAATTTCCCAGGTGCTGCTGAAGCTGCTCTCGTGAAGACTAGGCTTCAGGTAGCAAGCTCTAGAATTCAGCGCTGTTGGATAGAACTGTCTGTGATGCTGGGCGTGCTGTATATATGCACTGTCCAGCATAGGAGGCACTGGCCACATGAGCACTTGACATAGGGCTCATGCGACTGAGAAATTGAATTTTAAATTTTACTTAATTTTAATTAATAAATTTAATTACTTTTAGTGTTATTTTATTTAATTATGATATTTAATTTTAATTTTAATAAATCAAATCACTTACATTTAAATTAAGATTAAATAAAATTTAAATTACTTAAAGTTAAATAAATAACTGGAGCCTATGTATTGGATAGCACAAGTCCAGATTATTTTGATTGACACCTCCCTGGCTGATAGTCACAGTTGAGGAAAATAAAATCCAAAGAGGCTAAGGGACTCTAAGCTAGGAGGGAGACCCCCAGTTTTCCACCACTTGGTGACACACTTCCCATCACATTAATATCTCACCTCTGACTTTTCATGAGTCCTGTTTTAAAATTCCACTACAGTTCCTGAGTAATGGAATTAAAATTTCCTATGTACCTGTTGTCATCTGCCAGTGCTGCCATAGCAGAACCCCACAGGCTGGGTGGCTTCAACAGCAGAAATTGATTTCTCACAGTGGTGGAGGCTGGAAGTTCCAGATCAAAGTCTGGCAGGGTTGGGTTCTGGTGAGGACCCCTCCCCGGCTTGCAGACAACTGCCTCCTCCCTGTGTCCTCACATGGCGGGGAGAGAAGGTGGGTGAGCTCTCTGGTATCTCTTCACTCTGTGTCGCCTTTAATTAAGTACAAAGACTTTTCCAACATGGCACCCAGAAATCATTTTACCCACTGCTCTGTTTGGCTGCCAGTCTCTTGTCTCTCTCTTAGACAATGGTGAGGCAGTTACATTTTCCTCTTCTTATAGGGACACTAGTCCTATCAGATGAGGGCTCCACACTTAGGACCTCATTTAACCTTAATTACTTCCTTAGAGACCCAATTTCCAAATACAGCCACACTGGGGGTTCAAATAAATTGGCAGAAGACACAAACATTCTGTCCATAACAATATCCAGTTGGTCCTGAGTCACCACAGAATACATAATTAGAGAAGCAGACAAACTATAGCTTGTGTCAATGTCTGAGGCTTAGTGAAATACTCCTAATAATAGACGGTAGTTATTAATGTGTTACTTTATGCCTGGCCACAGCATCTGATATACACGCTTTCTAACCCTGTACTATTGTAGCTACATCTTTTTAGGTAGGAAACTGGGGCTGAGAGAGGTTAAACAACTTGGTCAAGGTCACACAGCTAATAAGTGCAAGAGCCAGGATTTTAACCCATGTTTAAATGACCCTGAGGGGTCAGAATGGACAACTGCTCAGCCCCTCTTTGACATGATCATAGAGCAGCTTCTGAATTTGGTTGAACTATATTCCCAGGATCCCAATCACAAAAGAATCCTGAAATGCAGATTCACCATGCCAGGATGAGCTGTCCTGCGTTGTCAACCACATCCAGGGTCCTCCCCTCCTCTGCCAGCATAGCTTTATTGAGCCATCTAAAGCTGACTGCAGCTCTCCTTTCCCCAGGTGAACACTTGCTCCACAGCATCGTGCAGTCGTGAATACCTATATTTTACTCAGAGACTGTTACAGCCAGCGTTAGGCTCACCTTGCTCACCCCTTAAACTCGGGCACCCCGGACGCAGGCCCATCCTGGTCTGAGGTCCAGATCAAGGGCTGTCTCTCCCAACTTAGCCATCTCTCCCAGGGATGGGGAAGAAAAGTGCATTCCGTGTTGGTCTCACCTTCCCTGTTGAGCTGGGGTCAGGAATGGGGGCTCATCCTGTCCCCTGCAGGCAGCACTTAGCATTTCAAATGCCTACAGGGGTCAGACAAGCACCAGAAACAGTGAAGGAAGTAAGGAGATAGAGATACTCCTTGGGAGTGTGGGGTGTGGGCCAGTGGGCCATGGGTCTCTGGGGGGCTGGAGAGCCCATGCCCCCATTTAACTTGTAGGAACAGCAGCCTCCAACCCAGCAGATTTTCTTGAAAGTTCTCTATGGAGGCAGTCACCAGATTTTCTGACTTTTATTTTTTAAGTCAGAAATCTAGATTTCTTTGGGTGACATCTTCTGGTTCTTAAAAAACTGTTGGCTCAAATTATTTTTAAACACTCTGACGGCTGATTTTGGCCACGGATTGTGAGAGTGCAGCCTTGATCATCAGATGACGTTCACATGGCTCTCTTCTCTCCTCTCTGGCTGGCTTCTCACCTTAGCCCTCCTCTTCTCCATTCCTGTGAATTACCTTTTCCCCTTTTATCCCTGGAGACATTTAAAAGCCATGCTTAAACCAAGTTCCAGTCTCACAAATAAAGGTTTTCCTCTATACCTCGGAAATGTTTATTTTTGCCCAAAGATTTCTAACTGTTTTATTCCCCTCTCTTGTGCTTACAGAGTCCCTCCCTCTGCCTCTCCATCGTTTTTTTCTGGCAGCATCTAAAAGTTTACCTGATCCCTTTAACCTGTAATTTCTCTTTATTTTGCCTCCATTGTCAATAATGTCTATTCCTGACTCAACATGCTTGTGTCCCCAGGATACAATACCTGTTTCTGGCTTTTACCAACAGCACTATCCCTAGAGTAATGGCCACTCTCTTGCTTTTATCTCAGAACTGCAGTTTCTACCACACCTCAGGCAGGGAAGCCTTAGCAGTCCACAGCAGAGTACCACCAAGGGCCCCATCTCTCTTTCATGGGGTTAAAGCCCTTTTTGTGGCTGAGTGGAAGGGAACAGGAAAATAGCAGAACAGGGTTAGGGATGAAGAGCCCTGATTTGAGCTGAGAGCCCTGCAGAGCCATGCAGTCTGTGCATCTGGCTTGAGCCCACATTTACCTGCTTTCATGCAGGGCCAAGCTGTTGCCATGGGAAACAGAAACAGCCAGACTTCCACATCAACCCTGCCCATGCTAGCTAGCAGACACCTCTGCAAGGTACATACACCTCAATCGTTTTCCCTGCATGGGATCTCAGTGTCAGTGGGAGCATTGAGAGCCCCAGCATGGAGGGCACAGGGCTCACAGCCCCCACCCACAGAGCTCTGTTTGGCCACCTTTTTGATGAGTGAAGGAGACCGGCATTCCTGAGCACTGTCTTTTGAGCACAGATCAACTTTCAAGGTGCAGATGAATGTGTCCTTGCTTCAGATACAAGGTCCAGTCAGAAGCTACAAAAAATGGAGCCATGAAATAATAATGAGAATCTCCACATGAATGGCCCACCCTAGGAGCTTTCTAGACTGGAGGGGTATTGAAGCTGCACATCACCCATGTGTCTCCAGAGCTGGTAAGCAGAAACCCACAGGCTTACTGCTATTGAAAGTGTGGGAGGAAGAAATGTGACCTTCTCTGGAGGAAAGGCCAGGAGACAATGACCTTGGGAGCATCTTATTGCTCCCCTCTCTCCCCATTTCCAAAGCTCCTGCCTCATCTGATGTCCTGCAATTCCCATTAAGTGACACCAGTTCATTCTGACTCTGCCTGTGCAGAAGCCAATGGCTTATGCTCAACAAGCCCAGATATAGTCTGCAGACACCCCAGGGGACAATAAACCCAAACGGACAAGCACTCTGTTCTTTCTGTACTCCTCAACCAGCCCTGCCGGTCCCCTGCGGGAACCCAGTCTGAACCCATCAGCCTCCCTCACTGGCTTGATGTGAATCTCATTTTAAAAGGAATTTGATCAAAGGACAGAGCAGAACAGGAAAAGAGCGCCAAACGGAGACCTGTGGTCCAACCTGCCTCTACCCAAGCCAGGTTGCGTGGCCTTGGATAGGTCATGTCACCTCCTGGACCTCAGCTCCTATGGGCTAGCTGAGTTCTAAGGTCCCCACTAGCCCCATGCTCTCTGAAATGAAAGGTGCAGTGAGCAGCGGAGCTGGTTCTTGGAGCTGGCGTTCTGCAGTCACTTCTGAGACAGAACATCAAAGCCCAGCACCTGGGAGTGGAACAAAAGAAGAATGGAGGGTTTCTTTTCCTTTTCCTTTTTTCTCCCTTTCTTTTTTGTATAAGCTCTTGCAAACTTACAATGTGGTTCAGAATGTACTGTTCTCTCAGACTGCCAAAATAGCTTGAGCAGGAGCTGCGGCCTTCATTTGAGGTAGAGAGAACTCCTCATGACTTTGTTTTCATTGTTCTTGCCTTGGGAAAGCCAGCAAATGCCTTCCTCTGTGAAAGCAGCCTTCACACAAGAAAGGAAAGATTAATGAACGCTACTAGGTAAACAGAATAGCATTTACGGAACAATTCAGCCCATTGCTGCGTGTGCCAGGTGCCGGGAGCTGCATCGTTGGCCAGGCAGGACTGAGCCAGCCTAGGGCTCCCCATAACCACCAGGAGGATTAGCTGAGGGGATTCATAAAGTGAAGGGTGGCTCGCGTATACCCAGGCTACACCCATAAGAAGATATTCATGCTGCAGTTTTCCCTGAGCAGAGGATATTCAGATACCAACATGAAAAGACTTTCTGATACTTCCATACATAGGGAGACTGTCGGGGTATAGGGGGCCTTAAAGTATGCTCTGGTCACAATTGTTTATTCCAATTTACTAGTACTTTTTTAAAAGCAATTTTAGAAATAAGATTATTCTGAAAGTTTACTTACAGGTTTCTCTCAGATTCTTCTTCGAATGCAGAAATGCACTTCCCAAGGGCTGTAGGTCTTGATATATAGCAGGAAAAAGGGAACCAGAAGTGTCGAGAGGGTCACATCACCATGAATCAACCTCTTTATTTCCCCCATAAAGTGACTGAGCCATTTAATATCAACAAAGAGTAATGCTGATACAAATGAATAGCATATTTCTTTCTAGCATTTTCCTCAGAATAGATGTTCTAGAAATTAATTATAGAAAATAATGAAATCAGATATTTTCAAACACAAGAGAGTGAGTTGTGAAAGCTTGGACGGCCTCTCTCCCTCTTTTCTCTTTTGCCCTCACTCCCATACTCCCCACATCCACTCGAGCCATTGGGAAATGACAAGCATCCGCCATACCCACCTCTCATCCACACTTGAAGAGGCAGATGGTTCGTAGGAGCCGCCTCTGCACTCATGACCCCAGACAGGTCGAATAATTGGTTTCATGCCTCCCACTCATACATGTGACTTTCCATCTTAGAAATTTAGCTTCCAAGTCAAAAGGACCAGCTTGTGTAGTTTCGGAGAGTTAGGAAAGTCTCAAAATCTTTCTACAAAATTATTCTTTACTTTTTGTTGGAGACCCCTATTATACCTGCAAAAACCTTTATCTTAAAAAAAAAAAAAGGATCAGAATAGACCCTTGGGCTCAGGCTGGGCACACAGACTGCATGTCCCTCATGAGTCCTTTGTGTAAGGGGCTGACTTAGTCCTGAAGATGAAGAGAGCTGTTGAAATGAGATGTTTTCATTTGAACAGGAAGGATGGGACTGCAATGTGGGTGTCTGATTGAGTCATCCAGAAGCAGCCATGGTGGCCCCAAGGGAGGGAAGGGTCAGGGAGTGGGCAGGATCTTGAGGAAACGGCCCCAGACTTTGGTGAGTGGGAAGTCACTGGTGTTTCTGGAAGAGCCATTTAGGCAGGGGCCTAGGGGTGGGCACCACTCTTCAGTGGGCTGGAGCGTGAACTGGAGTGGGAGGAGGGGAGGAGCAAGCCAACCGGCTGGACTGGATGGGGTTCCTTTGTAGTAGTGCTAGGGATGGAAATGGAGAGGGAGAAGGCAGCAGTAGAGAGGTAGTGGTTTGAGTTTGGGGAAAACTAGATGAAATTTAGCATATCAGCCTCACAAAGAAGAATAAAGATAAGAGAGAGATGTTGGTACTCCCTGAGGAGGGAGGGAGGAAAGCTGAGGGCAGTTGCAACTTTCTTGGGGAAGGAGGAGATGGAGCCTTCTGAGAACGGGGGATGGAGACAGAAGTTGCTGGATCATGGAGAACAAACCTGGGGGCAGCTGCAGAAGAAAGAACTGGGAAGAGGAAATGGAGGGGCTCCCAGCTCCCACAACCAAAAATGGAGTCAGTGACATGGTTTTGAGAGTCCCCAGCAATTCCCAACTTGGGAGTGAAAGAAAAAGGCTGATTTGACAATACCTATACAAATTTATAAGCTACTAGAATTAGTCATTCCAAGAATTTATCTTATATTTGCATGGTATGTGTGTGCAGTGTGTATGTGTATGTGTACGTGTGTGTACAAATCCACCATATGCCTCTCTATGCCAGCTGGATAGCTAGATACACAGATCAGCATTGATTGTAATAGAGAATATGTAGAACAACCCACATGTCTATCAATTGGGAATTGGTTACATAAGTGTTCATATCTCCAGTAAAATGACTTATTCCCATAATGTATCCTTCTTCCAACTGAAATGGTCTTCCCTTCCTCTCCTTCCTTCGGGAAGCCTTCACAGGATATCTCATATCTTCCTGATTACTCCCTTAGTAGATGCTAAGGTATTCCCCACCATATCAGTTTTCATTCTCTTTTACCACCCTGCAGTGGTAGATCCCAATTAATGACCTCTCTGTATGCATGACCTTTGCCTTGTAACTTTGTAGTTCCCACCCAATTTGAATCTGGGCTTAACCATGTGGCCCGGTTTGGCCAGGAGGTAGGTAGTAAACTTGATACACGAAAGAAAGAAAGAAAAAGAAAGAAGAAAGAAAGAAAGAAGAAAGAAAGAAAGAAGAAAGAAAGAAAGAAAAAGAAAGAAAGAAAGAAAGAAGGAAAGAAAGAGAAAGAAAGAAAGAGAAAGAAAGAGAGAGAGAGAAAGAGAGAGAGAGAAAGGGAGAAAGAGAAAAAGAAAGAAAGAAAGGGAGAGGCCAATTGGGTTTAAAACTCAGAGACCCCTACAAATTGGTGCAACTTAAGGTGGAGGGGCTGTGATATAGGCAGATGAGATTCAGCTGGTGCTGCAAGATTTCTTTCCTGCACTCCTAGAGAACTCAGAGAATGGAAAAGCTATGCTCAGCTGGGAATTTTAACCTGATCAGCTCAAATGTTGTTTAATTACTTTGAAAGTCTGTAGTTAGTGAGCTGGACTCTTTGAGTATCCACCTGCACTTCTCAGAAGAATAGCCTCAGAACAGCAATGGTTGGTTAAGAGGGCCTGAGAAACAGGAATCATCCTGATTTTAACGCCAACGCCATTGACCAAATGAAGTCAGGGCCTGAACTTCCAGGACATCTCTGGGATTCTGCCTCAGGGGCCCAGCAAGGAGTAGTCACTGCTGAAATTACTGTATGACCCTAAGGTCAGGAGCATCTTCTGTTCTTTCTCTTGCCATCAAGGAATCTCTGTCCTGCAGAGGTGGTTTTAGGTTTGATGAGTCACAGAAGCACAGATAACACTAGGCTCACTTCAGACCCATGACTCACCCAGCCCAGGAACTCCTCTAGAAAACCAGCATAGAGAGAGGGTGTTTTGTGAAGCAGCATGGCCTGACATAGACAAGACTTGTCGCTTTGTCCCTTTAGTAGCTTTTAACCCCTTAAAAATTGCTATGGCCAGGTGTAGTAACTCACACCTGTAATCCCAGCACTTTGTGAGGCCAAGGTAAGAGGATCCCTTCAGCCCAGGAGTTTGAGACCAGCCTGGGAAACACAGTGAGACCACATCTCTATTTTTAAAATAATTGTTACAGTCTTTCCTGAATAACCTACTAGAGGTAATAAGTTTCACATGTTGAATGAAGAATGTGAGAATTCTATTCTATGAGTCCAGCTGTGCTTTCTCTGCCCTAAAGCACTCTCCTTTTCATTTCAGAGTGATGTTCCCAGGTGTGTTCTTCTGAGACCATCAGTTATATCCTTCACAATGATAGATCTTGACCATTTCTGCTATTTCTATAATGAAATCTTTTAGTGTTTTGCACTCACTTCTGTACTGAAGCTGCTTCCCCGCCTTGGCCTTTGTGTTCTCCCCAGGATGGGAAAAGCTCCATCTGCTTTTTTCTGCCATCCAAGACCACTTTTCAAGCACGGCTGTGCACCAAGCCCTGTACAAGGTCCCTGGGCTCCCCTGATGAAAGAGGAGAGATTGCAGAAGCTCATGTCTGGCTGTTAAGACAGATACACACATAAAAAAGTCTACACAGAGGGAAGATAAAGTTACATAGAAAGGCCTGAGGGAGATGCAAGGAGGATTCCTGAATGCTCTCAGCGAAAGAAGGTGGGTCAAGGGAGAGCCAAGAGAAGCCAGAGGGAAGGAGCATGAGTAAAGGCACAGAACTCTGCAAGTGCCTGTGTGGCCCCAGTGGGTGCTCGCCCTGCAGCCCTCTCCCTTCCTTGCAGTCAGATCATGGATATGAGACTCAACACTGACCAATGGGACCCAAGGGGAAGTCTATGGGGAGCTCATAGGAGAGCGTTCCTCTCTCTTAAAACAAGATGAATAGGAAGGAAACTGTTCATTTTTACTGGACGCTGTTTTGCCCGCATGTGTGACTTCAACAACTGCAACACTTTTTATAATATGAAGGTGGACAGAGCCAGAAGATGGGAAGCATCTGTGTCCTTAATAGCACTTTTAGCCACTGAACCAACCTTTGATCCTCTCTACCCACCAGACCCCTGATTTGGGAGACAATAAATATCCTAATTGTTCAAGCCACTTTTAAAAATAGACTATTTTTTAGAGAAGTTTTCGGTTCACAGAAAAGTTGAGCAGAAAGTAGAGCGATTTCCCACATACCTTCATCATCACACACGTACAGCCTCCCCCAATATCAACATCCCCCACTGTGGCGGTGCATTTGTTATAATCAATGAACCTACATTGGCACTAATCACCCTACATCCATCATTTACATTAGGCTTCTCTCTTGGTATTGTACATTCTATGGCTTTGGACAAATGCATAAGGACATGTACCCATTATTATGGAGTCATAAAGAGTATTCTCACTGTCCTAAAAATCCTCTATACTCTGTCTATTCATCCCTCCCTCTTCACTAACCCCTGGCAACCACAGATCTTTTTACTGTATCCACAGTTTTGCCTTTTCAAGAATGCCATATAATTGGAATCACACAGTATATAGTCTTTTCAGATTGGCTTTTTTCTCTTAGTAATATGCATTTAAGTTTTCTCCATGCTTTTTCATGGTCAAGCCACTTTTAAATACCATTTTATTAAAGTATGATTGGCATACCACAAACTGTACAAGGTTAGTGTATAATTTGATAAGTTTAAGCTTTTACGCATGTGTGTACCCGTGAAAACATCATCACAATCAAGCTAGTGAACATATCTATCATCCCCTGAAGTTCCTGGTGATCTCTTCCTCTTGCCCCTCCCCACTCCACCCCATCTCCAGCCACCACTCATCTGCTTTCTGTCACTATAGTTTGCATTTTTTAGAATTTTATAAATGGAATCATACAGTGCATCTTTTTTGTAAATTTTTTTTAACGCACTGGTATTATTTTGAGGTTTATCCATGTTGTTGGATATGTCAGTAATTTATTCCTTTTTATTGCTGAGTAGTATTCTTTTGTCTGAATATACTACAATTGTTTTATTCGTAAATCTGTTGATGGCATTTGGGTTATTTCCACTTTGGATCTATTAAAAGTAAACTTGCCATGAACATTTGAATATAAGTCTTTGTATGGGCATATGCTTCCATTCTTTTGAGGGAAACACCTAGGAGTAGAACAGCTGAATCAAATAGTAGCTGTATGCTCAACTTTTAAGAAATGGCCAAAGTTTTCTGAAACAGTGGTACTATTTTATAGTCCCTCCAGCAGTGTGAGAATTGCAGTTGCTTCATGTCTTCACCAACACTTGGTATGGTTAGTCTTTTTCATTTTAGCCACTCTAACAGATGTGTAGTGCCATATTGTTGTAGCTTTAATTTGCATTTGTCAGTGACTAATGATGTAGAGCATCTTTCTGTGTAATTATTTGCCATCCTTGTATCTTCTTTGGTAAAATGTCCATACTGGTCTCTAATTCATTTTTGATACAACTACCACAGTAACAGGATTTCTGTTAAGATTTGTCTTCTTTACAAAAAGTAATGCACATTCATTGCAGAAAAGCATCCTTAACTCTACCATTCAATGATAATTCTCTATCAATTTAATACAATTCAAATATTTTTCTAGTTTGTAATTTGATTTATAGATTTTTTTAATATAGAGGTTTTTAAAAATGCTATAACTCTTTGTCTTTGAAATTATACTTATAAAATTCCCCTCTTTCCACAAGTTTTGTTTGTTTGTTATGTTTTGGGGGGTATCCCATATAAACATTTCATCTATCTAATACATACTTGATAGATTATAAACCAGGGATAACTATAAACAAGGATTACACATAAACTTATAAACTAACTATAAACAACATGTCTTTTTTTTTCTCTTTTTAACCTGGCTTTTTTTCATGCACTGTAATTATCAATAGTTTGTTCCTTTTTATTGCTGAGTAGTATTCCATTGTAAAATATACTACAGTTTATTTATTCATCAATATGTTGATAGACACTTGGGATCTGTATTCCTTTCCTATTGATACTGTAACAAATTGCCAAAAAACAGTTGCTTAAAACAACACAAATTAATTTTCTTGAAGTTCTGGATGTCAAAAGTCTGACATGGGTCTTACAGGGCTAAAATAAAGGTGTCCACAGGGCTGTTTTTCTTTCTGGAGGTCTAGGGAAGAATGTGTGTTCTTGCCTTTTGCAGCTTCTAGAACACCACCCACATTCCTTGGCTAGTGTCCTCTTCTGAGCTTCAAAGCCTGCAATTGTCTCACTCTAACCTCTACTTCCATCACCATTTCTGTTTCTCTGAATATGAGGCCCTGCCCTCCTCTTGTACGAACCCTGGTGATTACCTTGGGCCCACCTAGAACCCAGACCCAGGATAATCTCTCAATCTCAAGATCCTTAATTCAGTCTTATCTGTTTGCTATGCAAAGTAACATGTTTACACATTCTGGGGATTAGGACATGGATCACTTTGGGGGACCATGATTCTGTCTACCACAGGATCTAATATTGCTTTTTGTCCAAATGGTTCAACAGTTGGCCCAATATTATTTATTAAATAATCCATATTTTCTTCACCGATTTGAAATTTCAGCTTTATCATATAAGAAATTCATATAAGATGTATTTTTTTTTCAGAACTTTCTATTCTGTTCCTCTGCTCAGTAGAATCAACTTTTTTTTTTTTTGAGACGGAGTGTCTCTCTGCAGCCCAGGCTAGAGTGCAGTGGTGTGATCTCAGCTCACTGCAATCTCCGCCTCCCATTCAAGCCATTCTCATGTCTCAGCCACCTACGTGGCTGGGATTACAGGCACATGCCACCACGCCCAGCTAATTTTTGTCTTTTTTAGTAGAGATAGGGTTTTGCAAAGTTGCCCAAGCTGGTCTCAAACTCCTGGGCTCAAGCGATCCACCTGCCTCAGCCTCCCAAGGTGCTGGGATTACAGATGTGAGCCCCTGCACCTGGCCTCAGTAGAATCAACTTGCTAATATGCACACCTGGTCCCCATTGCTGTAGTTTTCAGTTCAAACTCCTTCCCATGACTCTTGTGACCTACCTGACCCTCTCCTGCCTCTCTTTTCAGTTTCACTGTCTACCATGCCTGGTGGGCCTGCCACGCTCCCGCCAGGCCTAGGAGTTCAGTGATACAGTGTCCTGTCTAACTTGCATGTGACAAGCTAGTCACTAGGGCTATAGAAGAAACAAGCCACCATCCCTGACTTTGAGGAATTCCCAGTCTGGTGACCTACTCAAATATGTAAAATGAAAGTTTTAGTACAGAGATGTAATATGTAATAGAGGCAGTTTTAGCTCACCCACCAGAGTTACATACTTGTCAACCTTTCCTGATGTTTCCATTATGTTAGCATTCATTAAGAACCACCATGTTATGGCCGGGCGCGGTGGCTCACGCCTGTAATCCCAGCACTTTGGGAGGCCGAGGCGGGCGGATCACGAGGTCAGGAGATCAAAACCATCCTGGCTAACACGGTGAAACCCTGTCTCTACTAAAAATACAAAAAATTAGCCCAGCATGGTGGCGGGCACCTGTAGTCCCAGCTACTCGGGAGGCTGAGGCAGGAGAATGGCGTGAACCCAGGAGGCAGAGCTTGCAGTGAGCCGAGATTGAGCCACTGCACTCCAGCCTGGGCGACAGAGTGAGACTCTGTCTCAAAAAAAAAAAAAAAAAAAACCACCAGGTTATTAATTTCATCAAAAAGTTGTTCAAACATTTATCACATATGTTCAAAACTTGTAGTGTCCTTATCAGCATCTGAATGTCGATAATGATATATCTCACAGTTGTCCTTGGTAAAATTACTGCAGACATCCTGAGCTCACCTTGAAAGGCTGTCTGGTAATTCTTCTCAGGCCACATCAGCTGCCTGTTGGCATCATATCCAGCAACCAGGGTAGGAAATGCTATAATCATTTTTCTAGTCATGATAGACCCTTTTCTCACTATTGAGTGGTGTGTTCTCAAGCAACTCACTTAACTGCTCTGTGTTTCTATTTGTCCACAGCAGTGTTGCAGTGTATAACCAGGTGAGTCATTTCTAGCGTTACAGCTTTATTATACCATAAACCCTATTACTAAACATTATTAAATGTGTGGGTCAGAGTGACATCAAGAGTTGTAGCCTCTTCCAGTGCCCTCTCCTTAAATTCATAAGATGTGATCATTAACCTCATTTGACTCCTGAAAACATGGGCTCTGCACATGGTGGGATAACATCTGAAATGCTTCTTGATCACAGCTACAGAGCAGCGGTGGACCCAATTCCACGGCACGCAGTGGAGGAGGCATCACTGCAGAAAGTTAGGACTCCAGTTTGTAGAAGGGCCCAGACTGAGGCTGGGCAGAGACTCTGCCAACTAACAGGTCAGAGTACTTGGGATCAAGGTTCAAAATGGAAAGTTCAGTTAGATAGAAGATGGAAACTTTACAATAAATGTGTAAGACAAGAAGGGAGTCGGGGAAGTATTTACGTCAAAATTGAAATATAATTTAATATGATATCTTCATAGTATGGAGCCATAAATAGAAATTAGGCAGCTCTTTATATACTGAAATGGAATGATCTCCAAGAAATACTAAGTGTGAAAAAATACTAAGTGGGGAAGAAAAATGAGGAGTAGAATGATGTGTATTGTACACAGCATTTGTATAAAAAAGGTAAAAAAGAATATATAGGCATATTGTTTTTATCTTTCTCTGTTTCCATCTCTGAAAGGATAACCAAGAAACTAATTAACTGTGGTTACCTCTGAGTAGGGACTTGGGGAGCAGAAGGACATAGGTTGAGGAGGGGACTTCTCATTGAATTCCTTTTGGTATATTTTGAATTTTGAATCACATGAACTATTGCCTATTTGAAAAATAAATAACATAAAAACTCCAGCAACAATAATAAAAATTAAAATTAACTACTGTATTAGTCTGTTTTCACACTGCTATAAAGAACTACTCGAGACTGGGTAATTTATAAACAAGAGAGGTTTAATTGGCTCACAGTTCTGCATGGCTGGGGAGGCTCAGGAAACTTAGAATCCTGGCGGAAGGCAAACGGAAAGCAAGGCACGTCTTACATGCGGCAGGACAGAGACACAGCAGGGGAAACTGCCACTTTTAAGCCATCAAGGTCTCGTGAGAACTCCCCCACCATCAGGAGAACAGCATAGGGAAAATAACCCACGATCCAATCACCTCCTACCTGGTCCCTCCCTCCACACCTGGGGATTACAATTTGCGACGAGATTTGGTTGGGGACACAGAGCTAAACCATATCAACTACAAAATTATATTAAAGTTACATAATTAATAAATTGTAAGTATATGTTAATTACTAATTAATAAATATGTATATATTTATATAACTATAGACATCCATAGCTTACTATAATATAGATACTGGAAAAATAAATAATAAAGCAGATGGACTTGCATTTGAAGGCAGTCACTAGCTGGGTGGTCTTGGACAAGCCATTTATTCTCTGTGATGCCTCTGTTTTTTGTTCTGAGCTAAATAATATTTATTATTGTTGCACAGATTAAAGGGGAGAACGGTTAACTGGCCGGCACAGCACACAGTGGCTGTTCCACATGTCAGCCCTGGACCCACTGTCTTGGGAGAAGATGATCCAAGGACCCCAGGGACGCTGGGGCGGAGACGGGTAGAGGCGACAAAGCCTCCTGGGGCGAGGAAAGTGTCCTTAGGACACGCGAGTCTCCCCCTGGGGAAGCAGCGGTTTTGTGACTCTGGCCCGGAAGCCTGGAGAGTTCGTGCTGCTGTGAGGCTGTCTTCATAGCGTATGTTCCTTAGGCCATCAGCAGGATATATGCTGCATTCGCGGAGCCCCAGGCGCCTGCCCCTGCCTAGTCTCCACGGCTGTGGCTGGGCCCGCAGTCTGGAAGCCAGAAGGGGCTCCCTAGCGCCCCCCGCGGCCAGATTTCTCCTCTTCCTTCCAGTAGTCGGGCGGCCGGGGAGGGCCTGGCGGGCCGGGTGTTGGTGGCCTTTCCAGTCACCCTTGCAGTTCCTCATTCTAGAGATGAGAAGGGCTCATGAATCAGTTCATGGGTCATGGAATAGGGAAGTGGCCTCTTCTTCTCCTAGGCTTTTTTTTTTTCTTTTTTTCTTCTGGGTAAAACTGAGGCACCAAAAAGCCTGAGTCACAGGTGCAGGGGCTTAGAGCAGGGATAGGTGCTAAGCTTCTAGGAGCTTCGGCCCCCACCCAGCCCCTGACCCGCAGCCTAGGTCCTTCTTCCTGGGGCCTCACTTTTAAAAATCAAATTCAATAAGGGGGAACAAAAAATGGAAAGAAAGATTTCAATAGAAGATTGAAATAAAACTTGTTTTTTCATCTGGTTTCTGTAGGGTCCCCTCATCCCCCCACACCCCTTCCCTGTGCCCAGTTGTTCATTTGAAACCACAAAATTAGCAGAAAAATTAAAACAATATTACTGTCCTAATTTAATTGTTTCTTCTCTATAGGCATCACAGCTCTCTCAGCCTGGCCTCCTTGAGTACCTTGAAGAGAGCCAGATTTAGAAGAAATATGACTTCAGCTCTCAAGATGGGAAAACATCTAGCCAAGAGGCAGGGATTCTGGAAAATTGCTAATAAATTGTTACTTCCTGCTATTAAAAGGATCGATAAGATAAGGCCAGAAATGACTGATGAGAGGGCTTTGTGCTTCGGGGACTAATGGGGGAAGAGGCGCCTGACAGCTCAGAACAGACTGGCTGGGACAGTGCATGCCTGTTCACCTCCTTCAGCAAAAACTCCAGTAGCTTCATTCATTGCTTTGACGATCAGTAGTTATTGATGGTGGTTATGAATAATTAAATCAATTGGCATGCTGGGGAGCTCAGATATCGGGGAAATTGCATTATATATGTCTGTAGCATTGAAGATGCACCAATGTGCCTCTTCTGTAATTTTTATTTGTGATGCTGTCTTGGGGCAGAACTGGGGTAGGAGGTGTTGGATCCTTGTGGGGCCGAATCGAGACAGGAAGGAACCCAGGCAGACAGCTGGCTCTGCCTCCACCACAGCCTTGCCCAGCTGCCCTGCATGCCTGCCCAGCTCCTGCATTTTGTTCCCTGTCCCTTTGTAGGCAGCCCTGGGGGAGGCAGCATGGTCTTCACAGCCAGAGGCATAGTTGGTGAAGTAGGCTCTTCTGTCGGACTAACTTCTCTTCCAGCCAGCAAGAGCGAGAACCTTCCCAGAACCAAGAGTGAGGCACCATGCATCCAACAGCCTGATCTTTCAGGCACACACATCTCTGTCCCTCTTCTTCCCTTTTTTCTGCTGGTCAAGTTGTACCAGCTGATTCCAGGGTGCCCTAGGAGCCTTGTTAGCTGAAAGTTCTTCTTGTCCCCTCCCATTCTTCCGCAGGATTCTCCCCACTTAAATATTCCTGAATGCCTTAAAAACCTCCCTCTTTCTGCCCAACCTGTGCCCCAACATGTAGAAGGACCTGTGTTTGCATTCTCAGGGATATCCCAGGGGATCTGCCTCCTCTGCAAAGAGCAAGGCCACAAGATTATGTGACATGAGTGGGCTGCCAGGCAGGGCCAGAGCTGGGGAGGCTGGGTGGGTAGAAAACCTCAGAACCTGTATTCAGCCTGAGGATGAGCCATCTTTGGGCAAAATGACAACACAGGCAAATCATTTGTGGCTCCTTTACCATCCTCCCTACTTTCTATTCCAAATGCCCTTCAATGCCTCCCTCTTCTGCTTCAGGGAGTTCTGGATTTTGCTGTGTGTGTGTTTTCTTTTTGTTTTTTTTTCAGGCAGTGCCTGGGTTCAAGGCAACTTCCTACCCTTTCTCCCAGCCCAAACTAACCCAGCCTCCTTTCAGCAAGGCTTCACATCCAGCCAGCAGCCATGCTCACCAAACAGCTGGGATGTCATGGGCTTAGTGTAATAATTCAGCAAATTGAAACCACCTTTGCAAAATTATGACCGTAAGAGAAATCTGACATGGCTGACTCCATCTTGCTTCTAGCTTCACAGGCGGGCTGTCTTTGCACATTCCTGGGTATGGGCCAAACTAACTTTGGGAGAAATTTAATTTATAGTTTAAATGGTAATAGCCCTTCCCCCAAACTAAAGTGCCCTTGTAAAACTAATGAAAGGCCACCGACTTAGGAGATGAGAAGGGCCTGAATTCTAAATAACTACCAGTCATTATTCCGGAGGTCATAGGATTTGCAACCTCCCCAGTTACTCTTGCAGAATACATCACTATCATAGAACCTAAGATAGGCTTTTTGAGATGTCTTTTCAGGTTTTTGCATTTCTGAAAACTGGATGGCCCTAACTGGTGACTCGACCAGTCCGGTGGCCCCCACCCAGAAGCAGACTGAGTGCCTGAGGACCATTGTCCACACCCCTATAATTGCATCTGCAACCAATCAGCAGCACCCATTGCCTAGCTCCCTGCCCACCAAATTATCTCTGGAAAACCCCTAACCTCTGAGGCTCACAGGAAATTGATTTGAGTAATAATTCTGTCCCCCACGTGGTGTGGCCAGCCTCTCATCAATTAAACTCTTTACTGCAATGCCACCGTCTCCATGAATTGATTTTGTTTGTGTAGCAGGCAAGAAGAACCTCTCAGGTAGTTACATAGTGGCTAATGAGTATCAAGTGTGTGCAGTGGATGACTTCTCAGAAGGTTTCTATACATTCTTACTCCTTCATATACAGTGATTAATTAGACATTGCATAATCTGGTTTCTCTTCAGATTGTATAAATCTTTTGCCTTTTTAAAGGAGGCATTGCTCACCCTACCATGCAGGTGGGCATCTTGAGGAGTAGAGGCACCTCTTGCGCAAGGCTACACATCGCCCATGTTCTGGAGCCCAGATCTGGCCCCAAAGCCTGGGCTGTGTCAACACCTCACCCCTACTCTTCCTGAGGGGCCTCAGGAAGTTGAATCTCTAACAAGGGCAGTTAAGGAGCCATAGCAGGGGAATGGCAGGGAAGTGTTATAGGGCCCACATCACTCCAACTGGTTACATCCTTGACATTTGCTGAGCTTGGCAGGACAGACCGCAGGAAAGCCAGGCCCTGAGGAGATTGTGGCTGGGGAGTGACGGACACCAAAGACCAGCAGCTTCTCAAATCAACCTAGGGCTACCTTGTCTACTTGAAACAACACTGGTGGGCCCTTGATCCAGGGAAAGTCAGCCTAAAACAGGTGATATAAACAGAGCCTAAATAGATCATCACAGGCAATCAAGAGGCCTGGCCTTTCTGATGGGTGACTCCAGGGTATTGAAGGCCCAAGGAGGGGTTGGGTGGCAGGTTGCAGACATGGAGGTCTGCCCACCTCCAGGGCCCAAGCCCAGCCTTCAGGAGACCCACGCTCCTGGAGTTCACCCTACCCCACCCAGCTTGCAGGAGGTCAGCGCAGCCTGGACCCCTGCAGAGTCCACAGACTTCTAATCTGCGTTCTGTGCTGTGGAGCAGCCGCTAACATAGGCAGCTGGCAGTGCGCCACAAAGCAAGTTAGGCAAATGTGGAGACTGGCTGCCAGAGACAGCTGCGTGTCCTCTTACCTGGGGACCTAATTTAGTGGGGGCACAGAGAAATTTATCCACACCTGCCCAGAAGCGAGGCCACGTAGATAGATAGTGAGCAGGGCACAGGCTCTGGTTAGATCCTAGGAATTCCCTGCCAGCAGGCAGGAGACAGGTTTGTGAGCTATTGGGTCCCACAGGGGTTGAACAGGTGGCTGAGCATTTTAGGAAGAGGCCTGTCATCTACACTTGGCCTGAAGGTGGCAGCTCTTCCCATGTCTGCGGAGGGCTGGGAATTTCATTCTCTGAAGCTCTTTAAAGTAGGCCAGCTTCTCTTTCCACTGCCTGGAACGTCTCCAGCCTTTGGAGATTATGAAACAGCCTCATTTCTGATTTCAGAGATTTGTTGGTGGAATCATCCACACCAGCCGCCGCTCCAAAGCCTGGGATGGCACAGAGCAGCCCCTGGCGAAAGGACCACTCCCCAAAGGGCTCATAATGCTGAGTGGGGGCACCCTCAGAGCCAGTCTGTGTGGATGAAAATGCCCGTTATGCCTCTTGCCAGTAGTGAGGGTTTTGCCCAGTGACTGAGCCCTTCCGAGGTTGGGAATCAGAATCCAGGTGATTTCCTCCCTGTCTTCCTGGTCTCTTGCCTTCCTCACAAACAGGTCACCTCCAGGAGTCTTCAGGCACGATGGTTTAGAAAGATAAAGATGGAGCCTGTGAAGGGATGGAAGCACCCATTGGTCCAATGGGATCCATTAAGTGGGTATCTGGCAGTCGGCATGCAGGGGAGCCCACAGTGAGGCCACCCCCTGAACACTCTGCGCCTCTGAACTGCAGGGCGCACTCTGCTGGACATGCTCGGGACTGCAGCTCCATCCTCCCAGGAATGTTTACTAATAGTAATAATAATTACATCCAACACTTATTGATGCTAAGTGTGCCTGACGCTTTTTTTTTTTTTTTTTTGAGACAGGGTCTCGTTCTGTGACCCCAGGCTGGAGTGCAGTGGCACAATCATAGCTCACTGCAGTCTCAAACTCCTAGGCACAAGCAATACTCCTGCCTTAGCCTCCTGAGTAGCAGTGACCACAGGTGCATGCCATCACGCCTGGTTAATTCTGGCTATTTTTTGTACAGACAGGGTCTCACTTTGTTGTCCAAGCTGGTCTCAAACTCCTGAGCTCAAGCAATCCTCCCACCTCGGCCTCCCAAAGTGCTGAGATTACAGGCGTGAGCCACCACATCCAGCCTGGCACTCTTCCAGGAAATTTATATCTACTACTTTGTTTAATGCTAACAAAGGCCCTGTACTGTTGATACCCAATTTTATATGTGAGAAAACCGAGGCACAGAGAAGTTAGAGAAATTGTTCAAATTCATATAGCTGGTAAGTGGCAGTTCTGAGATTCAAACCCAAGGCAATCTGGTTTGGCTTAAGAGAGTATTTTAAAAGGCTAAACTGAAGTGCCTCTTAAAGACACAGTCAGCACCACTGTTGACAGAAGCCAGGTGCAGAATTATGAAGAAGCAGGTTCCACGGACCCAAGTCTGTTCTGTGTACAGAGCACAGAGACCTGTCACTTCACCACTAGTCTAGAATAGGTGCTCTGCAGTCCAGGTGACAATCAGCAGAGCAAAAGGGCAGCCTGTCTTTGGGGCTGGAGAGAATGAAGCTGAGGAAGCTCATTTCCAGGGTGCTGGGCCACTCCTGAGCTGCCCCCATCAACACCCGAGCTCTGTAATTCTGCTCCAAACCCTGAAATGATACAGTGAAAGCCCCTGACAAGACAGAAGACCCTGGGGAGAATAGCTGCAGAAATGGAATCACAAGTGCCAGCTGCAGGTGGGAGCCACATAAACATTAGAATGGAAATTAAGTTGGAGAAGAGACAGCTCAGAATGGACTTTGGGGACTGCTTTTCTTCGTTCTGTAGATTGCCTTTCAAAGAGAAAATTAAACACTAAACATAAAGCAAATGTCCAAGGGAAGAGGGAATCTGCTTTCCTGCTGGTACCCTGGATGTTCTGGGCTGGGCCTGCCTCTGAGGCCCCCATCAGGCCGGAAGCCTAGAGTCCTTGGCCCCCTTCTGTGGACACTGTGGGTGGAAAGGTGCAATGAAGGCCTATTTCATAGAACTAACCTGCAGCAAAGACTCTGTGCACTATGAAGTGTTCAGGGTTGGGGGAGGAGGCAGCCCAAATCCATCAGCTGAAATCATTAGAGCCACTAATTGCTGCCTGGGATGAGCTAAGCTCTAACCGGGACTTTTATGAACCAGCAGAATTCCCAGGGAGCCCACAGGGCTGCGGCATCTCAGCGTCCTCCTCCTGCAGAACACCAGCAGCCACTGTGCTAATCAGCCTGTCCTCAGCCTGCCTGTCTCTTTCCTCCCAGACCTCAGTTTTGTTCCTAGCGTCTTGCAGCCTAATTATTCCTGGAGGTTGGGGGAGGGGGTGCATGGAGAGGTTGGACTCATAATTATATTAAGAGCTTTTGACAGGACCAACCTTTCTGTCTTCTATTTCTGTCTTGTTGAAATTCTACTGTGCCGCGTTAATGGGTGAAATAAATGTGAGGGGAAGGATCCATCAGCCCTTTCTGGAAACAGGGGAGGCAGCGCAGTGCATTGTGTGCCCAGCGCTCGTGTCCATGGCAAGATTTATGGCTTGTTCTCTTGACTAATAGGAAAACTGCCCAGACTTAAATGAGGAGGAAAAAAAAAAATCCCATGTTGTCTCACTCAGAGTTAAGTTTATTACATTCAATTTTATCCCAATCTCAAACCATAAAACAAAATGGGGCCCCCAGAAGGTATCTGGTCGACCCCTGTTTCTATTTCATGGGCTGGCTCTTTCCTGGCACCCCTGCTCTTGTCTTGACCTGCCCTGTGGTAGTTTGTCTTGTTGGGTATAAACAGGTTAGTGCTGGGAAAGTCAAGGCCACTGGCCAAGGCCTTCAGCTGGAAAGCGGCCAAGGCTCTGACTGTCCACCATCCCCAACACTGGCTTTTCTGACCTCAAGGGGAGTTAACAGTGTGAGCACATAACGGTCAGCACAGCAGGACTCAAGCAGAAAGCAGGGGAGTTGGAGGTAAGAAGGCCTTCTTGTGTGATAATAGCACCGTGGACAGATAGCCATCTGCTCTTGCTGGAGACCCTAACAATAACTAACATTATCAATCATCATAAGCCAGGGCCTGAGTTAAGCACATGGTGTGGCTTATCTAATTTAAGCCTCATGAAAACCCTGTGAATTAGGCACCATTATTAGTCTGTTTTATAGATGGAGGACAGACTTAGAGAGTTTAAGTAACTTGTCCAGTGCTATATGGATAGTAACTCTCATAACTGGGTTGTATTCATAACTAAGGTTTGAACTCAGACAATCTGATGCCTACACTGTTAGCCCCCGCATAAAATTGCCAATTTTGCACCCAGGGATGGAGAGAAAGAGTGGAGGAGCAAAGAGAGAGTCAGGCAGAGTCATCAACATCCCCATGTTTCTGGCACTCCCTGGGAAATATCTCGGGGTCTCCAACTTTGACTTCTGTCCTCCTTGACTGCTCTCCTTTCTGCTCTTCTCAGAAAGATCTTCATCAGGGTTTGGTGGGCTCTAAAGGGGTCTCAGAGAGGACCACAGCCCTTGACAAGTTTGCTCCTGAAAGTCTATCAACTTTAGTTCGTGTTTTGTGCCTGACCATTGATCTAATATTTTAGTTTGGAGAAATAAAACACCAATTTTACATGACTCTCATCATTCCAGGAGTTTTATTATCACATCCAAGAGCCTTGTGTCTGGTGCTTACTAATCAATAGAACCCACCTGACCAGGGCATCACAAGGTTTGCTACTGCTTTATTCTGTCCCATAAGAACTTGCATTCATCAAGAGTATGCTTGGCTGCAGGTTATAGAAAGCCTGACTTTCAGGGGCTTAAAAAGAAAGGAGGTGTATTTGTTGCACATACCAAGAAGCCTACAGCTAGGCAGCTGATGGTGTAGATCCGGTGGCTCAGTGATGTCAGGGCCACCTGCTCTTGGCCTTTCTTACAAGTTTGCAAGATGGCTGGTGCTACTCTAGGAATGTGACCTCATTAAACCAAGAAGAAGGCGGGAAGAGGTGGAGTTAATGGCATCTATCCCTTTCCTCAGAAAAAGCAACAGCCTTCCCAGAAGCTCCTAATGGACTTCTGCTGACATCCCATTGGTCAGAACTGTCATGTGATCAGACCAGGGACTGAGAAAGGAAGCAATTGCCCTTTGTAAAGAGACGCCCAGCATAAGGGAGCAGGATTATCCACTGAGTCAATCAACAAAGAGTGTCTGCCAGAGGAGCCACTTCTCAAATACTGTCTAGAGCCACAGTTCCCACCCAGGCTCTGCTGCTAGCTACTAGCTATGTGACCTGGAGAGTCACCTAATCTATGAAGTCTCAATGTCCTCGTTTGTAAAGTGGAGGTGATAGCAGCTGCTCAACAAGCTTGTTCTGAGACTGAAACAATCTAATAAATGTGAAAGCACCACGCCAATGCCTGGCACATGTCGTACAGCTGGATCCCAATCAGACTTAACAGGGACAGCTGGCGGCCAAAGAACCGAGCAGGACTTCTCCATGCCCCTTGCCCTTTTCCTGGCTGTCTTCCCACTCTCTGCCTGCCACATGGAGTAGCCCTGGCTTGATAAGTTCCTAAGATGAATGTCAGAGAACCACAGAAAAAGCCAGTAGAGGACAGTGGTTCAGAGCAAGGACCTCACGCTCAGACAGGCCTGAGTTTGAATCCTGGCTCAGCTCCTTACAGCTGTGGCCCATGGGGAAGTTACTTAAGTTCCCAGAACCCTCACTCTCTAAAGTGAGGTATCATTAGTTGTTGTGAAAAATAATGCAATACTGCTTATAAAACACGGAGTCAGACATCTAGCGAAAGTTTGAGTAATTGTTAATGTGAGAGGTGTGAACTCCTCCAGTACTATGCTACCTTCAGGTACGAATCAATCCCAGTCTTAACCTTGCTGAACTGGAAGGAAGTTCGGCAGAAGTGTCCGCCTGGGTTCGAATGCCAGCCCAGTCCCTCTGTGAGCCTGAATTTGTTTATCTGCACAATGAGGTAGAGCCTTCCCCACTGGCTACCTGGGAGATCTGGAGACAGCCCTGGAAAAGCCCCAAGCCCAGAGCCAGGCACAGAGGAAGAACTCAGTGGGCCATTGCTGTTCTTACTACCGGAACCTTCATCGGTGATGCTTGGCAGTGCCAGACATGGCTTGGGGCAGAGGTGCTTGGTATCACTTCTGAAAGGCAACTTGGAGATTTCTCTGGAATTCTTTGACAGGGCCCCTGTTGATGAAATGTGACAGCACCACGGCACCTGGGGCTCAGCCATAACCCTAGACAAGTAGAGCAAAGAGGAATGACACAGGCAGTCATGCCAGCCCTGCTCTTGGGGCCTGCGATGGCACAGGAAGCAAGCTGATGATGACAGGGATTGCCAGGGGCCACACCCACTCGGAAGCACCAGTGATTCGCTTTATGAATCTTCCTAAAGGGGTCTGGGGAACTTTGTGGGTGAGGGGAAGAAAACAAAATGCTTTACGATTTCTGTGTGAGTCTTTCCACACACACTCCCTCAATTCTACTGGGTCAGGTAAATCTCACAGTTTTTCTTCTCTGTGATTTAAGGGATAAAATATTAGGGAAGACAGACCTTTGCCCCATATATCCAGAAATAACATCTTCATTCCTGGCGATTCTGTGAATTGATTTCTACTGGGAGTTTATAGGTTCACTCTGCATGCCACCAGAATGGGGTATGGGAGGACCAAGGAGCCACCAGCCCAGGGAGCAGACACAGATTTTGTTTGCAGTATGCAAAGGTTGAAGCTAATGCTATTTTAGGTACCTCCTAGATGCATTATTTCTTTATTTACCAGTAGTTAAAATAGGCCTTGTTTCACCCACGTTTGCTTTGCATGTACTCTTCCAAACTGTTAATAGTAGTTAGCAAGGACTTTGCACATGCATTTTCCTATTCAACGTATGTAAGAGTTGGCTAGTCGTATGAAAATTGGAGAAATGAGGAAACTGAAGTGCAAAGAATTATTATACAACTTTTCTAAAGTCACAAGTAGAAAACTGCAGAAAGGGCTCAAACCCAGGTCCTCAGACTCAGCTCTTTTTTACAATACCATTTTGCATAATTCATTAGCAAGTTTTGCGCCCATGCATGGTATCACATTGCCTATCTGTGCCTTGGCTTCCTCATCGGGGGCAGCATAGCCTCACAGCTCAGAATATAGGATCTGCGACTTGGCCATTACCAGCTCTGTGACCTTAGCACTTCACAGAGTGATACGGCTTGAATGTTTATTCACTCTAAATCTCCGGTTGAAATGTAATCCCCAGTGTTGGAGGTGGGGCCTGGTGGGAGGTGATTGGATCATGGGGGCAGATCCCTCATGAATGGCTTAGAGCCATCCCCTTGGTGATGAGTGAGTTCTCCCTCTGAGTTCATATAAGATCTGGTTTAAAAGTGTGTGGTCCCCTCCCCCACTGCCTCTCTTGCTTCCTCTCTCACTTCCTCTCTCTCCATGTGACTGCTCCCCCTTTGCCTGCTCCTGCTTCACCTTCCACCATGATTGCAAGCTTCCTAAGCTCCCACCGGAAGCCAAGCAGATGCTGGCACTGTGCTTGTACGGCCTGCAGAACCGTAAGCCAATTAAACCTCTTTTCATTGTAAATTGCCCAGCCTCAGGTATTCCTTTATCTTAACACAAGAATTGACTAACACCAAGTTTGTTGTTTTGTCATCAAAATGGGGATAGCGACCACCTTACAACTGCCAGGCACATACCATATGCTCAATAAATGGTGTCGTGTACTATTACATTAATAATAATATTCTCTAGGTCAGTATTATTTAACAGTGTGTCACCAACAGGGATGACCCTCTGGTACTTTATGTATGCATTTATTTGAATTGATCTATTTAAACATTAGATAGGTACTTAATTTAAATGCAAGCCTCCAGAGTTCAGGGACCATCATTCTACTCTGATACCCAACCTCTTCCTCCTTCCTCATCTCCAGGGCACCTGCCTTATACATGTCTATCAATTGGACTTAAATTAGGTGACAAAAGGCTTGATGTACATGTGTATCCAGGCAGTCAGAAAAAACGAATATCCATAAGAAAACCCACAAAAAGCTAAATGAATTCATTCTAACAACTTTTGAGTAGAGATCGTGAAGAAGGGGTTGGAAAGACTAGACCCATTGGCTTTGAATAAATGTTTAACGTTGATCTGGATGTTCTGTCCTCAGGCAAAGCCAGGAATCAACTCTGGCCAAATCTCTACATATGGGTTCTCCAGCTGTGCCCCATGAAAATGAAACGGCTTATCCAATAACGTGCCTCACCATTGTTTTTCTTGTAGAATAACAGGCAGGCATCTGTTTAGGCAGGAAAAGAAAAGACATGCAAAAGTGAAGAAGTTCCTGTTGAAAGTGCATGATGTCATGTATAGCTCTTAGTAAGTGAAAATCGTGTCTTTGCAGGAAACCTCGTTCCAGCACAGATGGTCCTGACTGACAACCCCAGCCAGCCTTGGGAGCAATAGTTGAGATAAATCTAAAATTATAGGGTCTTCCCACAAAGGTGAGAAAAGGTGATATTTGAAGAAGAAAAGGTAATTTAAACTGGAATGTTTATACCCAAATTATTGGGCTCCCTTTGCCTCTCTTTTTTTCTTCCATTAGATTCATTTTGTTCTCGAAAGGGAAATTTTAAAACACTGTACCTTGCTCATGGTGGTGGAGCAATAATTTTTTTTCTAAATTGAATCAATCATTTCATTTTCCATTCATGCCTTCTCCTGCCCTCCAGCAAGTAACTCTCTCTCCAGTGCTGACACAGAACCAGAGATGATCACTCCCAGTGGGGAGTGTCTGTGGATCAGAATCACTAGCTCCATCCCATTCCCATCCTTCCATTCAGTGATGATGGAAAGTGCTCAGAGACTACGAGGCAGGCGTGTGCACTCAGATGCATGGGTCCTTACCTACAGCTGTGTGAACCTGGATGAGTTACTTAACCTTTCTGAGCTTCAGAATCCTTATTGGTAAAATGGTAATACCTCATAAGGTTGTCATGAGACTTGGGAGATTTAAGACAGGCAAAGTAAACCAGGTGCTGTGGCTCAGGCCTATAATCCCAGCACTTTGGAGAGCCAAGGTGGGAGGATCACTTGAGGCCAAGAGTTTGAGACCAGCCTGGACAACATAGCAAGATCCTGTTTCAATGAAAAAATTTAAAAATTAGCCAGAATGGTGGTACATGTCTGTAGTCCCAGCTACTCAGGAGGCTGAGGCAGGAAGGTCTCTTGAGCCCAGGAGTTGGTGAAACTGCCTTTGCAAAGATTATGACAGTGAGAGAAATATGGCATGGCTGACTCCATCTTGCTTCTAGCCTCTCAGGCTGGCTGGCTGGCTTTGCTCATTCCTGGGCATAGGCCAAGCTAATCATGGAAGGAATTTAACCTTGAAGCAAGGATAATAATAGTCCCTCCCTAAAACTAACTCCCTCCTTGCTCAGGGACCAAAAACTAATGAAAGGCTATGGGATTAGGATTATGGGAGGGACCTGAATTCTGCTAAAATGTAGACATAGTTTCTATAATCCCTAAGTGCTCAGGAGTCATATAATCAGAGGGCACAAGATTTGTGACTTTCCCAATTGCTCCTATAGATAGACCCCACCTGGACCCATGACTCATGACTCAGCCAATCCTGTGGCCCCCACTCAGAGGCAAACTCAATGCTCAAAGACTGTTTCCCACACCCCTGTGATTTCATCCCCAGCCAATCAGCAGTTCCCATTCCCTAGCCCCTCTGCCCACCAAATTGTCCATAAAAACCCCAGCCTCTGAGTTCTTGGGGAGACTGATTTGAGTGATGACTTCATCTCCCACATGGCCAGCCTCCCATCAATTAAACTCTTTCTTAATTGCAGTATCATGGTCTCAGTGAACTGGTCTTTTCTGTACAGTAGGCAGGAAGAACCCACTGAGTGATTACACTAGAGGCTGCAGTGACCTGTGATCCCTGCCACAGCACTCCAGCCTGGGTGATGAACTGAGAACCTGTCTCTAAAAAAAAAAAAAAAAAAAAAAAAAAAAAAAAAAAAAAAAAAGACAAGCAAAGCATGCTTCCAGCAGTTATTGACAACCATTATTAGACATAGTAGGCATAAATTGTAAGGTAGTCTCATATATTCCCCTGTTCACATGCTCCCAGACCCTGAGGTGTGTCCTCACCACTGTGTGTGCTCATTTTGGACTGTGTGTGCCCTCTGGGCACAAAAGCCACCACACCAGGCCATCTCAGAGAAGGATTTACTGAGGCCCAGACGGGTGGCTTTGTCAGCCAACCAAGAGCCAGGCCTGGAGGTCAGGTGACCTCATTCTCAGGCCCATATTTATTAGCCACCTTAAGGATTTTAAATTTTGGCAAAGGATGAAGCATTCTCAAGATCCAAGTCACATGAAGCAGAGTCTGGTTCTGTGTGTTTGTTTAAATGAAGCAGCTTATGACATGAGTATTCAATTTCTGTCATCTGTTCTAAATTTAAGCATGCAAAATGTCAAGTTATCTCACTATTTTGCTTGAGTTAAAAAAAAAGATTTAGATTTATGGCTGAATGTTATAAGAGCTTCTGCTTCATTTCAAATCCTGACAGGCCCCGCAAAAGAAGCAATTGACCAGTAAGTCCCTTCCTGAGCCTAAGGTCAGTGTGCTGGTCCTGGAATGCACATTAGCAACAAGATCCAAACCTTCTGTCCAGCCACCTCTGGAGGGAGGGTCTGGATGCTCCAATTGCTCCTGCACCACCTGTGCTCCCCACCCATGCCTCTCCCCAGCTCCCTCCCCTACTCCTCTCCAGGGAGAGCTCCATACCAAGGGCTACCTCTGAGCACCTCCAAGGCCAAGAGCTTGGAGCTCCTCCAAGACCTGGAGGACTGAATCCTCCTGGCCCTCAGCAACTTGCCCCTGGGGCAAGAGGATGTTTCTACAAAGGTGCCCCACCTGAAAGGACACCCTGGACTTAGGGCTGAGGCCCAAGGGACAGTGCCTGGCTTTAATATCCCAAGTTACTTTCCAGTGTCCCTCGATGTCTGCCACTTAAAGATAGCATCAGGTAAAATATGCATCTATTGGTTTTGTTTTCTTAGATAATAGCTTTTAATACCATGCCATTGCCTTATCAAAGACCTCATAAGAAAGCTTTGTGATAACTAAAAATTCTCTAAACAGACAAAGGAAATGGCACTTGGAATCACTGTTTATTCATTTTCTAACAAGGCCTGGTTACACCCTCTGTCTGGTATAGATAAGAAAACTTACTTTTTGTGTAACTTAGAGTCAAAATTGCAGAACTCTGCGGTGTATCTGATACTTTCTCAACCTGATTAATGGTGTTGTGGATCATAAATTGTCAACTCCCCCCCAACCTCAACACCACAAGAGCTGCAGCAAAAGCCACCCAATCTAAAGCCATCCCCTGATGGAGCACGCAGTTGCACTCTCATCTCTTCATTTTAATTATCAGCACATTACACTCCGATAGTTTCCTTGTTTGTTTATCTTCTGCCTCCAAAACACAAGAATGTAAACTCCTAAGTCAATCTCATCCACAGCAACGGCCACAGAGTCCAAAACAATGAGGTGCTCAACACCTAGTTCTCTTTGCAGCTTTAACTCTTGTTATCTAGGCAAGATCAGGAAGCCAGTGGAGAGCTAGAAGAGGAAGGAAAGTACCATAGGAGAGAGGGACATAAGGATATCCATTAAGGAAAGGAAGCTGTATCCAGGAGAAAGCCAAGGAGGGAAAATCTAAGAAATGTCATTCTCCCCCATTCTCCGTTTCTGAACCTACTAAAATAAGTAAGAATTTCAAGAATGAACTGAGCTTTTCCATCAAGCTGCTTTGCAGGTGAGCTGCCTAATGTCTACATGATCCTCTTTCCCATTCTCTGCAACCATGGCTCAAACCAGCTGCTGGAACCCAGTCTTCCCTCTGTTTCCATCAACCCCTTACCTAGCTGCCCCATGCCGTGGGCATCAAAGGCCACACCAGCCAGCTGATAGAAGCCTAACAAACTATGCCTACTGTATTAGTCTGTTCCCACACTGCTGATAAAGACATACCCAAGACTGGGTAATTTATAAAGGAAAGAGGTTTAATTGACTCACTGTTCCACATGGCTGAGGAGGCCTCACAATCATGGTGGAAGGGGAAGGAGGAACAAAATCCCGTCTTACATGGCGGCAGGCAAGAAAACTTGTATAGGGGAACTCCCCTTTATAAAACCATCAGATCTCTTGATGGTTTTATACCTATTCACTACCATGAGAACAGCACAGCAAAGACCCGTCCCCATGATTCAATTTACTCCCACCAGGTGTCTCCCACGACACATGGGAATTATGGGAGCTACATTTCAAGATGAGATTTGGGTGGGAACATGGCCAAACCATATCACCTACCTACCGAAACTGAGAATGAAAATTACTGCATAGGTGTTACACACTGACATTCAGAGACATGAGTCAAGAGAGATGACACAGGGGCAGTGAGTGAGGCCTGGGGCAGTGCCTGGGAGAACTATCAAATGGAGCAATGTATCAGTCAGCTCCAGCTGCCGTAATAGAATGCCACAGACTCAGCTCTTTTTTTTTTTTTTTTTTACTATACTTTAAGTTCTAGGGTACATGTGCACAATGTGCAGGTTTGATACATATGTATACATGTGCCATGTTGGCTTCCTACACCCATCAACTCATCATTTACATTAGGTATTTCTCCTAATGCTATCCCTCCCCCAGCCCCCTACCCCTCTACAGGCCCTGGTGTGTGATGTTCTGTTCCCTGTTTCCAGGTGATCTCATTGTTCAATTCCCACCTATGAGTGAGAACATGTGGTGTTTGGTTTTCTGTCCTTGTGAAAGTTTGCTGAGAATGGTGGTTTCCAGCTTCATCCATGTCCCTACAAAGGACAAGAACTCATCCTTTCTTATGGCTGCACAGTATTCCATGGTGTATATGTGCCACAATTTCTGAATCCAGTCTATCATTGATGGACATTTGGGTTGGTTCCAAGTCTTTGCTATTGTGAATAGTGCTGCAATAAACATACGTGTGCATGTGTCTTTATAGCAGCATGATTTATAATCCTTTCGGTATATACCCAGTAATAGGATGGCTGGGTCAAATGGTATTTCTAGTTCTAGATCCTTGAGGAATTGCCACACTGTCTTCCACAATGGTTGAACCAGTTTACAGTCCCACCAACAGTGTAAAAGTGTTCCTACTTCTCCACATCCTCTCCAGCACCTGTTGTTTCCTGACTTTTTAATGATTGCCATTCTAACTGCTGTGAGATGGTATCTCATTGTGGTTTTGATTTGCATTTCTCTGATGGCCAGTGATGGTGAGCATTTTTTCATGTGTCTGTTGGCTGCATACATGTCTTCTTTTGAGAAGTGTCTGTTCATATCCTTTGCACACTTTTTGATGGGGTTGTTTGATTTTTTCTTGTAAACTTGTTTGAGTTCTTTGTAGATTCTAGATATTAGCCCTTTGTCATATGGGTAGATTGTAAAAATTTTCTCCCATTCTGTAGGTTGCCTGTTCATTCTGATGGTAGTTTCTTTTGCTGTGCAGAAGCTCTTTAGTTTAATTAGATTCTATTTGTCTATTTTGGCTTTTGTTGCCATTGCTTTTGATGTTTTAGTCATGAAGTCCTTGCCCATGCCTATGTCCTGAATGGTATTGCCTAGGTTTTCTTCTAGAGGTTTTATGTTTTCAGGCCTAACATTTAAGTCTTTAATCCATCTTGAATTAATTTTTGTATAAGTTGTAAGGAAGGGATCCAGTTTCAGCTTTCTACATGTGGCTAGCCAGTTTTCCCAGCACCATTTATTAAATAGGGAGTCCTTTCCCCATTTCTTGTTTCTGTCAGGTTTGTCAAAGATGAGATGGTTGTAGATATGTGGTGTTATTTCTGAGGGCTCTCTTCTGTTCCACTGGTCTATATCTCTGTTTTGGTACCAGTAGCATGCTGTTTTGGTTACTGTAGCCTTGTAGGATAGTTTGAAGTCAGGTAGCGTGATGCCTCCAGCTTTGTTCTTTTTGCTTAGGATTGTCTTGGCAATGTGTGCTCTTTTTTTGGTTCCATATGAACTTTAAAGTAGTTTTTTCCAATTCTGTGAAGAAAGTCATTGGTAGCTTGATGGGGATGGCATTGAATCTATAAATTACTTTTGGCAGTATGGCCATTTTCACAATATTGATTCATCCTGTCTGTGAGCACGGAATATTCTTCCATTTGTGTCCTCTTTGTATTTTGTTGAGCAGTGGTTTGTAGTTCTCCTTGAAGAGGTCCTTCACATTCCTTGTAAGTTGGATTCCTAGGTATTTTATTCTCTTTGAAGCAATTGTGAATGGGAGTTCACTCATGATTTGGCTGTTTATCTGTTAATGGTGTATAGGAAAGCTTGTGATTTTTGCACATTGATTTTGGATCCTGAGACTTTGTGGAAGTTGCTTATCAGCTTAAGGAGATTTTGGGCTGAGATGATGGGGTTTTCTAAATATACAATCATGTCATCTGCAAACAGGGACAGTTTGACTTCCTCATTTCCTAATTGAATACCCTTTATTTCTTTCTCTTTCTTGATTGCCCTGGCCAGAATTTCCAACACTATGTTGAATAAGAGTGGTGAGAGAGGGCAACCTTGTCTTGTGCTGGTTTTCAAAAGAGAATGCTTCTAGTTTTTGTCCATGCAGTATGATATTGGCTGTGGGTTTGTCATAAATAGCTCTTATTATTTTGAGATACATCCCATCAATAACTAGTTTATTGAGAGTTTTTAGCATGAAGGGCTGTTGAATTTTGTCGAAGGCCTTTTCTGCATCTATTGAGATAATCATGTGGTTTTTGTCGATGGTTCTGTTTATGTGATGGATTATGTTTATTGATTTGCGTATGTTGAACCAGCCTTTCATCCCAGGGATGAAGCTGACTTGATCGTGGTGAATAAGCTTTTTGGTGTGCTGCTGGACTCGGTTTACCAGTATTTTATTGAGGATTTTTGCATCGATGTTCTTCAGGGATATTGGTCTAAAATTGTCTTTTTTTGTTGTTGTGTCTCTGCCAGGCTTTGGTATCAGGATGATGTTGGACTCATCATCCTGTTGAGTTAGGGAGGATTCCCTCTTTTTCTATTGATTGGAATAGTTTCAGAAGGAATGGTACCAGCTCCTCTTTGTACCTCTGGTAGAATTTGGCTGTGAATCCATCTGGTCCTGGACTTTTTTTGGTTGGTAGGCTATTAATTGTTGCCTCAATTTCAGAGCCTGTTATTGGTCTATTCAGAGATTCAACTTCTTCCTGGTTTAGTCTTGGGAGGGTGTATGTGTCCAGGAATTTATCCATTTCTTCTAGGTTTTCTAGTTTATTTGCATAGTGGTATTTATAGTATTTTCTGATGGTAGTTTGTTCTGTGGAATCGATGGTGACATCCCCTTTATCATTTTTATTGCGTCTATTGGATTCTTCTCTCTTTTCTTCTTTATTAGTCTTGCTAGCGTTCTATCAATTTTGTTGATCATTTCAAAAAACCAGCTCCTGGATTCATTGAATTTTTGAAGGGTTTTTTATGTCTCTATCTCCTTCAGTTCTGCTCTGATCTTAGTTATTTCTTGCCTTCTGCTAGCTTTTGAATGTGTTTGCTCTTGCTTCTCTAGTTCTTTTAATTGTGATGTTAGGATGTTGATTTTAGATCTTTCCTGCTTTTTCTTGTGGGCATTTAGTGCTATAAATTTCCCTCTATACACTGCTTTAAATGTGTCCCAGAGATTCTGGTATGTTGTGTCTTTGTTCTCATTGGTTTCAAAGAACATCTTTATTTTTGCTTTCATTTCATTATTTACCCAGTAGTCATTCAGGAGCAGGTTGTTCAGTTTCCATGAAGTAGTGCAGTTTTGTGTGAGTTTCTTAATCCTGAGTTCTAATTTGATTGCACCGTGGTCTGAGAGATAGTTTGTTGTGATTTCTGTTCTTTTACATTTGCTGAGGAGTGCTTTACTTCCAATTATGTGGTCAATTTTAGAATAAGTGTGATGTGGTGCTGAGAGGAATGTATATTCTGTTGATTTGGGGTGGAGAGTTCTGTAGATGTCTATTAGGTCTGCTTGTTGCAGAGCTGAGTTCAAGTCCTGGATATCCTTATTAAACTTCTGTCTCGTTGATATGTCTAATATTGGCAGTGGGGTGTTAAAGTCTCCCATTATTATTGTGTGGGAGTCTAAGTCTCTTTGTAGGTCTCTAAGGACTTGCTTTATGAATCTGGGTGCTCCTGTATTGGGTGCATATATATTTAGGATAGTTAGCTCTTCTTGTTGAATTCATCCCTTTACCATGATGTAATGGCCTTCTTTGTCTCTTTTGATCTTTGTTGGTTTAAAATCTGTTTTATCAGAGACTAGGATTGCAACCCCTGCTTTTTTTTGCTTTCTGTTTGCTTGGTAGATCTTCCTCCATCCCTTTATTTTGAGCCTGTGTGCATCTTTGCACATGAGATGGGGCTCCTGAATACAGCACACTGATGGGTCTTGACTCTTTATCCAATTTGCCAGTCTGTGTCTTTTACTTGGGACATTTAGCCCATTTATATTTAAGGTTAATATTGTTATGTGTGAATTTGATCCTGTTATTATGATGTTCACTGGTTATTTTGCCCATTAATTGATGCAGTTTCTTCATAGTATCGATGATCTTTACAATTTGGCATGTTTTTGCAGTGGCTGGTACCAGTTGTTTCTTTCCATGTTTAGTGCTTCCTTCAGGAGCTCCTGTAAGGCAGGCCTGGTGGCGACAAAATCTCTCAGCATTTGCTTGTCTGTAAAGGATTTTATTTCTCCTTCACTTATGAAGCTTAGTTTGGCTAGATATGAAATTCTGGGTTGAAAATTCTTTTCTTTAAGAATGTTAAATATTGGCCCCCAATCTCTTCTGGCTTGTAGGGTTTCTGCTGAGATATCTGCCATTAGTCTGATGGGCTTCCCTTTGTGGGTAACTTGACCTTTCTCTCTGGCTGCCCTTAACACTTTTTCCTTCATTTCAACCTTGGTGAATCTGATAATTATGTGTCTTGGGGTTGCTCTTCTCAAGGAGTATCTTTGTGGTGTTCTCTGTATTTCCTGAATTTGAATGTTGGCCTCCCTTGCTAGGTTGGGGAAGTTCTTCTGCATAATATCCTGAACAGTGTTTTCCAGCTTGGTTCCATTCTTTCAGGTACACCAATCAAACGTAGATTTGGTCTTTTCACATAGTCCCATATTTCTTGGAGGCTTTGTTCGTTTCTTTTTACTCTTTTTTCTCTAACCTTGTCTTCTCACTTTATTTCATTAATTTGATCTTCAATCACTGAAACCCTTTCTTCCACTTGATTGAATTGGCTACTGAAGCTTGTGCGTGCATCACAAAGTTCTTGTGCCATGGTTTTCAGTTCCATCAGGTCATTTAAGCTCTTCTTTACACTGTTTATTCTAGTTAGCCATTTGTCTAATCTTTTTTCAAGGTTTTTAGCTTCCTTGCAATGGGTTCAAACATCCTCCTTTAGCTCAGAGAAGTTTGTTATTACCGACCTTCTGAAGCCTACTTCTGTCAACTCGTCAAAGTCATTCTCTGTCTAGCTTTGTTCCGTTGGTGGCGAGGAGCTGCGATCCTTTGGAGGAGAAAAAGCACTCGGATTTTTAGAATTTTCAGCTTTTCTGCTCTGGTTTCTCCCCATCTTTGTGGTTTTATCTACCTTTGGTCTTTGATGTTGGTGACCTACAGATGGGGTTTTGGTGTAGATGAGCTTTTTGTTGATGCTGATGCTATTCCTTTCTGTTTGTTAGTTTTCCTTCTCACAGTCAGGTCCCTCAGCTGCAGGTCTGATGGAGTTTGCTGGATGTCCACTGCAGACCCTGTTTGCCTGGGTATCACCAGCGGAGGCTACAGAACAACAAATCTTGCTGCCTGATCCTTCCTCTGGAAGCTTCGTCCCAGAGGAGCAGCTGCCTATATGAGGTGTCTGTTGGCCCCTACTGGGAGGTGTCCCCCAGTTAGGCTACCCGGGGGTCAGGGACCCACTTGTGGAGGCAGTCTTTCCATTCTCAGAGCTCAAATGCCATGCTGGGATAACCACTGCTCTCTTCAGGGCTGTCAGACAGGGACGTTTAAGTCTGCAGAAGTTGTCTGCTGCCTTTTGTTCAGCTATGCCCTGCCCATAGAGGTGGAGTCTAGAGGCAGTGGGCCTTGTTTACCTGTGGTGGACTCTGCGCAGTTCAAGCTTCCTGGCTGCTTTGTTTACCTACTCAAGCCTCAGCAATGGCGGACTCCCCTCCCCCAGCCAGGCTGCCACCACACAGTTTGATCTCAGACTGCTGTGCTAGCAGTGAGCAAGCCTCTGTGGGTGTGGGACCCACCGAGCCAGGCACAGGAGAGAATCTCCTTGTCTGTCAGTTGCTAAGACCTTGGGAACAGCGCAGTATTTGGGCAAGATTGTCCCATTCTTCCAGGTAGTCTGTCACTGCGTCCGTTGGCTAAGAAAGGGAAATCCCCCAACCCCTTGCACTTCCTGGGTAAGGCAACGCCCCACCCTGCTTCAGCTCACCCTCCGTGGCCTGCACCCACTGTCCAACCAGCCCCAATGAGAAGAACCAGATATCTCAGTTGGAAATGCAGAAATCACCTGTCTTCTGTGTCATTCACGGTGGGAGCTGCAGACCAGAGCTGTTCCTATTCGGCCATCTTGGCAACTCAGCTCTTTAAACAACAAAAAACGTGTCTTCTCATTGTTCTGGAGGCTAGAAGTCCAAGATAGTTGTAGGTAGGTTTGGTTTCTCCTGAGGCCTCTCTTCTTGGCTTGTGGATGGCCGCCTTCCTGCTGTGTCCTCACATGGACTTTCTTCTGTGTACATCCCTGGTGTCCAAATGTCTTCTTCTTATATGGATGCCAGTCAGATTAGATTAGGGCCCACTCTCATGACCTTATGTTAGCTTATAATCACCTCTTTCAAGACCCCATCTCCAAATATAGTCACATTGTGAGGTATTGGTGGTTAGGGCTTCAATGTATGAAATTTTGTGGAGGGCAATTCAGTCCTAACAAGCTGTGTAAAAGTATGGAGCTGCGAGTGATGTTGGCCCTGGGTGTGATATGGTTTGGCTGTGTCCCTACCCAAATCTCACCTCGAATTGTAATAATCCCCACATGTCAAGACAGGGCCAACTGGAGATAATTGAATCATGGGGGAGGTTTCCCCCATACTGTTCTCATGGTGGTGAATAAATCTCATGAGATCGGATGGTTTTATAAATGGGAGTGCCCCTGTACAAACTCTCTCTTACCTGCTGCAATGTAAGATGTGGCTTTGCTCTTTTTTCACCTCCTGCCATGATTGTGAGGCCTCCCCAGCATTGTGGAACTGTGAGTCAATTAAACCTCTTCCCTTTATAAATTACCCAGTCTTGGGTATGTCTTCATTAGCAGCATGAGAATGGACTAATACAGAGGGTTTGAAATGATGGTGTAACTGCATCTGATGAGTTCTTCCTGCCCACTGCACAAACAACGTCAATTTATTAAGACCATAGCATTGCAGTTAAGAAAGAGTTTAATTGATGCAAGGTCGGCCACATGGGAGACAGAGTTATTACTCAAATTAATCTCATCAAAGGCTCAAAGGTTAAGGGTTTTTCAAAGATAGTTTGCTGGGTAAGAGGCCAGGGAGTGGGGAGAGCTGACTGATTGGAGATAAAATCATAGGGAATTGAAGCTGTCCTCCTGAGCTGAATCTGTTCCTAGGTGAGGGCCAGAGGACTGGTTGGCAAGTCTTGGGCAGCGGGGCATCCAGTTGTCAGAGACGCAAAAAACTGAAAAGACAACTCAAAAGGCCAATCTTAGTTTCTCTAATAGTGATGTTATCTGCAGGAGTAATTGGAGAAGTTGCAACTCTTGTGACCTCTGGAATAATGGCTGATAATTTTTTAACTATGCCTACACCATTTCCTCCTAAGATGGTGACCTTTCATTAGTTTTACAAGAGCAGTTTAGTTTTGGGAAAGGGCCACTACCATTTAAACTATAAATTAAATTTCTCCCGAAGTTAGCTTGGCCCACACCCAGGAATGTGCAAAGACAGCCAGCCTGTAAGGCTAGAAGCAAGATGGAGTCAGCCATGTCGGATTTCTCTTATGTCATAACTTTACAAAGGCAGTTTCAATGGGAGATAGAAAGGAAAGATGCAGTGGCAGTTAGACACAGGTAAGGTCTGCAGTTTAGAACCATCAATTAGGATTGAGATTGTGCTATGGGTTGAATTGTGTCCTCAAAATGTGGGGGCTATAGTCTCCTGGCCCCTAAAAGTTCACTGAAAAATCACTGACATGAGGCAGGTTGACTAATAGGAGAAAGGCATACAATTTATTTAATGTGTATATGTGGGAGCCTTCAGAATGAAGATTCCACCCAACAATATGTTCTAGAAGTTTCTGTGTCATCTTGGGATTATAGAAAGAATATGACTCAATGGATGCCCCAAAACCAGGTTTTAGTGGCAAGACAGGTTATGAGAGGGAGAAAGGAAGAGGCTTGGCTGGCAAAGATGGCCTTGTTACGTAGACGAAGCCTCCCTCTGACAGAATAGATGGTAAATGATTATTTTTAGACTTTTAATGATGTCAGACTCTCAATCTCTTCTAGATCCTGGAAAGGCATGGAAAGAGCCTGACTACACTTAATGGAGATGCTCCACAGATGCAAGTTTTTCGCCACAAAATACAGCTTTGCAAGGTCACTTCTGTTTGCTCACTTTGTGGCAGCCATTTTTATTTCTTTAAATATAAAAAATATATTTTGAGGTAAAATATTTTTATTTCCTTCAGAGTTATTAGTGGAATTGTGTCCTCAAAAAAAAAAAAAAAAAAAGGCCAAGTGCAGTGGCTGTCACCTGTAATCCTAGCACTTTGGGAGGACCAAGGCAGGTGGATCACCTGAGGTCAAGAGTTCAAGACCAGCCTGGCCAGCATGGCAAAACCTCGTCTCTACTAAAAATACAAAAAAAAAAAAAAAAAAAAGCCAGGTGTGGTGGCATGTGCCTGTAAACCCAGCTACTCAGGAGGCTGAGGCATGAGAATCATTTGAACTTGGGAGGCAGAGATTGCAGTGAGCCGAGATTGTGCCACTGCATTCCAGCCTGGGAGACAGGGTGAGACTCCATCTCAAAAAAATAAAAAATAAAAAAGATATGTCGAAGTCCTAACTCCTAGTACCTCAGAACTGAAAATAGAGTTTTTACAGAGGTAATCAGATTAAGATGAGGTCTTTAGTGGGCCTCTAGTCCAATATGACTGCTATCTTTATTGAAAGGGGGAAATTTAAACATAGAGATAGACACATACAGAGGGAAGACACACAGGGAGGATGCCGTGTGAAGATGGAACACTAGACGGACACATGTACAAGTCAAAGAATGCCAGAAATTGCCAGCAAACCACCAAAGTTGGAAGAAGCCAAGAAGCATTCCCCTGCAGGTTTCAGAGGGACCGTGACCCTGCGACACCTTGGCCTCAGAGTTTTCAGCCTTCATAACTGTGAGACGATACATCTCTGGTGTTCTAAGCCACACAATGTGTGGTACTTTGTTTTGACAGCCCTAGGAAACTACTACAGAATGTGTCTGAGACCTTGGACCAACCATCCCTGGTCTGGACATCAGCCTGCCAACACCTACACAGAGTCAACTTGGGCGGGTCACACATGCAGCAGAGGCAGCCGGACACCATGCTCCTGTATGGGTGGCCCACGTCCACAGCTGACCACCTCCAGCTGTTACAGTAGATAGCTAGCTAGTCAGGCATGAGTGGGGCAGGAGGAGACTCCCCCCAACCCACTAGGAATGTCAGGCAACCATCAGGTAATGGTCCAGCAGTTGTCACATTGCCTCTCTAAAATGATCATAGGTTAAAGCTGGTGCCAGGGAGAGGTAGTTTCCCAGTAGATACAAGTACCTGAAATTGGTAATCGGCAGGCTCCAATAAGATCTCAGGAATTGGGCAAGTGGGCTTATGCATGCAGATTAAGAGGAAAAATGGCAGAGTATGACCTTCCAGGGGCATTCCACCAGAAAATGGAAGAAAGCCTCGAGTGAGCATGCACACAACTCCAGTAAACACAGTGCACATGCTCACCTTCCAAGCGCAAGCAGGGCACTGTGCATGCAGGCGGCTCACCCTAAGGGAAGAATGAAGGGAAAGGGGCACAAGACATGGAAGTAGGCCAGCATATGAACTTTTAAATCACACCCTGCACTGGACCTCCAAGATGTCAGCTTAGGTCTCTTTCAAATATACTTTCCTTTCTTTCCTGTTCTAAGGCTTTTTAATAAACTTCCACTCCTGCTCTGAAACTTGCCTCAGTCTCCTTTTCAGCCTTATGCCTCTCGGTCAAATTCTTTTCTTCTGGGGGGCAAGAACTGAGGTTCCTGCTGACTCATATGGGTTTGCCACCAGTAACTCAGATACCTTCTACCACTAACATATTTTGGTGCCTTGTGACTCGGATCCCCTCTGCCAGTAACACAGTCTTGTTGCCCACCTGACAAACCCAGACCTCTTCAGTCAGTCAACAGCATATGGAGACTTTGCTTTCTAATATGGGACAGAAATCATTCCTGATCTTTGGGCTTTGCTGCGGTTTGAATGTCTCCTCCAAAACTCATGGTGAAATTTGATTGCCATTGTGATGGTATTAAGAGGTGGGACCTTTAAGAGTTAGTTAGATCATGAGAGCTCTGCCTTCCTGAATGAATTAATGCTGTTATTGTGGGAATGACTTAGTTATTGTGAGAGTGGGCTCCTGATTTAAAAGATGAGTTTGGCCCCCTCCCTCTCTGTCTGTCTTGGATGCTCCCTGGGCCTTCTTCTGCCTTGTGCCATGGGATGATGCACCAAGAAGGCTCTTACCAGATGCTGGCCCCTCAACCTTGGACTTCCCAGCCTCCAGAACTGTGAGAAGTAAATTTCCATTCTTTATAAATTATCCAGTCTCAGGTATTCTGTTGTAGCAACACAGAACGGACTAAGACAGGCTCTAAAAGATCTTATTCATTTCTCATCCCTGGGAACCTACTACACCCTGTACTCTACTGGCTTTCCTGCTTGGCAGGAAAATGTTCCCACTCAGTGCCCAGCTTTGGTGCCTCAGTTTTTATTTTCTTTTTAACTGACTCCATTTTGTTCACTGTACTTGGAGCAAAATAGCTTACTATAAAAGCAAGATGATCCACAGCTCTGATTTCCACACAAAATTGAAAATAAAATAAATAGACTGGGAATATAAGCTCTACAAGGGTAGGGATCTTTGTTTTGTTCCCATTGTTGGATTTTAAGTACCTAGAGCAAATATTTGTTGATTATGCATTGAATAAAAATGTGCTGAATGACTAATGATTGATAAATGAGAAGACAAGTATATATTCTGAACAGATCTCAAAAATTAATCAGTAAAGCAGGAACTTGAGCTATTCAAAATGAACTGGTAGTATTTCAGAACATAGGCAATGCCATTTTTTAAAAAGATATGATGTGGTTTAAAATAAAGTTTTCTTGCATATTCCTCTGAATTTATTGCTTCCCCTGCAACACTTTTAAGTGGTAGATGTTTTTTCCCAATAGCCATCACACCACTTGACCTAGTAGGTCCCCTACTTATTTATTGACTATAACTCCTAGTGCACCATCACTCTGTACAACATAAGCCCCTGTTAATTTCTGTAGATTTACATAAAGATGATTCTTCCATCACCCTAGACTCTCAGTTCCTTGAATTCTTCTCCTTTAAAAGCCCTCTTCCATTTTACCTTACTTCTATTTCCAAGATGCACTTATTACCAATAATCAAAACTCCTTCTCATCTCATTTCCAGGTATCCTACACTGACCACCACCTTTAATCTTTCCTATATGCTCCCTTCAGTCCTTCAATTCCAACCATCCTTCGAGTCTAGCAGAACTTTAAAGATATTGATCCTATCACTCACCCACTTGCTATCCTATTTCCTCATCTTCCTCTGCAAGAATTCCATGGTTAATCATTATAATCACTCCCTTGGTACATCCTCAACTCTCTCCCCGTCTCCATTTGTCATGCTGGCTCAGCAAAGAAACAATCCTGGTTAAATGAAAATCTCTGTTTCCTCCGTGCCTGCTCTCATGTGGTTGAATGTGGCTGGAAAAAAACCAAAAAACCAAAAAAACACACAATCTTGCTGGCTGGTCTCACCTTAAACTCATGACCACAGTCTCAAATGGGCTTTTAGTGCCTCTGGGCAATCTTACTATACTTTCCTAACCCATTTGACCTTGTGCTTTTCTGGATGAAAATTTCAAGCTTCTCTTTTTCCAGACGTCTAGCACCTTCTCCCCGATCCTCTCAGCTAACCATCTTGACTCCTATTTCACCAAGGAAATAGAAGCACCAGAAGACTTCTACCCACTGCTACCACCACACCTACCCACCTGCAAGCACCTGTACCTGCAGCATCTGTGGTTTCTCTCTTCCTGCACGTGAACCATTCATGCTGCTATCTAAAGTCAGTTCCTCCACTTACACCTTCATCCCATCCTCTCTTACCTACTCAAGGGCATCACTCCATCAATCTCTCTCCTGCATCAAAAATTTCCTCTTTCTGCCATTTCTCCCATCTGAAGGCATGGGGAGGGTGAAGAAATAGAAAACTGCTTTTGACCTGAGTTCTTTCATCAGGCACTACCCTATTTCTTTGCTCTTCTTTACAGAATCATCTATACTCTCTGCCTTCAGTTCCTCTTCTCCCATCATCTCTTAAAATCTTCTCTGGTTGGGCGTTTACCCACACCAACCACCAACTGTTCTCGAAGTCATCAATGTCCCCCATGTTGACCTTATGACAATGTATGACTGATTGTTCCCTGTAGCTTAATCTTTCCAACAATACTTGATATTGCCAGACTTTAATTTTTGCAAATTTAGTGGGTGAGAAATTATATCTCTTTGACATTTTATTTTCAATTTCCTGAGTACTAACGAGGTTGGTCATCTTTTCCTGTAGTCATTGGCTATTTATACTCTCTTCTAGTATAGGCATATTCATTACCTTTGCCCTTTTTTTCTATTATCTTTTTCTTATTAATTTGTAGAATTTCACTTTAAATTATGGATACTAATCTTTTGTCATTTTATGTGCTACAAGTATCTTTTCTGAAAATAGATTTTTTGGAAGCTAGATGGTTTCCTATGAACAGAAAATCTTAATTTTAATGTAATTGTCATTGTCTATGTTTTCCCTTAGGTTTAGCACTTTTTGAGACTTGCTTAAAACATTCTTGTTTATCCTGAGGTCATAACGATACTGTCTTACTGTAAAATTTTTAATGTTTTGTATTTCATATTTAAGTCCTTGATCCATCTGGAAGCATCTTTGTGTATGATGTGAAATAGGGATACTTTTTCTTTTTTCTCATATGAATAATTAGTTGTGTATAATGCTAACATATTTATATTGTCTATCTTTTTCTCTTGGTCTACAATGCCATGTCAAGTGCATATCAAGTTTTCAAATACATATGAGTCTATTTCTGAGCCCTAGTTCCTGTTCTGTTGGTCTATTTGTCTGTTTTTGCACCAACATCACTCTTTTTAATTACTACCACCTCAAAATAACTCTTTACATTTTATAGGCCAATGTCTCCACACTTCTGTTCTCACTCAAGAGCGTCATCGCTATGGTCTTATGGTCTTTATACAAATGTAGAATCAGTTTAACAAGGCCTATGAAATCACCTGTTGGGATTGATTGGAGTTACATTTTGTTTATTGGTCAGTTAGAGGATAAATATCTTTTTGTATTTAAGTCACCCTATTCATGAACCTGTTATCTTTCTACATCAGTGTAAACCTTTTTTTTTTTTAATTGAGACGGAGTCTCGCTCTGTTGCCCAGGCTGGAGTGCAGTGGTGCGGTCTCGGCTCACTGCAAGCTCCACCTCCCAGGTTCACCCCGTTCTCCTGCCTCAGCCTCCCAAGTAGCTGGGACTACAGGAGCCCGCTGCCACGCCCGGCTAATTTTTTGTATTTTTAGTAGAGACAGGGTTTCACTGTGTTAGCCGGGATGGTCTCCATCTCCTGACCTCGTGATCTGCCCGCCTCGGCCTCCCAAAGTGCTGGGATTATAGACGTGAGCCACTGCGCCCAGCTGACCTTTAATACCTTTTAGTAAAGCTTTATAATTTTATCCATGAAGATCTTTCACATCTTTTGTTAGATTTATCCCTAGATCTATTTTGTTAGGCTTCAGTTATTTTGTGATATTTTAATTAGTATATTTAAAAAATTATATTTTCTAACTCTTTGTTGTGGATATTTGAAAGTGTAAAGGATTTTTGCATTTTGAGTAGTAGCAGGAATTTTGATAAACACTGTTGTTAATTCTGATAATTAATCCTTAGATTATGAGGTTCTGTTTATGTAGAAAATCTTATATAGATAATGATAGTTTGTTTTTTCATTTCCAGTCTTTATATCTTTTGTCATTTTTATTTCACTATAGCTGGGGCTCCAGTGTGGTTGGATCACAGTAGTAATAGCCGGTGTGGGATGAGCCAGCATCTTTCTAGTTTCAATTTTTCAAAGGCGCTTCTAATGTTTCACTATTGGGCCCTTAGGTTTAGAGTTGGGATTAGGTTTTTGTTAGGAATCCTTTATTAGGGTAAGAAACTTTCTCTCTAAGCCAAATTTGCTAACAGATTAAAAAATATTTTTAATCATAAAAGATTGTTAAATATTATTAACTACTTTAACTACCTCTACTGAGCATATCCTATTTTATTTTCCTTTAATCTATGAGTGTGATAAATCACTATTTGATTTTTAATATTCAACACCATTGTATTCTTGGAATAAACCCGGTCTGATCATGTTTTATTATTTTGCTATGTTCTACTGGACTTGAGTTGCTAATAGTTTGGATAGATTTTTTGCTTTTATGTTCATGAGTAACATAGGCTTTAATTTTTATTTATTGTACTGTCTTATCTAGTTTTGGAATCAATATTTTACTAGCCTCAAAGAAGGGGAGAGTTTTCTCTTTTTATTCTCTGGAAAAGTTTGTATAAGTTGAAAAAAATTATTCCTCAAAATTTGGTTGAATTTACTCCTAAAAGCATCTGAGCCTAGCATTCCCTTTTTGGGTATGTTTTGGGGTTTTTTGGACTATTTGTTTTTAGTTTTAATTTTTTAAGAGCAGTTTTAGGTTCACAGAAAAATTGAGCAGAATATACAGTTCCCATACGCCTCCTCCCCGACCACAAGCACAGACTCCCCCATCACCAACATCCCACCAGAGTGGAGCATTTGCTGTAATTGATGAACCTGCACTGACACAGCATTATTGGCCAAAGTCAATAGCCCATGTTAAGGCTCACTCTTCATGTACAATCTATGGATTTGGACAAATTTGTGATGGCATGTAGCCACCATTATAGTACTGTAGAGTAGTTTCATTGCCCTAAAAATCCTCTGTGCTCTGTTTATTTATTGCTCCTTTTTGGAAACGTTTCAAAATACGGATTCCATTTTTTGTGTAAGTTAGTTTTGGTAAATTATATTTTTCAGATAATTTATCCTTTTTCTAAGGTTTCAAACCTATTTACTCAATAATAATGACTACAGTTCTGGCACTGGAGATACTGTAGTGTGTGAAAATATAATAGATGTGAATCCTAATTTCATCAGGTTTACATTAAATGCACTACAATGTTCCTATTATTTTTTCATTATTTCTGTTGTATCTGTAGTTGACTCTTCATTTCTACTTTTTATTTTTATTTTTTGAGACAGAATCTCTACTCCTGAGCTCAAATGATCCTCCCACGTCAGCCTCCCAATCCCAGTTTTTGTATTTTTCTTTTTCTTTTACATTTTTTTTTTTTTTTTTTTGAGGTACGGGCTTGCTCTGTCACCCAGGCTGAGTGCAGTGGCACAATCACAGCTCACTGCAGCCTCAATCTCCCTAATTAAAGGAGGTTCACGATTGGCAGGGAACAGGAGGTTCTGCCATGGTGGCAACAATCCATAGCTTCTGTCTTCCACTGATGGCATCTCAAAGCAGAGACCCTGATGAACTTGCCCTCTCATTTTTAGTCAAAATAAGGAAACCCAGTCCAGATGACTTCAAAGAGATACAATAGGGCTCAAGTGATCCTCTCGCCTTCTGAATAGCTGGGACTATAGGCGCCCACCACACAATGCTCAGCTAATTTTCGATTTTTTTGTAGAGACAAGGTCTCGCTGTGTTGGCCAGACTGGACTTGAATTCCTGAGCTCAAGTGATCCTCTGCCTTGGCTTCCCAAAGTGTTGGGATTACAGGCTCAAGCCACCATCCCTAGCCTCTTTTCATTTCTAATATTGGTTTTTATATCTTTTTCTCTCCTTTTTTTCCCTAGGTCAAACCCACCAGAGGTTTGTCCATTATACCAACCTTTACAAACAGCCAACTTTATTTTGGCTTCAGGGTTTAATATGTGGTCACTGGATCAAGTGTATTAAATGGCTTTGCTTGTCAATTACTCATTGTAGTTTCATCAAATATTCTTTACATATTGTAAACTTCACTAATAGGTCTATGCAAATTTAGAATGGTATATTCTGCTGAACTCAACTTTTTCTATTATGTACTGGTCTTCTGCTATTTGCCTCAAAGTTTTTACTGATATAATAGAGCAACAGTGACTTTATTTGGGTTAGTATTTGCCTGGAATATTATTGCTTTTGTCCTTTTATTTTAAGCCTTTATATGTTTTTATGTTTCATGCGTGTCATGTCTTAGACTATAGCAGAATATTTTTTGACAATTCCTAATTATTAAGTAAATAATTCAGCCCATTTTCATGTTTTGAGGTTACTGATATATTTGAACTTACTTCCAACATTTTATTATATGCTTTTATTTGTCCCAATTTTTAAAGTTGTATTTTGTCATGTTTTGGAACAGATTAAATTTTTCCTGTATTCTATTCTTTTTCTCTCTTTTTCTAATGGTTATTCTAAAAACTACAACATGCATCCTAAAGAATGAAAAGTTCATCAGTGTCTTTAATTCACCTTTCAAATAATACAAAGACCTTAGGAAAACCCCAACAAGAAATTGTCCGTTGTGTTAGCTCTTTTGACCCCCACAAGTTAAATATTATTTTGTATAACATGTTTTAGATTTTTTCCAAACTTAACAATTTAAAATAATTTATTTCTTTATTTACAATTACAATTTACTACTTTCTGTATCTCAGAACTAGATTCTGGAATCCTTTTTTTCTTCTTTTCTCTTACTTTTTATAGTATGACATAGATTTTCCATTAGTGTGAGTTTGGAGGCTAACTTTCTCAGTGTCCATCTGAAAATGTGTTTATTTTGCTCTTGTTCTTGAGAAATATTTCTACAAAATGTATTGACCTAGGTTGACAGTTATTTTATATCAGCATTTTGAAGATACTTATCTAGTGTTTTCTGACTTCCATCATTGCTGCTAAGTCAGCTGTCAGCCTAATTGCCACTTGTTGATAGTTAGCTTTTTGTTTCTCACTGTATTAAAGATCTTTTTGCCTCTGATTACCTTCGTAGATAATTATCTGAGTTACTATTGTTCCCGTTCCTCTCAGCCACTCTCTCATCCTCAGAATCTCTTTCCAGTTCTCCCAACAGCCTATGTTTTCTATGCACATGGTCTGGTGTATTTATTTATACTCCAGACTGCTCTTTGGAAGAACAAGACTTCTCCTTGTTCTTCCTTGGGTCTGTGAGTCCAGCTGAGCCATGCAACATGTGGCTATGGTCTGCTGAGGTCCTCTCTGGAAAGAGGAGTGAATACCTATTCCCCAAATGGAGTCAGATGAGGAGAAAACTGCTAACAGGATAAGTGAGTGTGTTTAGGTCTCTAACATCTGGGGATACAATGGCATCATATTTTCATGTGTGGAAACAAAGATGTATGATTCGAAGTCAGCTTGATTTTAAACAGGAGAAGGTCTGAAACATCACTGGAGCCAAAATAAATTCTTTGTTTACTCTAAGCAACCAAGAAATACACATACAGCTCATCATTGCTGAGAGCACTGGATCCATGTGATCACTAAAGAAGCTTCGCCATTGGCAGGGAACAGGACGCTCTGCCATCGTGGCAATGATCCACAGCTTCTCTCTTCCACTGATGGCATCTGAAAGCAGAGGCCCTGATGAACTTGCCCTCTCATTTTTAGTCAAAATGAGAACACTCAGTCCAGATGACTTCAAAGAGGTACAGTATCTCAAAATAATAAAATTCTTTCTTTCTTTCTAAAAGATTTTAATCAGAGAAGGATACCTTATTTTATAAAATCACATTGTAAAATGGATTTTACTATGATAAAGACAAAAATAGACTAATGGCAATAAAAACACAGGTGTAGCTTAAGTCACACAATTGAAGATACTGGGATTAATGAAGTTGAGTGTTTTTCATCCCAATCATCCCGCTAGTTTGCCTAAGGAGCTCACAATTCATCAGGCAGGTGGTTTATCATTTTTGAAATTGTAGCAAAATGAGATTGTCTCAGCAGCAAGTCAACTGGCTGGGCCAGGGCTCTCCATATTGTATACATCCTCTCTAACCTACACCTTGAGTTAGGCTAGAAGCTCCCAGAGAGCAGGGACCTATTTCACTTGTCTTTGGTACCCATGACATAATAAACACACTCAGGTGAGGACAAGTGTAGGCATCTCTGCCCATGATTACTTAACTGGCTGTCTGTGTAAGTGAGCAGGGATGCAAGCGTGTTTGTATATTGATAATGTAAACTCAGGGCTTCCTGACATGTCCGTTGCTACAGATGGAGTTAATGCAGCACGTCTTGGAATTTCATGCTGTCTTTTAAAAAATATATTCAACTGATATGTATTAACTGTAGGAGAAAATACAGAAATACCAACAAACCAAAAAATAAAATAAAAGCCAATTATGACTTTTCTACCCAGAGAAAACTACTGATAATATTTTGGCTTACATTCCACTAGATTTTTTTTTCTAGGCACATATATTTTTAACTGTTCAAATGGGATTCTATTTCACATGTAGTTAAAATTCAAACATAGAAACATACAGAGTAAAACATTCCCATCCCCTTACCTTGTTTAATCAGACACATCTTACAGATTATCTCCTATGGACATTGTAGTAGGCATCCTTCCTGACTTTGAAAAAGCTCATTTGCATAATAAATTTATGTATATACACCACATTCCTAACAAATATATGATCCTTTTGTTTGTAAGGCATGCAATGATTTTATGTACCACTAAGAAAGAAAAAACACTGCCAATTAATCTATGATGTTATTGATTTTAAGATGTATTCAGATTTTTGATGTTCAAAGTAGGGGATAAAACATCATATGATGCAATATGTTTTTTTAAAAAAATATAAAAGAGACCTTGTATTGTTCTGTTTTGCTTTTCTCATGTAATGACATGTCTTAAAATAAATTTCTGTGTCACTGTTTAAGGCTCTGCCTAGTCATCTGGTTATGAAGAGATCATCACTAGATTAACCATTCTCCTATGAGGTTGTTTTCAACTTTTTACTCTAAAAAAAAAGCTGCAGTAAATATCATTGTTTACATATATATAAAACATATGTAACAATCATGTTTTATTTAACAAATTGACATCAGTGGTATATATTACACATATTGTTCCACCTTATGTAGCTTATTTTTTCTGTGTATGGTCTTCTTGGACCCCACCTAAGGGTAAATTCCAAGAAGGGAACCGCTGGATGAAAAGCTATGTGCATTTACAATTCTGTTAGATGTTACATGATTGTCCTCCCAAAAGGAGAGGGCAATTTACACTTTCTCCAGCAGTGTGTGAGGAAATCTTCACAACCTCACCAAGAGTTAACATTGTCAATCATTTTAAACTCTGTCAAACCTATCAACAAAGGATAGATTTGTCCATGAACACTTGTAAGAGTTAACATTTTTTTCACGCTTATTGGCATTTGTATTCTGTAACTTTCCTTTTTATGTCATTTATTTTATTTTATTATTTTTTTATACAGGCCCTCACTCTCTCATCCAGGCTGGGTGCAGTGGCACAACCTTGGCTCACTGCAACCTCCACCTCCTGGGCTCAAGTGATCCTCTTGCCTCAGCCTTCTGAGTAGCTGGGACTACAGGCATGCGCCACCATGCCCGGCTAATTTTTCGTATTTTTGGTAGAGACAGGATTTCTCCATGTTGCCCAGGCTGGTCTTGAACTCCTGAGTTCAGATTATCCACCTACTTCAGCGTCCAAAAGTGCTGGGATTACAGGTGTGAGCCACTGTGCCCAGCCTATGTCATTTTATTTATCCTTTTTTATAGATAGCTTTTTAAAAATTTACCTTTCTCATTGGTCTTTATATGGTATGGATAATATTCTCCTCCTTGGTGGCTTTTTAAAAAATACTTTTTCTTTATTGAAGAAGTTTTTAATTTTATCTGCTCAAATCTCTCAATATTTTTCTTTACGGCTTTATGGTATTTTTTGTTTATTAGGAAGGTCTTTCTTATCTCAAGAATATAAAGAGTTGTTCTATTAGCTATCTGGGTTTTCTTTTTGCATCTTGATCTTTAATTTACTTGGAATTTATATCTGTGTATGGTATAAAATAGAGATCCAATTTAATTTTTTCCCTTAGGAAAATCCTTCGTTGCTTCTTAATTACCTATTTGGCCTCCCTGAAAAGATACACCTGGAAATTATCAGTCCACAGTGTACTCTGAGGTCAGCAGTAGGATTCTGTTCTGTTCTAGCTTCATAACTTGTGGGGATTTTTTTCAAGTGGAAAAAGTGCAAGTGAAACCAACCACGAATGCTTCATTATTTCACACGAGTGACTTGCTGCTTTTCTTCCAGAAGATGCTCTGACCGCAGCACTCTGCTTCCCCAAATCCATTTACTTTCCATTTCAAAAGGAATGATCGTAGCTTTGCTTTATACTCTGCACCCTGTGAATTAACACATGAGATACAGCCCCAATCTCAAAATGTCTCAAATGCTTATAGTCGTATGGGAAAACCAGTTCATACATATGTAATTAAAACATAGATGTATACACATGCAGATGAAGTGAAAAGCATCCTAAGGCAGTATACATTAATATTAATGAGTGATGCATGCTCTGACGAGCTTGTGTCTCCCTGCCAACTCCCCACGAGGGGAGGATGATGGCATTGTCATTTTCATTTGCTTGTAACAAAGTAGGAGCTTGGTCAATGTTAATTGAACAGATGAAATAGTAGGTAGCGTGGGAATTTAGAGAGAGCAAAATTCACGTGGTTAATAAAGGTCAGAGGGTGTTTCCCAGAGGCAGGATTGTGCTGGCCTTGAGGATTTGGAGAGATGGAAAATGGGAGAGTGGGCCTGCCGGGTTCAGGCCCTTAAGGACTGGCTTTTTGGGAATCAGCTTTCTCTGTTCTCACACATTAGTTCAGGTTGTCTGGGAGGGAATTGAAAAGCTACAAACATTATGTAGATCTCCCTAAATCATCCTTATTCAAATGCTCTTGGAGCCCCATAGCTTTTCAGGCCTATGAAAATCAATGCTCTGGGAGCCACCTGACTGACTGTACTGCTGGAACCCATTTTGCCCAGGGCATTAGCTCCATGAGTGCATATGGTGCTCACCTTGTGGAAAATTCCAAACAATTATAACCCTTAAGTCTCAGCAGAGAGGTAGGCCTGACCTTTCCTCTCAGAGCCAATTCTAGCAATAGGCACAAAACAGCAACAAGTTCTCTGCCCACGCAGAAAAGTGACACCGTTTTTCAGTGTCAGCCCGGAGAGAGCTGACCCTTCAAGTCAGTAGTGAGGGCTGAAAAGAAAAGATGTCACAGACCAAAAATGGACCTGAACCTTCAACCTCAGTCAGAGATGCCTGGATCTGCCTGATGCATTTCCTGGGACATCGGGACACTGGCACAAGGAGGAAGGTGGCAGTGCCTGTAGGGCAGATGCACCCTACAGCAATAACAAGCATACTCTAAGAAGAACCCTATGGTCTAAGAAGAACATGTGTTCAGAATTCCAAGCTAAGGAATTGTAAACCTTGAGTATCTGAGACGGTTTCAGTTAATTTAGAAAGTTTATTTTGCCAAGGTTGAGGATGTGCGCTCTTGACACAGCCTCAGGAAGTCCTGATGACATGTGCCAAAGGTGGTCAGGGCACAACTTGGTTTTATACATTTTAGGGAGACATGAGACATCAATCAATATATGTAAGAAGTACATTGGTTCCATCCAGAAAGGCAGGTACAACTTGAAGCAGGTAGGGGGCTTCCAGGTCACAGGTAGGTGAGAGATAAATGGTTGCATATTGAATTTCTGAAGCCTTTTTGAAGGAGGCAGTCAGATCTGCCTCTAGCTCAGTGAGCAGAGGGATGACCTTGAATAGAATGGGAGGGAGGTTTGACCTAAGCAGTCCCCAGCTTGACTCTTCCCTTTAGTTTAGTAATTTGGGGACCCCAAGATTTTCCTTTCACAGAATCTAAGAGTGGCAGTGGCCAACCCAGAGATTTGCTTTATCTATGATGGTCGTCTGAAACCTCTGCCCATTCTTTGGAACACAGGCCATAGAGGGAGTTGAGGCCCTTTGTTTTGGGTTAAATGGAGGTTGCCAGGTAGAGGGTGCTAAGTGAAAATGTTTTATACACAACATGCTGTTTACAAACAATAGTAGTTCTCCTGTCCAGCCTGCCTCCGCTGGATTTCTCTGTATGTAAGTTCCCACCCCCTCCATGCTAATAAACCTTCTGTCTCCAGGTCTCTTCTTTGGCCTCTCAGACATGGTGCCATCCCTACTGGAGTCAATAGGGGACTGGTAGGACAGTCCCACAAGTAGAAGAAACACTGATTCATTGGATGCTTCATGAGCACCTTCTCCAGGTCAGGCACTTTCTAGGAGCTGGAGAAATATCCAGGAACAAAACAGACAAGTATTCCTGTATTCAGGGAGCTATGTTATAGCGGGGGGAAATAGGCAAATATTAAGAATAAATAGAAATAAGTTAACACAAATTAAGCTTCTTCCAGATTATCCCACCACAATGGCATCATCCCAACTTTAAAATATATATAGTTTTTCCTAGTGGCAATTTAATTCAGACCATAATGGCCAAAATGATTGCTTTTGTAAACTAAAAATAAATGAAGAGGCCACCAAACAGGCTTTGTGTGAGCAACATCGCTGTTTATTTCACCGGGTGCAGGCAGGGTGAGTCTGAAAAGAGAGTCAGCAAAGCGTGGTGGATTGTCATTAGTTCTTATAGGTTTTGGGATAGGCGGTGAAGTTAAGAGCAATGTTTTGTGGGCGGGGTGGATCTCACAAAGTACATTCTCAAGGGTGGGGAGAATTACAAAGGACCTTCTTAAGGGTGGGGGAGATTACAAAGTACATTGATCAGTTAGGGTGGGGCAGGAACAAATCACAATGGTGGAATGTCATCAGTTAAGGCTATTTTTACTTCTTTTGTGGATCTTCAGTTACTTCAGGCCATCTGGATGTATACGTGCAAGTCACACAGGGGATGCGATGGCTTGGCTTGGGCTCAGAGGCGTGACATTCCTGCCTTCTTATATTAATAAGAAAAATAAAACAAAATAGTGTTGAAGTGTTGGGGCGGTGAACATTTTTGGGGGGTGGTATGGAGAGAGAATGGGAGATGTTTCTCAGGGCTGCTTCAGGCGGGATTGGGGTGGCGTGGAAACCTAGAATGGGAGAGATTAAGCTGAAGGGAGGTCTTGTGGTAAGGGGTGATATTGTGGGGATGTAAGAAGAAACATTTGTTGTATAGAATGATTGGCGATGGCCTGGATACGGTTTTGGATGAATTGAGAAACTAAATGGAATAAGAGAAGGAGAAAAACAGGTATAAAAGGTCTAAGAATTGGGAGGACCTAGGACATCTGATTAGAGAGTACCTAAGGAGATTCAGCATAGTCCTGCCAGCAAAGATTATTTATTTACTTCAAGAGTTTAGAGTGGCAGTTTGGGTATAGCACCAGGAGATATCAGCTGTGATGGCTTGGAGAAACAGTGTAAACCGGCAGTGTAAACAAGAGCAGGGCATGTATGAGTAGTTGAGAACGGTGAATAGGAGTATGACTAGAAAAAAGATAGTAGGGATGACAAGTTTTTTTGGGGCACAGTCTAAGTGGTGGGGGTGGCTTCGTAAAGCCCTGTTGCAAAAAGTAGGGTAAGGACGAAAAGATCTAATAGAATGAAGGGATGTATTAGGCTCATAAGTGTTATTACTGTTCTTCAGAAATACGAGTGAGTTTAAGGGAAGTAGGGGAAAGTACTTGCGACTTCCAGGAGGAAGAGGAGGGATTAGGCTAGCTGTCCAATGGACACAGCTTTATTCTGGAATGGTGAAACCAGTGGGGAGGATCCTGCAGGCGGATGGCAGTCGGGGTACTATAGATGACTAAGTAGGGTCCGGTCCATCGAGGTTGTAGAGTTTGAGGGGTCAGATTCTTAACAAGAACTGATCATCCAGCTAGGGTGTCTTCATATGGCTGGGGATCTGGAGTAGGCAAGAGAAGATTAGCAGCCTGGCGAATTTGCTGTCTAGCCTGCTGGAGGACTGGAAGATAGTCGCCTAGAGGGCTGGTGTCTGGATGAGGTTAGGGCCAAGCAAGAAAGTGCATCCCTATAAAAGTTCAAATGGACTGTACCCTGTAGCATCTGGAGGACAGGCTCTGATTCTGAGAAGAGCAAGAGGTAGAAGTACTGTCCAATCCTTTTTAAGTTGGAGGCTGAGCTTGGTGAGGTGTGCCTTTAAAAGACCATTAGTCCGTTCCACCTTTCCTGAAGATTGAGGATGGTAAGGGATATGAAGGTTCCACTGAATACCAAGAGCCTGAGAAACTGCTTGGGTAATTTGGCTAGTAAACGCTGGTCCGTTATCAGACTGTATAGAGGTGGGAAGGCCAAACCGAGGAATTATGTCCGACAGAAGGGAAGAAATGACTGTGGTGGCCTTCTCAGACCCTGTGGGGAAGGCCTCTACCCATCCAGTCAAGGTGTCTACCCAGACTAACAGATATTTTAGTTTTCTGACTCGAGGCATATGAGTAAAGTCAATTTGCCAGTCCTGGGCAGGGGCAAATCCTCGAGCTTGATGTGTAGGAAAGGGAGGAGGCCTGAACAATCCCTGAGGGGTAGTAGAATAGCAGATGGAACACTGAGAAGTTATTTCCTTGAGGATAGATTTCCACGATGGAAAGGAAATGAGAGGTTCTGAGAGGCGGGCTAGTGGCTTGTACTATAGCATAGCCTGCCTTTGCTGGTGTGTGGCGATTAGGCCTGGTGGAACTGCCATCAATAAATCAAGCGTGATCAGGGTGAGGAACAGGAAAGAAGGAAATATGGGGAAATGGGGTGAATATCAGGTGGATCAGAGAGATACAGTCATGGGGGTCAGGTGTGGTATCAGGAATAATGTGGGAGGCCAGATTGAAGTCTGGGCCAGGAACAATGGTAATTGTGGGACTTAACAAAGAGTGAGTACAGCTGAAGGAGCTGGGAAGCAGAAAGTATATGCGTCAGGTATGAGGAAGAAAATAGATTTTGGAAGTTATGAGAACTGTAGAGAGTGAGTTGAGCATAGTTTGTGATTTTGAGGGCCTCTAAAAGTATTAATGCAGCGGCAGCCACTGCACGCAGACATGAGGGCTAGGCTAAAACAGTAAGGTCAAGTTGTTTGGACAGAAAGGCTACAGGGTGCGGTCCTGGCTCTTGTGTAAGAATTCTGACTGCACTAACCATGCCTAGGAAGGAAAGGAGTTGTTGTTTTGTAGAAGGTGCTGGGGTTTGAGAGATCAGTCAGACACGATTGGCAGGGAGAGCACGTGTGTTTTTATGAGAATTATGCCAAGATAGGTAACAGATGAGGAAGAAATTTGGGCTTGATTGAAGTAATGGGGGCTGTCTGTGAAGCTTTGCAGCCGTACAGCCTAGGTAATTTGCTGAGCTTGATGGGTGTCAGGGTCAGTCCAAGTGAAAGTGAAGAGAGGCTGGGATTAAGGGTGCAAAGGAATGGTAAAGAAAGCATGTTTGAGATCTAGAACAGAATAATGGGTTGTAGAGGCAGGTATTGAGGATAGGAGAGTATATGGGTTTGGCACCATGGGGTGGATAGGCAAAACAATTTGGTTGATAAGGAGCAGATCCTGAACTAACTTGTAAGGCTTGTCTGGTTTTAGGACAGGTAAAATGGGGGAATTGTAAGGAAAGTTTATAGGCTTTAAAAGGCCATGCTGTAGCAAGCGAGTGATAACAGGCTTTAATCTTTTTAAAGCATGCTGTGGGATGGGATATTGGCGTTGAGTGGGGTAAGGGTGATTAGGTTTTAATGAGATGGTAAGGGGTGCATGATCAGTCGCCAAGGAGGGAGTAGAGGTATCTCATATTTGTGGGTTAAGGTGGGGGGATACAAGAGGAGGATGCAAAGGAGGCTTTGGATTGGGAAGAAGGGTGGCAATGAGATATAGCTGTAGTCCAGGAATAGTCAGGGAAGTAGATAATTTAGTTAGTGTCTCAGCCTAATAAGGGAACTGGGCAGGTGGGGATAACTAAAAAGGAGTGCTTAAAAGAGTATTGTCTAAGTTGGCACCAGAGTTGGGGAGTTTTAAGAGGTTTAGAAGCCTGGCCGTCAATACCCACAACAGTTATGGAGGCAAGGGAAACAGGCCCTTGAAAAGAAGGTAATGTGGAGTGGGTAGCCTCCGTATTGATTAAGAAGGGGACGGGCTTACCTTCCACTGTGAGAGTTACCGGAAGCTCGGCATCCGTGATGGTTTAGGGGGCTTCCGAGGCGATCGGGCAGTGTCAGTCTTCAGCCACTAAGCCGAGAAGATCTGAGAAGGAGTCAGTCAGAGAGCCTTGGGCCAGAGTTCCAGGGGCTCTGGGAGTGGCTGCCAGGTGAGTTGAACAGTCTGATTTTCAGTGGGGTCCCACACAGATGGGACGCGGCTTAGGAGGAATCCTGGGCTGCGGGCATTCCTTGGCCCAGTGGCCGGATTTCCGGCACGTGTAGCAAGCTCCTGTGGGAGGAGGTTCTGGAGGAACGCCTGGCCACTGCAGTTCAGGCGTTTGGAAGTTCTTGTGTGCTGGAGATGTGGCTGGGGTTTGTCTCACAGTGGAGGCAAGGAATTGCAACTTTTTTCTATTATTGTACACCTTGAAGGTGAGGTTAATTAAATCCTGTTGTGGGGTTTGAGGGCTGGAATTTAATTTTTGGAGTTTTATTTAATGTCGGGAGCAGATTGGGTAATACAATGTATATTGAGAATAAGATGGCCTTTTGACCTTTTAGGGTCTAGGGCTGTAAAGCATCTCAGGGTTGCTGCCAAACAAGTCATGAACTGAGCTGGATTTTTATATTTGATGAAAAAGAGCCTAAACGCTATCTGATTTGGGATAAAGAAAAAGGAGCATTAACCTTGACTATGCCTTTGGCTTTTTAAGATTAAATTGCTGGGCAGGTGGGGGAGGGCTAGTCATGGAACAAAACTGCAAGCCGGACCAGGTGTGAGGAGGGGAGGTGATAAAAAGATTATAGGGTGGAGGAGCGGAGGCTGAGGAAGAATTGGGACCTAGCTCGGCCTGGCGAGGAGGGGAGAGGTCAGATGGGTCTGTAGAAAAGGAAGATTAGAAAGACTCAGTGACGCTTGGGGTTGGGACTGAGGGGACAGGCAGGAGGGAAAGAAGAAAGATTTGGGATGAGTTGCACTGGGCACAGAGACTAGGAAGGGACTGATGTGTAAAAGAATGCCTGGATGTCAGGCACCTCAGACCGTTTTCCTATTTTACAACAAGAATTATTTAGATCTTGCAGGATGGAAAAATTCAAAGTGCCATTTTCTGGCTATTTGGAACTACTGTTGAGTTTGTATTGGGGTCAAGCGGCATTGCAGAAGAAAATAAGGCATTTAGGTTTTAGGTCAGGTGTGAGTTGAAGAGGTTTTAAGTTTTTGAGAACACAGGCTAGGGGAGAAGAAGGAGGAATGGAAGGTGGAAGCTTACCCATAGTGAAGGAGGCAAGCCCAGAGAAAAGAGTAGAGACACGGAGAAGGGGTGGGGGGTTCTTGCCCTCCAGAAAAGCAGAGAAGGGGTTGGGGCATGGAAATAAGGGATTGGGGCACAGAGATAAAAGGTCAGGGTGTGGAAATAAGGGATTGGAGCACAGAGATAAGAGGTTGGGGTGCAGAAATAAGCGATTGGGGGGGTTCTTGCCCTCTAGGAAAGCGGGACTTGCCGCTAAGGGTGAAGGAGAAGGGGGTTGAGGGGTACTTGCCCCTTCCCCAGAAAAGCAGAGAAGGGGTAGAGACAAGGAGAGAAGGGGTTGGGGTACTTGCCCCTTCCCCAGAGAAGCAGAGAAGGGGTAGAGACAAGGAGAGAAGGGATTGGGGTACTTGCCCCTTCCCAAGAAAAGCGGGACTTGCCGCTAAGGGTGAAGGACCAAGGCAAGTGTCCCTGCGTGGTCTGACACCCTTGAAACATGGGTGTATAATCAGAGAGGCATCCCTGCAATGATTAAACACAAAGGGAAGGCTGCCTTCCCAGTCCATGACAGGCGCTGGAGTTTTGGGTCCACGGATAAAACATGTCTCTTTTGTCTCTACCAGAAAATTAAAGGAATTGAAATTAAGAGAAGGGAGAGATTGAAGTGTAGCGCCAAGATTGAAAGAAGAAAGAGGTTGAGGGATAGTGAGGGAAGTTGGAGAAGAGAGTAAAAAGAGGCCGCTTACTGGATTTGAAATTGGTGAGATGTTTCTTGGGCTGGTCGGTCTTAGGACCTGAGGTCGTAGGTGGATCTTTCTCACGGAGCAAAGAGCAGGAGGACGGGGTATTGATCTCCCAAGGGAGGTCCCCCGATCCGAGTCACGGCACCAAATTTCATGTGCATCCGTGTGAAGAGACCACCAAACAGGCTTTGTGTGAACAACATGGCTGTTTATTTCACCTGGGTGCAGGCGGGCTGAGTCCGAAAAGAGAGTCAGCAAAGGGTGGTGGATTATCATTAGTTCTTATAGGTTTTGGGATAGGCAGTGAAGTTAAGAGCAATGTTTTGTGGGCAGGGTGGATCTCACAAAGTACATTGTCAAGGGTGGGGAGAATTACAAAGAACCTTCTTAAGGGTGGGGGAGATTACAAAGTACATTGATCAGTTAGGGTGGGGCAGGAACAAATCACAATGGTGGAATGTCATCTGTTAAGGCTATTTTTACTTCTTTTGTGGATCTTCAGTTACTTCAGGCCATCTGGATGTATACGTGCAAGTCACAGGGGATGCGATGGCTTGGCTTGGGCTCAGAGGCCTGACAGTTTCATATTGAATTTCTGAAGCCTTTTTGAAGGAGGCAGTCAGATCTGCCTCTAGCTCAGTGAGCAGAGGGATGACTTTGAATAGAATGGGAGGGAGGTTTGACCTAAGCAGTCCCCAGCTTGACTTTTCCCTTTAGTTTAGTAATTTGGGGACCCCAAGATTTTCCTTTCACAGAATCTAAGAGTGGCAGTGGCCAACCCAGAGATTTGCTTTATCTGTGATGGTCGTCTGAAACCTCTGCCCATTCTTTGGAACACAGGCCATAGAGGGAGTTGAGGCCCTTTGTTTTGGGTTAAATGGAGGTTGCCAGGTAGAGGGTGCTAAGTGAAAATGTTTTATACACAACATGCTGTTTACAAACAATAGTAGTTCTCCTGTCCAGCCTGCCTCCGCTGGATTTCTCTGTATGTAAGTTCCCACCCCCTCCATGCTAATAAACCTTCTGTCTCCAGGTCTCTTCTTTGGCCTCTCAGACATGGTGCCATCCCTACTGGAGTCAATAGGGGACTGGTAGGACAGTCCCACAAGTAGAAGAAACACTGATTCATTGGATGCTTCATGAGCACCTTCTCCAGGTCAGGCACTTTCTAGGAGCTGGAGAAATATCCAGGAACAAAACAGACAAGTATTCCTGTATTCAGGGAGCTATGTTATAGCAGGGGGGATATAGGCAAATATTAAGAATAAATAGAAATAAGTTAACACAAATTAAGCTTCTTCCAGATTATCCCACCACAATGGCATCATCCCAACTTTAAAATATATATAGTTTTTCCTAGTGGCAATTTAATTCAGACCATAATGGCCAAAATGATTGCTTTTGTAAACTAAAAATAAAATTCTAAGCCTTCCAGCCCTTTGATTGGACCCCTCCTCTCAGCTAAGGGAATTCTAAAGTTAACCTGAAAACCTAGTTCAGGCCAGGATGGGAAGCCGGGGTCAGGGGTGTTGGCCATGCCTCATTATGCCCTCCACCCTTTGGAATTCAGGGACAACTGACCAGCATTAACATCAAAACAGACATCTTAAGACTTCTTGTAACAATAAGGCTTCAAGTCCCAGCCTGACTTTAGTATAGCATCACTTGACAAATAGCAGGCCCTGAATGAAATCGAAGCATTTTACCCTAAAATATATTTATTTGACATATTTTGAAATGGCCCTGCAAAGCTTTCTCTCATGGGGAAAAAATCTACATTCTGTAGAGACTCCCTTTCCCTTTCCAGTTCTTTTCTTCTGATCCAGGAGAGAATTAACTAAGAGTCTAGCACCTTTTTAAGTCTGATAAGAAACATTTACAATCTATTGTCTCTGAAGCCTGCTACCTGGAGGCTTCATCTGCTTAATAAGAACCTTGGTCTCCACAACTCCTTATCTTAGTCCAGACACTTCTTTCTATGGATTCCAGGTCTGCAGATAAACTCTTTCAACAAATTGCCAATCAAAAAATCTTTGAATCCATCTATGACCTGGAAGTCCCGCTTCTCGCTCCCACTTCAAGTTGTCCTGTCTTTCCAGACTGAACCAATGTATATCTTACATGTATTGATGGATGTCTTATGTCTCCCTAAAATGTATAAATCCCAGCTGTAGCCAAACTGAAGCAGAGCCATTTGTCTGGGAAAATACCTGAGGTTTGTTACCTCACGGCCAAGGAAATCAAGGACACGAACACACAAGGAGTAGTTTAAGAGTGGATGTTTAAGGCCGGTCATGGTGGCTCACGCCTGTAATCCCAGCACTTTGGGAGGCCGAGGCGGTTGGATCACGAGGTCAGGAGTTCAAGACCAGCCTGGCCAAGTTGGTGAAACCCCGTCTTTACTAAAAATGCAAAAATTAGCCAGGCGTGGTGGCACATGCCTGTAATCCCCGCTACTCAAGAGGCTGAGGCAGAGAATTGCTTGAACCCAGGAGGCGGAGGTTGCAGTGAGCCAAAATCGCGACACTGCACTCCAGCCTGGGCCACAGAGCGAGACTCTGTCTCAAAAGAAAAAAAAAAAGGACGTTTAATAGGCGAGAGAAAGAGAAAAGGTCTCTCTTCTGCATAGAGAAGGGGGTCCTGCGTGGGTCTTCCATTTCCATGGTGAAATGCACGTGGTTTTATAGATGAGTTTGAGGAGGTGATGTCTGATTTACATAGGGGATGAGAGATTGGTTGGATCAGGTGTGCCATTTACATAGCACACGAAGAAGCTGGCCGCCCCACCCTCATCTGTTATCATGCAAGTGAGTTCTCTACCTGGCCGGCACCATGTTGCTTGCTTCTTTACACGTGGTTGACAAAGAAAAGGGAAGATGGAGCCTCCATGTTGTGCACAGCTGCCGGCATTCACCCCTGCAAGCTTCTAGCTTGCTTTTTTATGTCTGCAGCTTGATTTTTCAGGCTTCTCTTTGTTAGAAAAAAAATGATTTGGGGGCTGCTTTTTATTAAAAGGGAAACCTAGCCAAAGACTCTCTTACCCTCACTAACTGCCTAAATAATTTCTTTCTAGCTCCTGTATCAAAATTTCCTTGGGCACATGTCAGAAACTCCTGAGGCTGTGCCACGGGCACATCCTTAACCTTGGCAAAATAAAATTCTAAGTTGACTGAGATTGTCTCAGATACATTTTGGTTTATACTTTCATCTCCTAAAGCTACAGAGGCTAGTCATAGAGTTCTGCAGAGATCTGTTTAAGTTTCTTTTTCAAAAACCCACACGGGTAAAAGAATAGACCCAGGAAAATCCTTCCTAAGTCCCACAGTAATATTTGAGAAAGCTCAGCCTTATACAGGTATATGACTAAATTCTGTACATCTGAAACTAGGGCAAATCCAAGTAGAAGATGTATTGCATGTTAAGCCAGTAAGGGCTGGTTCAAAAATCATAGAAAGAAAGAGTCTGCACTATTGAAAACACTGAGAGAATCCACCTCAGCAGATTGCTACCCGGCAGCCATCTTTCCCAAACAGCTGTTGGGACCAAGGGAAACTTCCCGTTCACCCTCTGAATGTTCACTGAAAGATCATCTCACAAAAGGCAGATTCGTTGGTGAAAAGGCATTCGAATTTTATTAACACGTACATGAGGAGAATCACAGTGATTACCTCCTGCCAAGGGGATTTGGACGCTTCTCTAGCATCCTGGCAAAACAGATTATGGGAAGAGGAGAAGAGGAATTCTTTTGAGGAACAGTAAAGGCTTGCTGGGAAGAACCATGGATCCTGGAACAGAGATTACTTGTAAACACTTCTCTTTGGAATTTGAATAAGCCTGAGAGGCAGACATTACCTTGTGAAAAGGTCTGTTCAGGTGTGGTTACATTCTTGGTCTTACAGTGACAGGAAGACAAAATAATTGTTCTCCTTTTTGGTGGGGAGGGGGGTCCAGACTTAAGGGAGATAATGGAACTTAACAACTTTATCCTGTGCTTTGAGAGAGATGGTGGGAAGAGGGGAAGGTTGAAGAGACCTTAAGGCTTCTTCTACAGTTCAGCATGTCAAAGCACCATATTTTGGAGAATGGTTTCTGAGCTCCAACACTGCTGAAGATGATTCTGTGGCAGAGTTGCCTAAGGGAGAAGGCATATACCTCTAACTAATGAATCTTACGTATTGAGAAGTAAATGTCTTCCAGAAACTTCATTTACTGTAGGTATTTACACACAAATATACAAACACACAAGTATACAAACCCAGATATTTAAAATTTAAAATTTTAAAATTTTAAATTTTAAATTTCCACCTTGTCCCTATTTTCTGTGAGAGCTTGATCTTGAGATAGGAGTTTGGCAGGACTGGTTTCACAAGATACAGGTCACAAAGACCCCACTGATAAAGCAGGATGCGGGAAAGAAGCCAGCCAAACTCCACCAAAACCAAGATGGTGACAAAAGTGATCTCTGGCCATCCTCACTGTGCATTATACACTAATTATAATACATTAGCACGCTAAAGGAAACCCCAACCAGTGCCATGGCAGTTTATAGATGCCATCACAACGTCTGGAAGTTACCTTGTATGGCCTGAAATGGGGAGGAACCCTCAGTTATGGGAATTCCCGGCCCCTTTCCTGGAAAACTCAGATGAATAATCTACCCCTTATTTAGGATATGCTCAAGAAATAACCATAAAAGTAGCCAACTAGAAGATCTTGGGGCTGCTCTGCCTGTGGAGTAGCCACCCTTTTATTCCTTTACTCTCTTAATAAACTTGCTTTCACTTTACTCTTTTGACTGGCTCTTGAATTCCTTCCTGCTCAAAGCCAAGGACCCATGTGGCCTCCTGGGATGAACCCTAATTTGGGGGTTTGCCCTGTGACATTGCCATTGGAGATTTTGCATGCCATGGAACATTCCAGCTCAAAACCTCAAAATCAGCTTGACTGATGTTTCTTGTCCTCTGGGAGTCAACTTACATGTCACATCCTGAGAGACCTTTCCTGACTAGTGTGAATATGCTCTTCAGCTCATACCTCCCACCCACATGGTTACTTCCTTTCAGAAGGGAAGGAAGAACTAAATATAATTTATCTTATCTGAACTAGATATAATGGGAAATCATCTCTTCACTCATTCATTTCCTTGCTCACTTGTTTATTGTATGTTGCCTCCACTAGAACAGGGGTCCCCAACCCCTGGGCCATGGACCAGTACCATACAGCAGTAGGCAAGCTGTGGGCAGGCAAGCATTACCACCTGAGCTCTGCCGCCTGTTAGATCGGAGGTGGCACTGGATTCTCACAGGAGTGTATAAAATTTATAAAAGAAAGAAGATTGATTCACAGTTCCACATGGCTGGGGAGGCCTCACAATCATGGCAGAAGGTAAATTAGGAGCAAAGTCATCTCTTACATGGTGGCAGGCAAGAGAGCTTGTGCAGGGGAACTCCCATTTATGAAACCATCAGGTCTTGTGAAACTTATTCACTACCACAAGAACAGTATGGGGGAAACCTCCCCCATGATTCAATTATCTCCACCTGGCCCCACCCTTGACATGTGGGGATTATCACAATGCAAGGTAAGATTTGGGTGAAGACACAGCCAAACCATATCAGAGCACAAAACCTGTTGTGAACTGCACATGGAGGAATCGAGGTTGTGTGCTCCTTATGAGAACCTAATGCCTGATGATCTGAGGTGAAACAGTTTCATCCTGAAACCAACCACGCCCCAGTCTATGGAAAAATTGTCTTCCACAAAACCAGCCCCTTGTGCCAAAAGTTTGAGGACTGTTGCACTAGAAGAAAAGTTCCATGGGAACAGGAAACTTATCTTGCTTTCTCTCTCCCAGCTCCTAAAACAGTGTTTGGCAAGAGTGAATGTTCAATAAATATTTGCTGAATGGGTGAATCAAAAACTGTGTCAGGTTTGATTTAACAAAGCAGCTTTGGTTTTGCTGCTACCTTAAGCAACCATCTTGTGTCCCTTCCTTTTTCCCATATTTCAGTGTTCTGCCCCCACTTTTGATGGCTCCCTTCTCAGACTGGCTTCTTATCCAGCCCCCTTGCCTCCCTGAAGCAGCTCTCCTGAAGGCCAACCATGTCTTCTTCAAGGTTAGACCCAGCTTTGCCTCATTGACTTATCTCCAGATTGGGCACTGAGGAAACTTCTTGACATGCTTCTCACAGATGTGACCCTAGATGAAACTGAGCCCTTCGCTTGTCTACATGGTTTTATTTTCCCTTCTCAAGTATGTGTTCCTCCTACTGTCATATAAATAAGAATGTTCTTTGAAGTTGTATCTTTAGAGCTTTGCTTTTCTCTCTTTCCTCTTTACGTCAAAGATGGCACCTCCTGCTCTGTCATCATCGTCTCTTACATGGATGGTACCTATGGAAGTCAGTACAGCAGTTTACAAATGGTGGTCTTTTGCCATAGGCACATGTAGAATCATTTTTCTGCATTCATAAGATCTCAGGAGTGATAATGTGACTCACTTTGCCAATGAAATGTAAGAAAAAAATGTCATATGTCACTTCCGGGCAGAAATTTTGTAAGCCAATGCTTGCTCCTTTCCCTTATTCTCCTTTCCCTTTCTCTGTAATCATTGAGAACATATGGATGAAACTGACTTGATTGTCCATTAGAACAAATATTTATGATTTTTTTTAATCAACATAGAAATTGAGGCTCCCTAGTCTTAAAACTTGAAACTTAACATTTGTCTCATTTGAGTTTCTTTCTCAGGAAACTTACCTTCAGGCAAGGAACTGAAACTCACCAGATCACCACAACCAGTGAGATGCCAGACCCCTCATCCATCATAATTGCTTCCTTACTCTTTTCTAATTCCTGTTTTCCTACCTTGCCTGCTACATAAACCCCCCAATTTTAGTCGATTGGGGAGACAGATTTGAGACTATCTCCTGTTCTCCTTGGCTGCAGCACCCTATCAAAGCCTTCTTCCCTGGCAATACTCGTTGATTTAGTGATTGGCTTTCTATACAGTGAGCAGCAGGACCGATAGTGTTTGGCTCTGTGTCACCACCCAAATTTCATGTCGAATTGTAATTCCCAATGTTAGGGGAGGGACCTGGTGGGAGGTGATTGGATCATAAGGGTGGAATTCCCCCTTGCTGTTCTTGTGATAGTGAATGAGTTCTCACAAGATCTGGTTGTTTAACAGTGTGTAGCATCTCCCCCTTTGCTCTCTCTCTCTCCTGCTCTGCCATGGTAAGATGTGCTTGCTTCCCTTTCAGTTTCTACCATTATTATAAGTTTCCTGAGGCCTCCCAGCCATGCTTTGCTTCCTATACAGCCTGTGGAACTGTGAGTCAATTAAACCTCTTTTCTTCATAAATTATCCAGTCTCAGGTAGTTCTTTATACCAATGTGAGAACAGACTAATACAAGGACCTAGACCAAACCCCTGCTATTTCAGTAACAGATTTTGGTTCCCTAACTGGGAACGTGCTGCTTGTGGCTTGACCACAGTGGGCTGGCAGAGTTTCAGAAGCCCTCCTAAGCAGCTGCCCACCTTTTTTTGGCCAGAGGTTGGTTTCAGTCTCTCTCTCTCTAGCCCCACCGTTGCCAGCTCCAACTGCATTCTTGATTGCCTAAGAACAGCCTTTTTAATTTGGCATCAGTGTCTGGGTAGGTGAGTGTCTTTTGTGGGCTCAGAGAGCAGGATCAGCTCCTCTCAATTTGGGAAATTCTGGAGGAATTTCCATTTGTAGATGGAACAAGCCCAACTGTCAAAGAGGAAAGCACTCTGACTGTTTCAGTTTGTACACTCTTGGGGCTTGTTAGTAATTGCTTGTGTGTCTTGGCAACTGAGTGTCTTTTGTGGTTACCAGACAGTGAGATCAGCTCCCCTCAGCTTGAGAAATTTCAAAGGACTTTCCATTTGCAGGTTGAACAAGCCAAACAGACAGAGAGAGGAAGCACCTCAACTGTTTCAGTTTGGGCCTTTTGGCCCTTGTTTGCTGCTGCAACAGTTGTATTATATTTTGTTGATTGTTTTGTGTATGTTTTGATGTAGTTGTGGGAGGTCGGGATTTGATCCCACAGCGCTGCCCACTTTGATGCATCCTTCACGGTTGGTCTGAATATAGTTGTAGGCTGATGGCTATGGCCATCCCACCTCAAAAGTGCCAGGTCTCATCTCATCTTGGAAGGTCTTTGAATTATAGGGCAGTCTTCATTTTGCTGTTGAATAGGAAAGCAGGAGGGACTTCCATGTACCCAGGATTTTATGCTGCTGTTCTAAGCAGGGTTGGGCCTAGTTAGTACATAATGTTCTTCTGTAGTGTGTTTGGCCCCAGTATTCTTTGGAGTTTGGGAGAGTTTGACCTCTAAAAGGAAATCTAACTACCATGGAAACTGCTTTACCCAAAGTTTTGGTTCACAGCCTTCATCGGATTACCTATCAGAGCAAATAAAGTTTAGCCATGTGGACAGGTCCCAATTTTGTCAGAAATCATTTGGATCCAGCTATCTTTTACAGACTAGTAAGTTTGCATTGCTGTCTCATGGCTAGAATTCCAAGGTAAAAGTTACTGGCTCTTTATTTATATGGGTGTACATGTATCTGAATGTTACGTGTTTTCATACAGTACCAAATTGGCCTATAACTAAAAGAGCACTCATAAGTTAAGTAAATAAGTCCAAGCATTTTTCAAATGTGTATGACTGAAGTAAATGTATCATAAGCAAGCTGGCTTTAAGATTATTAGTAAAATAAAAATAAAAATGTCTTCAGAGTTGTCAGCATATATTTTTGTCTGGGTTTTATATTTGTCTCTGCTGGAAATTTTAAGGTGTCAGGGTTTGGCACAAAAGGTTGTAAGACTGCAAAGCCAGACAAGAACAAAATGATCTTTCTGTGATTTTTTTTTTAAATGAATAAAACTAATTTAATGTTGTTGGTTTAACAAAAACAGGTGAATCTTCTGCGTTATGGGTGAAAATACCTATGTGTGTGCCTTTAAGATTCTTACCTAGATGAATGCCTATTAGGCACCGGTCATAAAAATGGTTAACAAGGAAATCATTACTAGCTTTTTCTGATATCACTGTTTTCATAAGTCATCTAGATAAACTGCTAAAAATGAATGAAATATAAATGGGGTAAATACTGTAAGGGAATCTTTGTGGATTTAAAAATCTTCTAATTATTTTGGAAGCTCATTAGATGTCTGGGTCATTTCCAATAAAGAAAGGGTTATGACCTAGAGAAACACGTTTTTAAAAATTGTGGAAAGTTTTCATCTGTGAAATGCTAAATTCTGATAGACAGTTCAGGATTTCTTACATCCTAGGTTTTCACTAAAATTTAAGGTTACTAAAAATAAGAATTCTAGTTAATATATAATTCTGTATATAAAGCATGCCAAAGAAGATGTGTCCTTATTGAGAAAAAGAATAATTTTGTCTAAATTCAGAAGTTATCTAAAGGTTGATTCAAATTATGGACTTGGAAAAGTTATTTATGAAACAACGAAAAAAAAGGAAACACTAAGTAGGGGAAAGACATGTAAAAAAGTTACGGATATGAAGATGTATTTTTGGTAAGAAAGGTTATAAGGAAAAGAGAATGATTTTATATGAGAAAGGATCTTGTATAAGAGGCTTTGATTTTAATTCTATAATCTGTTTCTTTTTGAAAACTTCTCAGAGTTCTATCTCTGAGGTGCAACTTTGTTGTGTCTTGCTGTTTTCAGCTTTTTTCTTTCTCATTGTAAAGGCCTGAGATGATAACTCTCTCCTTCAACTTTTTTGTCAGCTTCTGTAACTTTATTTTTCCTCCTGTTCTAACTGATGTTGTGGCCTGATGCTTGAATGTTTATTTTGAAGGTCTAGAAAAGTAATGTTTTCCTCTAGAATAATTTGATTCTATACTCTTGGCTTTTCTTGCCATGTTGAAATTGTTCATCAGGTTTGACTTTCAGGTTATCTAAATAAGCTTCCCATAAAGAGAAGCAATCACCACCTTAGGAGGCTGAGGCAGGCAGATCACTTGAGGCCAGGAGTTCAAGACCAGCCTGGCCAACATGGTGAAACGCTGTCTCTACTAAAAATACAAAAATTAGCCAGGTGTGGTGGTGGGCGCCTGTAATCCCAACTACTCAGGAGACTGAGGCAGGAGAACCACTTGAACCCAGGAGACAGAGGTTGTAGAGAGCCGAGATCTCGCCACTGCACTCCAGCCTGAGTGACAGAGTGAGACTCCATCTCAAAAAAAAAAAAAAAAAAAGAGAGAAGCAGTCACGCTGTGGAAGGTCTTTCTTTGCCTTTTGCTATATGCCCCCCCAAAAAATTTTATATTTTACCAAGATAATTCCTGTGTCATCATTATTAGGTTTTTGATTGCTTAGGAATACTGGGACTTAGAGGCATTGAGGAATTAAGGCTTTTACATCACGTAATTTTCTCTATTGCTAATAAAGTCCTTGTGCTGTTGAGTTACAGAGCTTTGGCTGGGTCCGAAAAAGGCACTGCCTTCTGCTAAATCTTGAACACTGACACCAATCAAAGCCTCATCTTCAGACTGAGAGAAGATGGCAATCAAAATGAACTGCTTTCATAAGACATGAGGCCAGAAGTTAAAGTGTTTGATCTCTCTTGGCCCAGGGACTATTGGGGAAGAGGTGGGCATGTGAGATTGTAGGGCTGATTTTGAGGGATAAGATTAGTTCAGATTTTCTCTAGAAAGTAAACAATATCAAAAGCACACTTTTCCAAGGCCAGTGTCTGGGCCCCTGTGTCAGAATCACAGGATTCTCCTACAGCACTGACCTGCTCTTTCATAGAGAATTGTGAAAGGTTATAAAAGGCTTATGAAAATCTTACCTGTGGTCAAATTTATTAAACTTGGATAGAATTATTTATAAAGATTTATTGAAATTAGCTTTAACATAAATAATACATCATACCAAGGTAAAATTTGTTTTTATCTTTTGAATAAAATTTTCATATAATATTAATAAGAGATAATAAAAGTTTTTTGTTTATCTTTTGAGTAAACTGCAGGAAAAAAAGAGGAGAGAGAGAGAGACTTTTTTTTTTTTGGCCTCATGCTGTCTTTATTAGGCCTTATTATTTGGTAATTAGTATTTTGGCTAAATGAATACCTATTTTATAGTGACCTGTGATATTATTTTGTGATACGAAATGTTTTAAACCTTTGTTATTTGACCAACTTTCCAAAATCAAAATTTCAAGTTCTAAATTCAGTCTTTTGACTTGAAACTAACTTTTTAGATAGTAGGGTTCCCTGAAGCCCAAGAGGGACATATTATTTTCATTTGATATGTTAAAATTTTACAGGAAGCTTTGTCAAATATGAAATGGAGTTTGGCTTTCTTTGGGTTATATTTATATAAATGTGTTCCAAAATTGTATGAGATTCCTAAAATCCTGATTTATCTTAGTATATTATCAGGAATAATTATGATTATTATGTTAAATTGTCACAGAAATAACCAAATTTCCTTGTCAATTTTGTCTTTAACTATGGGTGTCTTAAGACTTTTGTCATCTACAATTATTGTTTCATTTTGATTCTTCTCAAAAAGCAGCTTACAATCAGCTATAGTCCAAAATTTGCTTTTGCAAATTGCTGATTATTTTTGTTTTTGTTTTTAGAGTCAACGAGGCTTTTTTTTTCCTTTTGAGCTAAGTATAGCCTTCGACTATTGTGTGGAGTATATCTTGTGATCAAAATTTGAAGCATATTTCTGTTTCTACCTGATTTCTGCAAAATTTGGAAACTGTGCATATTCCTAATTTATAGCAATAGTTATTTGCATAAGTTTAATAAAATTCTGTTTTCTTTTATAACTGGACACAATTGGAGGCACTGGTTATTTTACCAAGGCTTTGACTGGAATAATGTATTTTCAGATATGAGCAGAATGCTTTGAGGAATTGATGTTGACTTACAGAGCCTATGAAAGTCCCTTAAAAATACTGCCCTTGTACCTGGTCTACACAGTTCCTTTGCAGGGTTCCTGGCCTGTGGTAAGTAAAGAATGTCACTTTCTGACAGGCCCAGAAACCACAAGTTATTCTGGGACCTCAAGAAGAGAGGAATTCACCCAATTCATACAAGTATCTTCAGGCACAGATAAATCCTTGGCCGGGCTTGAGAGGTCTTTAATTTCAAATCTGAGATTCCTTATGAAAAGTTCCAGCAAAGCCCAATTTAAAAGAACCTATGAGAACAATAATTCTTGCTGTATTTTATGCAAATAATCAGGCCACCTAGAATAAGACTAACAATTTTGCAAATAAATTGGGTCTACTATGATTTGTCTTTGGTAGAAATGGGGGTTGGGAAAAAGAAAAATTGTGTTTCAAAAAAAAAAACACTAGAGTACACCTGTTATTAAATTAACCTTTGATTCTTGATGGCACTCTGGTCACCCATCATATGGAGCTGCAGCTGTGCTGCTTTCAGTTATTAAAGCTACAAGTTACCCATGGAATTTACAGATGGATTAAGCTCCTGGGGAGCTGGCTCACTGGATGCATAAGGAAATGTGAACTAACGAGGAAAAAAAATTAAATTCCTTAGTTATTGTTATCTATAATAGTTCCAAAGAAAGTAAGAGAGTGCGGAGTTCGGGCTTCAAACTAAACCAAGCTCAGATGTGAGACTGTTTGGATTCAGACCACTAGCCTCAAAGCTACCCACAAAAGGGAAAATTATGCCCGGGCACCAAAAAGCACCTCTGAGACCCGCAGTTTCCAAAAAGGTAGTCAATGTTGGAGAAAGGCAAAATCAAGTAATTATTGAAACCGGAGGGTATAATGTAAAGGGATAAGTTCTGTTTTGTAGATTGGTACCATCAGCTTCCTCAGAAACCTTTACTAAAATGGGTAGTGAGAATAACTAACTGAAGAGCAATGTCTTTGGTTTTAAATGCTGCAAAGTAGAAGAACCTGTTTTGGTTGACTCAGAACCCACCGCTCGCTAGTGAACAATCACAGATAAATATATATATTACAGGCACACAGGAGGTTATTCCCAAGACAATAGCCAGCCTGGTTGACTAGATAAAAGCCACTAATATCTGTTTACTTACTGAATACTTAAAGCCAGTAAGATCTGTTTACCCTGAGAAGGGAAACTGCTCAACTCCACTTATCAATGTCAAGTGGAGCACCTCAGATGAAGCAGATGATATGTTTCCTATGCAAACCAGTGGGGGCTGGCTTTATAATGGTAAGGGTATTAACTTTACCCTTTGGAAATATATTAACTACTTTCTCTGAGTTTACTTCCAATAGGCTCCAGTTCCCTACGGATGTGCCTCCTCACTCTTTGAAACTGAAACCAGAGAACCAAGTCATGCGGAGGACCAGCTGCAACCACAATGGATCGGCCCTTCTGAGGTGCTGCTGGCCAGCCACCCTTCTGTTCTTAACCAGTGTTGAGACTTGGATTCACCAGACTTGAGTAAAACCAGTCCCTTTGGGATCCCTCCAGGGAAAACAGTCATGGTCTTGTGAACCTTGGGAGGGCCTTAAGTTAGCATTCAAAGCCCAGACAAAGACGCTAGATAAGAAATCATAAAGTGAACATGCGGCTTTCAGGAACTTTCTCTTGGCTTCCCCAAGGGATCAACTCCATATTCTTTGGTATTATCTAAATTTGGGTTATCTATGTAATTTATTATCTTAGTCAATGTGGTGTAAAATGTTGCTCTAAAACCAAAATAAAAGTACCCCTGACTGATTCCAACCACAGGGGCAACATTTCCAAGCCTCTTCATGATCCCACAACATCCCTCCTCAGCATGAAGCAGCCAGAAAGATCGATGACCAGATTCCCCATGACTGAGGAATTGATCTATAGAAAAGGGGGACTGAAGTCATCCCTGTTGTCCCATAGAACTAACATTTACAGTTGTTTGAATAAACATAGAAACTGACCCTCCCTAGCCTTAAAACTTGAAACTTACATTTGTCTCATTTGAGTTCCTTCCTCAGGAAATCTACTCTCAGGCAAGAAACTAAAACTCACCGGATCATTTCATCTGAACAACAATATTCCAGACCACTCATCAATCATGATTGCTTCCTTACCTCCATGAATTCCTGCTTTCCCACCTCCCTGCTTCCCTGCTATATACACCTCCCGATTTTAGTCGGTCAAGGAGATGGCTTTGAGACCTTATCTCCCATTCTCCTTGGCTGCAGCACCTGATTAAAGCCCGCTTCCCTGTCAGTACTCATTGCCTCAGTGATTGGGATTCCGTCCGTGCAGCAAGCAACAGGACCTAGACTGAACCCCTGGCATTTTGGTAACATCGAGACAGAGCCTCTATTAAATGGAGCTCCTGAGTAACTAGGATGGACACAGTGCCCCTGATGAACCACAATGAACATGAAGCATGAGTTACAAATAAGCAGCATTGTTTCAAGTCACCAAGATGTTCATGTAGCTTATTATTGTAGCATAAGCTAATCTATGTTTACTGATACAACATCTCAATTTGTTTCTTTCTCTGAAGCGCAAGTTCTACTTCTCCTGCTGCCGTCAACATTTCTATATGATTTTACTTATAGAAGTACAAGCTCAACATATCTATTTCTATATTCATTATTTTTCCTCCCTAACCCAGAAGCAAAAGTCTCTTCCTGATTTTTTTTATTTTGGTCAATGGTACGAACACTCTTCTAAAAACCTAAACTTCATTCAATCACTTACAGTCATGTGCTGCATAATGATGTTTTGGTCATGACAGACCACAAATACGATGGTGGTCCCATAAAATTATAATGGAGCATATGCAGAAGCCTGATATGTGGCATTTGATACTGGCATTGCAGATTAAGTAGGGGAAATTATTGATATTCAGCAATGCTGCTGGGAAATTTGTTTTTCATATATATATATATACATATATATATACACACATATACATATATATATATACACACACACACACACATATGATCTAGGTTTCTGTAAGTACACTCTGTGATGTGTGCAGTACTGCAAAATCGCCTAATGATGCATTTCTCAGAATGTATCTCCATTGTTAAGTGATGCATGACTATTTTACATTTTGTCCCCACTTTATTTGCAACTCTGCCTTATGGTTCCCACAGGTGCCTCCTTGATTCTTGCTTTGGTCCCTCAATTCTTGCACTATTATACGTCTTGAGTAATTTTGCTGCTTTTATTCTCTTCCCTTTTATGATCAATTATCCTTCCTTTGTCATTAGCTATTCATGAATGTGATAAAAGTAAATATCTAGATTATATTATGCCTTTGCTCAAAACTCCGATGTGTCCCCATCATCTACTGAATAAACTCTCAATCCTTGATCTGGCATTTAAGACCCTGCATTCTTTCACCTCTAGTCTCATCTCCCCTACTCCTTTGCATGGATCTTACATGAGCACAACACCACATAGCCCACCATAAATGGGATATAACCTGTGATGGTTAATTTTATGTGTCAATGTGACTGGGACAGAGGATGCCCAGATATCTGGTTAAACTTTTTTGTTTTTTCTTTTTTTGAGATGGAATCTTCCTCTGTCACCCAGGCTGGAGTGCAATGGCGTGATCTCCACTCACTGCAACCTCCACTTCCCAGACTCAAGTGATTCTCCTGCCTCAGCCTCCAAAGTAGCTGGAATTACAGGCACGTGCCACCACACCCAGCTAATTTTTGTATTCTTAGTAGAGATGGGGTTTTACCGTGTTAGCCAAACTGGTCTTGAAATCCTGACCTCAAGTGATCCTCTTGCCTCTGCCTCCTAAAGTGCTGAGATTATAGGTGTGAGCCACCACGCCTGCCCTGGTTAAACATTATTTCTGGATGTGTCTGTAAGGATGTTTCTGGAAGAGATTTGTTTGAGTTGGTGAGCTGAGTAAAGTGAATTGCCTTCCCCCAGTGTTAGGATCATTCAACCTTTGAGGGCTCTGAACAAAAAGTCAGAGGAAGATGAATTCTTTCTCTCTGCCCAACTACTTAAGCTAGGTCATTGGTCTTCTCTTGCTCTTAGATGGAGGATTACACCAACAGCTCCCCAGGTTCTTAGGCCTGCAAGCTTGGACCGGAATTTCCTTTACCAACATTCCTGGGTCTCCAGCTTGCACACAGCAGATTGTGAGACTTTTCTACTTTCATAGTCATATGAGCCAATTCCTTATAAAAAATCATTCTATATATATAGAATGAGTATATACTCTGATATGGTTTGGCTCTGTCCCCACCCAAATCTCATCTTGAATTGAAGCTCCCATAATTCCCACATGTTGTGGGAGGGACCTGCTGGGAGATAATTGAATCATGGGAGCAGTTTCCCCCATACTGTTCCTGTGGTAGTGAATAAGTCATGACATCTGATGGTTTTATAAGCGGTTTCCTCTTTCACTTGACTCTCATTCTCTCTTTGCCTGCTGCCATGTAAGATATTTCTATGCTCTTCCTTTGTCTTCTGCCATGATTGTGAGACCTCCCCAGCAACGTAGAACTGTGAATCCATTAAACCTCTTTCCTTTATAAATTACCCAGTCTCGGGTATGTCTTTATTAGCAGTATAAGAACAGATGAATACATACTCTATTGGTTCTGTTTCACTGGAGAACCCTGACTAATACATACCCTGAGCTTATTTGCTCAGTGCTCTTAGAATTAATTTTCTGTCTTTGAAATCCTTTTCTTCCCACATACTCATGTCAAAACCCAAGTTCACTTTTAAAACTCAGCTGAGATGCCACTTTCTTCATAGGAACGTCTCTGATCCCTCCAACCAAAAGTGACTCCCCTCTCCTGGGACCCCTAAGGCACCTGCTCTGCTCTATTTCTTGTTGTTGCAGTAATTTCTCCAGAAGTCTTATCTCCCCTACTGGACAGTGAGTTTTTTGCATGAAGAATGAAGTTTTTTACATGAAGAATACAATGGCTAACCTTCGTGTTTTTCCATAAACATTAGTTGAGTAAAGAAGCACCAGGACATGACCTCAATTCACAGAAAAGTTGTGTGGCTAAGCAAAGATAATTCATATGAGAATTTCACATTTTGAGAAAACAGAGGGCAATATTAAGGCTAGGTAATAATTAGTGTTGTTGTTTTTTAGTTTTGCGACAAATAAAAAATGGTCCACCCTTGGGTTATGAAATTTCATTTTATTTGATTTAGAGATGTACTGCTGGTGATAATAAAACACCTAAATATTAGAAACATCTGTAATTCTCCATCATTAGCCTTTCCAGTATAGTATATTAGATAAATACAGCCAGACCCCAGTTGTATACTTATGGCTCTTTATTGACAGCACCGTAAGTTCCGGAAACCCTCAAATCTCTCTGCTGTCATTTCTTCCAGAGAAAGAAAAATCATTATTAATGTAATGGCTTATTTATGACTTTCTCTTTGCTCTTGGATATTATCTTCCAGCCCTACCCCTCTGTGTTAGTCAGGGTTCTCTAGAGGGACAGTACTAATAAGATATATGTATATATGAAAGGGAGTTTGTTAAGGAGAATTGACTCACACGATCACAAGGTGAAGTCCCACGATAGGCCGTCTGCAAGTTGAGGAGCAAGGAAGCCAGTGGTGGATCAGTCTGAGTTCCAAAACCTCAAAAATAGAGAAGTCAACAGTGCAGTCTTCAGTTTGTGGCCAAAGGCCTGAGAGCCCCTGGCAAACCACTGGTGTAAGTCCAAGAGTCCAAAAGCTGAAGAACTGGGAGTCTGATGTTCAAGGACAGGAAGCATCCAGCATGGGAGAAAGATGAAGTCCAGAAGATTCAGCAAGTCTGCTATTTCCAACTTCTTCTGCCTGCTTTATTCTAGTCGTTATGGCAGCTGATAAGATGGTGCCCGCCCAGATTGAGGGTAGGTCTGCCTTTCCCACCCCACTGACTCAAATGTTAATCTCCTTTGGCAACACCCTCACAGACACAGCCAGGAACAATACTTTGCATCCTTCAGTCCAGTCAAGTTGACAGTCCATATTAACCATAACACAAACTAACCCTGGGAATATGGATGGCAGAATTTTGTAAAGTAGTAAGCTACCATGGAACTGGTGACTCTGTAAAGGCGGGAACCATAAACAGATGAACATTAACATGAACTTACTCTGAGAATTCTCCATGCCAGTTGTTCTTAAAGTGGGTTCCCCAGATCAGCAGCATTAGCACCTTGTTGGAAATGCATATTCTGGGGCCTTTCCTCAGACCTACTGAATCAGAATGTCTGCCAATGGAGCCCAGACACTTATATTTTAACAAGGTTTTCTTGGCGATTCTGATGCACATTGAAGATTGAGAACTATTGCTTGATAGCATCTCTTAAGTCCCAAAGTTAAGAGAACTAGAATAAATTCCTTTACCCAGTATGGTCAGAAAATGTCTCCAGACTTCCAGCTTCACATCTGTTCTTGACATTTATGCCACTTCCTGTACTTACACAGCGCTCAGATTTGATGAATGTATTCATGTCATGGTTTGACAAATTATCTGAATTATAGATGATGTTACAGTTTAGTTTGTCTCTTGGCTAAATAAACGAAGATTTACTCAAGCAAGCTAGCTTAAGGAAGGCGGGTGTTTATTGTGAGGAATTACATGAAGTGATTAGGAGAATCTATTGGATATCTAAGAAGAGAAGATCTAAAATAGGGCTGGACCTCACACAGTCCAGATTCAAGATGGGTCTAAACATCTTGGCAGAGTGTTAGTGATACATCATGGTTTTTATACAATTACACTTCATATGTCTGCTTCTTTCATCCTGCTATCAATTAGTTTCCTCTGTTTAATCACGTTTCTGATCCTCCATAATTTGTGGCCGTAGGGTTAATTATTTCAATGAAAGAAAGACTATGATAGGTTGAACTTATCTTTGAAGTGTCATGCTATTGGTCATTCATGTTGATAGTCAAATACTAAAACTTAGCAATTGATACATAAGAGGTATCAGCCAATCGGAATGAAGAACCAACTTTTTAGAACAGGATGTCAATCAATTAGATTAGGCACTGACTACATAAACCTGGCATGGCTGTACCAATGCATACCTGCTAAATATTGGGCTGAAAAAATGGCTATGTACATTTGTCCCTTCAGAAGAGAGTATGAGCACAGCAGAAAGATTTGTATAGGTAGAAATTATGATTTTATTTTTGCTTAACATCACATCCACAAATTTCAACACAGTACATGGCACATAGGAGACATGCATTAAATGTTTAACAGGACATAATTTTGAAAAGTTACTTAAATACTTCCCAGTATTTAAATAACACCAATAAACATATTTAAAATTCAAGCTTTAAATCAAATTTAATGTTATCCTTTCCTTGCAAATGGCCTTTCAGCCTCCTTATCTATTATTTTTGCCCTTACTTCTTCCTCACCAACATTCATTGTGGATCATTTCAACAATCTTCTAATTAATCTTCCTGTCTCTAGAATCTCTTTTTCTTTTTCTTTTTCTTTTTTTTTTTTTGAGACGGAGTTACGCTCTTGTTGTCCAGGCTGGAGTGCAATGGGGAGCTCTCTGCTCACTGCAACCTCCGCCTCCTGGGTTCAAGTGATTCTCCTGCCTCAGCCTCCCAAAAGGTGGGATTACAGGCACCCGCCACCATGTCCAGCTAATTTTTTTTTTCTTTTTTTTTGTATTTTTGGTAGAGACAGGATTTCACCATGTTGGCCAGGCTGGTCTCGAACTCCTGACCTCAGGTGATCTACCCGCCTCAGCCTCCCACAGTGCTGGGATTACAGGCACGAGCCGCTGCGCCCAGCCTCCTTTTCTAATATAACTTCTGTCTCCAAAGCATCTCTCTAATACAAGACTTAAGTATCCCAGTTACTTATCCATTTTCCTGTTTAAGGATAAATTCATGAATAGGAAAAGTATACTCATACATAGAAGCAATAAATGTAAAAACACAATAGTGGTTGCCTCTGGGGGTACAAGGAATAGTCAGACAAAGGTTTAACCTGGAAGTATAATCTTTATATGTTTTAAAATTTAAAAATCGAAATAAAAAAATTACACTTTATAAAACAGTCAAGAGTTGATGTTATTATGCTCCTGTTAGTAGCGTTATCAAATGACAAGCCAGAGTGGACACAGCTGAGTGAGTACTTCAGACATGCAGTCGTGACTCCAGAAAGACTAGGCCTTAGGAATGAGGGCCATGCTCTAAGTTCAAAACTGAAATAGACTTGCCCTAACAAAGAATGAAACAAATCTGACAGGACCAAAAGAACCCATCATTAACTTAATAGTATAATATGGGATAAAAACACTCAACACAAAATTCTTTATCCTTTAAAATTATACTTCAAAGGATGAAATAAAGATATTTTCAGGATAACAAGCCTGTAGAATTTATTGCCAGCAGGTCTGTATTATAAGAAATGCTTAAGAAAAATTTTCAGACTGAAAGGAAATGACACCATATGGAAACTTGGATCTACAGGAAAGAATGAGAGAACCAGAAAAAGTAAATGTTATTAGAAATACAAAGAAATGTTTTTTCCTTCTCTGAATTTTTTGAAATATAACAAATTATTTAAAACAAAAATAATACATTGCATTATAGAATTTTATTACTTATGTGGACAAACTAAAGGACAACAATAGCAAAAAGGATAGGCAGAGTAAATAGAATTTTGCTGTTGTAAGGGTCTTACATTTTATGTGAACTAGTAAAATATTAACTCTAAATTGACAGTAATAAGTTAAGGATCCATCTTGTACTCTATCTAGAAGAAACCATAAAAAATTAACACAAAGCAAATAGAGGAATGAAAATGGAATATAAAAAATATTACTTCAGAAGACAGGAAAAGAAGAAACAGATAAACAAAACTAGATAAGATAACTTGGAAATAAATAACAAGAGGGTAGACTTACACCCAACCATATTATTAATTATATTAAATGTAAATGAATTAAACTTTCTATTTAAGAGGTAGAAACTATCAGACTAGATTAAAAAGCAAAAGGCAGCCATATAATCCTAAAGGAGACAGAGAAACAATTTAAATAAACTGGCACAAATAGATGAAGAGTAAAAGGATGGAAACAGTAAGCATAAGAAGGATGGTATAGGTATATCAACAGAAAATAAACTTCCAGACAAGGAATATTACCAGTAATAAAAGGGTACTGCATATAATGATAAACAATTCAATTCAACAAGAAGATATAGCAATCATATATCTTATGCAGTTAATAACAGAGGTTCAGGATACATGAAGAAAAAAACTGACAGAGCTAAAGGAAGAAATAGACACACCCACAAACATAGTTACAGATTTTAATACTTCTCTCTCACTAACTGACAGAATTAGACAATCAAGATATAGAAGATTTTAACAACAATATTAATCAACTTGACCTAATTAATATTCACAGAACTATAACATTACACCCAACAACTGCAAAATATACATTCTTTTCAAGTACACTTGGAATGTCAGCCAAAATAAACACTATGCTCAAAAGTAAAATAAGCCTCAACACTCAAAAGATCAAAATCTTAAAGAATTTGTTTTCTGGCCAAAACAGAATTACTTAGAAATCAATAACAATAAGATAGCTAGAAAATGTCCAAATATTTGGAATTAGTACATTTCTACATAGCCCATGGATTCAAATAGCAATCACAGGCATGACAAAACATTTTAGCTGAATGGTAATGAAAATAACAATGTTTGGTAGAAGCAATTAAAGCAGTGTTTGGAAGGAAATGTATAATTATAAAGATTATATGGGAAAGGAAGAATGATTTTAAAACAATGATCTAGGCTTCCATCTTAAAAAACTAGGAAAATAACAAATTAAATCCAAAGTAATTAGAGGTAGGAAATAATAACAGAAATCAATGAAATGGAAAAAATAGAGAAATATGACAAATCCCCAAATAGGTATGTTGAAAAGATTAACAAAATCAATAAACTCATAGTAAGACTGCTCAAGAAGGAGAGAAAAAATATCAAAACTGAAAGAGAGGTCATCATTTCAGATTCTACAGACATTAAAAGGATAATAACATTACACATACCTTTATAAGGAAAAATTTGGAAACATATAAAATTGACAAACTCCTTGAAAAATACAGCCCAAACTGACAGATATTCTATTAACCTTTTATTTACTGAACAGATTTAATTTATAGTCAAAATGTTTCCACAAAGAAAACAAACTTCAAGTCTAGATGTTTTCACTGTTGACATTTATCAAATATTTAAGAAAGAAATAGTATCAATATTAAACAAGTTGGTTCAGTAAATAGAGCAGGGAAACACTTCCCCACTAGTTTTTTCAGAAGACCAACACATTAGAGGAAAAAAAATTGAAAACAAATATCTGTCATAAATATAGGTGCAGAAATCCTTAACAAAATATCAAATTGAATCCAGCACTATAGAAAGAGCTAATACATCATGATCAAGTTGGCTTTCTTTCCAAATTTTCAAATGTCTTAACACTGGAAAATCAATCAGTGTAATTCATTATATTAACAGAGTACAGGAGAAAAAAAAATACAATCATCTTAATAGAAGGAGGAAAAGCATTTGGCAACATTTAACATCTATTCATGATAAAAAAAAAAACCTCTCAACAAATTAAGAATAAGAGGCAACTTCCTCAATATGACAAAAGAGCATCATATTTAATGGTTAAATATTGAACCATTAATATTTTCCTCCTTAGACTGAAAGTCTTGGGCAGGACTTCCAGGTCCAGGAAATCTTTAAAGGTAGCTACCCAATTGGCTGGTCCCTTTACTCTTCCCTCGTCCCCTGTCTCTTTTTTCCTAGAATGTAGATGGCAGGAGCTGCAGCTACCGTCTTGTAACCGGGAAGTAACTAACTTTGAAGAAAAAATAAGCTTCTATAATTTTAGGTTACTTTTACTGAGGCCTCGGTTACCCATGGCTGAATGCAATGCTTGATTGATACGAAGAAACAACTTTGGTTGAGTCCTTATTATGCGCTGGGCTGTCATTTCTTTTGTTATTTAAATTCTCAAGGGCCTTTGTAGTGGGCATTGTGCACCCCAATTTACAGATGAGTTAACAGTAAAAAGAAAAGCTCACCTACTCTGGGCAGCCTTCCTAAAGAAAATTAACCAATGCTTCTAAGATCCTGTCTAGCAGATCTTATCTAGCAACTGACACATCATATTTTAGGTATAGAAGCATACAGTTTGGTCATATTCGAGTAGGCTATTTGAGGTCTGGAATGACATCTTATTCACCATGTCATTGCTAGTGCTTGAACAGAATATGTTTTAAAAATACAATTCAGGGAATAGACTGTCATGTACTGTGTTATTCAGAATCGTCATTATCAAGAAGACCAACTGCATACTAGAGTCAGGAGCACGTGGCAATTGGTAAAGAGTTTCACCACCTAGACATCAAGGATTGAAAAGTTCTTGCATTACGCAGGCTCTTTCCAGGGCGACTGCTTGCTAGAGCCTACCCGTATGTTCTTTGGATCCTTGGGGCCTATCCTGTGTTTTATGACCCATGATCCTATTTCCTAGGTGCAAAATAGTGTGTTTGAAATACAGCTGATAAACCACTCTACCCAACAGACAAGAAAAATATCCCTGACTGGGCAGACCAGTAATCTGATACTTCTTTAGTAAAAGAAGAGAAAGGAAAAATAATGGACACACGATTTTGCAGTGGTTGACAGCAGCAACAGCAAGGTATTCCCATTGCCACACATCGTGTTCCAAAGGAAGACCTTTCCATGGCAACGTTGCTGTGGTCCCACTCTCTGTGAGTGTGGTTTGTCCATCCCCAAGTTTGTTCCACCCTAGGTTTTAAGTGTCCTCTTAAAGCCATGACCCCTCTCCTTGACCCTTTCAAGGCACACTCAGCTCTTCGGGAAGACCCTGGAAGTAATTATGTAATTAAATGAAGTCTCCATATGTTTGTTTCTGTTTCCATTTTGCTTTTGGTTCTCACTCACATTCACCTACTCTCCTGCCTCACTCTGAGCTAGGTCTGAGAAAACAAGGATTATAATTCTAGACAGGGAAAAACAGACCAAATTCCAGTTAAGGGGTAGGTGGTTTTGAGACATTTTCTTCCCTGGTTCCTTCTTTTTCTATACTCTTCTTCCCTCTCCCTTTTCCTGCCCTCATTTCCTTTTTTCTTCCATGAAAAAGAGGGACAGGGTTTGAGGTTCAGTGTTGAATGAAGAGTCCACAATGTTTATACCTGAAGACAAAAATGGGATTTGTCATGACGATAGGAAAGATGTAAGACAGAAAAGATGTGCTTATGAGTATCTAGAGGTGGCTATTGAAAGAAGTCCAGTCCTTTTAGAAGGACAATGATTCCTGGATATTTTTAACAGCCTGCCTCCTAGTGGATTGGAAGACTGTTGCTCTGTTTGTGGAACCCTATCACTTCTCTCTGAGAAAGCCCCGCAGATCTAGGTTTCTGGTTTTGCGAGTTTGGGATTTTCCCCCTAACCAGGCTTGTATCGACAAGTTTACTGAATTGTCAACTTTAAGTGTGCAGCACTCATGGCATCTCAGGACACTCAGGATGCCCCTCCCCCCGCCACCAAAGTTTTAGGATTTTTTGTTAGTTTTTTACTATGTCGCAAACAACTTGCATAAGCTCCATGGATGTTAGCACATGAAGTTTTATAACAAATCAAGAATATCCCAGACAACGTGTCTCTTTCCCCACAGCTTCAATATTTCTCCAGCGAGAGCATAAGATTTGCCAAGGAAGCTCATGACTCTTCATCAGAAACAGATCCCTGCCCTTCATCACTACCCAGACAGGGACCGAATTGTTACAGGGTCAGGGTCTGGATAACCCCAACGTATTGCCAGAGTTCCACTGTAGTCCGCAGGGGCTCTGCAGTCCTTGGGTGTGACTGTGAGCCCACCCAAGAAGCCTGCTGTCCCCAGCAGCCCACCAGCCAGACCTATGACACAGGGAGCCCAGCCTTTGGAGGTCAGAACTAGAGAAGAGCCTGACCTATTCCTTGCTGAGGAAATAACCAGAGAAGCTGTGTGATAAGGAATGTGAGGATCCATCCAGGAGGATTCTGAGGTCGCCATTCTCCTATGTAGTGTGATCTTCCAGGGGCTGAGGCGTCCTCTGCCGTCCCTGACTCTCCAGGACCCTGAGAGCCAGCCCAAGGGTGTGAAACTCTGCTGGGGCGTTTTTAAAGCCCCATCCTTTGGATGACTGCTGGACTTGTCTGCCCAGCTGCTCCTTTCTGAGAAGGCCTGGAGCCGCCTTGCAGTGTGGGATTCCTCACTGGGGTCTCTCTTTTAAGTAGTCGTGGGCAGTGGACTGCTGAGCCTGTGGGGGGTTCCTTCCTCTCCAGGGAAGGTCTGCTATGAGAGGGCTCAGCAGAGTCGTCGCCAAATCCAGCAGGGATGCCCCAGCTTGGTCCCCAGTGTTCAGAGGGAACTCTTTGCTTCCCTTAGAAGACTTGTGCTTCAGATGAGACAGTCCAGCAAAGAATGAAATGGTTTTCAAGACATTCTAATCAATTACTTATGCTAATAATTGGCAATTTGAACACTAATTTTATAGCACTTATAGTACCATGTATTCTATATACAGAATCTCATTTAATCCCCTTAACAGCCTAATGAATTGGGTAGTTTTATGATTTCCATTTTGCAGATGGGGGTAGTGAGGCTAAAAGAATATAAATGACATTGTCAGGGCTGAACAGCCAGTAAGTGTCAGTCCAGGAACAAGCCAATAGAATGTAATTCTTAAAGAAATAAAAACAAAATTGTAGTTTGTGATGTAGAGATTTGTCACTTACACACTTGGGAATAAGTCACTATTTCATTTTATAGTCATGACAATGAGGAAAATGGATGCTGGTCGTTATCAGACACGTGTCCTGGAATTTTTAATTGATGTGTGAAAAAATTCAGAGGATGTAAGGATGTTTCCTTGGCAGGAGTGGTAATAGCCAAAGATGCATGGAAAAATCTAGAAAAAAATAAAATTATTATTCTAAAATTCCAATGAGAAACAAAGGGAAATAGTAGGTATGTATAAATATTTGCCTATATAAAATGAATATATAAACAAATACATAAACAAAACCAAAGCCAAAGCCAGTTTAATTACAGACAGGCACCACTGCTGAACTCAGATTTTAACAAATAAATATAAAAGAAGGAGGCTGGACCCATAATGAGGACAAATAGAACCAGGGCATGCACCTGAAAGAAGAGTGGCTGGAGGCAGAGGGTTAGAATCCAGAATGGCTGAAAAAATGCTGAAGGTGATAAAAAATGTCCTTTATTTCCTTTGGGTCCAAGGAGTTGTCAAGGAGGGGGCAGATCCCTTCTACTACTCAAAGATAATGAAGGGAAAAATGCTGAAGCATTTCATTTCTCTCTTGCTTCTCTTGCATGCAACTAGAATAGTCTTTAATTGGAAACAAAACAGGAGTTGAGGCTCATGATAAGAAAAAGAGCTGCCGCTCGTGGGTGCCCATTTTATGCCAAGTCCATATACATGTTCTAGTCAAGTCCCAACAGTAACTCAGAAAAGTTGCCATATAACCAGCAACCTCCTTCTCCCTCCCCGCCCTGCCCTGCCTGACATGCTTTCTGTTGGCAACTAGATTACTCTATGAGGAAAACATATCTGTATTTCTGCAAATCATTCGAGAAAGCCATAATGAATTTTCTGTGGATAAAGTGGGGAACTGTGTGGTGGACTGTGGTCAAGTGAAGCGGCCCTTCAATTGATGGACCCACTCGATTTATTGCCAGAAGACCCACGTTTCATCTGGATGTGGCCCTTCTCAGATGGGGGACTTTGGTCACATTATTTAAACTATATGAACCATAGTTTTCTTATCTGCAAAATAAAGTTGATGTTACTACTCACCTCATAAAGTAGTCATAAGGATTAATTTAGATCAGGGTCCCTAGCCTCCAGGGCATGGACCAGTACCGGCCCATAGGCTGTTAGGAGCTGGGCTGCACAGTGGGAGGTGAGGAGGTGACTAGTGAGGGAAGATTCACCTGTATTTATAGGCACTCCCCATCACTCTTATTGCTGCCTGAGCCTCGCCTCCTGTCAGAGCAGCAGTGGCATCAGATTCTCATAGGAGTGCAAAGCCTATTGTGAACTGCACATGTGAAGGATCTTGGTTGCATGCTCCTTATGAGACTCTAATGCCTGATGATCTGTCACTGTCATCACCCCTGATGGGACCATCTAGTTGCAGGAAAACAAGCTGAGGGCTCCCACTGATTCTACATTATGGTGAGTTGTATAATTATTTCATTATATATTACAATGTAATAATAATAGAAATAAAATGCACAATAAACATACCGTGCTTGAATCATCCCGGAACCATCCCCCAACCACACCAGTCTGTGGAAAAATTGTCTTCCGAAACCAGTTCCCGGTGCCAAAAAGGGTGAGCACTGCTGATTTGGATCACGTGTATTAAAGTCATTTTGTAGATTATAATGTGTTAGATGACAATAACTACTATAGATATCAATTAATATTACCAGAAAAGAGTTACAAAACTTTGATCTTGGCCCTATTTTAGTCAACATTTTATCAAAGATGTGAATCAAGATAGAGGAAACGTCCTTATCAGAACTGCACGTGACACAGAGCTGGCAGTGAAAGCTGACATGTTTTATAAATCTTAAGCTTTCAGCAAAATTCAGAGTGAATGCAGATTTAGGGCAGTTGTAATGATTTTGATAGGCTGGAATATTGGACAAAACCAATAAGAAAAAAATTTAGCAAGAAAACTTTTACATCTGTGCTTGGCTAAAAATGAAATTCCACAAGGACAAGTAAGAAAGCAATTCATATGGAGGATCTGAGAGATTCGTTTGACCACCAGCCTAGTCTGAAAGGGCTATGTGAGGTAACTGCAGAACACGGCAACAGAATCACAGGTTGTGTTTACAAAGCAGAGTCCACAGTACTCTTCTTGAGCCAGTACTCATCCAGAGTCATTTGCTTAAGCAAATGGAGAGGGTATATTTAGAGGACAGATAAGATGATGAGGTTTCTAGTAAGTGACAAGTGTTGAAGGCATTAGAAGTGCCTGGAAGAGAAAAAAAACTAACGGTAGTAAAACTAATAGTAATAATGACAATCAGTACCACCACAGAAATAGCTAATACTTACTGAGTAATTGTATGTCTGGTATTGTGCTAGTCCCTTGTCTGCGTTACATTGTTTAATCCTCTCAACAACCTTGTGAGTCAGGTACTGTTATTATCTTTACTTCCCCATTTAATAGATAAGAAAACAGACACGATAAGTGGCTTATTCAAGGTTATATAGCTATTACATAGTTATTATACAGCAAATGAGAAAGCAATATTTGAACTCAGGCATTCTTATTTAGAACAGGAATTTTTAGCCAACATGCTATTCTGCTTTCTAAGAGTTGGGGATAATAAGATAGCTCACTTAAATATTTGAAGGACTATCTATGGAAGAGCGATCAGCCATTTGCTGTACATTTCTGCAAGGTAGTGCTATCCCAGGAAGTATAAAATACTGGAAGGAGATTGAGGCTGAGTGTTAAGGAATACAATTTAGGCTAAATGTTATGGAATGAAATGGATTGCAGCGTTTATTTCTCCATCCACTTGTCAAGCAGAGGCTTAATGGCCGCCCCTTAGGGTTTCCCTTCAAGCTAAGAGGTTGCCCTAGGTGAACCCAATGGCTCCTTCGAGATTCTAGTTTCATTAGAATCATCTTTGGCCAAATATATTAATTAGGACTCATGACCTCAAGCAGCAGGAACTCAACTAATTACAGCTAGACTGTGTGAGCTTTCTTGGAAGAGCAGGGATGCCGCTGATCCTCAGTCGTAATGGAACTAGGAATGCGGAATCTGTAGGACTCTCTCCACATTCTTGCCTCCACTTGGTTTTGCTGACTTTCTTAGCATAAACCAACTTTCATCAGATATCAGAAAACACTGTCACTGGAAGCTCCTGACTTTTCCCCCACAATGGGATAGTTTTTGTCACTGGAGATGGACTGCCTCTTTGGTATCAAGGCAAAACAAAATAAAACAAAAAAATAACAAATCTTCATAGGCAAGGTAAAGATTGGCCCAGTTTAAGAGTCTGCACCCTCTATAATACCATCACATGGGGCTGGGGAATGGCAGGTCTCAGAGGAAAAATGTGGATGGACTAGAAAAGAAAGCTTATAATAAGCAATAGGGTCCCCTGCCCCAAGGCAGGATGATAGGAAGCTGGTACTCAAAAGGCATTAAGGACACGACAGGTTTAAAGTCTTTTTGATGTAACCATACACAAACCATGAACATAAATTTCAGGACTCAGGAATCTTCCATGTTTATGACAATAATCTTTTCTTTTATTTATTTATTTTTTTTTGAGACACAGTCTTGCTCTGTCGCCCAGGCTGGAGTGCAGGGGCGTGATCGCAGCTCGCTGCAACCTCAGCCTCCGGGATTCAAGTGATTCTCATGCCTCAGCCTCCCACAGGCGCCTGCCATCATGCCTGGCTAATTTTTATATTTTTGGTAGAGATGGGGTTTCTCCATGTTTCCAGGCTGGTCTCAAAACTCCTGGCCTCAAGTGATCTGCCCGGCTCGGCCTCCCAAAGTGCTGAGATTACAGGTGTGAGCCACTGTGCCCAGCTGACAATAATCTATCTGAGAATATTTGAGAAGGACATTCACTGTTAATGCTGGGTATCTGGCACCTATAATGTGCTCGGCATTGAGCTAGGTGCTGTGCTGGGTATGGAATTGCAGGCTTTGATTCCTGTGTTCAAAGGCCTAACCATTTAATGGGATTAAGGACTAAGCATCATTCTGAGAACCATTTCAAATATAATGAAACCGAAGATTAGACCTTATCAATTATCTCATTTAGAAATAGATTTCACATCAACTTTAAATCAAAACTAGCTTCCCAATAAAACTCTCAGTGCTTTAGAAATAGCCCCAAATGCAGGAATCTACAGATGCATTCATTCAACTCATTCACTTCTTATGTGCTCATCACTGTTTTAGACACTATAATACAAGTGGTAATGATTCCCTTTCCTCAAATTTCTTGCCATTGTTCTCTCTGCCTGACATAGTCTTGCTTCCCATTGCCATTATCTCCTTCTATTTAACTCCTGTTCATTTTTTTAATAAGCTTTCCCTAAATGTCTAAACTGGGTTGAAACACTTTGCTGTATCCTCCTGTAGCATTCTGGGGGCTTCACTTTAGGAACGTTATCACACTTGGAATTGTTTACCCAATGTGTCTTCTTTAGAAGAATGAAAGCCCCATGAGGACAGGACTACGGTTTGTTTTGTTCACTACTATGCTTGAAATAGTGCCTCAAATAAAGCAAGGACTAAATAAACCTTCATTGGACAGATGTTTATTGAGCAGCTATGTGTCAAACATTGTTTTTGATACTGAAGATACGGTCTCTGCCCTGAAGGAGCTTACGTTTTAGTTAAAGTGTTGATTTAATGATAGATGAGAATCTACCTCAAACTCCATATTTTCCAGGTGAGGAAATGAAATCCTGGAGATTAAGTGACCTGAGTCAGGGCATATGGAAGATGTGTGTGGCACAGACTTGTTGTTTGTTCACTTAAAAAAATTCTCTCTTGCAAAGTATTTCTCAATACACATTTCACAGTCCAGAGGTGGATGTGTGAACTCCTGTTTCTTCAGTGCATAAATGCCCACAGAACCCTGAGGGCATCACGAGCTGAGGGAGTTGAGACAAACACATTGAGCACATGATTTTTACGTGCACAGAATGTCAAGGTTTACATCAGTAGTAGGCAGACAGCTTTGGTGATCTCTTGCCTAATTCTATCATACCCACTACAGGACCATCATATCCTTTATTGTTGCCTATGGAGCCTTGGCATCTGGGGTCCCTGGGAAAGTGAAGGTGTTGGCATCAATGGCAGCCATGTTGTTAGGGTTTAGTCAGGAGTTGCCGAAAGAGCTCATTCGTGAGCTGGGAGTTGCAAGAAGGGACTCGCATGGATCATTATTGAGAAAAGTAGAAGGGCTTTTCAGGAGAGGGCACATAAGAAAGGGAAGGGAATTTTTATAACAGGAATGTATATGAACAACAAAGAAACAGGAATGAACAACAAAGAAACAATTCACTAGAGTAGGGGGTATATATGGGATAAAGGAAAATGTTGTTCATATACAGGAATGTATATGAACAACAAAGAACAGGAATGAACAACAAAGAAACAATTCACTAGAGTAGGGGGTATATATGGGATAAAGGAAAAATATATGGGACAGATAGGGGGAATTGGACTCGAGTTGAGTCTTTGGAAATGGAGGAAATGGTTGTTTCCAAGAATAGAGAGACAGCTAGACTTAGATTTCAGTTCGATTACTAAACATGAATCCAAACTAGCTCTTAAATTTCAAACCTGAAGCAGACTCCCATGAGAACTCTGCAGGGTTTCCTTCTCCCAGTTGAGGAATCGCCCCAGAAGGATATGGAGAAATCCTCTCACCCATTCATATCCACACGTAGAAGCTAGTCTCCGGACAGGTTGTTACATGTCAGGTTACCACGTCTCCCCATCCCGAAAACACACCCTCCACTCCCCACAAAGCAAAACTGACACTTTAGCAGAAACACATATGCTGCATAAAGCCAGTTATGCCTTCGCCATCTTCACCCAGGGGCTAGCAGAGCCTGTGCCTGAGTATTTGTGACTATGCTGTCAGTGAAGGCCATGACTAAATTAAAAATTTCACTCAAAAAATCTGTGAGTTGCTGAGTCATTTAATCAGAAAGAAACTCAATCCAAAATAACAACCTTTTAAAAAACAGCACCTTTTCATAGTGTGAGCAGAAATCCTTTGGCGTTTTAAAGAAATGCTCTACTGAGGGCCGCTGCTAAGACCAGCAGTCCACTTATGTTATCGAGAAGTAGGAGACGGTGATTTCATTCTTTAAATGACACATGAGTTCAGGGAATGAGCTGCAGCAGGCTCAGGGCTGTGTGGGGAGAAAAGTCAGAGAAAGCACTGCAGACGCCTGTAAAGAAAATGTTTTATTTAAAGTGTTAAATACCATCACCAGAATGAATTTGATTTACATTAGTTGGTGTTCATTACAGGACTAATCTGCCCTTTTTTCCCAACTGGAATTCCCTTTACTTTTCAAACATACTATGTACAGGGCAACAACGGTCACTGGCATAGTGCTAGTTACATGACTAAACCACAAGTCGAGGTGCAGATGTGAAAATTAAAAAAAAACACCAACTTTTAAATAAATACTGCATAATGACAAGTATGTACAAATATTCCGTAGTCACGTCCTTCTTATTAAAATTAGAAATAATTTGTATAGGAATATGCACAAAAGATTATGTGACTGCATCTTAGTATCAGGAAAATCATAAACCTTTATTCTAAGGGATAGTATAGACACTATAGGTCTATTAAATCAATTGTTGCTGGTACACAGGTGTCTAAATTATTTTAATAAAGTTTTATTCGTTCTTTTAACAACTTTACCTGGGTCCATCAGAATGTCAAGACACAGTCTTGGTGTATTTCATATTGCACCACATAAAAAGAAGGCATTTTTAGTGATACTCATTTTAACTTTTGCACCGTATCAAGCATGATAGTTTTTAATGGTCAGCACTGAACTAAAAAAAATATTTGTGCATGGCCTTAATTTAAACAAATGAGATGTATGTGGATTTCAAAAATTAATGCAAAAAATTAAAATCAAGCTATAATAATGTGTTATCAAAATGTACATAAAGAACCATGGGTGGTTTATTACAATAACCAGTGACTTTTCCTCTAAATAGGGGAACTTAGGAGAAATTTGACCTTGCAGCTCCACCCAATGGTAATAACCGTCTGTAAAACCAAAGGCAGGGGTTTTGACTTTAGGAGATTTTCACATAGACTTTTGGTGATGGCATCAAATAACTATTAATAGGCATAATGACTTTCTTTGAGTCACCTAAAAACTGGAGCTTTAAAATTGTTGCAAATTTATGTTTACTATATTTCTTTAGAAATATAATTTGTGAAAAATTGAATTTTACTACAGAAAAATGAATTAATAAACAGCCCTGTGTTTCAGGGTTCCCAATTTTTAGCAGTGCTTCTATTCACATAGTAAATGGAAACTGGCTAAAGAAATTGCTTTAAATGATTAAAAAACAAACAAAACCTAAGACCTTCTACAAATAATACTTTAACCCCTGTATGAATAATGCTGGTGCTAAAAACAAATTTATTGGACATCACAATGGCAACATGATTTTAGAATTTTCCTGTAAACTGAATTTTAAAGGTGAAAAAATTACCATGCACTGTACAATAAACTGCAAAAGTTCAAATATCTTCTTCGTCAAATACATGCTGACTTACTTTAATGTACTCCCAAGTCATGTTGCAAAATCCTTTTCAACATGCTTGAAATAAAGAAAGCTCTTAAAGTTAATTTTCCCTTGAGAAATTCGCAAATTCAGAGGCATCTACAGCTCTGAATCAAACATGGGGTATGAGAGAGGATCAGATCAAAACTTGTAATTTTTTAGTATAAGGTTCACTCTGGCAGGGAGAAAGAAAAGTTTAAAAGAGGGAGAAGAGGTAAAGTGAGAGAAGGAGAAAGATGTGAAAAATTTGCACATATTGAACTTCATAAGATTTGTATATTTAACATGGAAATAAATTGAATATATTATACTTATTTGTCACATAAAGAGAATTTTAAGTATCTTCTAGAAAGTATTTCCATTTGTAATGTCTGCCAAAACACAGACTATGATTAAAGAATAAACATGGTGTATCTTTGTATCACCCTGTTGCATTCTCTCTCCTTTTTAAAACCATGCACTAGTGAAATTTATTTTTAAAAATAATATAAATTGTTGAAAATGGCTGATTTTTATTCTTTTTTTTTTTTTTGCAAGTTGCAGCCCCAAGAAAATAATTTAAGTATTCAGCTAATCTGTGTCCATGCAAAAAAAGTTTCTTTAATTTCATTCAGTACAGTGTAGCCACAGAATTTTGTTTTTCAGAGTCCAACACATCTTAGCATTAGTAATTGACGTGCCCATGGAGCTACAAAGTCTGCCACTCTTCCTGCTGGACTGACTGCTCTGATTCCCGCCCAGAGGAGGGCTGATGATTGTTCCTGACCACTTCTTTGGTCTCCTGCTTTTCACCTGATGCTTCCTAGGATTACACTCCTCACCTGTAACACCGCTTCATGGCTGTATAGCTCCATTTCTGTGGCATATCAGGGCTTTGGGGTTAGATAAATGAAGAAAAAGGAATGATAAAAATATAAAGGTGCCATTGAAAAGGGCTTCTGTTGCATGAAACTGACTGATTCTTTGAGATTAATCCATGGCTTCAGATTGGACCAGAACTCGAGTGTCATTGAATTCCAAATCTGATAGTTCTTCACAGCTCTGCTCTTTCACCTGAGGGCCTTCTTTAGGGCACAATGTGTGCAACTTCCTCTGAGAACACAGGATTGCTTTGTATCCCTAGAAACAGGCTCAGAAGACACAACATTAAGCATGCAGTGTTACCAGGGTTTGCAACCTGTGATTTTTTTTTTTTTTTTTGTAACGCTGGTTGCTGTGACAACAATTTTTTTACAGCTGCTATGAACGAGAGTAAGAAGGTCCAGTTGAACTTTCCAGAGATGATTGGGAAGCTCTTCTTGTCAGAGGGGCCAAGGTTGGATCTACTAGGGAGGAAGGTGGGAAAAGTTTGAACCATCCGATCACCATATTGGATAGCTCTAGTTCATCTAAAAGTATCTGGGCCACTCCCATAAAAGATTTGTGATCCATGCGGCCATAATCTCCCCAGACGATGATCTGTTGGCAAAATAAAAAGTAGAGTGATGTCAGTGTAACTGTGTACATAGAAAAACTTGTAAAATATATTAAAATACTAAAGTACATTCAGTTAATTTTCTGACATCAAAGATCAAGTTAAAATCTGCATAATAGAATAGTTGTCTTTAACTAGTGGTATCTAAAGGTACACTGGGGAAATTGTACTGAAGCATTAAGGTCATAAGAAATCCAGAGAGACTGGAATTTACGTGTGGTGGGGATTTGCATGTCTGTAAATCACTTTAAAGAAAATGACAACGTATATTGCTTTATAGCACGGGCCACTGCTTTGAAAAGTTTCCAAAGAATTTCCTTTGTGAGGAACATAAAAGAATACAACAGAAAAGATTTGGGGTATAATGTCTGACCCCATGAAAAATACTTTCTTAGGTAAGGGATAAACAATTAAGTAGATACCTGTAAAACTTTTCCTTGTGGACTCTCTTCGAAAGATAATAGCTGCTGGTAAAGGGGTTCCAGCGTTTTTCTTGCCACTTTTGTTTTCTTTTTGGCTATGCAGACTCCGTTATCTAATAGATACACTTTTACATACGGTGCTTGGGAAAGAAAACACAGAGGAGAATGAGCAATAAACTATGGACATGAAATGGCCGACGCACGGTGACATTTACCAGTTTAGTAATCTTTGGCTGAAAGAGCTAGCAATCATGCCACTGGCCTAGCTGCATTCTGTCAAAATCATTAGATAAACAGTGGATAACTGTGTCTTTCAGGGAGTTTTAGGGGATGCTGACATAACCTCTGAGTTTATTATCATTTTTTTCATCAACTGGTTATATAGGTTTACACACTGCATTAAATAAAGGGAAATGCTTCCAGTCCTGAGAGATGTCCTGCTCAGTCTTTAATTTATCAATACTTAAATCTATTTAACATGCTTGAAGCTATATTGTTTCATTCACTCATCCCCACAAATAGTGATTATCACTCAAAAGTACTTACTTACTGGTGGTGGTGTGGGTATAACAGTAGTGGAATTTCATGTGATATTGATCAAATTAGCTAAGAGGCAACTAATTAGACAATCTATGGCTTAAAATTTATCCAACAGACACTTCATAAAAACCATTTTCATGCATGTACAAATCATGATTTTTTTATAGCAGAGTGAGTTGACTAGCTCTAAGACATATATAAACACAACTGTCTTAATCACCAGTGCCAGGTTATACAACAGATTATATATTATAATTAAAAATTTCTGCAAGGATAGAAAAGTTCAGAGTGAAAGTTACAAGTCAATCAGTAGAGATGCTGAAGCTAGAAATAGAAAAGTTGAGAGTCAAAATTACAAGTCAATCAGTAGAGATGCTGAGGCTAGAAATCAAGTTTCAGAATCCTCAGAAATTGTTTTATACATCTTATCAAACGATCTCTACACAATGTATTTGGAGCACTGTAGCACCTTCCATGGCTTCAATGCACCTTAGATTAAAATGACATTTCAATTTGAAATATGTAGCATAAGAAGTTATAATAGTGCCTCTCTTTCCTCAGATTATAGGAAGTAAAAGTCTTATAATTAGAATATCCAGCATACATAGCTTATGCTACTCTTGGAGCCTGTATCTATTTTTTATTCTAATTCCAGAGACTTATGGATTCCTGAGGAGAATTTTGAAGCTCTAGAGAAACTGAAGAATAACACAAAAGACTAGCTAATAAGAAAAAAGAACTCCTTGTGTACATGGTGTGACAAAATGAATGATCTAAGTGGGGTGGTTTTTATTTTGCAGTGGTTTCTACTATGTATGTACTTATTTAACAACTTACATTATCCCCACCGGATCATCCTCACTGAACACTCATTCAGGATAAACACACAAATGACTCCAGCACCAGACCAGTCATAATGGACCATCCATTAGTAATCTTGATTAACTAAATCAAAGGTCTAAACCAATCAAAAGGTCTCTAAATTGAAACAATATGGATTATGGACAATAATAGAAAAATCTCTTTTGTTTTTACCTGGCAGTGTCTTGGAACCTGGTTTTACAACAAGGCCACGGGCCCGGATGATTTCTACCTCCAGCTGTCCCTTTTTGTCCATCATTCCTACCTGAATGTCACCTAATGGAAGAAGGAAGGAACAAATGTGCTTTAATATACAAATGCACTAAGGAAAATAGAGTCAAAGACCTTGGTTTAACATCGTTTCATCATTTCCCATATATTTTCTTAAATTCAAATATACTTAAAATTCTATCAATAATATCTTCCTTTAAAAAGCATTAAAATTAAAAGAGAAATAATGGTTAAATATTTTTTATTCTTAAAATCTAAGGTCTTGATTCCTGCTGATAATATTGTTAAAGATTCCACTGGGCTGAGCCCAGTGGCTCATGCCTGTAATCCCAGCACTTTGGGAGGTGGAGGCAGGAGGATCGCTTGAGGCCAGGAGTTTGAGACCAGCTTGGTCAGCACAATGAGGCCCTGTCTCTACAAAAAAAAAGTCAAAATATTTGCTGGTTATGGTGGCGTGTGCCTGTAGTCCCAGCTACTTGGGAAGATGAGGTGGGAGGATTTCTTGAGCCAAGGTGGTCAAGGCTGCAGTGAACCATAATCATGCCACTGCACTTCAGCCTGGGCAACAGAGTGAAACTCTGTCTTAAAAAAAAAAAAATAGAGGGAGAGAGAGAGGGAAAGAGAGAGAGAGAGAGAGAGAAGATTCTATGAAATTTAGAGAATTTCATTTTCAACAATCTAAAACAAAATAGTGAAATCATGTGGCAGAAATTCTTACCCATTGCAGGTGTTGCCAGAGTCTGGCGTCCCACTAGCTGAGCAGGGCCAAGGCCATCCAGGAAATCACTGAACTGGCTATCAGAGGCCAAGCGAACACCAGGGAAAATCAGACTGAAAGCAAAATAACATATGAGATTAAATCCCCAACCCCTATTTATTTTCAGGTAAGCTTGGTTTCATTCTAGCCTCATTATTGTGGCAAGACTAGTCCTATTATTTTGTCACTTATATTTACTGGATCCAAATACCCAGTTCCACCTCCCAGGACTCTTCCTTCATATTCTCAGCAGCCCAAGTATGACACCAGAAGCACCTGTCACACTGCACTGCAGGCTTCTGCTGGTGAGTCTTTCTCTTCCTTGGTCTCAAAGGCAGACTGTGATTTCTATGAGTAACACTCAGCACATATTGAGCACTTACTCCATCCAGGCTTTATCATATTTAATCCTCTTAGCTGCACTATGATAGATTCTATTATTTCTCCTATTTCATACACGAAGAAATGTTTCTGGATCATTCCCATCTGCATACAAATATGCTGTTATTTCTTCCACCATATAAAAAAATCCCTTTCCTGACCCCATTTCCCTCTCCAGTTACTACCCCATTTCTCTCCTTGAAATAATTGTCTCTATGTGCTGTCTTCAATTTCTTTCCTCTCATTCTCTCTTGAAAGTCTAATCATGTTTTCATTGTTGCCACTCCACTAAAATTATCTGATCATTTGACACAATTTCCCTTGCCCCCTCTTCCTTGAAGCACTGTCTCCCACTGCTTTCTGCACACTCCAGTCTCCTGGTTTCCCACTTTTCCTTCTGCCACTCAGCCTTAACCTCCTCTGCTAGTTCTGACACTAAACACTGGAGCTCGATCCTTTGACCTTTTATCTTTTTTCTATGTCTGAATTCCCTTGATAATCTCATCCAGTCTCATGGTTTTAAATGCCATCTATGCTGCTATTGCCTAGATTGGCATCTCCAGCTTGGATCTCTCCCTTGGGCCACAGACCTATGTTCCAATTGCTTAGTCTACATATCTGCTTGGATATGTAATAGACACCTGAAACTCAAATTGTCTAAAACTGACTCTCTCCATGCTCCTGTCCCCCGACTGCAAACACACAAACAAAAAATCCAAACTCTGGTCCTGTCAAAAGATTTCCATCTTGATAAATGGTAATCTCATTCTTCATTCTTCCAACTGGTCAACCTTGGAGCCATCTTTCTTCCTTCCTCTCTGTTATGGACTGAATCGTGTCACCCCAAAATTCTTATGTTGAAGCCCTAAAGTTCAATATGTCTGTATTTGGCCATAGGCCCTTTAAAGAGAGAAGGTTAAATGAGGCCATTTGCGTGGTGCCCTAATCCAATATGACCCATGTCCTTATAAGAAGAGGAAGAGACACCAGGAGTAGATAAGCACAGAGAAAATGCTGTGAGAAGACATCACAAGAAGGTGGCCATCTGCAAGCCAAGGAGAAGAGCCTCAGGAGAACTCAAACCTGCAGACACCTTGATCTTGGACTTCTAGCCTACTGATCTGTGAGAAAATAGATTCCTGCTTTTTAAGCCACCCAGCCTGTGGTATTTTATTATGGTAGCCCTGGCAAACAAATATACTCTCTTTTCTCTCATTACCCACATCAAATGCATCAATAAATCTTACTTGCTCTACTGTCAAAATACATTCAGAATCTGACCTCACTAATGCTACACTCTGGTCCAAGCCACCATTCCCTAGCTTCTGTATTCCTGTAGCAGCCTTGTGAATGCTCTCCCTGTTGCTGCCCTTGCTGTCCTGGCCCCTTGCCCCCTCAGCACTCAGACTGATATGCCAAAAACGGAAGTCAGATCCTGTCACTCCTCTGCTCAAAACCATCCAACATCTTCTCATCCCACTCAGTAAAAGCAAAGTCCTTACAATACATAAAGTCTACATAAGCTGCCCCCGCCCCTGCCACATGCCCTAATTCCTCATCCTTTACTGCTCTCACCCTTCCTCCCCAGTGCTGCCCTCCTCACTGCTGACACCAGGCCAGCTCCTGCTTCAGGGCCTCTGAAGCAATCTTCATTCTAGAATGTTCTTCCTTCAGATATCCCTCTGCTCACTAAATTCCTTCAGATCTTCACTCGAATATTTCCTTTCCCCGTCTATCCTGTGGCAAATCTTACCTCCACCGTCTTGATCATCTCTCTTCCTTGCTGTATTTTTCTCCTTAGCATGTGTGCTATCTAATCTACTATAAATTTTACTAGTTTTTCTTTTATATACATTTTAACAATTTTTCTTATTGTTTGTCTTCTCTATGAGAGTGTAAATGTGATGAGAGTATTTTATTTTTGGGGAGATGGGGTCTGCTTTGTTCACTGCTGTATCTCTAGCATCTAGAACCATGCCTGAAATATTGTATGTTCTATAGAAGTAAAGGAAAGGAAAGGAAACAAAAGAAAAGAAAACAAACAAAAAAAATAAAAAGGAAAGAAAGAAAAGAAAAGACCCAGATGAGAGAACCAGACCTATATGACTGCAAAGCCCATAATCTTAGCCATGGAGATTTACTCCCTCCCTCCTATGACTTACATCCCCAACGTACAGCACAGTGACTGGCCCACTGGAAGGTATGGTAATATTTGTTGAATGAATTTATGGGTATTCATCCTCTTTTTCCAATAAGACTATAAACATCTGGAGCAGGGGCTATAGTGTAAACATTTTTATATCCCTAACAGTATCTAATATAGTTCTTTGCAATGATTAGTGCTCAGTGCACATTCACTTTTCAGTTGATTTTCCCTCTCTTTTTAGACTTCCTTAATGAATAGTGAATCTATTTCTCCCCCCGACCTCAACTCTCAAATATTTAGTTAATACAAATGTTTTAGTTTGTTTCTATAAGTATCCCAAATAAGCCTACTTACAAATGTAGAGAAACCAGTTATATCTCTTGTATTTATGTTGTTGTGCTAGACAAATTATCCTGAGACATACCATTCATGCTGTGCCAACAGCTCCTACGGCCTCACATCTGTAAACTGGCCACACATAGGTTATCTAAACATCTAATACTTACACAGTGATGACAGTGAGGCCAGTAAACCCCATTTTCCTTTGTTAATGTCCTTTACAGCCCCACTTCCAGATCTTTAGTTGCTAAGTACTATTAATTTGTTGGTGACAGAACTACACAAGCTAAAAATGCTTTAAAAATATCTGAGACAGTTGATTCAAAGGAAAGCTACTTCATAACTATGTAAAAGGCTCCCCAAGTTTTTTGGTGGCATTTCTTTTTGGCTGTTATATTTAATATAATTAAATAATTATAGTTGTTTGTTGCAACATGGAACTAAGTATACGCCAGCATTCCATATTTTTTAGCAATAATTCTCAGGATGGCGATTCTTAAAACTAGCATTGTTCACATGGTGTGGCATGCATGCTTATTATTTTTGGGCTTTTATATATTATTTCAAGCTAGGGCAAAATATTTTATTTGCATTGCATTGTAAGAGTCACACTTTAGCAACTTGCCATTAAGGCAAAACACTTTATCCCCAAACCTATTTCACTTGATATAAAAAGCCAGATATGTCACATTGTTCAGTGGCAGGTGAGCAAAGTTCTCTTCACAGGAAATCAGCCAGTGAAAATTAAAGTGGTTCTGAAGAGCATGAGAGTTGGAAAATCTCTGTGAAAGCACATAGAGTGAGATAGGTGAGGCACGGAGGAGACACACATCACATGCAGCCTCACTCACTTTCCTTCTGAGCTGTAGCTGTTCATGCTACCATCTGTAGACTCTCGGCTTGCCTGTCGAGTCATCCAGTTCCTCATTTCCACGGCCAGGCCTGTTTCTGTACTTCTTTGGACAGTGCTCCTTAGTTTTTTACCTCCTGCTTCTGCAGAGATAGAAACAAAAAGTGTAACAGCTTTGTAATCACTATGTGGTAAGAAATATCAGCGAAGGCTCTGAGATCATCAGATGCAAAGAACTGTGTAAATAAAAAGTGCTCTTGTTAAGGAGGCAGAAAGAAAAGGTATTTAAAACAATTTTAAACAATGTCATGTTGAGTGGGATGAAGATTTTCTAAAAAATCTGTAGAAGCACAAAACACCATTGTTTTATTTCCATTTAAAACAGTGTGCAAATTGTTAATATAAGAAACAAAAAGATTCAACCTAAGGAAAAAAAATAAGCCTTATTTTCATTGTAATACTTAAATGCAGGTTAATTTATGCCTATCTTTTGTTTTCATTGTAATATTTAAATGCCAGATTAATTTCTGCTTACCATATTTTTCCCTTTCTTTTAATCATAGTAAAAGAACCAGGCCTTCACACAATTTACAAAGAAACAGATGGTGAGTAATCCTCAAATTCCAGTCTTAACTTTTATAGGAAAGTCTGTTTTTGTAGGGTGATAGATATTAGAAGGAAAAAGAATCTACACAAAGGAGAGAGCCTAGTTTGCCAATAGTTTCACATCTATTGGTAACTTTCAGAAAGATATTCCAAGGGCAATGCAAAAACTCACCAAAATAATGTGAAAAGAGATTTTTAATTTTTGTTCACGGGTAGTCATGTCCTCAAGGATTTTTAATAGTTTGGTGATGTGATTTACTAATAGAAACCAATTAGAAGACCAAACAGGAAACTGAGTCAAATACTACAGATGTGACACAGATAGGAAGTACTATCTGGAGAGGTCAGGGAAGAAGTATGTCATAGAGGCTGTGGGATTTGAGCTGGACATGAAACATAGGCAGATTGGGACTTAACGAGAGGTGAGAAGAGAGCTTCGTAAGCAAGGGAAACAGCATGGCAAAGGTGCAAAGATAGGGATGACCATGTGCATTTAAGGGAGGTGCAATGACCAAGCACATGTAAAGTAATGGGGGAGTGGGTTCCACAAAAAACTGAGCCCAAATTACAAAAGCTATGAGTGTTGAGATGTGAAGTTGAGAGGCTACCAAAGCTCGAGCAAGAGGGTGATAGTCCAAATGATTTGTACTCGATTACTTCTTGTCGGGCTTAACTATTTATCCACACTGTGCATATTGATAGCTTTTTGGGATACAACCATACGGTTAGCTCTTTTAGTGGCTGGTATTAATAAGTTCTTTTTTTTTGAGACAAAGTCTTGCACTGTTGCCCAGGCTGAAGTGCAGTGGCACAATCTCTGCTCACTGCAACCTCCGCCTCCCGGGTTCAAGTGATTCTCCTGCCTCAGCCTCCCAAGTAGCTGGGATTACAGGTGACCACCACCATGCCCTTCTAATTTTTTGTATTTTTAGTAGAGATGGGGTTTCGCTATGTTGGCCAGGCTGGTCTTGAACTCCTGACCTTGTCATTTGCCCGCCTTGGCCTCCCAAAGTGCTGGGATTACAGGTGTGAGCCATCGTGCCCAGCAATAAGTTATTTTTAGGTCTATAAATATTTGCTGATATTGCCAGTGATTTGTCGAAATCTCTTTTCACCAAGTCTCTTAGAAGTACTTGCCATTTTGAAATACTGCTTTAAATTTCATCCATTCTCTACTTCCAACATTAAGGTACACCAAAATGCTTTAAAGAGTATAAATGAAATATAAATTATGACTGATCTATAACTCAGTTCCGCAATCTAAGGCTGATATTTTAGATAATTGGTAGTAAACATGTTGTACTGATATGAACTGTAACAAGATACAAAACATCCCCTACTAATAAGGGAAAGATCTTCTTTACAGCAGAATATTAGTAAATGTAAAAGCATTAAATTTTACATAAAATTCAAAATTTACCAATTTGCAACCTCCATTGGAATCAATGATATAAGCAAGGCTCATCAATGGAGGCTAACACTATTAGATGAAAGGTTGTAGAAAGGATACTCATATGAGCCAAATAATTGTTCCATAAATTATTCTAATTGTTAAAGGAAAAAAAAAGTACTTTAACACTGGGAGACCAGGCTGCCACCATTTTAATCAAGTGATGAAACTTAGTAGCACTAAGAGGGGACAATCATATGCACCTCCAGATATAAAATACAAAGCATCACTTGTCAAGTTGTTCTAGACAAAAACATGCAACCTGTTTCTAATCAGATCTTTGGAGCCAACTTCAACTTTTCAAAAACAGGTGATAGAGTAACAAGGTATATGATAGACACACATACATAAAACAATCAGAGAAATCCAGAACATGGACTATTGTTCAAGAAAGTTGGCCTAGTCTCTTAAAAGAAGTTAATATCATGAAAACAAACAAAGAAATAAGGTAAGGGAATTATTCTGGATTAAAATATATCAAAGAAATTTAACCATCAAATGCTACGAGTGTACTTGAACTTCTTGTTTGGGAAAGCAAAACAAGAAACCCTATATGCAAAACAGTATAAAAGTAATTTTAGGACAAGTTAAGGAAAATTTGAATATGCATTTGACATTAGATGAGATTAGAAAATTGTTATTTTTTAAGGTGCATAATGACACGTATTATAAAGAATTTTCTTATTAGGAGATACATGCTAAAGTATTTAGACCTGAAATGTTATATATTCTGCAATTTACTTTCAAATGGTGTAGGAAAAAACAACAAAACAACAACCAAGCCCCCACCCCCAACCCAAAACTGCACATATATGTTTCAAAAAATGAGGGAGAATGTTAAGGAGAAATGAAAGAATGAGAATGCAGAGTACATCCTGATATACATGAAGTTAATATTTATGATTTCATTTGAGTGGTCCTCAAATAACTATATCAAAAAGTAGGCTGGGCATGATGGCTCACACCTGTAATCCCAGCACTTTGGGAGGCTAAGGCAGGCAGATCACTTGAGGCCAGGAGTTTGAGATCAGCCTGACCAACATGGTGAAAATCTGTCTCTACTAAAAATACAAAAATTAGCTGGGCGTGGTGGCCCATACCTGTAATCCCAGCTACTTGGGAGGCTGAGGCTAGAGAATCACTTGAACTCAGGAGGCAGAGGTTGCAGTGAGCCGAAATTGCACCATTGCACTCCAGCCTGGGTGACAGAGCAAGACTGTGTCTCAAAAACAAACAAACAAACAAACAAACAAAAACCCCAAGCAAGAGGTAATACAATTTTGTACAAGTGTGTCTCTCCATGTAGCTTTAATGTTCACTTCCTGTGAACAGCGCTCTTGTGAAAAAATTCCCATCAGGTGAGACATAAAACTTCAGTGACATTTGAGCATGTGGAATGAGGATACGTACAAGAAACATACGACTTAGAAAGGAAATGAGATTCTTAAAGATCTCAGAACACAGCCTCTGCAATGTCAAAGATCTAAAGTTTTTAATTTAAGGTCTGACTCTATCATAGTTAAAGCGACTTGAAAATCTGCCATTATAGGGTTATGAGAACCAGCACCGTTTGTCAAAGAATAATATGATAAGCATGTAATTTTTTTGTTTACAGGTTGCTTCTTACATGTATCCCCTTCATAACAATGCTAAAAATCCCAATTTTACAGTTATAGCATCTAAGGGCCCCAGAAGTTTACATAATTCCCTGAAGCAACATAGTAAGTGACAGAACCAGCATTTGTAGACAGTTCCCAGACTCCACATTTTCTGCTATTCAGTACTTCACTGTCAGAATATAACTAAATGGGGAGCTTGTGCAGCTGTCTATGGAGATTTTACTGTGCTAATGCTGTAACTGCATATGGAAGGCCCTATTAGAAGCAGCTTAGTGGGGTGGGAAAAGCAGAGCACAGTGAAGGAGTCAGGCCCTGGGATCAAACTGCTTCTCTTTTAGTCTCCACTCTACCATTTACAAGGTGGATGACACTGAGCAAGTTACATACCCTCTCTGTGACTCAGTTTCCTCAAACTGAAATGACAGCAATAATAAGCCTACCTCATTAGGAATGAGGTAGGAATTTTTGTGAGTATTAAGGAAAACAATGCATTTAAAGCACTTAGGATAGTGCCTGATGCATAGAAAAGCTTCAATTAATTATACTGTTATTATTACCAGATACAGAATTTGAAACTATGTATTCTAGGTCTGACTCTACCACTAACTTGTGAGCTCTATCTATTGTCCTCTCTGAGTCATATCCCCTCTCTGAGTCTCTGGCTCCTCATTTATGAAAAAGGGAGGGGGAGGAGGGCAGATGATATCTGATATCTTTGAGTTCTAATGTCTACGAGTTTGTGTATTAATGCATAACCAAGACCATGATTAACAGCATACATTGAGGAGATATGCTAATCACTATCATCTGACATAATCAAATAAATCCAGCTAATATACTGAACATTTATAGTAGCCCTTTAATACATGTCTTTTTCAATGTTCCATTATCAAATACATTTATAGGCTTATTTTAAAAGTAATTTATTTTTCAGCACCACAAAATCTTTAGCTACATTTACAATAAAACTAATTTAACTTGAATGTCATTCATTACCATGAATCACATTTAATGTTCCAAATGATTTGTCACATTATTCAACTTAAAAACTGAATCTACGTAACAGTGAAGGTCTATAGAAAGAAAATGTGGTAGGGAGAATTCTAAGATGACACCCATGATTATGTTACTTTACATGGTAAAAGGGATTTTGCAGATGTAATTAAGGATACTAATCAGTTGACCTAAAGATAGGGTGCTTATCTGAATGGGCGTAACTGAACCACACCAGCCCTTTCAAAGCAGAGTGCTTTCTCTGTCTGGTTCCAGAAAGGGAAATCACAGAGATGTGAAACACAAGAAAATTCAATATACTTCTCTCTGCCTGAAGAGGGAAGGGGCCACATGGAAAGGATGTGAGAGCAGCCTCTAGCTGCTGGGAGTGATGCCTGGCTGACAGCAAGAAAATGGGGACTTCAGGCCTGCAACTGTAAGGAATTGGATTCTGTCCACTACCGAAAGGGCCTTGAAAGCTGATTTTCTCCCCTAGAACCTCCAGACAAGAACTCAGCCCAGGCAACATCTTCATTTCAGCCATGTGATGCTCTAGAGAAAAAACCCAGCCAAACGTGCCAGACTTGTGACCTACAGAACTGTGAATTAATAAATGGGTGTTGTTTTCAGCTGTTAAATTTGTGATAATTGTTATACTGTAATATAAAACTAATACAGTAAGTTCTGAGTCCTTTGTAGATAAGTTTTTTACATGAGGAGACTTATTAAAATATCCTATTATGACTTAGGGGTGGACCATCAAAACTGTAAAAACTTAACCATTATTTTAAAAAGTGTACATTTAAAAAAGTATACACATACATATAAACATACACATGCATACATAAACATATATGTATAATGTGTGTGTGTGTGTGTGTATTGAGACATCAAAAAATACTCAGGTAAGGCCCAGATGGTGTTGTTGTTGAGCCCTTAAATCACTAATTTTGGTATTAGGTATTTTAAGCCAAAGTACATTTGGAAAAGATGCCTGCAGGTAAAAATCAAGTTCTTGAACTGCAAAACATCACAGGCAGAAGGAAGAACACAGGTGTCCTCGTTATTCTGCCCTGCTTAGTCTGAATGACTCATTTACCTGGCACCCTCAGTAAAGCCATTTGATTAAACAAAAGACCAAAGGGTCAGTTTCCCCTAATAATATCTGGAAACCAGAAAACCTTTTTGGTTACTTGACAACAAAAACCAAAAGATCCTTTCTGCTACTGACTTGGAAACTATTTTAAGCCCCACCCAAGGCAGGGCTTACAATGCATTGTCAAACTTAATGTCATGGTGACCTCCTTTCAAATCTTGGATTCACATAACCCATTCCTGGTTGCTCCCACCTGCAAGGTCTCATCTACTGCAGACAGACTTACTTTGGATTCAGGGTTTTCTCAATGTCAATATGGAAAATGGTTTATGGAAACAGGATGAAGAATAGTTGGCAGATTATGAAAACTGACTTTACATTTTAGTTTAGACCACAATTTATATGCTTTAACGAGTTGCTATTTTTGCATTTATTCAAAATTACCATTTCTCAGAGTGAGTATAATTTAGAAAACCATTTGTGTTACATTTAAAGCATATTAAAAAATGCATTACAATGAATTTCTAAAATTATTGACTCACAGATTTTAGGAAGCAATCTTGGGTATCCAGTATATCTATGTAGTTTATGCACTCCCTTATTGCAGCAATGAGAAAGTTGAGGTCCTGAGTGGCTAGTTTGTCTTTGGTAGAAGACTTTTTCGTCTTTAAGAATCAATAATTGTAAATTCTACTTTTACTCTCTTCCATCTTGCTCCTTTAATTCCTAAAATTTAAATATAACAATTGTCTCCAGCACCTTCATCAACCTCTGTGGTAGACTCTGTGGACATGACTTCTCTCCCCTCAGCAGATTTTTTTTTTTTTTAATTTTACTTTAAGTTCTGGGATACATGTGCAGAACATACAGGTTTGTTACATAGGTATACATGTGCTATGGTGCTTTGCTGCACCTATCAACCCATCATCTAGGTTTTAAGCCCCACATGTATTAGGTATTTGTCTTAATGCTCTCCCTCCCCTTGCCCCCTACCCCTCAACAGGCCCCAGTGTGTGATGTTCCCCTCCCTGTGTCCCTGTGTTCTCATTGTTCAAATCCCACTTATGAGTGAGAACATGCGGTGTTTGGTTTTCTGTTCTGTGTTAGTTTGCTGAGAATAATGGCTTCCAGCTTCATCCATGTCCCTGCAAAGGACATGAACTCATTGTTTTTTATGGCTGCATAGTATTCCATGGTGTATATGTGCCACATTTTCTTTATCCAGTCTATCATTGACGGGCATTTGGGTTAGTTCCAAGTATTTGCTATTGTAAATAGTGCCCATCGGCAGATTTTATAACTTCCCTCCCATCAGCAGATTTTATATCAAGATATGAAAGATGTTTATTTATTTATTTATTTGGTCCTGCAAGACCTCAATATGGGGACACTGTCATGGATTACTCTGACTGCATGTAAAAGCTCATACACTTATGCTTCTCAGGTCTTGCTACTATCACAAATATAATTCAAATCTCTAAAAGTCTAAACAAAATAAAGACAAATAGCCAACAATTTCGTCTGGGCTAATCCAGGCTCTGCATTTACAATTAAAACAAAAATTGAGATTAAAAATTAACAATTGACACACAAAATTGTTTCGGACTTTAACATGAATCCATTCATTCCAAAAGCTTTGTCACAACTATTTAATATTATAAAAGTTACATATCTAGTAGCTACAGCATGGTGAGCTTCAAGCAGGGGTCATGATTATGGTAGATGTTAGGTCTATTCATGTATATTCACTTTATTCCCACCTCTGAAGTTAGGTGTGGTCATGTGACTTGTTTGTCCAATGAAATGTGAGCAAAACTAACCCATGTAACTTCAAGGCAGAAGATTTAGCAGCTGATGTATGTATGACTCACTATGTCTCCTTCCATCAGCCTGAGTACAGCCACACACAGGACTCTCAATGGACAAGTAGTGGGAGTGAGACATAAATTTTTTGTGTTAAGCCATTAATATTTTTAGTTGTTTGTTACTACAACCTAACCTATTCTGACAGATACATACAATAGATAGTATTCCATTTTCTTGTAAATAAAGTTTTAAATTTGTCTATTTTTTTGTTTTCAACATCATTTAAAAATTGGCCATTTTGAATACAGCTCTGTTAAAAACTCTGAATTTGATATTCTATTTTATAACTGTTTTCATGGCTTTTGCTTTATAAGCATGCTTAAAGAAATTTTAATCATTTTTCTTAAAATTCAGATTCCCATTTAAAACACACTGAAATAATTTTAAATAAATATTTGATTTTAGAATAGTTTTAGATTTACAGGAAAATTGCCAAAGATAGTACAGAGAATTCTAGCACCCCCACATCCAGTTTTCCCAATTATTAACATCTTACATAGGTATGGTAAATTTGTGGCAATTAACTAATATTGATATATGACTATTGACTAAAGTTTATACTTTATTCTGATGTCCTTAGTTTTTACCTGAAGTGCTTTTTCTGATCCAGGATACCACATTACATTTAGTCATCATGTCTCCTTACGCTCTTCTTGGAAACTAATTTTTTATGTTTCTAATTCCTGATATTCTTTTACATTTCTAACTACTTTTCGTCTGCTCTTTGTATATAAAATTAACATGCAGTATGATGACCCATAATAGTATTCACATATCCATTAATAAAACCACTTATTTTCAGTAAAAACTATATAAATTGAAAATACTTGTCTATAGAAAAGTAGAAAATGTCATGTCATATGTGAAAATGCTGTATGTAAGAAAATAAGTTATCAATACTATATTAATCCACTTTATGACATAATGTAAAAGCATAGACTTAATACACATTTTAAGTCTATTTTTAAGTTTGATTATGTTTCAAAAAAACTCAATTAAAATTCCCAGTCCCAGTGTAATAATTGATTCAGGCAAGGGTCAGCACTGGATATTACAATTATTGGATAATTTTTAGAGAACAGAATATTCATGTGGTACCAAAGTATTACTCCAGAAATTGCTTAGTAATTATAAAGAGAAAAATATATGTTTTCCATAGAGAGAAACTAGCAGTCACCTCTTAACCAAGTGATGAAATGTAGCATGCCTAGGAGTAAGAAATCTTGACATTATGTGTCTATCGATGGACTATATAAAGTTTATATCACCTATGACATTTAACTCAATGTAATCACATCCCTAGGTCTAACCTCCAGTTTACTGGAAATACAGGGAATAGAGAGAATGATAAAAAAAAAAAAATCCAGAATGTTGGACATTCTACAAGACAGTTTTGTCTGGATTCTTCAAAAGTCAATGTCATGAAAAACAAAAGGGAAAGTACTGTTTTAGATTATGCGTAACAACCAAATGCAATGAATAAATCTTGACTGAATCCTGGATTAAGGAGAAAAACAACAAAAAGCTTTAAAAAACATTTTTTTGGGGGACAACTGAACTGAAGAAATTGGATACGGAATGAATATGAGATAACAAAGGGGTTTTTGGGTTAATTTTATGCTTACATATATTTTTTTAAAAATTTGAGATGTATGCTAAAAGTACTTAATGATTTATCATGATGTCTGCAACTTAACCTTATGCTCAAATGGTCGGTAAAAATACATACCACGTGTATGTGGTGTATGTATGTGAATGCATGTGTGTGTATGAGTGAAAAGAGAGTGAGAAAGAGAAAAGATAAAGTCAATAACGTCTGTCAGTCTATGTAGTGGATGTTCATTGTATTATTCCCTTTTTCATATTTAAAATATTTCAAAATAAAAGTTGGGAAAAAACTCAACTACTCAATTCAGAACAAAGGAGGGAAAGAGCTATTGTTTCATGACTTACAACTATGTGGAGATGCTTTGGATATAAAATCTACCTATCTCTAGTTTTCGTAAGAAGATTGTATGGCAGTGATGACTACTATCATTTTCCATATGAGGAAAGTGCCCAATTCACACAGTTGACTAATAATATAGATGAGATTTGAACTCAAATTTTGGCAATGTCAAAACCTAAGCTTGCTTCTCAAAGCATGCTGGGCTTCCATCTTCACTTAGTATTTTGGACACAAATTTCTAATTCCAGAATAATCAGTGACTTGAAACCTCATCTCAGGTTCTCCTTGCATGTCCAAATAAACTTAAAATACATTGTTTTATGGGTAGTGTTGAGACTCAGATCATTCACGTTTTTTGTTCTCTCATGAAAAATGGGGATATGTCACTTTCATCACTAAATTCTGACTTCATGAAAATGATGGTAACGTATTTATGATAAAAATGGAAACAAATGTGCTAGAAACAGTTATTCCCTACAATATACATATGCATTTCAATCTCTCAGCATGCCACTTTGGACCAACCCACACGAAAAATTGGAGATTTCATCAAACTATACCATAGCTGTCAATAGGACTGAATACACCGTGAAAAATTGCGGATTTGCCAACATGTGGAGTTGAAAAGGATCTTGACCTCTTGTGTGTCTTGATCCTCATCTGCAAAACAGAGGGATCAAGCCAGAGGACTGGCATACCCATTTCCCATTATGGGTTCCTGTAATTGTTAATACTGACTTTTAATGAGAAACAAGACCTTATGATGAAATAAAGCTTATGACTCTTCTGCAGTAAGATAATTATATTTTTTTCCATAAAAGTAAGGCTTATCATTTTGGTATTCTTAACACATTTAAATACAAGAAATTATAGCTGTCATTGTTATTTTGGCATTTGTAATTTTTTGGTACTTTCTTGTTTTTCTTGTCTGATGTTGCTATTACTACACTAAAGGGGATAAAGTAAAAGCCCATTAGAAAATAATCCATTCCTGATCCACAGTTAAACTACTTAGATAGAGTTGCATATCCACTACCTCACTCCTTGGCTTTTTTTTTTTTAAACTTTCAGATCTGTACTTGATCATGCATCAGTCCACTGATACCTGTGCCTGTTTCTGTCTCAAGAATGGATGTGAAATATCACCAACCTCTTCGTAACTCTCAAGTTAGATATTTTGAGGCAATATTTTATGGTTGGATGAACACGCCATTTTAGAATCAGATGATATGAGTTCAAGTTCCTATTTGACTATTTGCAAATTTTGGGCAGGTAACTTATCTTTCTGTAGGTCAGAGTTCTTTGGTGCAAACTTGGAATCCTAATTACCCTATGCCATAGAGTATACAACACGTAGTGGTGTTTAATAAATAGTGTTGAAAAAGAATCAGATCCTATAATCTGCACAGTTTTGGAAACTGAATAACATATGAAATTATCATAAATCTCCAGAAAAAAAACTATGCATAAATAACAGGCCTTGCCATGAAGGGGAGAGAGCCTATTGGCCAAATTGAACTAAGGGGTGGCCTTCCCACCCAAATCCTTTTTTTCAGATGATATCAAGGTGGCTGCCATTAAGTTGAAAGCAAAGGAAGTGAGTAGGGCACAGAGGCTAGAAACTAAAATACCAGAATCTTTAGGCTGAAAGCCTGTGTCTAATGAGGCGTTTGGCTGAAGAGACTCACACTTGAAACTGATTTGAAGCAAACAGACTGTAAGCCTACTGAATTTCTGCACTACTGGTATAGAAAAAAAATACTAGCTTACCTTACAAAATTCTGTTGAACCCATAAGATAACAATGGAGTTTCCAAACCTGTACTAGAAAGAAGCAGGCTATGACAGCAATGAAGCCAACTCTTCAATACAAACCTTCGTGGCCATAGAGAATAAACAACGAAGAAACACCTTCCTGAAAACAGAACCAGGGTTGCCAGATGAGTAAACTAAGAAACGTACTCTACTGTCAATCTCTGCCATTCCTACCAAGTGAGATTGATAACTCCTACAGATGACTGATTGTTTTGTGTTTCCTATTCTCTCCTTTCTAAATGGGAATTTTTCTTTCAGTTTTTCTGTGGCTACCATACATTTAAATTAGATTTAACAGAGTCAGATAACGGAGGCAGATAACTTGTTTTCAGCTTGCAGGTCACCATAACATGAAAAGCCACATCGAGATATGAGAGGACTACACATTGCTCAAAGATTCTAGATTTCGACCAGCCGGATAAGATTTTGAGGTTTTAAGGTTGTCCTTCTGAGGAGGAATTTATTATGCTCTATATGAAAAAACAAGAGAATGCATGGATATTGGGTGGTCAAATCTGCAGAAAAAGTTAAAATTGAGAATGCCATCTTCTTTACCTTAGATTTCTTCTATAGATTTCCCCCCGTTCTTGTCTGCTTATGCTCAATGAACAAAGAGGAAAATAACAATATGACAAACTCTTATTTAAAAGAATTAAAAAATAGCTAATCATATTGAGCTTAGTTTTTTTTTTCTTACCACTGGTAATTATTTTATATTACAAAGTGGATATTTGTTAATGTTTTTGGCTTACCAGCATTTAAATCTTCCTTCTACATTTGAAAAATATCCCATATCCCATCCTTCAACTATAGAAGTTAAAATAGGAAGGTGCTACTTTTCTAGCCTGCTTTGCAATTAGGGTATAAGCACATGGTTGAGGCACTACTTTTCCAAACTTTGAATCTGAAGCTAATAAAGCAAAGAAGCAGAGACACCATAGGCTTTCATTCCAATGAGGGTAGTGGCCAGAATATACTTTCCCGAAGTTATCCTGTAGCAGCATGTAGTGATTTGCCATGAGTCCTGACAATGGTGCAAGCTGTGATATCTGTGCCAAGTAGCAGTGATAGTTTAGCAGGATTAACCTGCAGTATGGTTTTGGGCATCACTCCTAACCTACAGCCCAGAATCTCCAGCCTTCCTAGAGATTCTATGACCTATCCAGGATCCCTTAGCAAATACCTTTCTTTTCTGCTTAAATTGCCAGAATTGATTTCTGTTGATTGCAACTGGGCACCTGAAAGGAAACATGTTGCATATGCATGTTTCTTTGTAATGTATGATAGAAAAATATGTTGCTAGTTTATATTAAGCTAAGTATACACAACTTCTATGTGTAGCACAAAGAATGCATAACATTCAAGTACTGTTGTACCTGCAAGAATGCAAACAATCACCTAATCAGTATGGTCCCTTTCAGATCTAATAGCTTCTTTTCATTCCACAATAACAACATAGAAACCGACCAGGTACTTGTTCATTTATTCATTCACTACATGTTTGTTAAGTACTTCTTGGATGTAAGGTACTGTGGGAGATAACAAATATGTAATACATGATCACATAATTCCCAACTATATGATTTTTAAATTTAGTAGGTAAGATAGTACACAAATAATAATGCAAGGCAATATGCGCTAAGTGCTTTATGAGTGGTAGTAAGTTCCTAGAGCTGCATTGTCCAGTAGAACTTTCTGTGAATGAGAGAAATGTTCTATAATTCTGCACTGCATGATAAGGTAATCACTAGTCATACGTAGCTACTGAACACCTGAAAGGTGGCTAGTGGGACTGAAGAATAAAATTTTAAATTTTTAAAAATTTATTTAAATTTAAACAGTCACATGTGGCTAATACCTCATGTAGTAGATAGCACATATTTAGAGGTTCAGAAAAAGGCAAAAATATTTTGAAATGGGAGTATAAGGGAATAGTAAGCATAATACTAGTTCACGATATTCATCAAGATAGGTATTGTTATGTACACTTTACATACAAATGAGGAAACTAAAGCTGAAAGAAATTGTCTTCACAGTCCATACAACTAGGAAGAGGTGGAGCCAGTATTTCCAATTCAGCCACACAGTTTTTCCTCTGTCTACAGAAGCTCCTATAGCTTCTGAATACTTCATACAGTAGATGGAATATGAGCCCAGCTTTGAAGGACAATTAGACAGGATATATATACAGTGGTAAAGGAAGAATAGAAAGAAAGGCATGAACAAAACTTTGGAGACAAAGAGCAAGAAGACTTAGTTTCATAGAATTACTAGCCTTGGGAGGTGGGGATGCTAAACCATAAAAAAAGAAAACACCTCATATTGTTAAAGAACTTGAATGTCAGGCTAAAGGCTTTACTTAGTAGGAGATGTAAATCTACTGAAGTTTTTGAAGGAAGGGTAGTGTTAAGATGAAGATGGGGTTTAAGAGAACTGATACAGGAGCAGTGATGTTGGATTGGTCCAGAAGGGAGAGAGAGAGAGCAGGTTGGGGGGTTATCAGATCACTTCAAAGGTGAGCTCACGTGTCCCAAACTACCAAGGTGACAACGAGAATGGGAAAGAAAAACGAGAACTGAGAAAAGTTGGGAATGAAGCATTTCCTTGGCAGAAGTTGCAAAATATTGGTCTTTAATGTCAGGCCACATTTGGTCAATAAGTGTGTTTTGTTTGGCCCAAATAATGTTTGAAAGTTTTTATTCATGTGCCAACATTTTAAAATATAAAAGTTTTAAGTAAACAACCAGATTTATAGCTTTCCTTCAGGAAAAGAAAAAAAAGAGTAAATTTTCCAACCTTGGGCTGACATTCAGTCTGGCATTAATTAGCTAGAACTGACTATTCATCCTTCTTTTATAGATAGATAAGCTTTCTCCAGCTCTTTGAGTCCTTGTCTTTTCCCTTTCGTTTTATTCCCGTCCGACTTCACTGATGCATGTTTCTTTCCTGGCCTGTGATTTACAGGAATAATAAGGGAACAACCAATTATTTTATTTTATTTTATTTCATTTTTATTTTTTTGAGACAGAGTCTCACTTTGTCGCCCAGGCTGGAGTGCAGTGGCTCGATCTTGGCTCACTGCAACTTCCGCCTCCAGGGTTCAAGCGATTCTCATGCCTCAGCCTCCTGAGTAGCTGGGATTACAGGAGCCTGACAACATGCCCAGCTACTTTTTGTGTTTTTAGTAGAGACAGGATTTCACCATGTTGCCCATGCTGGTTGTGAATTCCTGACCTCAGGCGATCCACCTGGCTCGGCCTCCCAAAGTGCTGAGATTATAAGCGTGAGCCACCGCGCCTGGCTGATAGTTTTATTTTTAAGTTGCTAAAATAAAATTTCCTTTCCTTTTAGTCTCATTTAAACAAAACCTATTTTTTTTTTTTTTTTGAGATGTAGTTTTGCTCTCGTTGCCCAGACTGGAGTGCAATGGAGTGATCTCAGCTCACCCCAACCTCCACCTCCTGGGTTCAAGAGATTCTCCTGCCTCAGCCTCCTGAGTAGCTGGGATTACATGCATGCACCACCAAGCCTGGCTGATTTTGTATTTTTAGTAGAGACAGGGTTTCTCCATGTTGGTCAGGCTGGTCTTGAACTCCCGACCTCAGGTGATCCGCCCACCTCAGCCTCCCAAAGTGCTGGGATTACAGGTGTGAGCCAGCATGCCGGCACAAAATCTAAATTTTAAAAAATGGTACTTCAAATCCTTTGTTCTTGGTGATCCAGACAAAAGCAGACACCTTTGGTGATGTCTACGAAGCTCACAATAACCACTTCCCTTCTTAGTTGCCCACAGAAATGCATTTTTGGTGACTAAATTTATACATACATGGCCTTGCCTTCTGGCTGTATTGGGATGGACCAAACTGGGTAAGTGAAATCTCTTCTTTGGGAATTTGGGAGTGGGACTGAGAAAGACAGAAATATGCAGTGTGGGTGGAACTGTGACAGGTGAACTTGGATGCCATTGGCTGCCATTTTCCATAGGCCACATGGTCTGGGTAATAGAGCAAGGGAGAGAGCTAGCTGCCGAGAAAGAAAAAAGCAGCCATGCAAAGACAGAATCAACGGCAAGAAATGGGAAAAGAATGCTCATGGGTTCCTAACAGCCTTCTGGCTCCCAGTTTAGGTCCATGTGAGGCCTGGTGGGATTTCTGCTCATGGGTTTGGTACATTATCTTTGCATAAAGCATGATTTACATTACAATAAATACCCTGTTTTCATTTAAAGAGTGATACTTCCAAACTAGAATGATACTATCATTTTTGTGTGTTTTCTTCTTGTTCAAATAATATTATATATACACAGCATTAGGTAAATCTCCCTCCTCCCCAATCAAAAACATTTCAATATGAAAGAGAACAAATATACAGAATGATCTTGTCTGATCCATAAATAGGGGCCTATTTAATAATAGCAGAGAACATTTACATTAAAACACAGTCCTTGGAAGAAATGGGATGCTGTTATTATAACTTTCTAGTGAGTTTCCTTCATAAGTCATTATATATAAGATGTTTCTACAGGGAAACTAATTCCTGTTACTGGTAGTGAACCTGTTAAAGGATGAAAGCAAATTGAGGTTTAATTTTACTTTTATATTAAAGGGTTTTTTCCTTTGTAGAACTCAGTCTATTAAAGTTTTAAATTAAAGACACTATTTGGACACATGGTGGTGAAAGATTCTGAATCTTATATGAAAAAGGTAATATTTGATAGGCATTGAGTGGAACTGTTACTCAATTTACTTTTCTTAATTCCAAAATCTTTTGCTTCACTTTGTCTGTTATAATGTAAATCTAACATAAAAAAATATTGTGCTATTTTTGAACAAGGTATGAACTCATTTATGGAATGATTTGTTACACATAATCTAGAAAAAATAATATCCCCTATAAAAAGAACCATAGTAACTGTCTATCCATGTCCTGCTTCCAAGGTTGGCTTCATGAAGATGGGTAAAAACTATGATCACTGCATTTAAAAAAGTCTCTATCACATGTTACATTTTAAACAGTATAAATATAATGGATGGATGGCAGTCAGTTATACTGATATTCAGTGTGAAAAGAATGGTGGAACTATATACTGTTAATTATTAATAGACACTGAATATCACTGTGCTAGGTATGATGTTTGCACTTTAAGAGGATTACATTTAAATGTATGAAGAATTTTTCTTATTTCAACGGCGTAAGGGCAAAGTTCTAAACTATTTTAATCAAATGGGACTGATTATTAAGAATTAAGTACATTATTTACTATACACAAAGACTAGAATAAGATATGTCTCTTTATACTCTTCTTGCTGGGTGAATAAACCTCTTAAAGAGTGAAGCTAGGCCGGGCACGGTGGCTCATGCCTGTAATCTCAGCACTTTGGGAGGTCGAGGCGGGCTGATCACGAGGTCAGGAGATTGAGACCACCCTGGCTAACACGGTGAAACCCTGTCTCCACTAAATATACAAAAAATTAGCCAGGCATGGTGGCACATGCCTGTAGTCCCAGCTACTTTGGAGGCTGAGGCAGGAGAATGGTGTGAACCTGGGAGGCGGAGCTTGCAGTGAGCCGAGATCGCACCACTGCACTCCAGCCTGGGCGACAGAGCAAGACTCTGTCTCAAAGAAAAAAAAAAAAAAAAAAGAAAAGAAACACACAAAGAGTGAGGCTGAGTTAAATAGGTCTTTTTATTCCAGTTTATTTAGTCAATTTTATTTTAATTCCTCATAGCTTCACTATCACATGCAAAGACTCTTTCCTCAGTTTTCTGGTGATTTTAAAGCTATTCTTATTTCTTAGATGGTTTTCCTATAATTTATTTTTAAGCTAGTGGGATGTAAAAGAAGTCAGATGAGTTAATTTATTCAGTTTTATAGTATTAAGCTGATAGGATCTCTTCTGTATGATTGCCAAACTATATTTGAAACAAAGGTGGCAGATCATAAAATCAGGCAGGCCAAATTCATCACATATGGACATAATTAAACAAGAATCACTAACCCAGAGCCACATGTAACATTAAGATAGCTTCTGATAAACCAGATTCCCCAAGTATTAGAAAATGTGCCATTTTCCTACATTATAGGGCCATAATCATTTGCCCTTGGATCTATGGGTGAGAAGTTGTGGGGCTGCTTCTCTTATTAAGAATGGTAACATTTGCTTGAAATAGTTCCTTCTTTCCTATAATTGTCTCTAATGTTTGAAAACTCTACACATAGTAATATCCTACATTAGGGAGGTGGACTCAGTGTCGAGCCCAAGTAGTTTATATAGTGAAAATAATTCTTATCTCAAAGGGTTCAGTGATAAAATAAGTAAACATAATTTATAAACTGTTAAATAACATGTAAGGTACTATTACTACTTTCACTTAAAAAAAAAAAAAACCTCAGAGATTTGGAGAGCATCTACCTGGAATACACCCAGGGAAAAGGATGCAAAAAAAAAAAAAAAGAGCTCCAAGTATACAAAAACGATTCCACAAAGACCATCGACAATCTTAATTTATTTTGTTTATGGGAATGTCCCTTTCATCCTCACTGAAGTAAGCTTCACTGAGATTTATGATCTGGGGGCAAGTTGTTTAGCTTCTCTGAGTTTTGGTTTTCATATGTGTAAAATGAGGAAAATAGTAACATTCTTGAAAAATTATCATGAAATTAAAGGAATGTGGCACATAGAAAGTGCACAATGAATGGAAACTTTTATTATTGTTCTTGGTTTTCAAGACCATAGCATATTAAAAGGAAATGTCATATAATAATGAAGAAGCAACATATAGAGTAATTAGATTATAAATTTCAAAGACAGATTTTGGGTTTATATCTTAACTCCACCACTTATTAATTGTGGGCTCCAGGAAAATTCTTTTCAAAGGTGTGTGGGAGGCTGCTGATACTGGCTTGGTTCATGAGAAACTGAGAGTTATCACTGACACCTGAATCAATGTTTAACCCTCACTTTCTCAGGGCACCCTTCTCTAACTCCTAAATTAGGCTTTCTTATAATTTCTTGTTGCACTCTGCCCTTTACCCTCCTAACACCTGTCACAGTTATAATTATGTAGTTATTTCTATTAATGTCTACTTATCTCCGTTAGGCTGAAAGCTCTGAGAGGGAAAGGAGCACATCTACCTAATTCATTAGAGACTCATTGCTTCTAACACATCAAATACCCCCAATAAATATTTTTGAATGAATGAATGAGTGGATGAACGAAAAGAATATGATCTCTCTGTAGACTTCTTGGCACTTTTTGTGTAGAATGGAAACTCAACACGCTGTACAAGAAGAGAATGTGAATATGGAACTGGAAGACAGGGTATACTTGAAATTCTTTAGCTATTGAACTCTTTCTGAAAAGAATAAAAAAAAGAGACTAGCTTTAAAATCAGACTGGCTTACTGAACTGATTGGTTAATTTAGTCAAATCACACTGGTTAAATCATACTGGTTAGTAGATCCGTGCTCTTTAGACAAGTTGCTATTAACCAGTGTGAAAATCATACAGTGGGATGGATTTTCTTTATAAATGTGAATGAGTCTCACAGTTATGATAATAGTAACATAATCCTGAATATGTTAACCACATGACCTTCATGTATCCTGTGTGGGTGTCTCAAAAGAAAAAAAAGGAAGTAGAGAAGCACTGCTTTAGGCCAATGATTTCTAACTTTTACAATCCTGCAGAGTATGTTGAAATACCTTTAAAAATTCCAGGACTTTCAAAGGTGTTAAGAGAATCGCAAAATCAAAGAAAAAAGTTAAGATTTCTACTCGTGGCTGTAAAAATGACTGTAAGCCAATGGAAAAACCTCTAATTTATGGAGAGTGTCTCCTCTCTAGTTACTAGTAGAGAACTGTATGGTTAACTTTAAAAACGCCGTTTCCCATATAAAACATTTTGTCTTGGCAGCTTAAGAAGCCATATTATGGGATAGAAATCTGTTCCAATTTCCATGTGTAGATGTAGGAATTTCCTTTGGGATTAGTCTGTGTGAGCCATAGTTAAGCAAACGTACTTCAAATATTGAAATAATTTCATATTTATATACATTTTTCTTGTCTCAAAAAGGTTTTTGGAATGATATTTTGTAAACTCAACAATCCTAATCATAATTTAAAGAAAAAGGATGATACCTTATCTGAAGCAAACTCAAGACTGAAGACTTGGTGTAAAAATAAAAATCTGGGAAATGAGTCCATAATAACCTATGTTTTATTTAAATATGTATTTTCAGGCACAAGTGGTTAAATTCTAGCCTCATCACTTACTATGTATGTGAATGTAGCCAAATATAAGAAAATAATAATCTAGTATAGCTTGGGAGCTGAATGAATAGGTTGTGTTGCTGAATGCCTGGGTTCAAACGCTGGCTCTATTACCTACCATCTTGGTGACCCTGGGCAAATTTCGGAACTCTCTCCCTGCCTCAGTCTTCTCATTTGTGAAATGAGGATAACAAAAGTACTGCTTCATAAGGTTGTTGTGGGCCTAAAAGAATACACGTCAAGTGTAGAACAGTGCCGGACTAATAATAAGTACTAAAAGTTTTAGCTACAATTATGATCATTCATTTACTCAATTTAATTTACTTCTCGACTTGTTTACATTTCCTAGAATTTTAAATATTTAATTATAGGAAGCAAGTGAAACGTAAACGTACAAACAAAAACAGAAAAGGACTAGTATGGAAATTAAATCATGTTTATATAGGGAAGTCCCCTGCTGTTAAATCTATATTGATTTATATCCAACTGATATTGCAACAATAACCTAGAAGAAACTTGGATAGCTCTAGCTAATAAATTAGTTTGAAGACAACTTTCCAGACATATTACCAATCCTCCATCTTCTACTTTTCCCCCTCCCCTATCAGGAAAAAAAGCAGAAAAAAAATATTTCAATCTGTTTTTAGAACGGGCAATTTCTTTTAAATCAGGGCTCACTACAGATGTCCTAATAAGAGGTCATTGATTTTCTCGGGATAAAAGCAAAACCAACCCTGTTATTTACAAAAATAGAGTTAACATCATGATAACGAACCTACTCCGGATATACATCTAAAAATGAACACAGTTTGCAACTAGTGTATCAGTAAATTAATAAATATTTCAAATGTTGGGACACTACTTACTATTTACCAGTCAATTATCATTTTGATTGACAAATTGTATTTTCAGTGTTAGTTGTTAAATCTTATAGGAAAGTTCATGAAGAAAATACATGTTATGTTATTCAAAACTTTACGAACTCCAAATCAACTGGTGAAAAGTTTAAAACAGCGAGTCCTCCTCCTCGTGTTTTTCATTAGCTTAATTACAATGGCATTGCTGAAACACCAGAGATTGTGCCTTGAGCACAAACTCACCTTCGGTACTAGCAACCCTCTAACTGTCTGTCCACTGTGTAACCCCTTCACCTCATCCGATCTTGGGTTTTCATAGGCTGACATTCCTGTTTCAAAGTTTTGCTGCTGCATTTCCCTCCAGTTTTCAAGTATTTCTGTCCTCCAGGCCGAATGCTAATACCCGGACTGCGAAGGGTAAACCAAAACAGAGTGGGGTGCACCGAAGAGGCGCCGCCTTGCCTCCCACCAGTTTACATTCTCTTTCAACTTCCAAGCACTTGTAATACAACTCCACTAGGAGAGCCTTTTCCCAAGTCGGCGCCTGTGGAGCTCTCCAAATAACCAAGAAACAACTTCTCTGCTCAGCTGACGTGCTCTAGGGCTGTCGCCCCCGGCACAGTCCCGGAGAGCAGAGGGGCTGGGACACTGCTACGTGGAGTTCTCTCTGCCCCGGCCAACCCTCCAGCCACCGACTTTCTAAACAGATAGAGACACCAACTACGGGGGAAGGGGTGTCTCACCTCCTTCTTCCTCCTCCAGGGAGTTCATGCAGGGAAAGTAGCCGGCCAGTGCCTCGAAGGAGGCAGACAGGCTACTCCGGCTCTGGGAGCGCTGCATGGAGCGCCCCGCAGCGCTGGCACCCCCCAAGCCCTGCCGGCCCATCTTGGACGAGGACCCGCTTTTCCCGCGGTACAAGATACGCGGCGTCTTGGCGGCTGGGGCGCAGCGTCCGCAGCGGTTCCGGGACCAGTGGGCCAGAAGCCAGGTTGGTGCCACGGGACCCTGAGGCTCTGGCCCCTGCCTCCCTGACCCAGCCCGGAGGAGACGTGGCTTTCCTGGCCGCCGGGACCTCCAATTTATTGGAGAGGGGTCCAGAGGAGGAGATGGAGGCGGTGGCGGGCGGAGCGGCTGCTCGCAGTGAACGTCCGAGGTCTCGCCCGGGAGGGAGCTGAGAATCCTGGAGGCTGGAGCTGCTGGAGTCTCGCTGCCCTCCCCGCGCAGGGAGATGCCGCTGATGCTGCGGTCCCCGCCAATCAGCGGCCGGAGGGGGAGGTGGCGGCGCGGCTGCACCTCGGTGGGCTGGTGGCTCCGGGGCGCGCGCCTCAGGTCCCGGGCAGCTGCTCCGAGTAGCTCCTGCTGTTTCCTCTTCCCTCCGCGTGGTTAAGGCCAGGGAGTGGTGACTAATTAGATGCAGTGAGTTAGGCATCTCAGATAAGTAAACCGGTAAATTTCTGGTAGTCACTTTCCCTTTCCTCAGGTTCACAGTTTTTTTTAACGCTCCTCAAACACAGGCAAAAAATATTGAAATTTTCTTCAAGTCATGACACAAAGGCTCCTCAATTTTTACCAAGTTCCACGAAAACCTACAATTAAAGCTTTCTCTTTTACTCTCTTTGTTAAAAATGATAAAAAGTGAACTAAAGAAACCAAGAACCGATAAACACCAGCACTGAAAAGCACAATGATGTCTATCAAATTGTTTTAATTTTAGGAATTTTTATTGCCTTCTTTCTCTAAATTAAATAATCTACCCAGTATGGCTAAGAATGACAACATTGTACGGCTTAACATCTAAGCAAAAGGTATAACATCCTGTTAACACAAATTTGGAAACAACACAAACATACTAGGGCAAAGTAGTTTATAAGCAACATTACATGATGCATTCTGCAAACTGCACATCTCTATCCCGGAACCTAAAGCAACTTTAATTTCGTTTTCCCAGGAATCAGATGACTGCCTTACTTTTTGTAATCTGAGACAAGTCATCCCACCTCTGTTTCCCAATCTAGGGAAGTGGGAAGGTAGGGTACTATTCAGTCCTAACCCTGTCAAACATGATCACTGGGCGTGTGTAATAGGGGATTTCAACGTAAAATGTAAATTATGCAATCTAAAATGGTTCATTTATTCAATAAATAGTTCCTAGATAGTATATATGTACAAGTTACTTGCTTGATATGCTGAAAGATTCAAATACTCATTCAATTAATATTAATTGAGCTCCTAGTATATGCCAGGTACCATGGTAGATGTTTATATGATGCAACAGTGATCAAAGCAGCTAAAAAAAATCCCTGCTCTCATGAAGCTTACATTTTAGTTGCAGGGGAGAGACACGACAAATCAGTAAATTATATAGTGCTAAAAAGGAGATGAATGCAAATAAAAAGTTAAGAGGTATGGGACACTGCAATTCAAAAAGAGTTGTCAGGGTGGGTTCTCACTGACAGTATGACATTTGAACAGAGGTGTGAAGAACCTGAGGAAGTGGCTAGTCAGATATTCCAGGAAGAGAGTGAGTTTGAGGCAGAGAGAACCTCTAGTGCAAAGGCCCTGAGGTATGATGTCCTGGTGTGACCACAGAACAGCAGACAGGCCAGGGCAATTGGAGTGAGTGGGAAGGAGTGAAGGACAGAGAGACAAGAGTCAGAGAAAGACATAGGTCATACAGAGCCTTCTAGGTATGATAAGGACTTTGTTTGTCCATTGCACATCACAATTTAGAAGGTATGAAAAATGCATACAAGTAATAATCCTTTTAAATACACTTAAAATTAGGAAACTTTCAGTATAAATAAGAGTTCCATGGTAAGAAAAAGTAACAACTTTAGCTGTTTAGACTTAGGCTCATCCAGATTTATTGCTTTTGTTTTCCTGATAGACTTGTCCTTTCTCATTAATGTCCCTACAACTCTGTTAGTCCAATTTTCTTTTCGTTATTTATCTTCCTCAAATATCAGCATTTCAAAACAACATTGATAAAACCAGACAACTCTATGAGTACTTTTTCAAACCATATCACTTTTATTCAGAGACTAGAAAATTTTATTAAATGAGATTTTCATTATAAGAATCATAGAATTTTAGAAACTGCAAGGACTTTATTAAAAGTCACCTAATTTTTTTTAAACTGTGGGTCACAAATGAGTCATGAAAATAACTTATTAAGTTTTGATTAGAATTAAAAAAATACAATACAGTATCAGAGTTCAGCCCACATGGTTAGTGCATCAATTGCACTATTGTTTTATGAATATGTATGTTTATGTGTGTGCGCACGTATGTATTGAGCTGTGATGTAAAATGTGTTTCTCACTTTTGAAAAAGTTTGAAAAACATGAATCTAATGTAATAAAATACTTTATGTAAGAGAAAATTTAGATTAAAGGGTAAAACAAATATAGAAAATATATTTATATTTAAGAGGAAACAGCTGTTACCATACAAATCTAATTATACTCGGAGAAATGGGCAAGTTTACCAACCAGTCAGACTCTCCTAAAGATTAAGTTACTTGGTTAGAAAAATTTGAGTACTTTTGACTGGACATCCCTAACTTAAGATCGGGGGAAGGTATCAAGGAAGAGAGATTGAGCAGAGAATCTTAAAGAAATAAATTGGCAAGCTGAGCTCAGGTGGCTCATGCCTGCAATCCCAGCACTTTGGGAGGCTGAGGTGGGAGGATCACTTGAGCTCAGAAGTTCGAGACCAGCCTGGGCAACATAGTGAAACCTCATCTCCAGAAAAAGTTAACAGTAAAAATTTAGCCAGGTGTGGGGGTCATGCCTGTAGTCCCAGCAACTCAGGAGGCTAAGATAGGACAAAGGCTTAATTAAGCCTGCAAGGTTGAGGCTGTAGTGAGCAGTGATGGTCTCACTGCACTCCAGCCTGGGTAACAGAGTGGGATTGTGTCTCAAAAATAAAATAAAATAAAATAAAATAAATTGGCTGGGGATGCATGGAAAACTTTTATTTTGGCACTCAGGGACATCACAATGCTGGCTGAAAGTCATTTTGGAAAAAGATTTCTTGGGTTTCTGCAAGTGACTGCTGGGGATGGGGAGTCTGAGAACGGAATCAGTGGTTATGCCTGAGTTGCCTGGGCCCTGCCTTGTCTGTGTTAATAACCTGGTTTCATGAACCAAGAAGAAGTTAGTCTGGAATAGTCTAGATGTGTCTACTACATGACCACCACTTCCCTCCTGCAGCTTCAGAACAAGGTTGTCCTGGGAAGCTTTTTTGATATTTTTTTCCTAGGATCTTACAGATATAGATGAGTGACGGAAGAATGGCACAAGGTAGAGTAGAAAGAATGAAAGAGAAGGAAGAAAATAATCTTATTTAGGGGAAGAAAGCTTTAAGGAAAGAGTGTTGGCACAGAGGTACCAGAGAGACAGACCTTCAATAATGGCCAGAGACTTCTAGTCTTGAATGACAACTTGTGGAATATACTGAAATTATTGAGAAAATGTAGAATTCTACTTTAAAAAAAATTTTTATGTTCAATTGTTTTCCTATGTATAACATTATCTAAATAATATTTCTGGTTTATGTATATTAATAAGTTGATTTATTATTCCTTAATTCCATTCTAAGTACTGTCACCCCCTAAGGAATTTAAAAATTTACATAAAAATAAACTACTGATAAAAGATTGAAAATGTCCTTCCTTCACATCAGAATATACAAGTAGTATATGTAGTTTTGGATGTAGTTCTCAAGTAATGGGCTACTATATAATTTTATTACATAAAACTAAGTGTAATTCCAGAATCATTATCATCCAGTATTTCAAATTATTTATAACTTTCCAATTAATTTATAGAGAAAAAGTGAGTCACAAATATACACAATAAATTGTCATCTAAAAGCAAAACACGGCCTTGAATAAAAGACTGCACTATTAAACATAAAAATCACCTTTTTGAAGAAAAGATAAAACAGATATAACTTGGATAAACTATCATAGTATCATATTTGACAAGTGTGTACTCACATTTTTATAGATATGTTGTACTTTAGAGTTTATAAAACATAGTAATTATGCCACTTAATTCTTACATCAATCCTGACAGAATGTCATCATTATCTCTTTATAGATAAGACAATAAGTCAACATTAAATGACTTGCTTAACTACGAAGTGGCAGAGCAAGACTCAAACTCAGGGTTCCTGATTTCAGGTTCAGTGTCCTGTACATCATATTACAGATATCTTATACCACATATACTTTCATAAATCATAGATTATAAATATGATTTTAACTGTGCAGTAAGTTACTTTGTCCAAAATAAATGTCGACAATGCATCTGTAAAACCATAGTGATTACTCAAACTGTATACCAATGTTAAATCCATAATCTTTAAAAATAAAAACATTAATATTAAATAGCCATATATGTATTTAAGTCCCATCAATTCTAACAGGGCTAGAAAGTTACATGTCATTTATGTATCACTTTTTGTAATAGTTTTTAAAAAATCACCAGAGTTTTAAATTACGTGAAATTAGTTTATTCCTGAAATAGAGGTTTGATCACTTAAGTAAATACTCAGAAAGGTTGTTACATGAAGTAGCTCTATCATGTCTAGACCATGGATTAGTTCCATCAGGAACATGGTTACGCCTGTGGCAGCCTGCCCTTTTCTATGCTACAAATGATGTAAGCCAGGGGTCCCCAGCCTACCCTGAGCCACACAGTAGGAGGTGAGCAGTGGCGGGTGAGTGAGCAAAGCTTCATCTGTTCTGTATTTACAGCTGCTCCCCACTGCTTGCATTACCACCTGAGCTCTGCCTCACAGGAGTGCGAACCTTATTTTAAATGCACACGTGAGGGATCTAGGTTGTGCACTCCTTATAGAATCTAATGCTTGATGATCTGTCACTGTCTCCCATCACCCCGAGATAGGACTGTCTAGTTACAGGAAAACAAGCTCAGGGCTCCCACTGATTCTATATTATGGTGAGTTGTATAATTATTTCATTATATACAACAATGTAATAATAATAGAAATAAAGTGCACAATAAATGTAATGCCCTTGAATCATCCTGAAACCATCCCTTGCTCCTGGTCTGTGGAAGAACTGTCTTCGACAAAACTGTTTCCTGTTGCCAAAAATGTTGGGGACCACTAACGTAGCTGATGATGAGGAGAATGCAAACTGCTGGCTAATACCAAGGGAAGGGAAGAGAAAGAAAGTCCCTCTGGGAAGTAATGGAAAAAGAAAAAAAAAGCAGTAAGGCTCAGAAGTGGCTATGCTAAAAAGAAGTAGAAAAACGAATGCCTACTTCCATCACTATTTAAGTGTTTTCCAGTCAACTCAGAAAAGGCTAGTTGCTGAGAGAGACGGGAATTTCTCATGAAAAGTTATAAATCATGCTGCAGACTCAACTAACCTCTTTTCTTTTGATATACACTTGTTCTTGGTAATAGGAGGATTCATCAGTTGTGAAGATAGATACGATATTAGTTTTCACAACTGGTATCAATTACCTGTGACTGTGACTTAATTCCTCACATACAAGTGTCTTTATGCTAAATAGGAATATTTGTGGATATATTTTGGTTTGGTTTATTAAAAACCAACCCTCAGGATCCTAAATTATTTTACTTTATTTTTTATTTTTTGCTGTAATATAATATCATTGCATTTAAGTCATGAGCGATAAATCCATGAAGTTGATATTTTTAAACTGACTTAAAATTGCTAAAGGTATTTAATAGTCTTGAGAAATTACCCTTGATGTGAATATGAAATCCAAAATATATAATCTTTTCTTCCATCCCCAGTTTTATGTCAATATTGTACAAATAAATTTTAAGCTTTTGTGATTTCAGTTTTCAAAAGTATTTTTGGTTTTTACTCAGCAGGTTTCAAGAGTGAAGAGCAGATGTAATACTTCAGTAGCTGGTCGACCCGAAACTTTCATAAAAATTGATGAGGTCAAAAAACATTTGCAAGCTGGACACTTCAGCTCAGGCCTGTAGTCCCAGCATTTTGGGAGGCTGAGGTGGGTGGATTGCCTGAGCTCAGGAGCTCAAGACCAGTCTGGGCAACAAGGTGAAACCTTATCTCTACAAAAAATACCAAAATTAGCCAGGTGTGGTGGTGCGTGCCTGTAGTCCCAGCTACTTGGGGAGCTGAGGCGGGAGGATCACTTAGGCCCTAGAGGTCAAAGTTGCAGTGAGCCATGTTCATGCCACTGCACTCCAGCCTGGGTAACAAAGCAGGACCCTGTCTCAAAAAAAACAAAAAAACAAAAAAACAAGATATTCACAGTATGAGAAGAAAGATTAAATGATTAGTATTTTCATTATCTCTGCAATGAGATTTATGCTAATATATCCATGGAAGTTAACAAAATAAACTTATTGAGTAAGCTAAAAACTAATGGTAAGATTTAACTCAGGAATAAAGGGGAAAAAACTCTAAAGATCAAAATAATGAGTTATAAAAGCAGAGTAGTTAGATAATACAGGGGAAGAATAAATATCTGGATTCTAATTTTGATTATGGCCCTTTATAATAATGATGATGATAATAGGTTACTTTAGTTCTTCACATGCATTGTCTCATTTAATTTTCATAAACACTATATAAGGTAGTTAATTCCATTATTCTCATTTCACAGACAAGAAAATTGATGCATATTCCTTCAATAAATATTTCTTGAGTGCTTACCACATGCCAGGCACTATTCTAGTCACTGGGGATACAGCAGTGAACAAATACAGATAGAATCCTCCTCTACCTTCATGAAGCTCACGCTGTAGTGGAATAGTGGCTAACACTTACATCCCACTTACTATAAGCCAGGCCTTTTTCCTCAACAACTTTACTTACCAGCACATACACTCATTTAATACACACACAATCCTATGAGGGAGATATTACTATACTCTTTATATAGATGAGGAAACCAAGGCATATTGAGGATGTCTCTTGCTCAAGGTCACATAGCTTATTAAGAAATGAGATCAGGAATAAGCCCATGAAGTTTGAGGCACAGTGTTACAAATAAATTTGTCCAATGTCACAAGTAGCAAACCCAATATTTGAATCCAGGCCTTATGACTGCACAATCCATAATCTTTAATTGCTAAGTGACACAGCTGAAGAGACTCTACTGAGATCAACAATTAGACAATGAAACTGCTAATAAGAACTGTTGACCATGATAATAAGACCATGTTGCCCAGGCTGGTCTCGATTTCCTGGCCTCAAGTGACCCTCCTGCCTCAGCCTCCTAAAGTGCTGGGATTACAACAAGGAACTTTTAACATGATTAGTTCTGTTTTCTTATATGGCGTATTTATGTAAATCTTTATTTAGCTATCACCAGGAATCTAAAACTCTCACTGAATGTCTTCAAAAAGTTTTAGGAATCAGCATATGGGTATGAGTTCAGCCAAAATCACATGAACAACTCAGCCTCCAGACAAGATAGGAAATATATATTCATGAGATTTGCAATTCATTGCTATTTGGCCACCCATGAAAGTATATTTCCAAAAATGAAATATAATCAATCATAAACCAAACATTTTGAAGGATGTTTGGTAGGCAGAAAATAGGGACAAAGAAAACTGAAAATGGAAGTTTCTCTACCCTGCCCATAATAACTACTATATATGCCTATTTTTGATCTTTGAAAATGGGCAAGAGTTTGGGCTTCTCATGAGGGCTTCTATTTTTCCCAGTCTCCCTAGGGCAGTGGTAGTGGCAAGGATGGTTTCCAAGTTTAAGAAATTCCCTGCTCACGCATTCTGTTCCACTGTTCCAAGCAATGCTCCAGCTTTGTGATAAATTCATACAAAGTCTTCATGGCAATGTTAGAAGAATATCCTCAAACACTTGAGAAAAGAAGAAACATGTCTCCTATTATAATTTCCTTGAAATTCCAGATGAACATCACCTAGCAACTTCTTATATCATTATGAGATGAACAGCACTTTGAGATTTTGTGAGTGTAAACATTCTACACAAATATATGGCAAGATCTAAAAACTTTAAGTTTCAGATACCAATGTCAATAACTTTATGCAATATTTGTAAAAAGTTTGCATATTTACACTTTTCCTTATTTATTATTTATTCATTCACTATTCATTTACTCCTTACACCATAGTGTGACTAGAATAATATTAGGTATGAATGGAAAAATAAAAAAGTACCTTAACCACAATTAAAGTCTAATTCTTACTTGTTCCTTTTTTTCATTACTAGCCAAGCTTCATGTATTCATTACAACATTTATGGCAATAAAGACTTCTTTTGATTACCACTTTGTTCAACTAAGTCATATGTTAGTGGATATAAATGGTTATAAGTTGCTTATACTGCTTGATATGCTGACATAAAAATAGAAAATTTGGCATTTTTCATAGATTTTTTGCTTAACTGTCTAGTTGACTTTTCAAATTGCAGACACTTTATTTTTTATTATGTATGAAGACATAAGATTTGTAATAAAGTCATCTAAAGTTATTAAAGACCAAAGGCAGTAGAGAAGAGTGAGGGGTCTGTCAAAGCATTACAAATTGCAAGATTTTAAATAGCGTATTGGAAAAAAAGAGCCCACGGAAAACATTCATGTTATACAGATCCAGGTCAAACATCACCTAGATTGGGTATAAGTGGACTGTTGCTTGAACGTAGTTCTATTTGTAGCTTAGTATATTTGGTAAACAGTTAAGGCTGTGGGCAAAGTAGCCAACTCAGGAACCAATCTACGCAAGTCATCATCAGCTGATTCCCACTTAAGATACTCTGTTAAAGATGTCTCTCGGGCCTGGCGAGGTGGCTCACACCTGTAACTTTGGGAGGCCAAGATGGGCAGACCACTTGAGGTCAGGAGTTAGAGATCAGCCTGGCCAACATGGTGAAACCCTGTCTCTACCAAAAATACAAAAATTAGCTGGGTGTGGTGGTGGGCAACTGTAATCTCAGCTACTCGGGAGGCTGAGGCAGGAGAATCACTTGAACCCAGGCGGTGGAGGTTGCAGTGAACCGAGATCATGCCACTGCTCTCCAGCCTGGGTGACAGAGTGAGGCTCTGTCTCAAAGAAAAAAAAAATCTTTCAATAAGGGTTTGTCTGTCTTGTTGATATGAAACTTTATGATAGGAAATAATAATACAGATTAAACATGTTTTCCTCCTAAAATCCAATTCAAAATGGTTCCATATAATTTGCTTCATTTATACATCCACAATAAGGTGAGTGGCTCACGTCTAACAAGACAGAGGACTATTACCCAAGAAAAACAGTCTCAGTAAGAGGTAAATTTGTGGTATAAAACAGAAACTCTCTAATAAATACAAGTAATTACAAGGAGAGGCAAATCAGTATGTATTCTAATTAAGGGAAAATGCTGTAATGCTTCTCCTTGACCACTGCTTTATAACTTGGATTCCTCTGCTTGGCAACTCCTTCTGCACCTCAACTTTCTAATGGAATAACATTTCAAACCCCAATCTCCTTTCCCATACTTGACAACAAACTATGAAAAGACATTTGCAAAGGAGCCACAAGTCTTGATCCATGATTTACAGCCTACAATGTAACCAAATTAACAAACCCCAAAGCTATTCTATTTGCGGTTATTTCTCTTCTTCTTCTTCTTCTTCTTCTTCTTCTTTTTTTTTTTTTCCGAGGCAGAGTCTCGCTCTGTCACCAGGCTGGAGTACAGTGGCTCAATCTCGGTTCACTACAACCTCTGCCTCTGGGGTTCAAGCGATTCCCCTGCCTCAGCCTCCTGAGTAGCAGGGACTACAGGCGCGTGCCACCACGCCCAACTAATTTTTGTATTTTTAGTAGAGACGGGGTTTCACTGTGTTGGTCAGGATGAAGTCTTGATCTCTTGACCTCGTTATCTGCCTGCCTTGGCCTCCGAAAGTGCTGGGATTAAAGGCATCAGCCACTGCACCCGGCCCATTCATTTCTTTTCTATCTGTTCAACAGATATTAGTTGACCACTACTATTTCCCAGGCACTTTCTTAAGCTTGAAAGCAAAATAATGAGCAAACGGGAATGACTGCTTTTCCTCATAAAGTTGACAATGTAATGAGTAGACAGATGTTAACAAATAATCACAAAAATTAACTCATAATTATTGTTAAGTACCATGAAAGAAAACTGCAAAGTGTAATGACAGTGAGGACTTAATTGAGATAGGAATTTGGGGAAGTCACAGAAGGAAGAAGACTTTTCTTTTTGAGACGGGATCTTGCTCTGTTGCACAGGCTGGAGTGCAGGGGCATGATCTCGGCTCACTGCAACCTCTGCCTTCCAGTTCGGGCAATTCTCCTGCCTCAGCCTCCTGAGTAGCTGAGATTATAGGTATGTGCCACAATGCCTGACTAATTTTTGTATTTTTAGTAGAGATGGGGTTTCACCATTTTGGCCAGGCTGGTCTCAAACTCCTGACCTCAGGTGATCCGTCTCCCAAAGTGCTGGGATTACAGGGTTGAGCCACCGCACCCAGCCGAAGAAGACTTTTCTGAGAAAGTTTCTTTGATTGTGAGACTTGAAGGATAAATAGGGGTTTACAGGTAAAGAAAAAATTGAGTTAAAGATCTTACAGGTAGAGGGGACAGCATGTATGACGGAGAGCTATAACACACCCCCACCATACTCAACCATTTCTCATAGGTCTCAACACAGTTCTCAATGTGTCTGTGTAGCATAGTGAAATTGTCATCTCTTATGAGGAGAGTGTTCACTTTTTTAGGTCATTCAATCTAAGTTCCACTCAGTTATAATAGCACTAAATTACTGAAGTGGTTTATAAGACCTTTTAAAACCTAGCTTACTAATTAGTGAAGTACACAAATATCAGAGGAACAGAGTATACTGTTCTCTTGAGTAAAGAAATCATGATTTAGTTTTAGTTAAGAATGAACATGCGTGTGTGTGTGTGTGAGACTCAGGAAAGAGTAAAACAACAACAAAAATAACAAAAATTAAACTGCTCTTTAGAAGGTTCCAATGACTAGCTTGTTGTCACATCCAATGGGACTTTCAGGTCCTTATCTTATTTGCCCTCTGAGCAGCATTCCACAGAGTTGAACACTCTTTAATCTGAAATTATTATCTTCTCTTGACTTCCATAGGATTACATTCTTGTAAGTTTTCTTCCTATCTTTGTGGCATCCTCTTAAAAAAACCCTTGGCTGACTTCACCTCTTCTATCAAATGTACACCTCCAACACCTGTTGTAACATATCCTTCATGTTCAACTTTGGGCCCTCTTCTTTTATTATACATTCCCTCCAGAGGATATAATTTCATTTCCAGTTTTAAAAACCAAAAGCATTTACTCAAATGTAATTATCTAGCTTAGACCTCTCGTCTGAGTCTCAGAGCTGTCTACTTGACATTACCACTAGAATAACTCACAGACTTCTCAATCTACTCTCGATTTCTTTCCCACAGAAATTTACTTCTTTTCTTATTTTCCCTCTCTAAATAAATGACATCAGCAGCCAAATAGTTGCTCAAACAACAAAAATCTGGACATCCTCCTTTATTCCTTACTTTCCCTTACCGTGTGCCTCCTCTTGTCCAATCATCATCATAAAATTCTGTCGATCCTACTTCTAAAACAGATCTCATTACTATCCATTTCTCTTAATCCTATTCCAAGATACTTTCACTCTTGCCCCCAAGATATTCCTCATAAAGCAGCTAGGACTATCTTTAAAAAATAATCCAGTCACGCGCGGTGGCTCACGCCTGTAATCCTAGCACTTTGGGAGGCCGAGTTGGGCAGATCACTTGAGGTCAGGTGTTTGAGACCAGACTGGCCAACATGATGAAATCCCATCTCTAACAAAAATACAAAAATTAGCCAGAAATCACTTAAACCTGGGAGGCAGAGGTTGCAGTGAGCCAAGATTGTGCCACTGCACTCTAGTCGGGGCAACAGAGCGAAACTCTGTCTCAAAAAAAAAAAAAAATTCCACATTGGGTCATGTCACGAACCTCTTAAAAACCCTTCAATGTCTTATCTCTGCAATCAAAATAAAATACAAACACGTAGCATAACCTTGGAGGACCTGTATGTCTAATTTTATCACAAGTCGTACTCCCTGGTGATCACCAGACTGAAATCACAATGTTTTGTTCCTCAAACAGGCCAAATTATTTTCTGCTTCATGATCTTTTGTTATTGGTTTACTTCCCATTCCTATAAGGCCTTTCCTGGCAATCCAATCTAAAGTAGAAGGCCATTTTATTTTTTCATGTGGTGTCCTATTCTTTTTCTCATAAATATTATTGCAAGGTATATTTATAAATGTCTTTGTTTATATTTTATTCTCTTCCCACCCCTACTCGACTCTAACCTTTATTAGAAAAAACCTCTGTTTTATTCCCTGCTGCACACTTTCTCCCCATCCAGTGCCTAATATATAGAACATGTTATCTTGTTGAGTTAATGTAATAAAATAAATTAGATTTTGGGTGTGTGTCTCTAGTTTGGAATGATTTTAAAATCTAGGTCCTCAGCTGAAGTAGCACAATGTCCAACATGAAGAGGAAAGATTTCTTAAGTTTTAAGCCTATAATGTAAGTTTTATTTCAACAGACATAAGATTGCAGTCGATCATCTTACTCCCAACCCCAAGAATGTCTATGTCAGAGATACATTTTGTTCCTACATAATTGAACTGAGCTCCTTATTTAAAATATTAGGACATATTGCTTCAGGTTATACCATGTAGCACTGTTCTTGACAGGTCAATTTCTGTGAAAGAAATATAACTTGAATTAGAAAAAGAAATGAGCAGCCTGCCACTGTGCAAAAGTCAGATGGAAAGGCCCTGTGATACTGCATTTCCACACAATAATCCAGAAGTCTATGGGCAAACACGGATGTGCCTTCTGAATTTTTATGTAGATTTATGGCACTCCCAAAAGGGTCCCAGAACAACATTTTAAAAAAGAGAGATATGTGTATGTAGAGATCAGGAGAGGAATAAATCCTTTGCATAAATACCTTTTTCAATTTAAAAGAATCTCCTTTAATTTTCCTAGAGAACACTCTGACTCAAAGTATAGGGCCCTCCTTCCAAACAAACAGCCAGTGAAATTCCAAAGTACAGAAGAGGTAATAGACACTTAATATTTTATGCAGTGTAATATTTCTACCTGTAAACTCTTCTTGAACAATTTTCAGTGATGAAGATTTGTGGTTTTAATTAATAAATAATTATTCTTACTATGATGTCAAAAATTACCTCACTGTAAAATCCAGAAATTGGTTCTAGCTGTGCCTTCTGTAATTGTAAAAAAGTCCTCTTTCATGGGGGAGCCTTAAAATATTTAAAAGACTTCATTTTACTTTCTCCACAGCTTTCTGTTTTCCAATTTTTTCCTTCTACCTTGTTTTTGGTGTTTCTACGTATACAAAAAATTTGCAGGTCATTTGGACTTTAGCCTTTGTGGTATTGTACTTATAGTTCTACATCATTTCCCTTCATAATTTGCCTGAATCTTTCATTGCATGTCCCTCTGTTTCTCTTTCATTCTTTGGTATTTAAAAATACGTAGTGATTGCAAGCTCCCTGCTCAGCCTAAAATGGTTTCTTATATATCCCTTTCCCTTACTTTTTATAGACTCAATTTCATTTTTTATTATATATGTCAGGATTGTATTTTTAAGCTTTTTCTACTACTCAAGTCTAACTATTGAGTCAAATCAGTATAACTGCAACTTTAACACATTTCCAGTTTGTGTCCTTCAAACATACATGCAAGAAGTTTAATTCCTCTTCTGCAAGATAGTCTATCAGATATTTCATTTATTTAACAAAATTTTTAGGCACCTACTATCTTAAGTACTTCAGGCACATTAGTATACAAAACAAAGATCCTTGCCCCCTAAAGCTCATATTCTAGCAAGGGGAAACAGACAACAAACAACAAACAAAATAAGCCAGTGAATTTATACAGTAAGATGAAAGATGAGTGTGATTGAAAACAACAACAGTATAGCACAGTAAGGGAGTGGTGGGAGGTGATAGTCAGGGTGTTCCTCACCAAGAAGGAGATATTTGAGCAAAGTCTTGAAGATAGTTCTCTTGTTCCTCTAAGCCTATTGCCTTCTCTTCCTTTATTTTATTACCAACTTCTTCCTACAGATTTTTTTAGCACCTACAATGTGTGAGGCAATATAACAGGTCTTAGAGATTAAAAGATCCATGAGAGAGTCTATTTCCATTATTAGCTCACAGCTAGTAAAGGCAGAACCATAAAACAAATATCCCTATGTGTTAAGTGTTGTAATAAAAGGGTGAACATAAATTATAGAATTGGAAGTAATTAATTCTGCCTGCTATATTTTGATTACTTTTGAAATCTAGGGAAATGTGGTCTCCTTCTCCCAAGATTTCTAACACTTGCTCCTCTCCATCAGTTCTTTGTTGTTCCTATGAGTCTAGACAGACAGTAATCCTGATTATCCTCAAAAAGACTTCTGCAAATGTATAGATATTTAAAGCTTTCTAATTACCCCATTTTGCCTCTGTAGTAGTTTTATGACCTGTTTCTAAGGAAGTATTTTATCTTCTAGACTGTATTAAATCTTAAAATTACGTAATTTTTCTTTTCAGCTTCACTTAAATGCTGTGTACTTGGCTTCCTTTGTCAAGTTCATGGAATTTCGGGTCCATTTAAAAGTGTCTATCAGGCTGGGCGTGGTGGCTCACGCCTGTAATCCCAACACTTTGGGAGGTTTTTCAAGCCTCAGTTTTACCTCTAAAATTATATTTACATCTTCATGTTCAAATTTCAGGTTTTCCTTCTTTATTATCCCACAGGACTTCCCTGTAGTATTTGGTTCCTGCTATTTACTCTAAAAAGTCCCTGAGCACCTTTGTCCATTGTGGTTTCTCTTGTTATGTCATACTGATACCCTTTACAGAAAGTATTCTTCATTTTTTTTTTTCTTTTTTTTTGAGATGGAGTCTCACTCTGCCACCCAGGCTGGAGTGCAGTGGCTCGATCTCGGATCACTGCCACTTCCGCCTCCCGGGTTGAAGCGATTCTCCTGCCTCAGACTCCCGAGTAGCTGGGATTACAGGTGCCCGCCATTGCGCCCGGCTAATTTTTGTATTTTTAGTAGAGACAGGGTTTCACCTTGTTGGCCAGGCTGGTCTCGAACTCCTGAACTCAGGTGATCTGCCCCCCTCGGCCTCCCAAAATGGTGGGATTACAGGTGTGAGCCACTGTGCCCTGCCTAATATTCTTCAATTTTAAATAGACCTTTTCTTCCTCTCATACTTCAGTTTAAAGAACTACTTAAAGGTCAGTCAATTCCTACCAAACGTATTTTTCAAGGTCTCATGAAATGTACTATATCTCTGGCCAGGAATATTTCATAACAGCATCATAATCCAGTGCTTGTTTAACAAAACAATCACTTGTTAGAAGAAGACTTTAAAACTTACACTTGCTAGCTGGTCATGGTGGCTCATGCTTGTAATCCCAGTATTTTGGGAGGCTGAGGCAGGAGGACTGCTTGAGCCCAGGAGTTTGAGACCAGCTGGGGCACCATAGCAAGATCCTGCCTTAAACAAAAATAAAATAAATAAAAAACTACACTTGCATCCATGAAGAACCTGTGTCTCATTTATGCAGTGGGCCACTATTACCGAATATTATTCACAAATATATATAATATATATTATATACATATATATATATTTTTTTGAGAAGGAGTTTTGCTCTTGTTGTCCAGACTGTAGTGCAATGGCGTGATCTTGGCTCACTGCAATCTCTGCCTCCTGAGTTCAAGCAATTCTCCTGCCTCAGCCTCCCAAGTAGCTGGGGTTACAGATGCCTGCCACCAGGCCCAGCTAATTTTGTGTGTGTGTGTTTTTAGTAGAGATGGGGTTTCACCACGTTGGCCAGGCTGGTCTCGAACTCCTGACCTCAGGTGATCCACCTGCCTCGGCCTCCCAAAGTGCTGGGATTACAGGTGTGAGCCACTGTACCTGGCCCACAAATATATTTTATGGACAATATTATGCACAAGTATATTTCATCCTAGGGAATATTATGTTCCCTGGTTGAAAAGAAGCAGGGATAGGCTCAGGAACCTCAGGACCATGACATAGAAAGCTGGATATTATTATTCTACTCCATCTACAAAGTCATTAAGAATATATTAAACTGGATTTAAATTTTTTAAAATGTATTTTAAATGTCACCTCTCATGTCCACTCTAATAAAATCTTCCAGTCTCTATTTGCTAGCTCTGCAGCTGGACAAAGACATTGGTTATCCATGATGGAAAAATGGGCTGGGCGTAGCAGAAATAGGTAGGCCTAGATATTAGTCATCTTAAAACAAGACAAATTATTATGAACCTCCATACATACTTTTGGGTCTTTGGCAGACATTTCAAACCTTATATGTAAAAAAAGAAGCCTGTTTTTTTTTAATCCTAGTCTCTCATTAACTAGATATCTCTTTAACAGACATTTGATTTTAGGCAAATTTAATCTCTCTGTCCCTTGGTTTCTTTTCTAAAAAGAGGTCAGACAACTTCTCTGTCCTGTCTATAAAGATCACTGAGCTCCCTTCCAGCTTCAATAGCTTGCAGTTTTAAACTTTCTGCTTTCTTCCATACAGAACTACCTTCTATCCCTCCCTTGTAAGACACAGGAATATATGAAACTCTCTGGAAGCTAGGCCTCCCTACTCCTTGGGACATATTCCAAACAGTCTGGTCAGATGTTTACTTACTCTTGCTCAAAGGGACATTATGACACAGTGGTTAATGGTGTAAACTCAGGAATCAGACAGGCTTGGGTATATGTCCCAGCCTTCACACATCCTAGCTGTAAGCCATGCTTGGGCAATTGCTTAAAATCTCTATACTTGTAAATAGGAGATAATAGTAATAACCCAATAGGTTGTTGTGAGAATTACTTCATTTAACAGTGAATACGAAGCCCCCAGTACAATGCGTGGTACATAATGAGAACTCAGGAAGTATTATTATCATCATTATATTTTATATTATTTTAAATGGATAATTTAATGGTATATTCTTCTGACACTGATCCAAGGCAACATCTCCCATGATATACATCTACAAAAATGCAAAGAATGTATTTCCTTTTAATGCAGCTAACATATTGCTGAACAAAGCCTTGGTCACAGTTTGAATTTTTTGTTTCTAAAGTTCAGAGAGATACGAATTTATATTAACTATAATTCAGACCATGCAAAAATTAATATCCCTTTTCAACTTTCATATAAAGTGCTAATAACATTTCCAAACACAAGAATAAAAATAACTCAATAACCCCTCTCTGTGACTTTTGATAAAACAAACTTTGACAATTACAGAAACCAGTGAATCATGAGGCAACCTAAAATTTTATGTTATTATGGTAGATTACAGGGTCTTTATTATATAGGACTTCCTTTTCCTCTTCATAATATAAATAAGCAGTTCTTGGCTGGGCACAGTGCTTCACATCTGTAATCCCAACACTTTGGGAGGCCAAGGCAGGTGGATCACTTGAGGTCAGGAGTTTGAGAATAACCTGGCCAACATGGTGAAACCCCCTCTCTACTAAAAATATAAAAATCAGCCGGGCGTGATGGTGCATGCCTATAATCCCAGCTACTTGGGAGGCTGAGGCAGGAGAATCGCTTGAAGCCGGGAGGCAGAGGTTGCAATGAGCCGAGATCATGTCACAGCACTCCAGCCCTGGTGACACAGCGAGACTTCATCTCAAAAAAAAAAAAAAATTCAAATAAATAAGCAGTTCTCGATGATGAGTGTGCCTGATAATCACCTACAGAGCTGCTTCTGCTGCAGAGACTTTGATTGACCTATCAGGAAATTTGTATTCTTAACTATCACTTTAAGTGATATTAATATAGGTAGACCTAAAAACACACACCAATAAACACTGGTATAGAAGGCTTCTGATCTGTAAGAACTCACAACTTAAGTTATGACGAATAGGGAGGTAGGTGCACATGTATGTGCGCGCACACACACACACACAGACACTTCACAAAATTTTTATTGTGAAGTGTCTATGTGTTAGTTGTTCACAGCTCATAAACCATTTTCAAAAAATTACAATGTAAATCAAAATGTCATTCATTTCCTAGGTCATCTCTGGCAAACACTCAAGCCAGAAAGTAATTACATTATATTTAATACAGTATCAGTTTGTGTTCTGATTCTGGAATCCAGTAATTATATAACACAGGAGGGAGAAAGAGAGAAGAGGAAGAAAATTTAAAAATGAGAAAATAGAAGAGGGTTTACTTTTCTATTCTTTAGCACAATGAAAATCCTAAAAACACTCTGAAATGGGAAAAAGGTATAGTTTTCACATTCCTAACAAATTTTCTTCATTGCTTTCTTATCTCCCTACATCTCTGAACATCTCCAGATGGCTAGATCTGGAGATAAAGGTAAACTCTGTCTCTCACTTTAGTATGTCACCAAGGATGATGCCCAAAGTCTTCAGAAATTCCAAAACCATTAGCTCCATATCCTCCCTCCTTCAATTAAGACTTCTGCTCCTAAAGTATTGGTAATCTTAGGTTTGTTTAGCATTAAAACAAACTGGTGGAGTCTATTCATCTTTCAGAGATATTCTTATTTTCAAACAATAGCCTTAACTGGTCAAATTTCAGGGACTGTTAAAAGTGCATTTAAAAAACGTATAGGCAAACTTATAGAGGGGTTGTAATCTGGAGCTGGTTAATTTCCTTATATACAAGCCTCTTACAGGATTCTTCTCTAGGCTCAGTTCTCCTGAGTACTAGCTTTGTCATAGCTTCTCTCTTTCCTCAAACAAAACACACTCATAGATTTGCTAAAAATGTCAAGTAATTTTTTTTTGTTTTTGTTTTTAAATCAGGTGCTCTAGAGGTTGAGGTTGAGGAATTGAGGTCAGTTTTTCAGACAACTGTTTAATATTTTTATGAGCACTCTCTGTAAATTTTTTAATATAGTCACAATTAATACTGTCCATAGAAATTTAACACCAGCTTCTGTACAACACCCCTGTAAGGCAGAGGAAGAACACCATATGCAAATACTACACACTAAAATAACAGCATCATGTTAAGACAGGTTTTCGATTAAGTAAAACTAAGCTTGGCAAAGCAGCCATCTCAAGTTAATCCCACATTCAGGACTAAAGGTTTATTACCTAGTTTGCATTACTTCATGATTATAATGTGAATATCACGAAGATTATTAACACGTAACATGCACTTACAAAGTTCTTAATTCTCCTCTAACATTGCATATATAGATAGGTTCACAATGTAGAATACTGTACACCATATATATGTATATTTTAATGTAAGTTCATATGATAACAACTGCCCACAGGTTTTATGGCCAAGTGTACTCAGGGCAAATTTATGTTCCAAAATTATTTTGCTGTGTTTTATCTAGCATTTTTAATGTGGGTGGAATGGCGGGCAGAGAGTTCTTCTGCATCAACTATTTCTGCTATAGCCACATGGGGCAACTTTGTAGACTTAGGAACTGTCAGTTAAAAATATTCAAACTATTGGCTTTGCCTCATCCCTTTACTCAATTGAGAAGTAGCTGTAGCCATTCTTTATAAAAGTCACCAAAGCAAAAAACGTTTGAATGTTTCAGAAATAGTTTTTAATGGATTTATTGCTTCAATTGTTTTATTTAGTGTAATTAAAAGAAATAAAAAGTAGATCAGGCACTGTGGCTCACACCTGTAATCCCAGCACTTTGGGAGGCCAAGGCAGGTAGATCACTTGAGGTCAGTAGTTTGACACTAGACTAGCCAACATGGTGAAAACTCATCTATACTAAAATTACAAAAATTAGCTGGCAGTGGTAGTGGGTGCCTGTGATTCCAGCTACTTGGGAGGCTGAGGCAGGAGAATCGCTTGAACCCAAGAGGCGGAAGTTGCAGTGAGCTGAGATTGCGCCACTGAACTCCAGCCTGGGTGACAGAGCGAGGCTCCATCTCACAAAAAAAAAAAAAAAAAAAAAAAAAGTACAGTGTCTAGTCCCATGTCTAATAACTCCTAAAACTTGTATTAAAAATTCAATTGGTTTTAAATGATCCTAAGTTGCTCTCTTCACTTAGTGTCTTCACTTAGAGATCATTTTAATAGGTTTCTGTGTTTGGGTCATAATATATTTATGAGACACGACATAACTAGCAGTTTAAGAAATTTACTATTTTAAAAGCTTTTTCACATATCTTTTCCAATTTAATTCTTTTCTGCACATAATACATGATAACATTTTTGGTATAAAAATATATTAATTTTATTTTCCTGAAAATTCATTTCTGATAAAATAACTTGATATTTTATACTAAATGTATTACTACTATAAATGTTTTCATGTTTCTAGGCCTGATAAATCATTTTATATTTGCGGGGCTGGGAGGAATGACAATATCTTACATTTGAAAATGTCTTGAGAAAGTACTAGTATAATCTGTCTATGAATACAACTTCACGTGAAGAGAATCAATTACACTTCTCTTCTAAATATTTAGGAAACATACTTCCCAACATCTTGTACTTCCAGGGTCATGAGAGTCTTTAAGTGGAGACACTATCCTTTACATTTTATTCCATACTTATTCCTACTTAACTGGAGAAAAATTATTGTGATTTATATCTCTTCACATGTGTTATGGGATTAAACAGTGTTCCTCCAAAATTCATATGTTGAAGTCCTAACCCCTAGTACTTCAGAGTATAATCATATTCACAGATAGTATTTAAAGAGGTGATTAGGTTAACAAGGCATTAAAATGGGGCCCTAGCCCAATATGACTGGTGTCCTTAAAAGAAGAGACAGCAGAGATGGACTGGAACAGAGGAAAGGCCATGTGAAGAGGTAGCAAGAAAGTGACCATCTGAAGCCAAGGAGAGGGTCTCAGAGGAAACCAATCCTGCTGGACGCTTGATCTTGAACTTCCAGTCAGCCTCAAGAACTATGAGAAAATTAAATTCCTGTTGCTTAAGCTACCTAGTCTGTGGTACGTTTTTTGTAAAGTATGCTTCAAGATAAAGTGTCCTATAATCTTTAGCTTTACAGTGCTTTCAAAAGCTTTCACCAGTCTCTTTTAAAAACTTTAAGGAATTTACTTAGGATTATTTAGATCTATTCTAAGATTTTAAAAAACATCTTGCACAATTTTGCTGTCCTAATATACCACGTCTCTTTGTATGATAAAATTCAGCTGTAAAGTGAATTTCCATAAGTTAAATATGTCCTAAGTACTTCTGCTCTTTTAAAAATTGGTATGTCTATACTAATTCTGAGTATCATGCTTTCAGTTTAAACAAAGGTAAATTATTTATATAATCTCTTAAAAACCACACTTGTTATTGCATTTTTACATATGTAAGACTTCAAGTTTCCTAAAAGCAAAAATTTTATTTTAATAATGATGTTATTCTAATTCCCAGGGCCTACCACAATGATCAGCTCACTGATTTGCTTCTAAGGACGCTATTTTATCTAAACAAATTGTAATAAAGAAACTACATTATTACCAACAGGCATACTTCAACTCTTATTTCATTATTCTTCTACAGAAAATATTTTAAAATGAAAACTGTTAATACTAGCTTCTACAATAGAGCTGAATGAGTCATCTGAATACTATTACTGTGGATTGTAGCTTTTGAAATTAATTTTTCTACATTAGCATCCTAAATCATTACAAATTCTATTTTTGATATTTAGAAAGCTCTACAAAATGGAATTATAACTCGTTCAAATCACCAAAGAAAATAGATGCCCCGAACCCATTTTTATATCTCCACTTATCAGGAAGCAAATCAAAAGTGAACATGTTTCTCATTTCATCATTTAAAGGGTTCAGTACTAGAAGCCTGGATAATTTTTTAAGACAGAATACACTAAAAATTAACTGTGTAATTTTCTAGCTACTTAATTAAATATAATAGAAACATAAAATCTTACATTTCTAAAATGTCTCAATCCAATATCATTTAAATCTATGATGCCGAATTTTTTACATTCCTCGATTATGCATTAGCTTTTATGACTATATTCTTCTCTTAGATATCATTAATGACATATATTTCATTGAAGAGACTTAAAACTTATTTTGAGAATCTTTTTAGAATTTTTTGATGGTTCTGAAAAAATATAGAAACCTTAAGTTGTTACAAAATTAGCTTGGAAAGCCCTGAATTCTATGCAGCAATTAAAAATTTCCCACAAAAAGAATAAGACAAAGCACCTACATCTAATTATGTTTTAAAAATTACTTCCTATGTTAGGATTAAAACTTTGTCTCAGCCTTGAGTACACATAGACACAAAGATGGGAACAATAGACACCAGGGCCTACTTGAGGGGAGAGGGTGGGAGGAGGGAGAGGGTTTAAAAAACTACCTATTGGGTACTGTGCTCACTATCTGGGTAATGAAATCATTTGTACACCAAACCCCAGTGATGCAATTTACCCATGTAACAAACCTACACGTGTACCTTCTGAACCTAAAATCAAAGTTGAGAGAAAAACAAAAACAAAAACAACCTTTGTTTTAGTACACATTGGCTAGGTTTTGTTGATGTTGTTTTTGAGACAGGGTCTCACTGTGTCACCCAGCAGGAGTGCAGTGGCAAGATCATGGCTCACTGCAGCCTCGACCTCCTGGGCTCCAGTGATCTTCCCGCCTCAGCCACTCAGGTAGCTGGGACTACAGGTGTGTGCCATGAGCATTGCCCAGCTAGTGTTTCTGTGTTTTTTCTGTAGAGATTGGGTTTCACCATGTTGCCTAGGCTGGTCTCCAAGTCCTGGCTTAAGTGATCCACCCGCCTTGGACTCCAAAAGTGCTGGGATTACAGCGTGAGCGCCACGCCCGGCCTCTCACTGGCATAGTTTTAAGGTAAAAATGACTGTTGACCCTGGCACCAACTCATATTTAAAAATACATATGTTAAGTATTCTTTCTTTTCAATTTCCAATCCTCATGCCCTTGCCCTAGACCTTACTACTTTGTGTTTGGATTCCTTCACAGTCTGCTCACTGGCATTCCTGCCTCCAGTTTCTCCCTTTTAATCCTTTCTAGACATCTCTGCCAGATTTATTTTCCTAGAATATATATATTTTAAAATAAGTTTCTAAGGAAAACAACAACAACAAAAAACTCTTAAGTGAACTGATAGGACAAAATCTAATCTACCAATCTTGGAATTCAGGGCTTCCAATCAAAGATCTTTCCAATTTTACTCCTACTTTTCAACACATACAGTTTTAACTAAGTCTCTCTATTTGCTACTCCCCTCCCCACCCAACATACCTCTTTGCTTCTCATTTCTTATTTCTCTTCATTTGGATCCATTAGTAGGGTGTAGAATGCATCTTCCTGTCCAAAGCTGCTTCTTGTCAGAGTTAAGCCCTGCCCTGACCATTCCTATATCCTGGGGCCAAAAGCTATTTGATTCCTCATGCTCTTAGCCTCTGGACCTTCAGAATCATGACAGGGTTTCTAGTCTGACTCATAATACTGCCATTTCTAGGCAATTTCATTTGTCATGCCATTCCCTACCTCCTTTCCCCAAGTAGGACCCAGGTTCATCATATTCCTCTTTAAAGCACACTTTAGACTTCAAGTCATGGTCCTCAGGAAGGAGGCCCAACTCCATAGCATTTCCAGCGCCACCCAGTTCAAGTTTCTTTCCTCCCAACCCTAGGCTTATGGTCCCAGCAGCCTTGCATATACGGAGCCTGTTAAAGACATTATTGTGTGCCGCTCATAGAATGTTCTCCTGCATCTCTGCTTATTGATATACTGTCTGTCCTTCAAGATTGAGTTCAGTTCCACCAGCTCTCTGAATCCCCTGAACCACAGGCATGCCTTCCTACTCTGAAATTCCTTTCTCTTACTCATTCTTTGGGAATTTATCACACACTACCTGCTGAAGGAGTTAAAAATGTACCAGTCTGGCATACTGACGATTTCAGTTAAAGACACTTGAGTGGCAGCCGGTGGAAAAGATCACTCTAACAGTGCTGTTTCTTAAAAATAGAAGATGAAATTCCCATGTGAAAGATTCCCTCCCTTTACATCTTAACATCAAGAATGGGAAATTTAAACCAAGAAAATCCTATATAGATCTTGTTAAAATAGGCCGGGCGTGGTGGCTCATGCCTGTAATCCCAGCACTTTGGGAGGCCGAGGTGGGCAGATCACAAGGTCAGGAGATCTAGACCCTCCTGGCTAACACTGTGAAACCCCGTCTCTATTAAAAAATACAAAAAATTAGCCGGGCGTGGTGGCGGGCGCCTGTAGTCCCAGCTACTCGGGAGGCTGAGGCAGGAGAATGGTGTGAACCCTGGAAGCGGAGCTTGCAGTGAGCCGAGATGGCGCCACTGCACTCCAGCCTGAGCGACAAAGAGAGACTCCGTCTCAAAATAAAATAAAATAAAATAAAATAAAATAAAATAAAAGTTATATTTTAAGCCTCCCTCCATAATTTAGTTGCTTCTTCATAGTTTACTATTCTTTGTCCAATTCATTATATAAGTAACTGACTTTAAGTGCTTCTTTGGGTCATTTCCTTATGAAAGTTCCCCTGCCATGTAAAACTTGTATTAAATAAATTTGTGTGCTTTTCTCCTATTAATCGATTTAATATCAGTGTAATTCTTGGGCCCATCCAGGACCCTAAGAAGATGGTGGTGGAATTTTGCTCCCTTGGCAGTCTCTGGTGACGAGGACTGGACCTAAAAGGCTGGGATACTCCACTCACTCCAGAGCCTGAGGATGGGATCCTAGGAGAACTGACAAAAGCCAGAAGGTAGAAATTCCTACCAAAATCAGCTCTCCTGGATCTCTGTCTGGAATGCCTCGTGGAGAGAGAAAAGTAAATATTTTTCTTTGTCTCTTCCTTTCCTAATCTGGATTGGCAGGAGAAAAACATTTGTAAGAATTAGTTATTTCAATTGTGACTCTTGTGAATTTGGTTCTGGGTACCCATTGGTTATTGATCCACAGCCTCCTAGAAATAATCATTGTTTTCCTTGCCTCTGTCTTTTGTGTGGTTTCTCATAAGGAGGAAAATAATAGAATAAGATTCTCCTTCTGTCTTGTTTTATGTCTTGAAAACTAGACTTTGTGAGCTGTGAAAATATTCTCTCTGGTCTTCACCATAACAGGGGCACAAGTTCTCAGGCTTGCATCAGGCAGCTAGCTAGCTGGCCAGGGGTCTGAAACACGGAGTGTCTCTTTTTGCGACTCTGCCAGCACTCAGAAGAATTTGTCTTAATTGTCTCAACCTTTGTTGCCTTGTTAACATTGAGTGTCTTTGTTTTTTTAGCAAAAACTTTGGATCTTGAGGCGAACCGCATCCTTTGTACCATCTTTGGGATAAAATGCATGCATCCGTAATTATGTCATAAAAGGATTATTGATTTTGAACCATAAAAAGGCTTATTGGTTTTGAATCACAATTAACATAGGTATACTTTTGAAGATTTTGACTGTTGTATTTAAAGTTTTTAAAAAATTTTTATTTTATTATTATTATTATTATTTTTAGAGAGCTCACATCCTAAGCAATTGCCTCATTGGTACCTATGTAAAGATTAAATTAAAAAGAGGACACAAAAAATGTGATGGCTAGCCTTAGGGACACCCTTAGCAAGATTAAATAGAAATCAGACTTAGAACAAAAGCTAAAATCCACACCTGCAAAAAATTCTCCTTTTCCATCCACCTATACCCCCCTTAACCTCCAACTCTCTGTCCCTGACCACCAACCCCAGAAGATCCTCTGGCACTCTGAGTCCCTGGCTTAAACCACCCTCGCAAAATCCAGTCCCATCTCCTCAGACCTCAATGAGTTTTAAGTTTTCAAGATCATGTGATCTGGGGTAATCTTTGATAAATAAAAAGTTAGTTTAAATGTGTTAGTTTAAATAAAGAAGGTTTGTCTTCAGAGTTGTCAACCTTAAACATGATGCAGACATACAACTTATTCTACCTGAATTTACCAATAAAATTGCTTATGTTGGCCAGGCACAGTGGCTCACGCCTATAATCCTAGAACTTTGGGAGACCCAGGCGAGTGGATCACTTGAGGTCAGGGGTTCAAGGCCAGCCTGGCCAACATGGTGAAACCCCATCTCTACTAAAAATACAAAAAATTAGCCAGGTGTGGTGGTGGGCACCTGTAATCCCAGATACTTGGGAGGCTGAGGCACAGGAATTGCAAGAACCCAGGAAATGGAGGTTGCAGTGAGCCAAGTTCACGCCATTGTACTCCAGCCTGGGCAACAAGAGCAAAACTTCATCTCAAAAAAAAAAAAAAAGCTTATGTTTAAGATTGTTGAATTACAAATACAATAAATTCAACCTAAGAACAAAACATACCATCAAAATAAATTGCTTAATGTATGACAAACACAACAATGAGAATTAAAAGAGACATATGTCTTAATTTTTAGGTTCTTTGCATCTGTGATTTTTTAAATATTTGCCTGATTTATCTATAGGAAAAATATAAGATAATGACTAGCTTTGTTTAATATCTCATGAAATTTTCATGAACAATTATTAAAACTAAGTAAATTAAATGTAAGTGGGATAGAAGTTTATAAACTTTTCAATAATTATGTTTTTTAAAGTATGCCTACTTAAAAATCATTTTCAAAATCTTTTTTGCAACTTAAAACTTTAAAGTTATACTAAGTTAAATTAAATATGGATATTTGTTAAGCATCTATATCATTTCCAAATACGACATAATACTGAAAAATATTCATTGTGAAATGTAAGTTTAAGCTTATAAACTTTGGACTTCTTAGTACAGAACAAAGGACATTTGGGTCTGTTAGCAAACACATCCTGTACCACAGTGAAAAACTGTACTATCATCAAACATATTTCTAGAAATTATAAAATGGTGTTAATATATAGAATGATGTTATATAACAGTTCATAATTACTTCTTAGTTTTCTAGTTTTCACTAGAAATTAAGGTTACTAAGAATTAAAAATTCTAATTGATATATGTAATTAAAGCTACTAGTAATAATAAGGGAAAACAACTCTACATAAAAAGCTTAAAAGGAAAATAAGATATATTTTTGGTAAGAAAAGCTAAACATAGGAAAGACATTTTTGTTAAGGAAAGAGTACTTTTGTTTCGTAAGGTTATTCAAAGGTTGTTTCAGAATCGATCAGTGAACCAAAGATTAAAAGTGAATGGATATAAAAAGTTGAAAAGGAAAAACAAGAGAGAATCTTGCATGTCCAAGCAGACTAAATTGAATAAATTCATTATAAGACTTTGGAATTTGGTCTTTGTTAAAAAGACAAAGTGTTTTTTGGAGTATTGGTCTGCTCTTGGTAGAAAAACATTATAAAAGATTTTTCTTTACCTTTAAAATTATCTACCTAAAAACCAAATATTTCATGTTTTATAAAAATAATTTTCTGTGCTTCATGTTATAGTCATATTAGGTCTTTGATTCCTTAAGAAAAAGAAATCTTCTCAATATTTAAAGAGCTAAGCATTTTATCTCTACAACTATGTAAGTTTCTACATTTGCCTTAAAAGTCTTTTAATTATATAAAACTTATATTAAATAAATTTATACACATTTGTCCTGTTAATCTGTCTCATGTCAATTTAATTATTGGGCCCAGCCATAACCCTAAAAAGATGGAGATAAGGTGGGGCACGGTGGCTCATGCCTGTAATCCCAGTACTTTGGGAGGTTGAGGTGGGCAGACTGCCTGAGCCAGGAGTTTGAGCCATCCTGGGCAATACAGTGAATCCCCATCTCTACTAAAATACAAAAAATTAGCCAGGCATGGCGACGTGTGCCTGTAGTCCCAGCTACTTGGAAGGCTGAGGCGGGAGAATTGCTTGAACCCAGGAGGCGGAGGTTGCAGTGAGTCGAGATCGTGCCATTGCATTCCAGCCTGGCTGACAGAGAGAGATTCTTTCTCAAAAAAAAAAAAAAAAAAGGAGATAAAATTTTGCCACCCTTACACTTCATTATTATTTAACATTTCTTATTCAGAGGCCCACTACACATCTTTACTTGAAAGTTCCTGAGGTATCAAAACCTCAAAATATCCCCAAATGCTTTATCTTCTTTGTCAAACTTGCTCCTAATTCTGTGTTCTCTCACTTAGTCAGTGACAGCACCATTTATTCACTCAGTCATCCAAGGTAGAAAACTGGGAGTCACCTTTGACTTCTACCTCTTCCTCAACTTCCCATCCATATCTAATCAATCACCAAGCCCTAATTCATACCTTCTAAATATCTATAAAATCAATTCTTCTTAATCCCTAATTCAGGGCCTCATAATCTCTAATTTCTATTATCAAAAATACTACCATTCTGTCGTTCCACCTTCAATCTAAATACTTTCCAATTCACCCTTCATGAAGCCAGAATGAGCTATTTAAAAGGCAGCTTAGGCCATGTCACTGTTTTGCTTAAAAAGCTTTCAGCAGTTTCCCTTTCCTTGACCTAAAAGGCATACCTGTTATCCGTGTTTATCTGTTGCTTCTTCTTGTTTCTCACACCAAGCTTCAGTAATACTGAATTATGTGAGTTGTCTTGCATATCAGAGGTTCTTAAATCCCACATGTTTGTGAAGGTGGGGTACCTGGCATGTCCTCTTTGCTCCTTTTCTCTTTACCTGGACATTTTCTACTAATATGTTCAGGTATCTTTCAGGGAACAATTCCCAGTCTCTCTAGGTCAGAGTAGATGCCTTTTCTCTGAGATTCCATACCATCTGGAGTCTGCCTCTACCAAACAGTATTAAACACTATGTTATATAATATGTCTATTTATTCATTGATTCACCAAGTATTTATTGAACACCCACTCTGGGTCAGACACTTTTTGTGCCATGTACTAGATGGTCAAGAAATGATTTTTGCTAATGAGTGACTGAATATATCCAATTGAACTTCAAGAGCAAGATTGTTATGTTTTAAAAATGTATTTCCATTCACCTTCATGTCCCCACCCTATATCTAAAGCGTATTTTATATGTAGTATAGCTCAAAAACTTCTTTAATTTTACATTCAGTCTTTATTTAAAGATGTTTTCAAGAAAAATTATCATTGATTATAAATCACCATAAAGATTTTGAAACACTATAAGAGCACAGAAAGTAAATAATGCCCAATAATATTTGTAATATCAAAAACCTTAATTGCTCATAATTTTGGTAAACTATTTGCAGAAAGCTTGCCCCAACACATGAATTTTGGGGCCACAATGTCTGAAGATTACAGAGAAATCATATGCAACAAAGATTCAAGTGCAAAAAGGGTCTATAGGAGCATTTTGCTCATTTGAAAAAAAAAGAAAGAAAAAAATTCTCCTAATACTGATTATTTGCCATGGGAAAGTACTCTAAGCAGGCTGAAAAATAACGTAGCCATTGTGAAAAAGACCATTTGAAGATCTTTGGCTCTTGGCACTATGCCTATACTGCCTAATGGTGAAGAGTCTTGCTTTGAGGTATTCTAGATTCTTCCAGATTTTACCCCATCACATTCCAAATGAAAAACAACAATAAAAACCTTCCAGATGACAGCTAGCAAGATTTTATAATGTCTCGATTCAAAGAAGGTATTAATATCAGAAATATTTGAAAACCAAAAGGATAAAGATAGAAACCCCAATAAAAATGAGCAAGGGTTAGGAATAGGAAATTTATATTAGATCACACTGAAAGATTGACTTGTGTGAAAAGATTTTCAAATTCATTGGTTATCAAAGAAACACAAGTTAACACAACAATGAGATATCACTAATTGCTATCACTCATGCTAGCCATCACTAATGCTGATATTAGATGTACTGATATTGGCATGTTAAAAATTAGGAAGTAATGCCCATCTTTGGCAGAAATGTTGTGATACAGGGATCCTGATGCACTGCCGGTAGGAAGGTAGATGAGAGCAGGCAATCTGATGAAGAAGCTGTCAGAACTTGGCCCCAAATTAATTAAACACACATTGAAGGGTCGACTCCATAAATCCAAAAGACATTCTCACCCAGGCTCATAAGGAGAGATATATGAAGATATTCAGCTCAATGTTATTTAGGATGGCAGGAGCTGGAGCATATCTGGACATCCAGCATTGGAAGAACAGTGAGGAAAAATGCAGTAAATTGAACACCATGGAGTACAATGCAACAATTAGAAATATAGGAATAAAACCAGGAAGAAGATCTGAAAACCACAGTACTCAATCAGAAAAGTAAAAAGAGAATCTAAATTAAAATGCATACACAAACACATTTATGAGTTATATAAAACAATACTATTTTACAAGAGCACATACACACACTGAAGGTACACATTAAACATGTAGAAAATTAGAATAACCATTCTAACAGATGGAGGGAGAATGGAGATTAAAGGGAAGGAGGGAGGGAGGGAGAGAGAGAGAGAGGGGAGGAGAAAAAGCAGACTCTTTCTCTCAGTGTATACCTACGTGAAGCTCTCTCCACCCTGTTTCTCTAGTTTCTCTAAGTGTTTCCTTGTGCTGACTCCTTTCTTATCAACAGCACATCTCATTATAGCGTAATGATACATTAAATGTCTCTTCAGCTAATTTAGAAGTCACGTGGTAGTGGGTACCATGTGTCTGTCTTGTTCACTGCTGTATCATCTACAACTGGTATGATGCTTGCACACAGTAGGTGCTCAAGGAATATTTGTTGAAAGAAGGAATGAATGCACAACTTTATACAAGGCTTACTCATGCTAAAAGAAAGAAAACCAAAATCTGAATTTAAGATCTTGAAAAAATATCACATGGATCTCTTCAGCATTAGATTCTGGGTTTCATCTCCAGAAAGACAAGTTCTTACATTTCATTCAAGTGAGTAAGTACAGCAGCAATTTTGTTTTGAATGATACTCATTTGTGGCACTAGCTGAACCACTTCTATATTAGCTAATACATTTAAAATGGAGAAAATAAAAATTTTTATCTCCAGCTTATTGTATCACAATGATAAAGAAACACTACTGCTCAAATAACAAGAAATATTATTTTGAAAATGAAATTTAAAGTATAAGAATTGGAACTTTCACATCAAAATATGATTGTTATGCTTTTTTTTAATGGAATTTCTTAGCCACAAATGCTGTCAGTGAGTTTTCCTTTCAGAGTTTATAATAATTACTACAAAATAATTCAGACTAGCACTCTACCTATCAGTTTCACAAAGCATGCATTTTTAAAGTATATCACTCAGCACTAAATACTGTATTATACTGAACAAATGGCCCTATTCTTTCAATGCAGATACTGTTGATATTTGCATTTCATATGTTTTTCCTACTGGAATTTATAAATGCCTATCACTACTGCCTGCAGTTGAGAGAACTCTTACTAATGAATTAACTTGCATAAAGACCCTAGCTTCTCTTTATAGTAAAACCATACATTTTTTGGCTCATACATAGTATAGTGAAAATTTTCATTAGGCTTAATTCTTCTGGGAACAAATATTTTTCTAGGATAACTGCTCTTCTTGGAAAATGAATTTCTATTCCAGGGCATAAGATAATTTACTTAAATATAATTTTGTGACTGGGCACGGAGGCTTCTGCCTGTAATCCTAGCACTTTGGGAGGCTGAAGAGGGAGGATTGGCTGAGGCCAGGAATTCAAAACCAACCTAGCCAACATAGTGAGACCCCGTCTTAAAAATTAATATAGTAATAATAATAATAAAAGAATTTTGCTCTGGGGCTACGCTGATCAGCTCTACACTAACAAATTTTCATTGTGCTATTTAATTGTTTATTATTAGCAAATTAGAAAGAGCCAAATATCATAAGGGTTAAAGACTGGTTAATACAAACTAATTTGCACTTAGATAATAATTTCCTTGAAACGGCTAAAGCTTCTAAATATTTCTTTTGGCTTTCTAATCATGTTTTATTTTCAATATACTTCCTGCTAAACTTCTTTTATCTTTTGGTCTTAAGCTCAATTGTTTCTTGGAAAGGCATAGAACTCACTCTATACATGTATGATTGGTGTCACACTTTACTAAATCAGATCTGATAAATCAGAGTTCTGACACTCATATATATATGAAACTAGTGAATTAGAAGATGATTTTCACCACAAAAATACCTATTAGGTAGAGTATGCTGATTCATAAACATGGGAATTTAAAACAGCTATATTTTGTGAAAGAGTCTCCATTTCAGAAGCAGAATCCATGGCATAATCTTTATACAACTAAGACTTAAAATGATAGGCTTGATTTTCACTGCGCTGAGAAACCCACCATAAATACCCTCAAAATAGAGACTATGTTTCAACTGACAGCTTGCAATAAAATAAATTTTTGTTGTTGGAAATAAGAGAAACTAGATCCTGCTAAAAGAGAGACTCCAAAAATGTATAATGATTTAGGTAACAAACCTTTGCCTCCTCTGGCCCTTCTTATGAAATGACCACATATATTTGCTTGATTCTATCTTTATCACCTCTGTCTACTGCTTCCCACATCAGAAGAAGAGATTGAAGCAAACAAAAAAAAAAAACAAAAAAAGAGAAGAATTAAATTTGTCATTCTTCAAATGCTTAAAGTGAGATTGGAGGAATGAGCCTATAAAATATTTGCAACCTGTTATCAATAATTCAGTCTGCCAGTAGCAATTATATCTTTCTTATTTTTGAAGGCTTGAAATTATCTATGAAATGGTGAGGTTGTTAAGTAGTTACCCAAAAGGTCAATATGCTCATAGGCTGCCAAAAAAAATGCATGCTCTCATATCTATAGGGAAAGAGGAGATAGCCCACTCTACATCAATGCAGTCATTGCGCACCCAGAGCCTCACTCACTTTTCAGTACTAAACTTGAGAAATACAGGCAAACTTGAATATATTTGGAGGAGACAAATCAAAATATTTGGAGACTTGCATCATAAAGACAAAAAGGACAAAGCCTAAAAAGGAAATTCAGGCAAGACACCGGAACTTTCTTTTAAAATAAGAAGTATCATATAGGAGCTAAATGAGTCCAAAGCGTAGAACTAGACCTTTGGATGAAAGTCACGGAGAGCCAGATCCAAATCATATTAAAAGTTCCTAGAAAGATGGATTAAGGATCCGCTCCTAGAAAGATGGAGTAAGGATCCTTATCTTTTTATTTTTAATTAATTAGTTTATATTTTTTAGATACAGGGTCCCACTCTGTCACAGGCTGAGGTGCAATGGCATAATCATGGTCCACTGCAGCCTTGAACTCTTTGGCTCAAATGATTCTCCCACCTCAGTCTCCTGAACAGCTAGGTCTACAGCCATGTACCACCACATCCAGCTAATGTTCTAATTTTTTGTAGAGAGAAGGTCTTATTATGTTGTCAGGCTGGTCTTGAACTTCTGGCCTCAAGTAATCCTCCCCCTCAGCCTCCCAAAGTGTTGGGATTACAGACATGAGCCACCATGCTGTAATATGTGTCTGTCACTCTTATCTTTAAGTAGTGAATTCTCCATCACTGGAGGTGTTTAGGAGAGGCCAATGACCCTTGAAGATGATGTGAGACCCTTGAAGATGATGTGAAAAGATTCAATCAATGAGGTAGTTGGATTAGATGGTCCCTTCCAGCTCTGATATTCTATTTTGATCTCTGAAGCAAAGTAATTATTGGTTTTTTTCTGTCTTCAGAGATTCAGATTAAAAACTGGTTTACTTCGTAATTTAATAATTAACTTAAAATATATACTACCTCAAATTATAATTTTGTAGCCATTATTCTGCATTTTGTGGAAACTATGTATAATTTAAATGCGTATATATAGAGAGACTATATATACATTTGGAATATATATTTAGAATTGTATACATATATTTGAAATATATATATATTTACATAAATATATATATATATATAATGTATATATTTGGAATTTATCTCTTTCTCTTTCTCTATCCAGTTTAGATAAACTTTCCAGAGTTTACACCAGGATCTTTTGGTGATTTCACTCTTTTGGACCTCTAGGGAAATATTAGGTTCAGTTACACAGTAAGAGAGTAACAGAAGTGAAGGGACACACCTAAGTGAGTGCAGTTCTGTCCCATTCCTGGATCAGGAAGATAGACTAGTGTTCTGATGACAAAGGGCTAATGATTTATTCTCTATCAGAGACCTGTGTTTGTAGGTGGTGGAATGTGTCTCTAGTGCCAAAAGCTGTAAATGGTTTAAGGAGAGAACAGGTGCTCTTTTCCAGCACCTTCTTCCCATTCCTTGTTTCGAAACTTATTGGGGGCTTCTTTTTCTTTCTTTGATTCCCATAGAAATATCCATCTTGCAGGATAACTTACAGAAAAGTCTGGCTGCTTATTGTTCTTAAAATAATAATTATTAAGAATTTACAATTTACTTTTGAAATACACAAAATAATTTGAAATACCAAATAAATTCACAATTTATTTTTTGAAATACAAAAAACATAATTTAACTTATGAAGAGCAATTAAAGCTATGGAAGGATGAACAATTTGTAGACATTGGTGAGCCTTATGAAAGTCTAATATTTGTAATTCACAAGACTGCTAGTTATGCTCACTAGCAGTCCCAGTCCATACAACTACTGCTTCTTTCTTTGCAGAATAGAAAAAGACGTATAATTTTAAAAGTAATATATGTTTATCATAGAAAGCCTGGAAAATACTGAAGAGTCTAGTGAAATAAACCCCCACACTCTTACTGCCTGAAGGAAGGAAATGACATTTTGTTATATTTACTACCTGTAATTAAATATAATAAAAATGAATCATACTCTATAAGTTTGTGTCCTATTTTTAAGCTTACATATTGTGAACCATTTCCCATGCATTTAGAGTAAACTGTAATTTGGATACTACATCTCTGCACAATGCCTACTACAAAAAACATTGAATACCTCTTATATTGGGCATATACCTAGTTTGACAAATTTTGAGTGTTTCACCCACAGGAAATGTACAAGTCTTATTTGTAGTTGGGTATCTAGGAAATTCTATAAGCCTAGCATATAATGGATACTAGATATGTTTATTATACTCTTTTTGAATTATACATAGCAATTAAAAACTACTGATTCAAAGAAAAACAATATTGAAATGGATACTGGGAATACTGAGAAATTTTTAAGCTCTGGATAGCTCTAGATAAAAAATTAGAAAGATCAACTTTATATCTAGATGATTTTATACTTCATCCATCTATCTATCTATCTATCTATCTATCTATCTATCTATCTATCTATCTATCTGAACAAACCATTAAAAGTCCCACTTCTTCATTCCTACTTCGCCTTCCCTAATAAAAGTGGCCCTCAAGCTGAACTCTCTATACCTTTAGTACCAATCATTTAAGTATTGTCCTATTGAACAAAGTGTTAGGCTACATCCATTCTCATACTATAAATACTATTATATGTGATTACTTCTACATCTCCTATGTTATATCTGCAGCCCAACTCCCTGAGGGAAGCTAGGTGAAGGGTTCATGAGACTCTCACTATTAATTTTGCAACTTCATGTGAGTCCATAAATTATTTCACAATAAAGAAGTTTTAAAAAAACTCTTCTCTTGAAAAAATTACTAAGAAATATGTGTGATCTTGAAAAGTATCCACTGTTAAGAGGAACATTTTTTTATACCAAGCTTGAAAAATTTTATCAAGCTGAAGTCTTAAAGAGTTTGGAAGGTCTTACCACTATAGAATCTCATGATTTCTAAACAGTAAACAATGTATCTAAAATATATTTTATTCTCTTAATCATAAAATCATTTAAATAATTCAATAAAAATATGAATATGAGGAAAAACTTCAGTTAAACAAGATGGATTTCATGCTTCCAAATACAACTTTAAGAAATACAAGTGTGTTGCTTTTAATGTTGGAAGAGATTTAGTTTTCAAGAAGGAACAGATCTAAACAAAAATAGAGTCACATTTCTATGCTAGATATGAATGTAGTGATAGAATAAAAGATGTCAGCTTTGAAATGTGTCAGTTTCACCTACAGATTTATTTTCTAAGCCTATTTTAATTCTGCGTTGATACTTCCCTAGCAGCAGGACACTACTTGCCTGTCACATCACTATGTTGCTTGAGATTTATTCTCAAATACACTATTATCATCATTATATTGTTCATATTATAAGCACTGAATTGAAATTCTCACAGTGAAGAGGAATTAACCTCAAACAACAAACCAAGTGCCTACACTGAATTATTTTGGAATTTATAAGAACAGTTTCCATATTTATATTTCTACAAAGAGTTTGCCTCATGAAATCCATGAAGGAAAAGGCAAGAACCATACAATGACTTTTGCATAGATTACCTCATCTCCAAAATCAACCAGTTGACTGCTTCTAAGACAAAGTATATTAAAATCATATAACTTGAGATTTGAGACTAGTACTATGACTTTGTTTCATTTCTCAGTCTGTCAGTACTATTTTTTCCCATCTTCTTTCCTTTTTTTCCCTAAACCTATTTGTACAAATAGGTTCTTTCCTCTATTTTCCTGCAAGACATATTTTCCTTTGAACAATATATTTTCCTGCACTTTAGGAAATCTAGAAGATTGTGGCAGTCATGCTAGAGGTCTGGTCTTTTTAGGTTAAAAATGTTACTTTTGGATCCTGACTTGGTCCTAGAATAGGCAAAAGGCCAAGGAGGAGTATCAAATATTCTCTAATACAGATAAGTAAAAAAATCTGCCTATGTAAGGAGACCCTCTCTGGACTGGAACCCAGCAATCTATGAGTAGGTGAGGCCTAAAAGGACAAAAGGATTTAATTAGCGGAAGGCATTAATATGGAAGCCACTGGCTGGGATATTAACATGAAGGGCTATGGAGAGCCTCTGGAGTTCTGAGAATGAAGTGACATGGTAGTCAGACCTATAGACAAAGGGAGCTACTAATTCTCCCCAACTGTTTCTGCACACTGTATCCTCTACCCTGGCATTGCTAGAAGTCAAACCCCTCGGAGTAAAGAGTAGTAGAAATATTTTAGCTAAGAAAATATTTAGTTAGGAATAAAACAATAAATTTATATTGAAGCTTTAGATGTTTATTACATCATTCAGAGGTTTCTTTTCTATAAATTTACCAGGTAGAAGTACAATTTTGCTACATGCATAGGTTGTATAGTAGTGAAGTCATGGCTTTTAGGGTATTCATCACCCAAATAATATACATTGTACCCATTAGGTAATTTCTCGTCATCCATCCCTTCACTCTTCCGAATCTCCATTATCTGTAATTCCACACTGTACGTCCATGTGTACATATTAGTTAGCTCCCATTTATAACTGAGAACATGTGGTATTTGCCTTTCTGCATCTGACTTTTTTCACTTAAGATAATAGTCTCCAGTTCCATTCATGTTGCTGCAAAGAATTGATTTCATTCTTTTTTTATGGCTGAATAGTGGTCCACTCCATATATATATGTATATATATCACATTTTATCTAATCATCCATTGACAGACACTTAGGTTGATTCTATATCTTTTCTACTGTAAATAGTGCCATGATAAACATATGGGTACAGGTATCTTTTTGATATAATGATTTCTTCTCCTTTAGGTAGATACCCAGAAGTGAGATTGCTGGATTGAATGGTAATTCGATTTTTAGTTATTTCAGAAATCTTCATACTGTTTTTCATAGTGATTTTACCAATTTACATTCCTATCAACAGTGTATAAGGGTTCCCTTTTCTCCTGCCAACATCTCTTATTTTTTGTCTTTTTAATGAAATTCTGACTGGTGTATATAATATCTCATTGTGGTTTTAATTTGCATTTCTCTAATTACTAGTGATAATGATAATGAGCATTGTCTCATATATCTGTTAGCCATTTGTATGTCTTCTTTTGTAAAATGTGTATTCATGTCCTTTGCTCACTTTATTGTTTGAAGTTTTAATGACAAATTTCTTTAATTTCTATCTACATAGCCAAAGGCCCTCTTTTAGTATAATGTTTACTATTTGCATTAGCGCCTCTTGTCAGAATTTTTGGCTACAGATACCATTGATCCAGGCAAACCTAGAAAAGGTGAACACTTTTGGCCCTTTGGAAATAATACCTATATATTATTTGGCATGTTGAATAGCTCTTCATTATTTGACAGCTTTGAAAGGTTACAGAGATCTAGGACAGTTAAAAACCTACATATAACCCACTATTACCAGGAAGGAAAAACATACAAGTATAAAGAATCATTTTTGTTTACTATGAAATGCAATTAATAACTGGCTTAATTAAGCAAGATCGTATGCCTTATTCTCAGGGCTTATTGAGTTGAAATTAGGTTCCTGGTGTGAAATGAAAAGGTAACTGTAAATTTAAACAGTTTCATTTATTCATAAGAATAAAAAGATATAATCAAGGCAATTATGCTTCATACAAACTAGGGTTAACTCTGAAAATATTTTATAACCCGCCAGTCATAACAGACGCTAGCTAGTACTATTGGTACACCCAAAATAATGTAAGTCAAACAAAAAAGCATTCCATAGACCATAAATTTCTCTTTTTCTTCCCTATTATAAATTTTTGCTAGAATCTAATTTCTTATCATGATACATATGTACATACGTATTAAAAAGTTTCCTAAACACAGTACTTTTTAAAGGAGGCAGATGAGTGTCAATTGACTTGATCTTTATTACTTCTAAAAATCTTTGATTTACAAATCTTTGATTTACTAAGGATTTCTAGGAAGTCCATCATGTTATCTTGATTTTTTTACTGTATCTTTTTGTATTAAAACAAAACAAAACAAAATAAAAGTCATTCACTAACAACTACTAATAACCTTTGGAAATTTCTTTAATCTATTTGGAAGCAGTTCTAAAGAGAAATCCTACAGAATGAGGTCTATAGTTAGTGAAATATTTCACCTTGATACTATCAGAAAGGATATTATGGCGAATCAAGCAAGACATATTTCTTATGCTTTTCAATAAAAACATTGTTTAGATATCATGAGGTAGGTAAAAGAGTTATAATAAATAGTGTTTTCTCTAGTAGTTTTTAATCTAGCTGGGTAACAAGTAATTAAATTACATGAAACATGTTTACACATGAATTTGAGTATAGATACCTTAAGAATAATAGTAATTTACACAGAAGACAAGGTCTTTGTTCTTTAGAGGCATATTACCCAATTTAGTATAAGCAAACTAAGTAGAGTGTGGATATGATGACTTGAGAAAATATAGTCTCAGAAATACTATGTCTTACATTTCATGTAATAACATTGTTACTTTGTTTGTCTCTGGTCATGTAGATGACCTGTTCAAGACAAAAAATCACATTATGTACATTTCCCACATAACTGTGGTAGAGCACAAGTTATGACATAGATAGCACATTGTTCTTTTCCTTTTGTGGGGTGTGTGGACAACTCCCATGCTTTCATGTTTATAGACCATGGCCATAGGAAAAAATACAATGTTTCAGTACCAATTAAAGGAACAAAAGTTTTTTCCTCGAAAACCTCCATAATCTAAAGCTGCTATTAAGTGTTATAGGAAGTTTTACCAAAATATGTTGCTTTCACAGTTTTAAACTCTAGTCCAGAATTTAAAAGATAAGTCGATCTACCACTTTCCCCGAAGTTTTCTAATGGTGATGATACATAAATTAACGAGACTTTTAAAAATAAACTCTAAAGTTTATTTTATTTAACCTCAAACAGTTATGACAAAAGTTGTAGATCTTAGGGGCAGAAGATAAAATCATATTATTTTATACTCTGATGAGCTGTTCAGAATTCAATTTTTAAAAAATGAATACCTGCAGTATTTCCTAACAATTTCATCTCTATATTCCTTAATAACTCAGATTTTTCTCTCTAAAAAAAGTCAAAGTTTATTTTCAAAATAATGCTCATTTTCCCCCCCATGGTATTCTGGAACTTCTGCATTATGGTGTTACTGGTATTTTAGTATTCAAAATTGTCTAGTTTGAATGTCAATCTTATTATCCTTAAACATCTGCAAAATAGCATGATCTCTGTCTCTGACTACTTATATTCCCGGTTTTACAAAATGTATGGATTTATGTAATAAAGAAAAATGGAAAAAACAATGGTAAAATAAAGTAAAAAAGATAATAAAATAATTATGTAAATTAGTAGAAATACATAGATTATAAAGTCCTACTTAATTGCTATAGTTGAATTGCAAATTTAACTTTGAATTTCTTGACAGCCAAAGTTAATACAGAACATAGATTAAATAATTAGAAAAATTATATCAATTCTGCCATAGAAAGCAATCCCTTTGATAATTTAATTCTTTAGAAAGCTAGTGGGCTAAGTGATTGGATTTATTTTGTTAAGTTGTACTCTATCAGGCAGAGCAGAATACAGACCTGCAAGCAACATTTAATATGGGTAAAAGTTTTAGTCACTTCTATATCCTTATGGATTCATTTTCAATGGCTCATTTATTTCTTTTTTTCCCCTAAATCTCAAAGGAAGAGTGTGCTTTTAGCTGGATCACTGGAATAGCTGCAGCTGTTCCATGGCTTATATTAAAAGTAAATAATCATCAATATTTGTAAACAGTGCACAAATACTTTCACACAAATTATATAACTTGATCTTAGCCTATTGAAATGGATATTATCTTCACTTCATAGAGGAGAAAACCAGGGCTGAAGAAAATGCACACCTATAAAACCGATAGAGTCTAAACCTACACTGTCCAAGATGGCAACCAGAAGTCACACATGGCAACTGAGCACTTGAAATGTTGCTGGTGTGAACTGAGATGTGCAATAATTATGCTAAGCGAAAGAAGCCAGTCAAAGACACCACATACTATATGACTCCATTTGTATGAAAGCCCAGAATAGGGAAAGCTATAGAGACAGAAAGTAGATTAGTAGTTGATTAAGGTGAGGGGAGGAGGGATGAATGGGTGAAATGAGGAGGGGGAGGAATAGCTAAAGGGTATGCGGTTTCTTTTTGAGGTAATAAAGGTGTTCTAAAATTGTGGAGATGGTTGTACATATCTCTGAGTACACTAAAAACTACTGGATTGTACATTTTAAATATGCAGATATGTGCTGTATGAATCTCAATAAAGCTGTTAAAAATAAGATATTTTTCTAAATTCAGTACATTGTTAAAAGTACAATGTTAATTAAATTGTATTATATTTCCGTGACAGATTATTTTTGTAGCCAAAATATCTGTGATAACCTAAGAATATACTTGTGTCATAATATTATTTGGAATATACACAGAACCCGTTGTATAAAAACATGCTAATGGATTAGAAGAAAATATTCCTAATATTAACAGTAGTTTGTGGGATTTAAAGTTTCTGCAATAATGGTACATTAAAATATTTATCCCCTAGGGCAAATATTATAACTTTCAAATATGACATTCCTCAAATCATATAAAATATTTCCATAAGGAAAAAAGTCCTAAATGGATCTAACATAAAAGCAAAAGTCTACCAGTTAAGATAGGATTCAAGGAAAGGATATTTTACCATTCTCAAACTACATCTAACATTTGCCTTGAGTAGTAGTAACTTTAATTTGTAAAAAATGCATCATTAACTTTTAAGGGGAAATAAAAGGCTATGTAAACATAAATATTCCTTCAGAAATAAATGGTTATAAATGTCGAAGTACATAAAAAATTATATACAACAAATGTTACCCAAAGATTACTGCATAAAAATCAAATTTTTTCAATTTTAATTTGGTAAATTTAGTAAAATGTGCCATTATTTTCATAAAATCCTGGATTATACTCTTTTCCCCTTAGAGTTCAAAAGCAATAGTACAAAATTATCTAAAATAAAATTACTTTTAAGAGAAAAATTGTGAAATTAAACAAACATTTGTGGAATTTTTGTTATCTTGACATAATTTTTCCCAAAATTTTTACCATAATTATAGCTCTTTTAATGGACTCAGTAGTACAGTTTAAGTTTGGGATACATAATATGAAATTACAACAGAAAGGGTTGACGGCTCAGATTAAAGATTTTACCTACTTAAGTGATTTGGTCATGGTATTCCTAACGGTGAAAAGTCTTATTTTCTCTATGCCCCTACAATGATCACAAGTAATATCTTAGAATGCTGAATTAATCATAATTTTTTTTACCTACTTCTAAGTGTATCTTTTCATAAAAACACATGCTGCAATTTAAATTTAAGGATGTTTAGATGTTTTCCAAAATACTCTAAGGACTATTAATTCCAAGATATGCTTCAATAGACAAAGGGTTATTTGGTCAAAGTGAGTCAGGAAAAAGTCACCTATTCTATTTTGCTTTTGGAGAGTCACAAAGCACATAAACATAATAAAGGACTTTATGAAGTCCTGCAATTAAGAAAACAGATTAAAACTGTTTAACTCACATTTTCTTCTATACTTATTTGACTATGAAGCCTTATTTTTCTGCTTAATACCAAATAGCTTCGAAAGAATTATTGTTTTGTAGGATACACTTCGGGAAACTCTGCTTTAAGTAAAAAGGTTTTCTGTTTTCATGATGCTTCATATTGTCCACTTTTAATCAGTAGCACATTTAAATGAGAAGAATTAGAAAGCTACAGGCATAAAAGCCCTTAATAAACATTGCTTCTGATTACTTTTTTGCCCTTGTCCTAGTTACTTTATTAATACATTTAAAAAATTTACTTCTTATTCCTTTGAAAATATTGATAGCTGGAAAAAGATTTTAGATTGGCAAAAGATCCAATGTCATATTAATACATTAAATAGTGCAATGACCTTAAAAAGCAATGAGTCATAGATTAAAGTCTATGCTTCAAAGAACTACAAAGCAACAGTACAAATGAAAGCTTAATTTTGCTTTCTTATTTGACAACATAACATACAATGCATATTTGGGGTTGGGAAGGAAAAAATTGCTTCTTCTCCTCCTTCCTGTTTTTAGAAAGCAGCTAGTCATATTGATCTACTTTCTGGAGTAGCAGGGAACAAATGCAATATCTTTTCTGAACATATTTCAACCAACTGCTCCAATTAATAATCTGTTGTTGAGTACTGAAAAAAATGAAAATGAAAATTTGTACCAGATTGGCAAAGATTAAAAAAAAAAAAAACCTCACTAAGAAAATACTACACTAGCATGGCCAAGAGTGGGCAAAAATAAGTTCTCTCATATTCTCTCTGAGAGGATGTAAATTGTATAATACTTTTAGAGGGTAATTTGCAATATTTTTCAAAATTAAAAATGGGCATGCCCTTTTAGTTAGTTATTCTATTTGCAGAAATTATCCTACAGATAAATCATACATACATTAGGTCAGTACAAGTTTGTTCACGGTAGCATTGTATAGAAAAGCCTAAATGCCCTTCAATAGAGCATTACATTAAATCTATGCAGTAGAAGAGCATTCAACAGAGTTCCCTGAAAGATGAGATAGATCTTTATGTACTGACATGTAAAGACTCTAAATTATATTTTTAAGTGAAAAACAGAAAGCAAATTGCAGTAGAACATGTGGAGGGTACATACTGGAATGTATGATAAAGTCTGTATGATTATGCAGCAAAATGTTAACAGGGGTTATCTTTGGGAGATGAGATAAAAGCAGAGGAGGTAGGTAAGTAAGGAAGCAACTTTTATTTTCTATTATAGGTATTTGTATTATTTTGACTTTTTAAAAATAAAAGCAGATATTGGTTTTATAAATTAAAAACACAGAAAAGGGAATATTTTTGATGCATGTTTTCCTGGAAAAAAAAAACAAGGTAATAATTATAAATAGGTGTATATTCATTAGAGATTTACAATTTGAAAATAATTTGCTGTTATTTTACTACATTTTCCTAGCTGAGCCACTTAACTTCAGTAGCTAAGTTTACTAAGCACAAAATAGATATTATGTAAATTTCAGAGAAGAAAGTTTTGTGTAGTAAATAATTAGTGGTTATATAAAATTATTCACAAAATCCCATATTTTATCAAGTGAAAATGGATTCTCCTGTGCATTATTATTAGTAAAGACTGGTCAGAACAATGAAGTCATATTTTTCTGTACAAATCCAGGAAATGTTTTCTTAGAATCCTTAATAAGATAATAAGCATAAGTATGAAGAATTGAGGGATTACAAAAAGTTTATAGTTATAGAAATCTAATTATTTCATTGCACTGATATTTCATGCAGTTGCTATTACCAAACTATTAAAATCCCCATTTTGCTGTCCTCGAAATAAGAATATAACCAAGAAAATCCTGATTCTTAATTCATAGGAGACATCTATTTGAAGTTTTTATAGATTAACCTGAGGTATTCTTATTGTTATGCCCAGGCTCCCTATGTTCAATGACTTACAGACAAAAAATAAAGGCCACTGTCTCTGATTATACCAGGACTATGGTTCAATAATTAAGCCCATCAGTTCAGATAATGTCTAGGAATTGCTCATTATCTTGATATTCTTTAGCAATGGTAAAGATACTCTCATTCTACTTAATGAAATAAAAATTCAGATTTTCCCAAGTTAGCAATGGTGTAAGAATTTCCACCTAGAGAGGCACATCCTGAGCATAATTTCTCTTATTATCCAAGAACTACTTTGAGATTTTTCTAACTGCTGTTGCTACCACGATGTTGGTATATTCCTCCTCTAATCTGTTTTAAGTATGCATGATTGGGTGTACAAACTTTTTCTTAATTCCCTGAAGCGTAGTAGAAAAATTGGAACAGTTAAATACGAACTCACTAAAGCATGTAGTATCAACAGCAACAACAAAATGTAGATTTTGATGTGAAACTAAATAACCTCATTTATATAATATGGCTTACTGTTGCTGACGTTGTATGGTAGGCAGAATTCTAAAGATGTTCCCCCAAGATTCCATCCTGTGGCTATTCAAACACTAGACTAGGTAATGGTGTTAACATTGGGAGCTTGTCCTAGATTATCCCTGTGGGCCTAATATAATTGACTCCTTAAAAGAGGAAGGCGGGAAGAGTCAGTTACACAGTTTTTTCAGAAGAAAGAAACAAACGGGAGACAAGGTGGAAAAGATTAGAGGCTGAAAACACAAGAGGGACTTGACTCACCATTGCTGGCTTTGAAAATGGAAGGGTCCCATGAGCCAAGTAATGCAGGCCAGCTCTAGGAGCTGACAATGACCCTCAGCTTACAGGCAGCAAGGAGATGCGGACTTTAGTCCCACAGCCACATGTAATGGAAATTCTGCCAACAACCTAAACAAGTTTGAAGAGGACTCATCCCTAGAGCCACCAGAAAGGAATGTAGTCCTGCCAGCACCCTGATTTTGGCCTTGTGAGATTCTAAGCAGAGAACCAGCTGAGCCACACTGTGTCTGAACTTCTTTCTGATCTAAGAAAGTATGAAATAATAAATTTGCATTGTTTTGAGCCTCTACATTTGTAGTAATTTTTTACAGTAGCAATAGAAAACTCAGAGTCTCCTAGACTCTAGCTCATTTCTTGTCTGCTTCCATATGGTAGACACCATCATTAGAGTTCTTTATTAAAGCTTTGACATCTTCTTTCAAGTCTAGAACCAAGCCCAGAGAGAAATGCATTAAGGAGAGACTATTATCAAATACCACTTTTCCTCTATCTGTTATGGTTATATAATTAGCAAATGTTAATTTAATGATAGACACCGAGGCCAGCATTTTACAGTAAAAAAATAAATATGGTCTCTGTCCTCAGGTGGCCTACAGTCGGACAATATATAGCCAATAGAGTTACTTATAGTCTATATCTATGTAGTTAGCAGTGAATTACAATTTGTTTACTTGTGTTTTTCTTATATGATCATTTGAAAATAGCAGATTATCTTATATCTAGGAATCCAATATGTGATTATTCCTTCTTTGCCTATGTGATCGATTTGAAGAGATCACATTTAAGCGTTTAAATTTATTTTACTTTTGTAATTGTTTATGTTATGAAAATTTTTCAGTAGCACTTCATATTGATTAACATGTAAAAGCTAGAAATTGGGCATAAATGTGTGAGATCTTATTAAACAAGCAGTCAGCTCAGTTCAGTAAAAAGTAAAAATATTACATATGAAGTACATAAATTTGCCATCCTAATGTAGTCCCTATGGAAATAGCTGTTATATAGAATATAGCCATAAATTTAAAAAGAAATTTTCCTACTACAAAGGCACCATCACCACACTATTAAACAATGAACTAACTTTTGTCTTTATTTCATAATTAATATTACTCTGAAACCTTGAGAAAGTCACTTAATATGTTGCTTCAGTTTCACATCCACAAAATGTTCTTACTACCTGTCTTATTTCACAGAGAAAAGTAATTCAAGTTTTAAGAACTGTGGTTACCTCCTTTATATGCAAACGAAATACATTATATTATTAACCATAATTATAGTTAGTTATAAACATATGAAACATATTTAAACATATCTATGAGTTGATTAACCCATTGATGTGATCTATACACGTGTCTGCTGACCTTCCGTATTTCAATACAAATTCACTTGTTGAATTTGTCACTTTCTTACATATGTCAAATAACCATACTGCTTTTAGTCAGCAACTATTTTGAAAGGCTGCTAATGATAAAATAGGAGTAGTACATAAAACCATGTGCTGTTTATATCCTTCAGATACAAGTTCATAACTTCTGTAGCTTACAGAAGTATTGAGAAGGCCTCGTGGAAAAAATATGGCTGTCATTCAATTATTTATGTTTCATTTTTTCTTTCACTATCATATATAATGATATGAAAATATATGATTATATATTCATATATAATGATATGAAAATATATGATTATATATTCATATATAATTATATGAATCATTTTCATTAGCATATAATGTTTAAATATCTTTTCTTCATTATAAAACGGCTTAGCTTGACTCTCCAAAGCTATGAAGATGCTGTATTGTTACTATGGTTACTATAACTTCACAGCAAGGACAGAATAAATAAACCAATAGTTTAAGGACCAGGATTCAAGCCTGAGAGAATGGAACCATGCCCACTATGATTTGATGCCAGGCCAGTAATGCTGTAATGGAGTATGATGATGTTGATAGTGGTAGGTGGTCCAGCTTATAATACAGTCAGAGAAGGTTTCTAGGTTGTTCCCGATTCAGCTTGTTTTTACAACCAAAAGGGAAATGCTTAGGGAATCTACCAATTATCTTACTTATTTTGATGAGGTCCAAATGGAAGACAGGAAAAAAGCCACAGCTGGAGATACAGGCAAAGCTGTATCAGTATTAGCCAAGAAACAAGAAGTAAGGGAGCACATATTGCCAGATATGTGGCAATGAAAGGTAGCACAGGTATAAGCAAGTTAGAATTACAGATATAAAACTGTGAAACAATGGTGTGAGGAACTCGAGATTGTTATAATTCCTGCTTCAGACAGCACTGCAGATAGAGAAACACAGAGAGAGAGAATGAGAATATGAATGTGCCATCCTGAGAAGTTGGGTAGGACTAGTTTCGGACATAGCCACATCCTACTATATAGCATGTCCTAACATGAAGAGAATTATACAGCTTGTCTCAGTTCTTTTCAGTCTTTGAGGAAAAGAAAAAATGCAAGAAGAGAGCATACATCAGTGACTGGCCACCTCTAGAAACTGTGACAACCTGCATCTTTAGAGATTACTGGGCCCGTTTGGTGATGCTTCTTCAATTTTTACAGAAAGAATTCCTCTAAGGTGTGAAAGCTTTATATGACTCATCATGATACACTTTTCTTTACTTGTTCTTTCTCTTTTAGTCTCTGTTCTTCAAAATCCACCTTTATGAGTAAGTTTCAATGTGGTTTGGGGATTCATTATTCAGTAATGTAACTGGAGAAGTCATTGTGTTTCTTATTGCAACTTAAAAGCTGTTGAAAAGGGAAGTGGGGACAGTTAATGGGTACAAAAACAGAATGAATAAGATTTAGTATTTGCTAGCACAACAGAGTGATTACAGTCAGCAATAATTTATTATACATTTTAAAATAACTGAGTATAATTTGATTGTAACACAATAAAAGGATAAATGCTTGAGGGGATAGAGACCCCATTTACCCTGATATGATTGTTACATATTATATGCCTGTATCAAAATAAATACCTCGAGTACCCCACAAATATATACACCTACAATAAAAATATATACACAAAAAAATTTTTTAAAGTTAACAGGAAATTTAAAAAAAGAAAGAAAGTAAAGATCCTGAGGTGTAGGAAATAAATGACAGATATTTCTGAAAAAAAAACTTGTTGGAAAGTTTTTATGCTAAAACAATTATATTTTAGCAGATAACACATCTTTTGGCTTAACGAAAATGGCAGCTCTTCAAAGGTGCACTTGGTGTATGTACAAGAAAGAAGAGTATGTATTCATCATAGAGGTGATTTTGGAGATACAGGAAAACTCTCTGTCTCTACAGACTTTTCTCTCTACTTGTCAATGACTAAAATCTCCATTACAAATTCACTATTTTGGCTTAAGACTTTTCAAATACTTGTAGAGAGTACTTAAGCATTTTAACCATTCTGTATCTTAATGGAAATGTATTAGCCAATTAGTTCCTGAGAAAATAAAAAGGGTGAAAGAATCTGAAAACACTTTAATAGGGATCAGGTATTGAAAGGAAGGGAGCCCTATTCAAAGAGAACAGAAAGTGGAGAATATCAGAAAATTCTCCAGCTTCACAATTTTGAACAGGACTTAACTCAAAATCATTTATTGTTTCTTTTCCTACCTTCTTCCCCGCAACACCTTTCTTTCTGTTGCTTCTTTAGTTTCCTCATATAAGAAGTAAAATCAAGAATCGTAATACCTACTGTAAAGAGCAACTGTGGGGTTTAAAAAAGTTAATAAACTAGAAAGTGCTTTGCAAAGTACCAAGAACACAGCTGATGTTCAAATAAATGACTATCACTTCTCCTGCTTCTCCTGTCTCTTTGTTATTTGGCTTAAGAAATAATGCATTTTCTTCTAAATGAATATGCCAGTAAACCAATATTAAGAAGGTAATATATTGTCATTACTCCCAAACTTATTTTTTTTTAGCTCTTTGTGCCTTTTAAGCCCAGAATCTTTCAGCTTGCCATTTAACCTCCACCCCAACAACAAAATATGTCAAGAAACCTATTAACTAGTCTAAGAGCCTGATTTAAATTTCACTTCTATTTCCTTTTCCTAAACTTCTTTAGTAATGGTTAAAATGATCCTTTAGGGCCGGGTGCAGCGGCTCACGCCTGTAATCCCTGCACTTTGGGAGGCTGAAGCGGATGGATCACCTGAGGTCAGGAGTTCCAGACCAGCCTGGCCAACATGGTGAAACCCCATCTCTACTAAAAGTACAAAAATTAGCTGGGCGTGGTGGCAGGCACCTGTAATCCCAACTACTTGGGAGGCTAGGGCAGGAGAATTGCTTGAACCAAGGAGGCAGAGATTGCAGTGGGCCGAGATCATGCCATTGCTCTCCAGCCTGGGTGACGAGAGAAACTCTGTCTCTACATAAATAAATAAATAAATAAATAAATAAATAAATAAATAAATCCTTTAACATTACCCATTACTTCTAGACCATGAAACTCTTAAGTCCTAGAATCAGATTTAATTTTAAAAATCAGAAGAGCCTGGCTAACACTGTGAAACCCCGTCTCTACTAAAAATACAAAAAATTAGCCAGGCATGGTGGCGGGTGCCTGTAGTCCCAGCTACTCGGGAGGCTGAAGCAGGAGAATGGCGTGAACCCGGGAGGTGGAGCTTGCAGTGAGCCAGGATCGCACCACTGCACTCCAGCCTGGGCGACAGAGCGAGACTCCATCTCAAAAAAAAAAAAAAAAAAAAAAAAAAAAAAAAATCAGAAGAGCTAAGGTAGTAAATATTTTAAGAAAGCAATAGCTTATAACTTTTTTCTTTGTTCTATAAAAAATGTTTCATAACATTATGGAAACTCTCATGATCAAAACCATAGTAAAAAAATTAAAGATTACTTCAATAAAATAATCTGGTGTTCATTAAAATAAATAATAGAGTCATTGTTATCCTATAATTATCCACAAAGGGCAGAACTTCCCAAACTGCACAGATCAGGAAGCAGCACATCCTAACTGCCTACTCGTGTCATTTTTCTTGAAGAATGCCAAAACCCAGAAAGATTAATTCTAGGTAACAGGTATGAAACAAGAGTCTTCCAATAGCATTCTGAATTAAGTAGAAAAATGAAAATGAATACTCATTTTAAACAATTTTTCTTTAACGTATGAGTATTAAATTTGTTACACTTGTTTCATAGTCTTAAACACTTACATTGATCAAAAAATAAAAGACCAAAAATGAGAGGAGGCATTGTTAAATGCACCAAAAGCAGATGTAGTAAGCAGGAAAATTGTAATTTTATGCAGAGACTACAAAAAATGTGCTAGATAGCAAATGTATGGACACTGGTAACATTTCAAGGCTATTTTAGTGGAAAACGCCACTCTTTCACAACAATGGAGCCAAACTTCTTGACTGGGCAATCTTCATGTAATTCACGTAGCTAGAGTACAGAACTCCTTTTGGAGTTTGGAAAGAACTGAAAATTAAGTATGAGGTGGAATACTGGCTGGACTAAGTGACATTTAAAGTTCTTTCTTATATTTTGAGATTTTAAAATTATCCAAGAAGATGTTTGGGAATCTATTTCCACACTTAGTCATATCCTCTTCTACATCTTCAATATTCTCTTCCATTTATGCTCCAACACAAAATGATTTCTCTCATTTTGAGGTATAAATGTTTGAATATCCAAAAGCATCAACTAGAATAGACAGGCAAACTTTTTCTGTTAAGGGCCATATGGCAAATATTTTAGGCTTTGTGGATCATGTGGTTTCCCTGATCCACAGATGCTCAGATACTACTCATCTCAGCCACTGGAGCACAAAAGTAAACACAGACAATATACATTAACAAATGAACTTGGCCGTGTTCTGACAAACTTTATTTATCAAATAAAAATTATTTATCAAGCAAAAATCCCAACCAAACATAAAAGTAGCAGGTTAAGTTTGGCTTGTAGCCCATACTTTGCCAGCCCCAAAACTAGAGCTTTTTTTTTGTTTCTTTACAGTTGGTACCTCCCATTTCTACCATGTATTTCCTCTTTAAGTCCTGATGATCCAGACTTCTTCACATCTTAAAAGCTAACATTTATTAAGAATTAAATTAGATGATGCCCTAACTGAGAGCTCCTCCAGCTACCTTCATCAAGGCTGGGACCTCTGTCTACCATTGGGTATTACATCTACCCACATGCTTTAGCTACAATGATTGCCTACCTAAGGGATATCTCCCCTATTGGCCTGAAGCCTGAATCATCAACTCAGTAAATAAAACATTGAAGAAAAATTAAGTACATAAAGTATATACCATGAGAAAATGAGATAAGCTTCAAGAGATTCCTGCCATTCCAACCCCATGGGAGACAGTGAACTTGCCCACACAACAAGTACCAAACTACTACAAGCAGCATTTGGGAAAGCCAACACACAAAGACTCTATAACTAAGGAACTCATCCAGAGGCATCACATAAAATATCCGAGAATCAAATTAGGCTATAATAAACAATAAACATTAAAGTCTTATCCTTAAGAGGGGAACAAAAGAAATTTAAAAAACACAGTCCAGTAGAAAATAAATTCAAGAACAATTTCAAGAAATAGTTTACCCAAATGAATGGGAACCATAAAAGTGATTCTGGTAATATGAGAAAACAGGGTTTTATAACACCACCAAAAGATCATACTCGCTCCCCTGTAATGGATCCAAACCAAAATGAAATCTCTGAAATGCCAGATAAAAAATTCAGAAGGTTGATGATTAAGCTACTCAAAGAGATAACAGAAATGTGAAAACAAAATTAAAGAAATTTTTTAAAAATCCAGGATACAAATGAAAAATTTTCCAGAGAGAGATATATATATATAACAAAAAAAATCAATCAGAACTTCTGGATATAAAAGACACACTTAGGGAAATACAAAATGCAGTGGAAAGTTTCAGCAATAGAACAAGTAGAAAAAAGAATTCCAGAGCTCAAAGACAAGGCTTTTGAATTAATCCAATCAGACAAAGACAAAGAAAAAAGAATAGAAATATGAACAAAGTCTCCAAAAAAAAATGGGATTATGTAAAACAGCTAAGCCTAAGAATAATTAGTATTCCTGAGGGAGAAATGAAGTCTAAAAGTTTGGAAAATTTATTTCAGGTAATAGTTGAGGAAAACTTCCTTGGCCTTGCTAGAGATCTGGACATCTAAATACAAAAAGCTCCAAGAACTTCTGGGAAAATTCATTGCAAAAGATCACCACCAAGGCACATAGTCATCAGGCTACCTAAAGTTAAGATGAAGGAAATAATTTTAAAAGCATCAGGTAACCTATAAAGGAAAACCTATCAGACTAACAGCAGACTTCTCAGCAGAAAATTTACAAGGCAGAAGGGATTGGGGTCCTATCTTTGGCCTCCTTAAACAAAATAACTGTCAGCCAAAAATTTTCTATCCAGCAAAACTAAGCTTCATTAATGAAGGAGCGATAAAGTCTTTTTCAGACAAATCTTGAGGGGATTTGCTGCTGTCAAACTAGCACGACAAGAAATGCTAAGAGGAGTTCTAAACATTGAAACAAAACCTCAGCATACACCAAAAGAGAACTTCCTTAAATCATAAATCTCACAGGACCTATAAAACAATAACACATTGAAAAAAAAGTATCTAGGTAACAGCTAATATGATGAATAGAATAGTACATCATATCTCAGTATTAATGTTGAATGTAACTGGCCTAAAGGCTCTACTTAAAAGATACAGAATGGTAGAATGGATAAAAAACCACCAACCAAATACTTGCTATCTTTAAGAAACTCACCTAACACATAAGCACTCTCATAAACTTAAGGTAAAGAGGTGGAAAAAGATGTTTCACAAGAATGGAAACCAAAAGTGAGCAGGTGTAGCTATTCTTACATCAGACAAATCATACTTATAGTAAAAAAAGACAAGAACCATGTTATATAATGATAAATGGATTAGTTCAACAGGAAGATATTATAATCCTAAATTTATATGCACCTAATGCTGGAGATCCCAAATTTATCAAACAATTACTCCCAGACCTAGGAAATGAGATAGATAGCAACACAATAATAGGCGGTCACTCCAATTCTCCAGTGACAGCACTAGACAGATCCTCAAGACGGAAAGTCAACAACAACAAAAAAATGGACTTAAACTAAACCATAGAACAAACGAACTTAACAGATATTTACAGAAAATGTTTCCCAACAATTGGAGAATATACATTCTTCTCATCAGTACATGGAACATTCTCCAAGATAGACAACATGATAGGCCACAAAACAAGTCTCAATACATTTATGAAAATTGAAATCATATCAAGTATCTTCTCAGATGAGAGTGGAATAAAACTGGAAATCAACTCCAAAAGGAACACTCAAAACTATACAAATACATGGAAATTAAATAATCTGCTCTTGAATCATTTTTGGGTTAACAATTAAGATGGAAATTAAAAAATTCCTTGAAATTAATGATAATAATGACACAACTTATCAAAACCTCTGGCAAAAGCAGTGATAAGAGGAAAGTTCATTGTGTTAAATGCTTACTTCAAAAAGTCTGAAAGAGCACAAATAGACAACCTAATGTCACACCTCAAGGAACTAGAGAAACAAGAACAAACTAAACCCAAACCCAGTAGAAGAAAATAAATAACAAACATCAGAGCAGACCTAAGTGAAACTGAAACAAAAAAATACAAAAGATAAATAAAACAAAAAGCTGGTTCTTTGAAAAGATAAAATTGATAGACCATTAGCGAGAATAACCAAGAAAAGAAGAGAAAAGATCCAAATAAGCTCAATTAGAAATGAAACTGGAGATATTACAGCCGATACCACAGAAATACTAAAGATTACTGAAGGCTACTATGAACACCTTTCCACACACAAACTAGAAAATCTGGAGGAGATGGGTAAATTCCTGGAAATATGCAACCCTCCTAGTTTAAATAGGAAGAGACAGAAACTCTAAACAGACTAATAACAAGTAATGAGATTGAATCTGTTTTATATATATATATATATATATATATATATATATATAGCCAACAACAAAAAAAGTCCAGGACTGATGGAGTCACAGCTGAATTCTATCAGACATTCAAAGACAAATTGGTACCAATCCTGCTGAAACTATTCCAAAAGACAGAGAAAGAGGAAGTCCTCCCTAAGTCATTCTATGAAGCTAGTATCACCCTAACACCAAAACCAGGAAAGGACTTAACAAAAAAAAGAAAACTACAGACCAATATCCATAATGAACATATTTAATAAATGCAAAAATCATCAACAAAATACTAGCTGACCAAATCCAACAGCATATCAAAAAGATAATACACTACGATCGAGTGGGTTTCATAACGGGGATGCAGGGATGGTTTAACATACACAAGTCAATAAATGTGACACATCACATAAAAATAATTAAAAACAAAAATTATACGATCATCTCAATAGATGCAGAAAAAGCATTTGATAAAATCCAACATCCCTTTATGATAAAAACCCTCAACACAGTTGGCATAAAAGTGACATACCTCAAAATAATAAAAGCCATCTATGACAAACCCACAGCCAACATCATACTGAACGTGGAAAAGTTGAAAGCATTCCCCTTGAGAACTGGAACAAGACAAGGATGCCCACTTTCACCACTTCTATTCAACATAGTACTGGAAGTGCTAGCGAGAGCAGATGAAAGAAATAAAGGGCATTTGAATTGGAAAAGAGGAAGTCAAACTGTCGCTGATATGATCGTATACCCTGAAAACCCTAAAGACTCATCCAAAAAGCTCCTAGATCTGATAAACAAATTCAAGAAAGTCTCAGGATACAAAATCAAGGTACTCAAATTAGTAACACTGCTACACACCAATGACAACCAAGCTGAAAATCAAATGAACAACCCAATCCCTTTTACAAGAGCTGCAAAAAGAAAATAAAATACTTAGGAATATACTTAACCAAGGAAGTGAAAGATCTCTACAAGGAAAACTACAAAACGCTCCTGAAAAATCACAGATGACACAAACAAATGGAAACACAACCCATGCTCATGAATGGGTAGAATTAATATTGTGAAAATGACCATACTGCCCAAAGCAATCTACAGATTTAATGCAATTCTCATCAAAATAACATCATCATTCTTCACAGAGCTAGAAAAAAATCCTAAAATTTATATGGAACCAAAAAAGAGACTGCATAGCCAAAGCAATACTAAGAAAAAAGAACAAATCTGGAGGCATCACATTACACAACTTCAAATTATACTACAAGGCTATAGTTACCAAAACAACATGTTACTGGCATAAAAATAGGCACCTAAACCAATGGAATAGAATAGAGAACCCAGGAATAAAGCCAAATACTTATAGCCAACTAATCTTCAACAAAACAAACAAAAACATAAATTGGGAAAAGAACACCCTATTCAATAAATGGTGCTGGAAAAACTGGCAAGCCACATACAGAAGAATAAAACTGGGTCCTCTCACCTTATATAAAACTCAATGCAAGATCAAAGACTTAAATCTAAGATCTGAAACCATAAAAACTCTAGAACACAACACTGGAAAAACTCTTCCAGACATTGGCTTAAGCAAAGAATTCATGACTAAAACTCCAAAAGCAAATGCAACAAAAACAGAGATAAATAGGTGGGACCCAGTTAAACTAAAAAGCTTCTGTATAGCAAAAGAAATAATCAGCAGGGTAAATAGACAACCCACAGAATGGGAGAAAATATTCGCGAATTTTGCATCTGACAAAGGACTAATATCCAGACTCTACACAGAGCTCAAACAAATCAGCAAGAAAAAAACAAATAATCCAAGCAAAAAGTGGTCAGAAAACATAGACAATTATCAAAAAAGGATATACAAATAGCCAGCAAACATATGAAAAAATGCTCAACATCACTAATTGTCAGGAAAATGCAAATTAAAACCACAATGAGATACCCACTTACTCCTGCAAGAGTGGCCATAATTAAAAAGTCAATAAACAATATATGTTGGCATGGATGTGGCTGGAGGAGATGGGTAAATTCCTGGAAATATGCAACCCTCCTAGTTTAAATCAGGAAGAAACAGAAACTCTGTTTACACTGCTGGTGGGAATGTAAATTACTACAATCACTATGGAAAACAGTATGGAGATTACTTAAAGAACTAAAAGCAGAATTACCATTTGATCCAGCAATCCCACTACTGGGTATCCACCCAAAGGAAAATAAGTCATTATATGAAAAAGATACATGCACAGGTGTTTATATCAGCACAATTTGCAATGGCAAAGATATGGAACAAATCTAAGTGCCCATCAACCAATGAGTAGATAAATGTGGCATATACACACCATGGAATACTGCTCAGCCATAAAACGGAATGAAATAATGTCTTGTGCAGTAACTTCAACGGAGCTGGAGGCCATCATTCTAAGTGAAGTAACTCAAGAATGAAAAACCAAATATTGTATGTTCTCACTTTTAAGTGGGAGCTAAGCTATGAGGATGCAAAGGCATAAGAATGATATAATGGACTTTGGGGATTCAGAAGGGAAGGTTGGGATATATTTATAGAGTATATTTATATATAAATATAAATATTTATACAGTTATAAATATAAAACTGTGTAACTCTACCTTATATTTATAACTCTATCTCTTATACTCTATGCTTGAGGTCTTGAATATAGTTTTAGTTCCTTGAGTATGCTCTAAGGACACCCTTAGAGATTGTATTGTCCTGTGCTTCGAAAAGTTAAATGGGTTCCATTTGCTTAAATAAAAAGTTTGGAAATGAATACTTTAGTCAAATTAGATCATTTATCTTTCTCTGCTGCATACTAAATGTTTTTTCTGAACTTACTCTACACTTCTGAAGCTCCCTATGCTTGACATGCATTCCTATCTCATTTCATTGAAATATGACTTATTCTTTGAAGTCTGGCTCAAATTACAAACCTTCAAGAAGTCATCCAGGCCGGGCCCGGTGGCTCAAGCCTGTAATCCCAGCACTTTGGGAGGCAGAGGCGGGCGGATCATGAGGTCAGGAGATCGAGACCATCCTGGCTAACACAGTGAAACCCCGCCTCTACTAAAAATACAAAAAATTAGCCGGGCGTGGTGGCGGGCGCCTGTAGTCCCAGCTACTCGGGAGGCTGAGGCAGGAGAATGGCGTGAACCCGGGAGGCGGAGCTTGCAGTGAGCCGAGATCACGCCACTGCACTCCAGCCTGGGCGACAGAGCGAGACTCTGTCTCAAAAAAAAAAAAAAAAAAAAAAAAAGAAATCCAAAATACCACTCCAGTGAGAAGTGATCTTTCTGAAATCTTATAGCATTTTGTGCACTGATAGGCTATCTAACATCTCTTCCCTAATAGAATTTAAGCTTTCTGAGAGTAGGTCTATGATTTGTTTAACTTTTATGTAATTTGTGTAATTTTTAAATTTTCCATAGTGCCTGCACGACACCATTTTTCTTTATTAGAAACACAGTTAATCATAATTGAATGGATATTTAGAAATTTGTATACTTTTAAAAAATCTAAGTGCTTAGTGCTAGTCTGATATTCTATTTAAAATTTTAAGCAATATTTGATAAAAATGGAATCTAAACTAACCTTAGTATATTTAAATGTTTCACTGAAAAACAGGATAAAACTTAAAGTGGACTATTTTAAGAAAAAAAAAAGCAGTTGATAGCAAGGACAGATAAAGACTGATGGAACAATCATAAAGGACCAAAAAGATACAGCAGATTAAAACTAAATGAATTTACATAGTTCTCTTATTCAAAATGAGGTACAGAGACAGCATAAGGTTTCACTGACACACACGAATATTCCATTAAAAAAAAACAGAAAAAAGTATATTTATATGACATTTTACAATTTTTCCCGCTAAGTTTCTACACATTAAGATAAATGCAAAATAAATACACATCTAAGAAGTAGGTCTAAGGAATAATAAATGTACTTAAAATGATTAAAAAGAGGAATAATCCAGTATGTAAACCTGTGAGGGAATTTTATTGTGATTGAGATTGGATAACTCAGAATAAGAAGGCTAATTCATAAATATATGAAAGTGTACTCAAATATACAAATAATGCACACCACTTGGTGTTCATCACAATCAAACATAAAACAAAAAGATTCGACAGTTAGTGGGATTAATTCTAGAACACAGTTTAAAGAGGATCCTGTATTGCTTTAAAATTGTGCACTGTACTGTAAAATTTGGAAGAAAAGAATATTATCCTTCCTTGAGAAAGGAAATAAACTCCAGTTTACCATTTCGGTTAAAAATAAGAAGTGAACTTTCAAACATATAGTCATATGTATTTAGTTATATGAAATGCCATCTCTTTTTTTTAACTTGTATTTTAAGTTCAGGGGTACATATACAGGATTTGCAGGTTTGTTACATAGGTAAACATGTGTCATGGGGGTTGGTTGTACAGATTATTTCATCACCCAGGTATTAAGCCTAGTACCCATTAGTTACATTTCCTGCTTCTCTCCCACCTCCCAACCTCTGCCCTCTGACACACCCCAGTGTGTGTTGTTCCCCTCTATGTGTCCATGAGTCCTCATCATTTACCTTCCACTTATAAGTAAGAACATGTGGTATTTGGTTTTCTGTTCCTGCATTAGTTTGCTAAGGATAGTGGCCTCCAGCTCCATCCACATCCCTGAAAAGAACATAATCTCATTCTTTTTTGTGGCTGCATAATATTCCATGGTATATATGTACCACATTTTCTTTATCCAGTCTATCATTGGTGGACATTTGGGTTGATTTCATGTGTTTGCTATTGTGAATAGTTGAAATGGCATATCTTTCATTGTTCATTAACTAAATTTATGATTTTTATTTTTAAAACACAAGTATTTTCACTTGTGTAAAAAACATTTTTGTCCTTATTTTTTTGGAAAAAACTTTCCAAATGAAATAAATCAAATGAATGCAGATTTCTTAAATAATCTGTGTTTTTTTGTAAAACAGAAATCTATTTTAATGTGTTGAAGCAGAACTTTATCAAACTAGTGCTTCCAGTAAGATAATTTCACAACTGACAGGTTAAATGAAGAGGAATTCTGACTGATGGCAAGTCAGAAAACTTTGGTCATTTATCTTTCCTTTCACACAGGAAAGATAATTCCAGGATAAAATGACTGCTGGCAGTAGGAAGAGGAAGACAAAAAGAGACAAGAAATTGAGATACTTCAAATGTCAATGGGACTGGAAAGGATTTGATAAAGGTGGGTGGCCGCTGTTCCCCTACCTTTGGGCTACGATATTTCCTTTGGAAAGGAGGATTTGGCTGAAAGGTGGTGAAGTAAAATTCCTCAATACCTCAGTTAATGAGCACAGTGCCTTTCCTGGAGGGTCTCTGTGGTATTCTTCCTATTCTTTCTTATACTTCTGTATTACATGTTGCCTCACCATCAGTTTCCTCATCAGAACATTTCCCCATCTCAACTCATACTTCTGTACCAGCTCTCATCCTATTCTCACTTTCTAAGCAATTATGAAATTTCAAGTAAAAAGCAATAAATTCCTCACATTACAAGATCAAAACCAAAACCACCCTTTTACATCTTTGGAATAAAAGCTACAGAAATTACATTCTTATGTCAGCACCAAACTTTAATGCCTAAGAGAAATACACTAGATTCCACTTTTCCACTGTATCAGTCCCAAGCATATCCTAGGTTACATTAGAAACTACTGCCTCTCTTCCTCATTGTATGCACAGTATACAAATTCAGATCCTACACGGTTGATTTTAAATCAAAAGGTCATTTGTCTTTGTGGACAGAAAGATGAGCCATAGTAGGTTAGTATCCTCTGCAATAAACTCGTATATCATTGGAACTTTTCATCAAGGCAAGCTTCGTAATGTTGACTAATTATTACTTTATTTATTTGTTAAGGCCTGTCTTTCCCACTGGAACAGATACCATATGAGGAGGACAATAGTTGGCACATACCATATTGTTTGTCACTCAGTGGAAGTTCAATAAATATTTACTGAATAATAATATACTGTTATACTAAAAGTTTATATGGCAGTGAATAATAGAGTGTCAGTTAAAAAAATACTTCATCCTAGAATAATATTAGAAGAATTTGTCCACTTAGAGCTGCATCAAAGGGAAGATGGATTCATCTTAGTGTTTTTCATTCTATAAAGTCTGCAATGCCAGACAGTTTTCAAAGCCCAAGGGGACAATGAGCCAACAGTCTTATCTTTTTCCATACTCCTGATATCATTGCTCCTAGTATCATTACTGCTTAGCTAGGATTTTATGATGTTTCTATCAAATAACTGCAACTGTGTCTTTGGAAGTCTTTCTAGTAGGTAACACGGACAGGACTCAATTGAGTAAATAGCATTCAGCAGCTCCATATACCAATTCAGAGTGTATGGGGATTTCATTTAAAATGGCCTTAAAATTGCATTTCTGTTTATACTCTGATGCTCAAAAACCTTAAGGCACTTATAAATTTTAATGAAATTAAAGACTTCTTTTTCTTGTATGTATTTCTTGGCTCAGAATTAAATTCTTTATGGTTTATTTACAGTTACCAGGACTTTACTGATTACTAACCTGGACAATGCCTGTTGGCTATTTACATCTTAAAATATGTCCAGTTAAATAAAGCTTATATTAAATTAGAAGTACTTTCCTGAGGAATTTTTATTTTGAAAAGAAAGATCTCCCCCCCTAATAATATGAAAAAAGCTAATTATAAAAATACACTGTTAGCAATAATGGGGGTCATATAAAGAATACCAGCTTTAGAGCTTTATCTGTCAACCATGAAACTGCATTTTAGTTTTCTGATTTTAGATTTCTGTAAAATGGTAATGATAATATTTACATCTCAAGTTGTGAAAATTAAACAACAAATTCATGCTATTGCTAATTACATTTTTTAATGACTGATAAATTCTTCTAAATTTTATATTAGAAAAAAAGCTTAAATCTTAATAACTGTGGGTGTTCTTTGGTCAAAGAAGGTAAGCTATGAAAGTTAACATTTATTTCTATTTGCATTGACTCCCAGGAAGCATACAGGATGCATATAATAACTTCAAAAATATGTCTACAGTATTTCTTGAATTTCCTTACCTTTTCATCTATTACTATCATTTCTGGTAGACAGAATGGTCCCCCAAAGATGTCCATGCACTGCACCCTGGACTCTGGGAATATGCCACATTACATAGCAAAAGGACCTTTTCAAATGTAATTAAGGTAATGAACCTTAAAATAGGGAGATTTTCCTAGATCACCTGAGTGGGCCCAATCTAATTACATAAGCCCTTAAAAGCAGGGAAACTTCTCTGACTGGAAGGCAGAAGGGATAAGGGAGAATGGATAGTCAGAGAGATTAAATGCACAAGAAAGATTCAATGTGTCTTTGTTAGCTTGAAGATGAAGGAGGTCATATGTCCAGGAAAATGGGAACCTGAGGTCCACAACCACAAGGCACTGAGCTCCGCCAACAACTGAATGACCTTGGAAATGGAGTCTTGCCTTGAGTCTTAAGATAAAATCCGAGCGTGGATGACACCTTGATTTTGGTCTTGTGAGACACAGAGCAGAGAAGCCAGTAGAGCTCACCTAGTCTTAGGATGGCATGGTAAATGTGCATTGTTTTAAGTTGCTAAGCTAATGATAATGGGTTACGGCCTCAATAGGAAACTGATACACCATAGATCATGCCCTCATCATTTCTACTCTAATCTAAAAAAAGTTGTCCCTTATTCTTGATCTCTAGTCTTTCTTATTGACAAAATGTTTCTAATTTACGTTGTCATGACTCTGCTTGAAATTCTACAACAGATCCCTATTGCCAACCCTAGGTTTCTAACTCCTTCAACCAACATGATTTGTAATCTGGCCCCAATCTCTATTGCTAGTCTCATTTATCACTATGTGTCAAATACTCTCTGTCTGCTCATACATAAGATACCTTTCCATATTTCTGAGTCTAATATTTCCCATGTCCAAAATGTCCAGGCCATATTCTCAGCATCTTCACAATTTAAACATTATCCATACTTCAAGGTTCAGATCAATTGGTACCCTGGCAACAATGCTGGAAGGAATCATTTCCACTATTACATTAATGACAATATAATAATAATATTAATGATAACAGCTAAACTTATGTTAACAATAATATTAATAACAGCTGTCATTTAATAGAAACTTAGTATATGTTAGACAAAGTTTTAAGCGCTTAGTATAAGTGCTCATAACAACTTCATGGAGTAGGAGGATAGAGTCCATAATTTTTACAGCTGAGAAAATGGAGATTGAGAGAAGTAACTTGCCCAGGTGGCAGAATTGGGACCTGAATTCAGGCCTGCTTGAACTCTAAAATTTATGTTTTCTTCATTCTGCCACACTCCCTTACAGAATCTTGCTAATCCTCATGATGTTCCACCTTGTTTTATGTTTACTCAAGCTGACAACTCATTTCCTCTAGTAGATTTTAAGATCCTAAGAATATAGAAGCTATGAGGTAGTAGGGACAATGTTTTGTCAAGTTATGTCTTTCATGGCATCCATTAAAATGATTCTTACAAATAGTGTAGTTGATAAAAATGTTTATTTAATGAATAAATGTATGAATAATATTACTGACTTAGGGAAATGATTAAAATACCATAAGAATACATTAGCAAATTATTAATAATTTGATTATGACTGCAACCTTCATGTTTGGAAAGGGATAACGCAAGATAATTTGCATTTGTAGCTGTAGATATAAATATTCCTTAACAAAAGCTTTCAAGAGTTCTACTTATTTCCATAAACAATAATGAAACACTAGAATATGAGATGATAAATAAGAAACATTTGACATATATCCATATGATCATTTATAGCTTCAAAACATCAATATATCAGTTTAATACCTTGGGGAATACAGTTTTAAGTTATCTTCTCTAAAGAGATTAAATTGTTATTCATTCATTTGTTCACTCATTTATTCATACATGCATTCTAACAAATACTGAGTATTTTGTGGATATCAACTATTATCTTAGGTACCAGAGATGTAAAAATGAATGAGATATAGCTCCTTCCCTCAAGAAATTTATAGTCTGATGGGATTTGGACAAATGCAAATAAGTTATAATATATGTTATTATTAATATACAGATGACTCTTTTTTTTTTTGAGATGGAGTCTTGTTCTGTCACCCAAGCTGGAGTGCAGTGGCACCATCTCAGCTCACTGCAACCTCTGCCTTCCAGGTTCAAGTAATCCTCCCGCCTCAGCCTCCCAAGTAGCTGGGATTACAGGTGCCAGCCACCATGCCCACCTAATTTTTGTATTTTTAGTAGAGACGGGGTTTCACCATGTTGGCTAGACTGCTCTTGAACTCCTGACCTCAGTTGATCGGCCCGCCTTGGCCTCCCAAATTGCTGGGATTCCAGGCATGAGCCACCGTGCCCAGTCAGATGACTCTTAAGATTGAAAAAACCTGCTTCTAGTTTTCTATTTTAAAAAAGTTTATTTTTAACTCAACAAAAACCCCCTGGAACCTGATTAAGAAATGGGCAAAGGTCTCCAATAAACAGTGTTCTAAAGAAGATAAACAAATGATCTATGAGCATATGAAAAGATGCTCAATACCACTAATCATTAGGGAAATGCAAATCCAAACCACAATGAGATACCACCCTCATACTCATTAGAATGGCTATTATCAGAAACCACCCCCACAAAAAAAATTAAGTATTGGCAAGGATCTGAAGAAATTGGAACTCTTGTGCACTACTGGTGGGAATATAAACTTGTACAGCTGCTATGAAAACCAGTATGGCCTGCCCAAGGTAATTTATAGGTTCAATGCTATCCCCATCAAGCTGCCACTGACTTTCTTCACAGAATTGGAAAAAACTACTTTAAAGTTCATATGGAACCAAAAAAGAGCCTGCATAGCCACGATAATCCTAAGCAAAAAGAACAAAGCTGGAGGCATAATGCTACTTGACTTCAAACTATACTACAAGGCTACAGTAACCAAAACAGCATGGTACTGGTACCAAAACAAATATATAGACCAATGGAACAGAATAGAGGCCTCAGAATTAACAACACACATCTACAACCATCTCATCTTTGACAAACCTGACAAAAACAAGCAATGGGGAAAGGATTCCTTATTTAATAAATGGTGCTGGGAAAACTGGCTAGCCATATGTAGAAAGCTGAAACTGGATCCCTCCCTTACACCTTATACAAAAATTAACTCAAGATGGATTAGAGACTTAAATGTAAGACCTAAAACCATAAAAACCCTAGAAGAAAACCTAGGCAATACCATTCAGGATATAGGCATGGGCAAAGACTTCATGACTAAAACACTAAAAGCAATGGCAACAAAACGCAAAATAGACAAATGGAATCTAATTAAACTAAAGAGCTTCTGCACAACAAAAGAAACTATCATCAGAGTGAACAGGCAACCTACAGAATGGGAGAAAATTTTTGCAATCTATCCATCTGAAAAAGGGTTAATATCCAGAATCTACAAAGAACTTAAACAAATTTACAAGAAAAAAAACAACCCCATCAGAAAGTGGGCAAAGGATATGAACAGACACCTCTCAAAAGAAGACATTTATGCAGCCAACAGACACATGAAAAAATGCTCATCATCACTGGTCATCAGAGAAATGCAAATCAAAACCACAAAGAGATACCATCTCACTCCAGTTAGAATGGCAATCATTAAAAAGTCAGGAAATATCAGATGCTGGAGAGGATGTGGAAAAATAGGAATGCTTTTACACTGTTGGTAGGAGTGTAAATTAGTTCAACCATTGTGGAAGACAGTGTGGCGATTCCTCAAGGATCTAGAATTAGAAATACCTCTTGACCCAGCAATCCCATTACTGGGTATATACCCAAAGGATTATAAATCATGCTACTATAAAGACACACGCACACATATGTTTATTGCGGCACTATTCACAATAGCAAAGACTTGGAACCAACCCAAAGGTCCATCAATAATAGACTGGATAAAGAAAATGTGGCACATATACACCACAGAATACTATGCAGCCATAAAAAAGGACGAGTTCATGTCCTTCGCAGGGACATGGATGAAGCTGGAAACCATCATTCTCAGCAAAATATCACAAGGACAGAAAACCAAATACTGCATGTTCTCACTCATAAGTTGGAGTTGAACAATGAGAACATATGGATACAAGGAGGGGAACATCATACACTGGGGCCTATTGGGGGAGGGATAGCGTTAGGAGAAATATCTAACGTAAATGACGAGTTGATGGGTGCAGCAAACCAACATGGCACATGTATACCTATGTAACAAACCTGCACGTTGTGCACATGTACCCTAGAACTTAAAGTATAATAATAATAATAACAATAATTAGAAAACCAGTATGGCAGTTCCTCAAAAAACAAAAATTAAATTATCATATGATCCAGCAATTCCACTTCTGGGTATATCCCCAAAATAATTGAAAGGAGGGCCTGTTAGAAATATTTGTACCCCCATATACATAGTAGCATTATTCACAATAGCCAGAAGGTGAAGGAACCCAAGTGCCTACTGACAGATGAATGGATAAACAAAATGTGGTGTATACATGTACATACACACAATGGAATATTATTCAGCCTTAAAAAAGAAGCAAATTCTGATGAGTAGAAATATCTAGAGCAGTCAAATTCACAAAGACAAAGTAAAATGGTGGTTACTAAGGGCTGGGAAGAGGGAAGAATGAAGAGTTATTGCTTAATGGATACATAGTTTAAGTTTTGCAACTGAAAAGAGTTGTGGAGATGGATTGTGGTGATAGTTGCACAACATAATGAACATATTTAAAAGCACTTAACTGTACACTTAAAAATGGTTAACAGGTAAACTTTATGTCACGTGTATTTTACCACAATTAAAAGTATTTTAAAAATATGTTTTTTAGAAGAAAAATATGAAATCCAATTCAAATTTAAGAAATGCTAAATTAGTTTCCAAGAACAATAAAACTATCTTTCTTAGCTACATGCCGAGCCTAGATGCTATATAAGTACCTTAACACAATTTATGATAATGTTAACACCAGCTTTCACTTACAGAAAATGTTTTGTTTACCTCATCTACAATACTTGAGTCACTTGTAGTAAATAACATACAGTAGCATGATTCAATATTTTTAAATAATGAAGGATAATATTATAAGGGCTAAAACACTGTTATAATTTTAAAGGCAAGAAATATGCCTAAATTTAGTGGTAAAGGCACATTGTTAGAATCCTACATTAACATGCCATATCCTATAGGGTTAGTTTGAGATTTGTGATGATGTGAAAAGATAATACTATTACTTAACATCTCTTTCATTCTTATTACTTGTTTCCACAGATATTACTGTATTTAATGTACGCTTGTGTATTAATAGGGCATACATCAAGTCACTTTCTGTATGCCTGGTCTGAATGCTGTTCAAAAAAATAAGCATTAGGAAGGATGGATCCAGGATTACAGTGAGTTGGCCAGCAATTGAGTTTCTCTGTTTCCTTAGCAAACATCCACTTAGCACTGTTACATACTAGGTCAGTAGTTATAAATCTCTAAAAATCTCACTTCTAGTTCTGTAAAAATTTATTTATAAATGATGCACATATTCTACTACACTTTAACAATACATAAAATATATGCAGATATTTTTAAAGGTGATTAAAATTCAATAAATATTTGCAAATAGTTATTTTAAATAATAAAATAAGACTTATGCTCTCAGGAAACATATTTGAAGTAAAGTGCCTTATAATTTCTGAAAACAGTGGCTTAATGCTGTGTGGCAGTATTAGATTGTGGTTTGCTTATCAAACCTGTTTGCTCTTTTTCCTGGGCACTCTCTAAGGCTATAAATTTCCCAATGTCCCATTTTCCAGTATGAGCCTTCTGACTAAGCAGCCAATGGAATAGAAGCAGAAGTGATGTTACCATTTCCAATTCCTGTCCGTAAAAACTTCCCAGGTAGTGGCTGAAGAGAGAGGGCTCTAAGGCCTTCTAAGAGGGAAAGCCCACAAGATGAAAAAAGTCTTGAGCCCTGGATGACTACAGAAAAGGCCACTGCCTACTGGAAATATCTAAATTGGACTGATATTTGATGAATAAATGAACTTTTGTATTAAGTTTTCAGGGTTTGTATATATTACAGCAGGTAATGTATGTTAGGTAAATACAGTATTTTGAAGGTTGGCTTCCAAATTCAGTTTTCTCATAGTTAGTTTTAATTATGTCATAGTTGAAAAAGAAACATCACAAAGACACACCATAGGCCATGTAAAGTATAAACCTAGGGTAAGGTTTCTTGTTAATAATAGTAGATGTAAATCCATATGTTATTCATCTTTTTGATAACTTAGAATTTTTTGGTAAACTTCTTGTCAGATCTTAAAGTGTCATAGTGTCTTTATTGGGGGCTGATGAAGAGCTTAACTAGGAGTGAAAGTTGCAAACTTGGTATCATCTTCAAACCACAGTTTCATCGCAAGAATCTTTTTAAGCCACTTTCCTATTTTCTCATTGTTAGTGTAGTTGAAACTAACACCCCCAAGGCCGGCGCAGTGGCTCATGCCTGTAATCCCAGCACTTTGGGAGGCCGAGGCGGGTGGATCACCAGGTCAAGAGATCAAGACCACCCTGGCTAACACGGTGAAACCCCATCTCCACTAAAAATACAAAAAATTAGCCGGGCATGGTGGTGGGCGCCTGTAATCCCAGCTACTCGGGAGGCTGAGGCAGGAGAATGGCATGAACCTGGGAGATGGAGCTTGCAGTGAGCCGAGATCGCGCCACTGTACTCCAGCCTGGGCGACAGAGCAAGACTCTGTCTCAGAAAAAAAAAAAAAAAAAAAAGCAAGGCCGGGCGCGGTGGCTCATGCCTGTTATCCCAGCACTTTGGGAGGCCGAGGCGGGCAGATCACGAGGTCAGGAGATCGAGACCATCCTGGGTAACACGGTGAAACCCTGTCTCTACTAAAAATACAAAAAATTAGCCAGGCGTGGTGGCGGGCGCCTGTAGTCCCAGCTACTTGGGAGGCTGAGGCAGGAGAATGGCGTGAACCCGGGAGGAGGAGCTTGCAGTGAGGTGAGATCGCACTACTGCACCCCAGCCTGGGAGACAGAGCGAGACTCCATCTCAAAAAACAAAACAAAACAAAAACAACAAAAAACAAAAAAAACTAACACCCCCAGAAAGGCATGAGACCTTCTGGCATTTAGACTGAGAATACTAGGTGAAGCCATATATTAAATATTTGTAAAGTTTAATTTCTTTTTTGTTTTTTAGATTAAAAAAAAAAGTAAACTCTACTATTTCTTTCCATTCCCCAGGGAAGTGTATCATGTAGCCTCATGGAATTCATGGCCCTTTCATTGAGGATCACCATATGTGATACAATACTAGAAACTGAGAAGGATAAACTAAACAAGAAAAACAGTTTAGGCAAGAGATAGATGAGTAAATGATTACAGTTGCTAAATGTTATAACAACAGTTACTTTAAAGTACTGTGTGAGCTTATAAATTATTACAAGATGAAAAGAGCGCAGATGCCTGAGTGACCACAGGTTACAACCAATGATCTCCACTTAAGTTCTGGATCTCACCTACCCAATTGTTCCCACAAGTAAGTCCCTGTTTTTAAAAAACAAAGCTCTTCTTTGATTCTCTCTCCCTCAAGTTATAGTCCTATTTTAAAATTTCTATTTCTTATTTGTTTTAAAAAATCCCAGAAAGAATTGTTTTTAACTGTGCTATCCAGTAATCACTAGTCGCATGTGCCTATTTGAATTTAAAATAATTTAATTAAAAATGTAAAGGAATTAAAAATCCAGTTAACTTAGTTACCCTAGCCACATTTCAAGTGTTCAATGGCCACATGTGACTAGCGCTACCATATTGTACAGGACAGGGCAGATGTAGGAGATTGCCATCACTGCCAAAAGTTCTATTTAACAGTGCTATTCTAGACTGTAACAGAAAAATTAAAAGTGAAGTATCCAGATCCAGATTGTCTGGATTCAAATTCCAACTTCCACCCATGACATTAGCTGGGTAAATTTGGGGAATTTATTTCCTGTCTCCCTACTTTTTCCCCCCATCTATCGAATGGAGATAATAACTCATTCCTCCTTCATAACTTTGTTGTGAGGTTTAAATGATTTACATGTAAATGCTTTGAACTGTGACTAGCACATAATAAGTGCTTAAAAAGTGTTAGGTGTTCATATTTTTATTCTCACTGACTCTAACTCACCTCTTCGTTTTCTTTACATGCTCCCATCAGGCTTTGTCCACCACTGCAAGGTTTGTCAAGGTATACCAAATTTCTCCATCTTGCCAAATTCAATGGTAAATTATCAGTCTTCATCTTACTTGACCTGTCAGAGTCCCTGACACAGTTGATCATGTCCTGCTTCTTAAAATATTTTCTTCATTTGGTTTCTAAGATATCCTTTTTTTGTTTTTCCTTTAATGGTTGCCTTCTCTTAAGCCTCTGATGAATTTTCTTCTTCTTCCTGACCTCTAAATGGTAGAATGTCTTAGGGCTCAGTCTTTAGTTTTCTTCTTGATTCAAGTTACCATATATAATCTTATCCAGTTCTATGGCTTCAAATGCTACCCGCGGATTACTCCTAAATTACATCCTTAGCTTTGATCTACTGGGCTCTGAATTCATCTATGCACTTAATCATGTAATAACTGTACTTAGATGTCTAATGGACATCTCAAAATCAAAATCATGTCTAAAACAGAACTCTTGATTCCCCTATGAGGCTGAATTGGCTACTGATGTCTTATATCTACCATGTGATTTTAATGTACTTTTCTTACATTTAAAAATATTATCTTTATAGAAATGCTGTTAGGATAGCACGTGTCAATTCCATCAGTCAGATAGACATACTATGACTCAGATCTGCTGGATAAGTTTTTAAAGAGTCCATATTTAATATATAACCCAGAGTAAGCAATAGAATTCAAGTCTCCTTATTCCCTCTATATGCTCTCTACTAGGTTATGATGCCTATCAAGTCATACTCAATTCTTTAGAAACAGTGATTTAAAAGATGAGTTTCCAATTAACAGGCAATGGAACATACAAATAGTGTGACAGAAGAGAGTTATAACTTAGCCTCTATGTGTGTTGGTCAACATACCTTTATAAAAGGTTTCTCCTTTGCCAATTATTATTTACATATAATTACTGTGATATCATCCAGAATCATTTCACTATTCTTTAGGAAGACCCCGTTTTGCTGAGTTTCTACTCTTCAGAAGGGAGGTAAGTTGTCTTGTCTGATCTTGAAATCCATGGTGGTACAATAACATTTATTTTTACAATAGTAAATACCATCTCAAAATATTGAAATCATTATGATACATCATTCATCACATGATGACTCTTTAACTTAATTACATATAGATCTTCACATAGAGACCAGGAAAATAAAGAGAATACTAAACAAGTCTTTGAAAATACAAACATATAGCTGAAAACACACAAAGAATTTCTTTGTTTCAGGCAAGTTACTCAATACATCTTATATATTTATGTCTGAAGAAAGAAGCTATTATAAGATCCAGCATTATAAAACTAGTTCATTATTGTAGATAATGACTTTTGATAATTTAATATCTAAGCTACTAGATCATATGCTCAAATACTGAAATTTGAAGATTTGTTTCAAATACTTTTGGAGCTTATGATTCCATTTTTTTCTTAAGAAAATAAAGCATAATTAAAACCTTATTTTGAACACATATACATATGCACACAAATACAGAACTGAGAAACCCATTGGAAGTTTGAAATCCAGTAATTGTAAAACAATCTCTGTTGGCTATGCTACAGTTAAACTTGGGCTTTAAAATGAGAGATAATCTGAATTCTATTGTCAGCAGGTCAAATCTATTAAGGGGAGTAGGTATGAATAACTGCAAATTTTAAGAACAATTAAAAATGTACCCATTATAATGTCACTGAATAGTAATGAAGACAGTGACAAAGAGATTTTATCATTTGCTATGTAATATATAGGAAGGAACTTTATGATATAACAAGAAACAAGACTACATTTCTTAAATCTGCCAACATCACAATGTTTTTGAGACAAAAACCTATAACTACTCATACATGAAAATCAGTGTTGTTACAGAATCTCAATGTATGGTCAATAGAGCTATAATTTTGTAATACAAATACAATCAAAGAAAGATATATGGGACAGTTGTGCCAAACATGTAAAGACATGAAATTGATTATTGAGAAATACTGACCCTTCTGTTTTTGAATATTCTACCCTCTTAATTTCTGTGATACTATCCTCTCATAATTTTGGTCTTTTCTTTGTGATTGTTCCTTCTTCTTCTTCTTGGGCTCTTCCTCCGCGCAATTCTAAAATGTTAATCTTCCACAGGGCATTGTCTTGGCCTACTGCTGTTTTATCTGTATAATTCTTCTTGGGCAATTTCAGCCACGTTCATGAGTTTAAGTATTACCTAAACTTTGTAACTCTCAGATTTATGTCCCTGCTTCTGACACAAGCTTCAAAAGTGTTTATTTAAATGTTCTAGACATTTCCACTTGGAAATTTTCACATATATCACAAATTCAAAATTTCATAAATCAAAGACTCATCCCTCTTCCTCTTTCCCCAACATCTCTTTTTTTTTTTCTGGAGTTGGGGGAGTGCAGGACAGAGTCTCGCTCCGTCACCCAGGCTGGAGGGCAGCAGCCAATCTCGGCTCACTGTAACCTCTGTCTCCTGGGTTGAAGCAATTCTCATGCCTCAGCCTCCAGTGTAGCTGGGACTACAGGCATAAGTCATCATGAGGGGCTAACTTTTGTATTTTTTGTAGAGATAGGGTTTTGCCATGTTGCCCAGGCTGGTCTCAAACTCCTGACCTCAAGTGATCTGCCTGCCTTGGCCTCCCAAAGTGCTGGGATTACAGGCATCAGTCACCATGCCGCAACCACTCCTCTTATACTTCCAATATCCATTAATGGCACTACCATCCACTCAGTGATGCAAGTCAGAAATATGGGAGTCATCTTAGAATTTTCTCTCCTTCACCTCCTCATATCCAATCAGTCACTTAATCAGGTAAATGACTACTAATTTTGCTCTTTAAAAATTCCCTGAATCTATCATTCCCTCTCTATCTTTATTACGGCTGGCTTAGCTCAGGATCTTATCTTTTGTCTGAATTATCATACTTCTCTGTTAATTCATCCTTAAATGCTCTTTTCCAGGTATGGACTTAAGTTTACCTCTTTATTGTAGCCCCACTAGAATATAAGCTCCAAGAGAAGAAGGATTTCTGTCTTCTGTTTTCTTTAGGATAGTCCCTGGCAAATGATAGGTACTCAAAAATTATTTGTTACATAAACAAATGGCAGCCTGAATGGCCTAAAAACTATACATAAAGTACATACAAATATGACCATATCAATCCTCTACTGAGAACCTTTTAAAACTTCCTATCATCTATAATTATGATCTGAGATGCTCTATGACCTGGTCTCTATTTATCTACTAGCCTCATCTCTAGCTATTTAGTCCAATATTTTATGTTAAAATTATGTAACTGTTTATCATTCCTGCACATATCATGGATCTATGCCTTGTTTCTTACGGTTTCTATCTAGAACACCTTTCTAATCGTCTTTTACCTAGTTAGCAGCCACTTGAGTCACTGAGATGACACCTCTGATGAGGCATCATCTCCAGGAATTCATTCCTGGAGTTCCAGGTTGAGTCAAGTGGCCTTCCTCTGAGCATCCAGTGTACCATCTGTGTAACTCTAGATTCACCACTGGCGTATGACCTTGAAGCAATCTGTTTAAGTATCTGTCCTCTATTAGACTGTAAGCAACTTGGGTTATAAATGATTTCCTATTCATCTTTTTTCTTCATGTGTCTGGCACACGGTAAGCGTTCAATACTTATAAATAAGAACCCTGAGTGAATGGAATTAATTATTTAGTTTCATATATTTTCTAACTTGTAGTCTTACTAACGTCCATTTTAGGTTCCTAATTTAAAAAAAATTAGTAGACTTTATTTTTTAGAGAAGTTTTAGATTGACAGATGTTTGTAAGTTTTAAAGAAAAACATGCAATGAAGTTCTATTAGAGAAGTATAAAAAAACCTCAATTTCAAAAGGCCAACATGTATCATATTAGCACAACATAGTTAATTAGGTATAAATACTAACAATTTTAAAAATCATTAAAATATGATCTGTATGTCCACTGTCCATAAATTAAACTTCTATTTATATATTAAAATGCAAAATAGTATTTTACAACACCAAATTAAAAATCCTATGACAAAAATCACTTTAAATATCTTTAGTTACAACCAGAATATAAAAAATACCACCAAATAATTATTTCAATATAATATTGTTAAATAAGACTAAATTCCCAGAATCACAAGTACGGTTTGCAAAAATCAAGATTAGCCGGGTCCAGGAATTAATGTAACCTTAAATTCTTTTGTGCTGTAGATTTATATCTGACTTCTATGTACAAGAGTCCTAGTAGTCAAACACAAATTAGATTTAATCCAGCTGCCTATAATTTATTTTGCTATAAAAGAAACACCATATTACATGCATTTGTTTGTCAAGTAGAAGATATGCTATTATTTCCAAGATACCAAGGATTTAATGTTTAATTATCTACACCCATTTGAAAAAAGACATTGCTTTGATTCACAAATTTCTTAATTGCTAACAGTGGCTTTTCTGAGTAGGAGTGTTGTATATAATTTATTTTTGCAGATGTGATTTAGCAACTGAATTTTAAAGTAGCAAAGCTTTGAATATCTTCACTGTCAGCAGAAAATTCCTCCATCCCTGCTGCTGGAGAATATTGCTGTTTGAAGTTTTAACAGGGAAATAAAAATTGCAGTGAGAAAATTGATAACTACTGGTAAATGTTGCTTACAAACTGAAAAGGAAGTTGGGTTGTCAGCAAAACAAGAACTGTATTATTCACACAAAATATGAGAAGTCATCTTCACAGCATCTTGCTGGGAATGGAAATTAATTTAGCTGGTTCCAACTTGAGGAACCTAAAGAAAAGCAAATATCCCCCATTTCAGATTATCTTTACAAAGGATCAGCAGCTGGCAATTGGGTGTCACAGCGTAACTCCTCCCTGAGGAGGAAAGACATTATCTACATTTTAAGAACACTGGCCAAGGTTCACTTGGAAGCAGGCTCATTGATCACTGGAAAAAACATCATTGTTGATTTCAGAAAGGTTAACTAGTTTAAAATGCCCTTTCCCTCTGGAACATGTCATCATCCACACATTACTGCAATAAAATGAGTAAGAGAAAAGAAATATATCTTGTAATGACAACTCAAATATCAAGTTAAAAGTAACATTGAAATTCCTACCCGTTTGGCTGAGCTGAGAAGCACTGCGACTTTTCCGTGACAGACCAACGATAGCTACCATTTTGGCACCAAGGCTAGAGCGCCGCTTTTTGCCACTGGTGCCCAAGGTGCCCACTGCAGTGTCAGACTGGCTGCCATCATTCTTCTCCAGTGAGCACATGTCTCCACTGATGCTGGTGCTTTTTGTCATGTTCTTCCCTGATATGCCCATTTGTCTGCTTTGCATTTTGGATGTAAAGACACTGTCAGCCGATGGATCATTAAAAGTGAGGACAAGAGTAAAAAGGAAAAGACAGAAAATGCATTTTAGATAAAACATTTGGAGTATAATTAAATTATATCATCTATGGAATATATTTTTAGGAGTTAAAAAATTTCAAATACCATGGTCTTGATTGTGCTTTGTTACTCTGGGCCAACCTTAGAGCAAATATGCAAAATCAGATTTATGATTTTATTTCTGCTGTCAAAGACAAGGTGCAAATTTGCATGATCACAGGAAAAAAATTCATGAAAAATCAGTGGGTTCATTTAAGACACTATGCTGTCCTGCAGCACCTAAAGGTAGCCATACGACATAAGGGAGAAGCTTACAAAAACATTCTTCTCTATTTTACTGTTGCCTTCAAAAGGTAATTAGACAAGTGGGAAAATTTTACCAAAAAAAAAAAAAAAAAAAGGCTGATAATATAATATCCATTTCAAGAGTGGCCCTGTAAGTTTTCTTATAATAAGGTTTATCTAATAATGGTTAAATTTTCTAAAAAGGCTTGCTATTTTCATTAGCTTTGAATTAAAAAATAACTTTATTTCACTTTACTTAATCATTACTGATATAAATCTATATTACAAAAATAAAGAAAAGAAAGATTTTCTTCTTGCACTCTTTTGAAAGAAAGAAAAATCATTATCAGTTTTCCAGACAGTGTGCCAGAAAGCAATCGATGAATCACTGAGGCATGTGAGCTGATTGATAATCTACTGCAAGACTAATACTGCAACTGGGAGTAATTAAAGAAATGACTTTGGATTTTTCCACGATTTCTGGGGTATGGTAGAGGTAGATTAGAAAGCGAAGAATCTGGAAGCAGGCTATCCAGCTAGCCCCCATAAACCTAGGAGGACTATGAGGGAAGCAGTCTGTTTTGCAGGAATGAAAATACTTATTTACACATCAATTTTTGACTCAGTATTAGAAAGTTTTACTTTGGTTCTGATAATGAATGTTTAATACATAAAGTAATAAAAAAGAATAAAAATCAAGAAACAGAAATATCTTTAAACATTATTTAAAGGATGAGAATTAGAAAACTAACTTATTGAGGTGAACTCTTATGTCTAATTCAATATCTTTGTCTTCCAGAAAAAAAAAAGTGTTTTCTATCCTAGAGTAAAATCTGGTTAAAGGCTAGAACCACATATTACTTTTATTAACCTATGTAATATCTTCTCCAAGTATTTAGGCGGTAAAAGACCCAGTGTGAAATTTAAAAAATATATAGTGAAGTATACTATTATATCCCTCACATTTGTTTTAAGAAAAAAATGTGGCATACATAGTCAGAAACAGGACAAAGAGAGTTAGTGTGTGTGTGTGCGAGGGAGAGAGAGAGAAGGCGCAGGTGGGTGGGGAGAGAAGAGAAAAGAAGAGAAGAGAAGAGAAAAGAGATGAGAATATGTTTCTGCAATATCCTGAAATGATAATTTTCAAGTTTGTTTTATTTTGATAGAAAGTAAAAAGAAAAGGCTTGTTATCGTTTAAAAGAGCCAAAGTTTAACAGAAACTAAGGCTTTTTATATAACCTATGTTCCATACTCAGAATAACCTAGTGTTTCTGTTATATAGCAATTTTTGGGTGTGCACAGTGGCTCACGTCTGTAATACTAGCACTTAGGGAGGCTGAGGCATGACGACTGCTTAAGCCCAGGAGTTTGATACCAGCCTGGCAACATGTGAGACCCCATCTTTACAAAAAAGTAAAAAATTAGCCAGGCATGGTGGCACATGCCTGTAGTCCCAGCTACTTCGGAGGCACAGGAGGATCACCTGAGCCCGAGATGTTGAGATTGCAGTGAGCCGAGATGGTGCCACTGCACTCCAGCTTTGATGACAGAGTTAGATCCCGTCTCAGAAAAAAGAAAAAGAAATTTTTATTCAAAACATATACTCTTCTAAAGAACCACCTAATCTACTAATTACCAAGGATGTCAAAGATACACTCACAAAATTGTATCTTGTGATTTTTGCATTTGAATTTTTATGTTTGAATATCAAGGCCATAAAGAACTTGACCAAAATCAAATAAGACACTACAATAAAATACTAACTGGAACTGATACATCATTTTGCAGATAAACAATATTTTAATGAGAACTTTGTTTGAAACAAGTGCACTTCTCTTCAACCTAACAACTTTAATAAAGCATTATTTACAAAAGGAGTTATTTCTTTTTATTCATTTGTTTTTTAGAGATGGTGTTTTGCTCTGTCACCCAGGCTAGGGTGCAGTGGTGCAATCATAGCTCATCGTAACCTCGAACCCCTGGGCTCAAGTGATTTTGATTTTCCTGCTTTAGCTTCCTAAGTGCTAGGACTACAGTGCATGCCAGCACACCTGGCTTTTTTTTTTTTTTTTTTTTTTTTGGGAGAGGAGACAGGTTCTCACTGTGTTGCCCGGGCTGGTCTCAACTCCTGGACGCAAGTGATCCTCTCTCCTGATCCTCTCAAAGTCCTGGGATTACAGGCTTGAGCCACCGAGCCTGGCCCAAAAGGGGTTATTAAAAGTTTTATAAGATGGATGCTCTTTTTATTTCCTTGAAACTTAGAGATCACCAGGGATGAGTTTATGAATAGTAGCACTAGAGTGGTGTGTTTTGATGAGAGAAAGATTGCAGCGAGGGTTCCTTTTCTTTCTTCACTGGATATCATCTAAAACGATAAGCAAAAAATGTTGTAAGCAAATAAGCTACCATTTTTCTTTTTTTTTGAGATGGAGTTTCGCTCTTGTTGCCCAGGCTGGAGTGCAATGGCGCGATCTAGCTCACCGCAATCTCTCCTCCCGGGTTCAAGTGATTCTCCTGTCGCAGCCTCACAAGTAGCTGGGATTGCAGGCATGCACCACCATGTCCGGCGAATTTATTTATTTATTTATTTATTTATTTATTTATTTATTTATTGTATTTTTAGTAGAGACGGGGTTTCTCCATGTTGGTCAGGCTGGTCTTGAACTCCTGACCTCAGGTGATGCTCCCGCCTTGGTCTCCCAAAGAGCTGGGATTACAGGTGTGAGCCACCACGCTCAGCCACAAGCTACCAAAATTTTTAAAGTTTTGGGACTCTTGATTTTTGAAAAAGTGTTTAAAGTTTTGGGAGTCTTGATTTATGAAATACTTTGGAGTAAAGAATTTGTAATTATGGGCAATATTTTAAAATGCTCAATGTGGCTAGGAAAAGACGTATTACATTAGTAATTTTTTTAAAAGAGAAATTTTATAAGGGTTTGGAAATACAGTATATTTCAACACTTCTAGTGGGATCTCAGTGATAGATTTCTAAAGAGCAACTTGGCAATATATGTCAAAAGCTTTAAAAAAAAACAAGCCTACCCTTTAACCTAGCATTTCAACTTTACAATTTATCATAAAGGAAAACTTAGCAATGTGTACAGATTTAGCTATAATGATATTTATTGCACAATTGATTATAATAGCAAAAACAAAACAAAATAAGACAAGGGGAAAAACCCACAAATGTCCAACAACAGTGGATGTTTAAATAAATTATGTTCATCAATAAAAGACAATGTACTGTTGAAAATGCTGTTATACATAAATGTTTATGGACATAAAAAGATATTCTTGATGGTGGGGGATGGGGAGGGAGAAGCAGATATCTGTAACTTAGCTTTGGACGACATATGTATCAAATATGGAATTACCCTACTACTAGGGGACACAGGTAAATTCAAATCCCAGAGTTTTTCCAGTCACAGAAATCCAAAAATAGTTTTATAAAAAAAAGAAGCAATATTTTGTGCTAAACTAAGTAATTTGAGAAGCCTAGATTCATGAGATGATGCGCCAGTCATCTGCACAAAAGAAGAATGAAGAGATATGAAGAAAAATAAAATTATGTGTTCAGAAAAATTTTATTTTTAGGGGAAAAATATAAATGTATGTAGCCAAAAATATGAAAGGATATACTGTGACCAGTCTGCTAAAAGTCATTTTAATTTTTTCTGGTTGATAGCTATGTTTTAAAAAAAGTTTATCTTTTTCTATTTTGTTTTTTCCAGAATAAACATAAAAAGTGTCGGTAACTAAAAAAAATTAAAACAGACAAACGAAAAGAGCAATCAAGGTCCAACATCGCTTCTTCTTTTATGTAAATCAAATTACTCAACCCACATTAGTTCTTGTCATGGGTTAAAGGTACAGTATGGATTTCTAGCTAATCCTAACAGATTACTACACAATAGATTGAGTGTTGATATAGGGTGTTCGGTTCTAGAAAAGGACACTGTTTTTACATTTCTAAATATTGTTTTGTGCATATTTCTAATTTTTGGCTTTAGAAAAACAATAAAAACTGTATATATTTAGTATTATCGAAGTTAAATATATAAAACTGCCAATACAGAGATTGATTTATGGCAAAATTATAGTTGTTGAAAAGTTGTATCCTGAATGGTTAAAGAAAAAGGCAAATCTAGTATTGTCAATCATTAGGAGAAAAACAAGTAACTACAAAGCAAGTGAAACACAAGTATTCCCCAAATACATAAATAGCATATAGGGATTATTGGAAGATGTGATTAAATCAAATGAAGTTTATATGCTATAGGGCCAAAGTTTTCATTTATAGGTTTGAATGAATAGAGGTAAGTGGTTTGGCTTAAAGATAATAAATAGCAAAGATGAGACAAAGACAAATTCTGAGTCTTAAGAATGTAAAGTCATGCCAAAACAAATATTTCATCACATTAGAGCTGAGAAGGTAGTCTGGAAATAATTTACCAAGGAATGAAAGACTGGGGTGATTCTGTGGAGGCCTAACAGCTAATACAATGGAGAATTAGGACTGTGGCACAGGGACAGAAAATACATTGAAGGATAGAAAGTAGACAGGGATAGTTCCAGGAGTGAAACTATTCATAACATCTTTGGCAAGAAAGTGGTGATAAGGCTTGTACTGTTCAAGAGTTTGAAGACAATAGCATTCCTGGTAGATTAGAAACAAACCCAGTAGGACTGGTCAAGCTCCTAAACATGGTATCTTGAAAGGCTTACTTCCTTTTTCTTCCTACTGTTGTGCTTCCTGAGCCAGGTGCCACAAATTAACTGAATACCTGTTACTACTATAACTCATACTTCATCACACCAGTTGGCAGTAATTGGATAAATGTCTGGGTTTTAAAGTGCCGTTTCTTGCATGTTCTTTGCAGGAAAAAAAACAGCAACAAAAAAATCTGGCTTCTGTCTAAAGTTCTCCTTTTATGTAAAAACTTCTCTACATTAAATACCATTCCTTTCCTAAAATGTGGTAGCTGAAATTACTATTATCCTAATTTACTACAAATAAACTTTATTTCACTTAAACTCAGATTACCATCTATGATTTTAGGCTAGTAAAGTAGTAATCATTTATTCAACAAAGATTTACTGAACACCTATTATGACAAATATGCGGATACAAAAATGATATGACATAGTCTCTGATTAATTTGCTGGCAAATATCAGCATATAAAACGCAAATAAGGCTGCATAAGAACTTGGTTTTGGTTTACAACTGAAATTCCAATGGTCAACTCTAATGTCAAGAAACCCTAATTAAGTTAAATGAAAACCTCTCTTTGAAGAGTATGTAAAAACTGAGTTTTTCATACTAATTCTTTGACTTCTGGAGATGACAGAAATTTAAAGTTTAGTATTTTTAACATTATTGCAAGTACTGTATATAAACACATTATGTTAATACGCTTGAATGTATCAGTATAGTATCTAAATGTATTAGAGGGTGCACGCGTGTGTCTGTGTGTGTGTCTATGCCACAAAATGTCCAGAGTTAGGGAGAAACATTTGGCTAATTAACAAAGTATATTTAGTCAAAAACATCTGCCTTGATTATAGCCATTAGTAATTAATCTATGTTTAAGGTTCTTAAGTCTTAGGTCTCATGGCAGGAAGCAGTATTTCAGTGGTCACAAGGTAGGTCACTGCTTACTTGGGATAACTTAAGGAGCATCCAGGAGGCCTGTAATTTCCAAAATTCCTTTCCCAAGAGCTTGTTAATGCCAAAAATTCCAATATATTAAAGATTTCTTTTTTTAAAAACATGATTTGTTTCTTAAAGTTTGCTCCCTTTTAACATGTCACATTCCCGGGATTTGGACATTCTTATTTAAAAGATATTTACTTTGGGCCAGGTGCAGTGGCTCACGTCTGTAATCCCAGCACTTTGGGAGGCCGAGGCGGGTGGACCACCTGGGGTGAGAAGTTTGAAACCAGCCTGGCCAACATGGCAAAACCCCATCTCTACTAAAACTAACAAAAATTAGCTGGGTGTGGTGGCGGGCACCTGTAATCCCAGCTATTCAGGAGGTTGAGGCAGGAGAATCGCTTGAACCCGGGAGGCGGAGGTTGTGGTTGAGCCGAGATCACGCCATTGTACTCCAGCCTGGGCAACAAGAGCGAAACTCTGTCGCAAAAAGAAAAAAAAAAAAAAAAAGGAAGATATTTACTTTGAAATAAACAAAAATAAATTAAATTAAAAGTAGTAGGCTATGTAGCAGGCATTATTCTCAAAATTAAGAGGTATAGCACAGACAAGTATAGAATGCTCCTGTTTCATGGAGCTTTCATTCATACTGTCATAGTGAAAGACAGTAAACATATAAATAATTGATAATTTTAGATAGTGATATGTGATCTGAAGAAAATAAGATGGAATAAAATAACAAGGGACTGAAAAGTTTGGCAACAACATTAAATAAGGTTGTCAAGGAAGGCCTCTCTGAAGAGGAGACAATTTAGCTGAGCCCTGAATGATGAACCCAGTCAGATGAAAGAAGCATGTTCTAAGCTTAGAGAGGAGCAAGTGCAAATATCCTGAGGCAGGAATGAGAATGCTTGTTAGAGGAAATTTACAAAACTAAATATAAATGGAATGAAGTGAAGGTGAGCATTGTAGACAGGATAAGGCCTACATGTGTGGGGACAAATGCATGGCCTGCACGACTTACTCGTATTTAACTGCCTATTCAGATATTACATCAGAGCTGTCCTAAGACTGTGAGAACATAGATTGCACAGGTTCTTGTATCAGGAGACTTGGGATTCAGCTCAGTATTATGTCTCCAAATACAACATCAAAGGGCATTTTGGAGAGATCATGGCTATCTTCCTTAAAAGTGATAAATTTATGAAGGCTAAATCTTTAAGGAAACTAGGAATATTCCTTTATTAACTGAACACAAAAAGTTTATTTAAACTCTTTAGTCTGTCTATATATTGAACCTTTACTATCTCTTGAATTTATAAATTCTCTACCAAATTATTGAATAATAGACCTCTCCCTCCACCATGAGTTTGAAGGAAGTTACTTTAAAGAAAAATTTTAAACGTATTACTTTATAGATCATATGTTTCTCTGTTTATCACACCATGCTCATGGTACCTAATCATTTGTCTATCATCAAATGATAATTTTTCAGTATCTTTTTTTTATGCTAGTTATATGTCCCTGCACTCTCTCTAGCTATGTTTTGTCTTCTTTAAAAACAATTAAGCACAAAAACTACATTTAAAATGTTCATGTTTCAAAAATAGGTGTCACTTGCTTCCTCTGTCAAGATAAAAATGTACCCAAAAATTATGATTTTTAAAATGTCTTCATTATAACATGTATCTTACAAAAACTGTATCTCTTCTCTGATGATTTCAGCTACTTTATTTTTAATCATCCTCAGAGAGATGACCTGGTTTCCATTTTGTTTCTTTTTCCCCTTGAATTTTTAGTTCAAACATTTCTGTACTCAGCTAATTTAAACCATAGTAAACATCTTGCCACAAATTGATTGATTCCTTTAGCAAACATCTACCTTGCATCTACTTGGTGTTAGGTCCCAAGGCAGCAAGTGGGGGCTGAAATGGTACCTGCCCTCCATGCTCTGGCATACGGGGACTGAAATTGACAAAAAGGAAGAATACATTTTTTTCTTCACATAAAGAAGGAATTTTCTCTAATTGTTCTGTTCAAAGCAAGTATCCATTTCTAATTATCTACCTAGAGGTACCACTTTTTCTAATTTGTGCAAAGCCTCCATTTAGGCAAATGGTAGCTTTGGCCCTGTGGTCAATAAGAACAATAAATAAGACATGAGACATAGTTATTATCTAAGGGACACGTGCTTTAGGGGTACAAATATGAGTGAAAATGCTTATACAAATTAGCAAAAGTTATAAGTACAGAGAAAAGGGAATAAACCCAGTGTTATGAAATTTCACTGGAGGGAAGGATAATATTGAGAATCAGAGATGAGAAAAGCTTTATAAACTTGGGTCTTGAATGGTGGGTAAAAATTATGACATGTAGAGAGAGAAAAATATTCAAGAGAATATTATAAATAATACAGTGGTTAGAATGCACATATCATGGTTTTAAGATGCAAAAATCTTCAAAAATAGCAAACTGAATTCAACAATACATTAAAAAGAACTTTCATCATGACCAAGTGGGATTGATCCTAGCGATGCGAAGATGGTTCAACATATGTAAATCAATCAATGTGATACATTGTATCAACAGAATGAAGGACAAAAACCATATGATAATTTCAACTGATGCTGAAAAAGCATTTGATAAAATTAAATATCCCTTCAGGATGAAAACCTTCAAAAAACTGGGTATAGAAGGAACATACCTAAACTCAGTAAAAGCCATACACAATAGACCCACAGCTAGTATCATACTGAATGGGGAAAAGCTGAAAGCCTTTCCTGCAAGATCTGAAACATGGCAAAGATGGCCATTTTCACCACTATTATTCAACATCATACTGGAAGTCCTAGCTAGATCAATCAGACAAGAGAAATAAACAAAGGGCATCCAAATTGGAAAGAAAGAAGTCAAATTATCTTTGTTTGCAGATGATAGGATTTTATATTTGGAAAAACCTAAAGACTACACCAAAAAAACTATTAGAATTGATAAACAAATTCAGGAAAGTTGCAGGACATAAAATTGACATACAAAAATCAGTAGCATTTCTATATGGCAACAGTAAACAATCTGAAAAAGAAATCAAGAAAGTAATCTCACATATAATAGCTACAAATGACATAAAATGCCTAGGATAAACTTAACCAAAGAAGTGAAATATCTCTATAATAAAACTACAAAACACTGACAGGAGAAATTGAAGAGGACACAAAAAATGGAAAGATATTCCATGTTCATGGACTGGAAGAATCAATATTGTTAAAATGTCCATACTACCCAAAGCAATCTACAGATTCAATGTAATCTGTATCACAATACAAATATTCTTCACAGAAATAGAAACAATAACCCTAAAATTTATATGGAGACACAAAAGACTCAGAATAGCTAAAGCTATCCTAAACAAAAAGAACAAAACTGGAGGAATCACATTATCTGACTTCAAATTATACTACAGAGCTATATTAACCAAAACAGCATGATCCTGGAATAAAAACAGACATATAGACCAATGGAACACAAAAGAGATCCCAGAAACAAATTCAGACACCTCCACTGAAGTCATTTTTGACAAAGGTGTTAAGAACATACATTGAGGTTAGAACAGTCTCTTCAATAAATGGTGCTGGAAAACAAGACATCCATATGCAGAAAAATAAAACTAGATCCCTATCTCTTGCCATATACAAAAATCAAATCAAAATTGATTAAATATTTAAATTTAAGACCTCAAATTATGAAACTACTAAAAGAAAACATTGGGGAAACTCTCCAGGACACTGGTCTGGGCAAAGATTTCTCGAGTAATACCTCACAAGCTCAGGCAACCAAAGCAAAAATGGACAAATGGGATCACATCAGGTTAAAAGGCTTCCGCCACAGCAAAGGAAACAACAAAGTGAAGAGACAATCCACAGAATAGGAGAAAATATTTGCAAACTACCCGTCTGACAAGGGATTAATAACCAGAATATACAAGGAGTTCAGTCAACAGGAAAAAATGTAATAATCCAATTTTTAAATGGGCGAAAGATCTAAATAGAAATTTATCAAAAGAAGACATACAAATGGCAAACAGGTACATGAGAAGGCATTCAACATCACTAATCATTAGAGAAATGCAAATCAAAACTACAATGAAATATCATTTCACCCTGGTTAAAATGGATTTTATCGAAAAAAGAGGTGATGAATGCTGGCGAGAATGTGCAAAAAAGGGAACCCTCTTACACCGTTGGTGGGAATGTAAATTAGTACAACTACTATGAAGACAAGTTTGGAGGTTCCTCAAGAAACTAAAAACAGAACTACCATATTATCCAGAAATCCCACTGTGAGATATACACCCAAATTGAAGAGATATCTGCATTCTCATGGTTATTGCAGCACTATTCATGACAGCCAAGATTTGGAAGCAACCTAAGTATTCATCAACAGATGAATGGATAAAGAAAATGTGGTACATACATACAATGGAGTACTATTCAGCCATATAAAAGAATGAAATCCTATCATTTACAACAACATGGATGGAACTGGAGGACGTTATGTTAAGTGAAATAGGCCAGCCACAGAAAGACAAACTTTGCATGTTTTCACTTATTTGCAGGAGCTAAAAATTAAAACAACTACACGCATGGACCTAGATTACAGAACGATGGTTATCAGAGGCTGAGAAGGGTAGTGGCGGTGGCAGGTGGGGAGAATAGGGATGATTAATGGGCACAAAAATATGATTAGATAGAATGAACAATATCTAGTATTTGAAAGCACAACAGGGTGACTGTAGTTAACAACTTATTATACATTTAAAAATAACTAAAAGAGTATAACTGGATTGTTTGTAAGAAATGGTGAATCATTTTTTTCTAACGTAGAATTTCTAACATATATGTGAAGCAGTTACATCTGTGATCTCATTAAACAAACCTACAAATGAACAAATAAACAAGGCAATCTATTCAGTGAGGATGTCAAGAATAAAGCTATGCTTCTCTTCTAAGTATCTTCTATTGATTATATACCTTTCTGCTATTTATCATATGCCATCTATTTATTATATACATGATTGTAATATATAATGAATGTATAAATGGGACAAAGACTTTTCTTCTTTTGTTCATTGGTAAATTGTAGGTTTTAAAATAATGTTTGCCACATGGTAAGTTTTCAGCAAATATATGTTGAATAAATGAGTTAATCTTTAAAACAAATGTAACTCTCTCAACGTTGTGATGAGGTAATCCTCATGAATTAACGAAGCAACCTCAATGAAGTAACATATATATAGCAATTAGCACAATGTCTAGAATATGGTTAAGATACGTTGACTCTAATTATTATGTATATTTACAATTACATGGAGGCACTAAGGCTTTACTAAAAATATAAACAAACTTATTAGATTTATTTGAAGAAGCAGCTATTTTATATAAACAGAGATGGTCTGTGGCCTTGAAGAAACAGTCCCTCAGATTTCCTACAGCCAAATAATCCCCATACCTTTGGTAATTTCAAATTTGAAAAGTATGTAATTCAATAAAAACCATTCATAAAATAATCCTGGCATGTAGATGACTGATAATAATGCATATACAAGTAAATTTAATTTCATAGACTAATTTGTTAATTTTCAGATTATTTATTGTTAATATATGAGTACAATTGAATTTTTTTTAACTTTTAAATCCGGGGTACAAGTGCAGGTTGTTACATAGGTAAACTTGTGTTACAGGGGTTTGTTGCACAGATTATCTCATTACCCAGGTATTAAGCTTAGTACTCATTAGTTATTTTTCCTGTTTTTCTCCCTCCTCCCACCCTCCACCCTCCAAAAGGCTCCAGTGTGTCTTGTTCCCCTCTCTGTGTCCATGTGTTCTCATCATTTAACTCCCACTTATAAGTGAGAACAGGTGGTATTTAAATTTCTGTTCCTGTGTTAGTTTGCTAAGGATAATGGCCTCCAGCTCTATCCATGTCCCTGCAAAGGACATGATTGAATTCATTTTTATGGCTGCATAGCATTCCATGGTGTATATGTACCACATTTTCTTTATACAGTCTATCACTGATGGGCATTTAGGTTGATTCTATGAAGAGACTGATTTATTATCTACAAAATGTCAAATATTATGGTTGGCACTAAATTGAAAGTTATACACTTTTGGCATAAATGAAATGCTATACACAATCCACGTGAATAAATTTACTCTTCATTTTTGTTGGTAAATAATTCTTAAAATTGGAAATTCCCTTTATTCCTTAGATTATCCCTAGAAAACATTCCAAAACTCCAAAATGTAGACTTTCCCATACACCCCTTTTTGTCTGTTAAGGATGACAATTTAAGTGCTGTATTATTGCTTTTAGCTAAATGTTAATTAAAATTGGATAAAAATGCTCAGTGAGAGTAGAGACATAAGATAGACAATAAATGGGTCATCAAAAAAGTCACCACTGTAACCTGAACACACTTACGGCAAAAGTGTTGAACAAAGTACATGGATGATTTGTATATTGAGTAGACAGAGTAATTCTCTACTGGTAAGCCAACTGAATTTAATTAGAAAACTCACGTTCGAGACATAGCTACACTAATCAAGTTGTAACTGAATAATCAAAGTAGTCTTTGTGCCTCAGTTTCCATATTGTATAAAACGGGGATAACATTATCCAGAAGATTACCCCAACAGTATCCACAAGGCTGCTACAAGGCTTTCTGTCTCCTTTCCTTCCAGCTCAATTAATTAGTTATCTCTATTCTTCAACATTTTGAGAACCTTGAGCCCTCCACTTTTTCTCCAAGTATCAGCCCCTTCCTCTTCATTTATACTTAACCAACTTAGATTCCACAGCCCATCATTTCAAACACTCTTTTGCAAATATCTTAAACTTTTGAGTATCCCTCCTCATAAGACATCCAACTGGCTGAACTCCTTGATAAATCCTACCACATGCTGCTTCTCTGTGTACATCTCAACATTTCAGCATTCTTTTTTTTTTTTTTTTTTTTTTGAGGTTGGGAGACAAGGTCTCACTCTGGCACCCAGGCTGGAGTGCACTGGCGTGATCACAACTCATTGTAACCTTGACCTCTTGGGCTCAAGTGATCCTCCCACCTCAGCCTCCCAGGTAGTTGGGACTACAGACATGCACCACCACACCTGACTAATTTTTTCTATTTCTCCTTTTTGTAGAGATCAAGTCTGGCCAAGTTCCCCAGGCTGGTCTTAACTACTTCTGGGCTTGAGCCATCTGCCTGCCTTGGCCTCCCAAAGTGCTGGGATTACAGGCATGAACCACCATGCCTGGCCCATATCAGCATTCTTGAAAAAAATTCAGTAGAGCACAGTTGCTCCACTATAGTTCACTATCATTGGCCTCAAAATTACAGCATATATGTTCTCCCCACTCATACAATAAGGAGTGCATACCTACCTTCTTCATGCTATTCAAATCTCTCACCTTCTGCTTTCCTCTCTGCAGACTTCTCCTTACATTTCATAGAGAAAATAGATGCTATCAGACGAAATTCCCTTATACCATATACATGAAGTTTTCAAAAATTAATGGAAAATTCATATTATGAAAAAAACTTCATGAATTTCAAATTTTTTTTGCACCAAAAATAAGCTCATACTAACTTGTTGTAACATGTCTGAACAGGATCTATTTTGAGGTACTAAGAAGAATAAGACATCCATTTGAAAAGATCCCCTGTCAGAGCAATATAAATTCTGCTTAAATTGAAGTAAGAACAACACATTTAGGATGAAGTTTGGGTAGAAGAATGGTGAAATCACTAATATTTTATGAAAAGTTTATGGGGACAATGCCCCAAAGAAATCAGCAGTTTACAAATGGATAACTTGTTTTAAGAAGGGACAAAATGATATGTTCAAGATGAAGCCCCCAGTGGTAGACCATCCACATCAATTTGTGAGGAAAAAATTAATCTTATTTGTGCCTAATCAAAGAGGATCAACAATTAATAGCACAAACAATAGCCAACACCATAGACATCTCAATTGGTTCAGCTTACACAATTCTGACTGAATAATTAAAGTTGAGTAAACTTTGCACTCAATGGGTGCCAAACCTGTTGGATTCAGATTACCTGCAGACAAAAGCAGAGCTTTCAATCGATTTTGTTTGTTTGTTTTTGAGATGAAGTCTCGCTCTGTCACCCTGGCTGGAGTGCAGTGGCACGATCTTGGCTCACTGCAAGCTCCGCCTCCCGGGTTCAAGCAATTCTCCTACCTCAGCCTCCAGAGTAGCTGGGATTGTAGGCGCTCAACACCATGCTCGGCTAATTTTTGTATTTTTAGTAGAGATGAGATCTCACCATGCTGGTCAAGCTGGTCTTGAACTCCTGACCTCAAATGATCCACCTGCCTTGGCCTCTCAAAGTGCTGGAATTACAGGCGTGAGCCACTGTGCCTGGCCCCAAAGTATCTTGAATTTGCTGCGGCTTATGTTGAGAAATAACATTTACTTTTTAAAATTTTTATCTTTTAATTCCATTTTTTCACAAACTTTTTGAGGTCTCCTCATATGATACATATGTATCATATATTAAAGATTATTTGTAAATATATATAATCTCCAAATTTAAGTTAGTAGGCTGAGCTTCTTTCTGAACTTCATATCTACCCAGTTGCCTAGTTGTAACAAGCACTCAGATGTTACACAGAATATCACAAATTTGATGTGTTCCAAATTGAATTTAATCTTTTCTCTCAAACATATTCCTTCTTCAGTGTTCCTTATTTCAGTAAAGAGTATAACTATTTACCTAGTTGCTGAAGGTAAAAATCCAGAGGCACCCTTGATTTCTCCCTTTCCTTCATCCCCATACCTAATCTATCACTAAGTCTTACAGATTCTATCTCTAAAATATATTACATATCCTTCCACTTCTCCCCATCCAGATTTTGACCATTCAAATCCATGCCACTCTCTACTGCAACAGCATCCTACATGCTTATGTTTCAACTGCAACTCATTCTCCACATAGAAGCCACTTGATTTTTCTAAAATACAAATCATTTTATGGCAGTCTGCTACTAAAATTCTTCAGTGTCTTCTCATTGTACTTGGGAAAAATCCAAAATCCATAAAATATAAAATATCAGAAGGAATTCCCTTATCTTCCAAATACCAGTCTATAAACCTAATTGTTCTGCACCCTATCCTCTCTTTCTTGTGCCTATAACAAAAAGTGTCCCTTCTCCTTGGAAAAATCAATTCCTCCACAGGACCTCAGGATCCCACTCTCTTCTCTAATAGAGTCCTACAAGATTTTGGAGATCTGGTCTCTGCCTTTCTCTTTCACCTAAATGTCAAGCCATTTGTCTTTGTAAACAACTCTTTAGCCACAGTGGCCTTTTCTAAATTTCTCAAAAATGTCAAGCTCTTCTCCAACTCAGCTTCACATGTTACGTACCCCACTTAAAATGGTACAAATACAGATGTGGAACATGAAGGGCAGAAAGGTTATGAAGTTTGCTGAAGGTTTCATTGCTAGTATTTGAACCCAGCAGTCTGACACTAGAACTTAAGTTTTTAGTTACCAACTTTACCAGTAGTATAAGATGAATACGAATTCCCCTTAGCTTAGAGCAGGGGTTGCCACACTTTAACCTGCATCAGAATTACCTGGAGGGCTTGTTAAAACACAAAGTTTTTGGTTCATTAGGTCTGGGGTGATACCTGAAAACAGCATTTCTAACAAATTCCCAGGTGATGCAGATGGTGCAGATCCAGCAAGCACATTTTGAGAACTGCTGGCAGAGACTTACATAATACAAACTACATGCCACGTGAAAAAATACTAAGTCTTCATTTGATGTTTAGTAAACAACATACAGGTCACTCCTTTTGTTTTGCTCAATTCTTTCAGACCTGTAAAAACTGTCTGCATGTAGCTGTTACTCTGCCTTACCGTACAGGTATGATACGCTGTGGTAATTGTGCTTATCTGTCCTCCTATATCCCTTAGTCAGGAATTTTATAACACCTACCATCAGAGGTTTATTTTATCTCTGTATACCCGGTCAACATTTTTGCTTTCATTCCCTCCTATAATATAGCAGGTCAGAAAAAAGGTTGGAAATTCAAGTATTTGGCCTATTAAAAGGTAGTTCCATGCTTTTAAATATTAGCAAATTTAGGTAATAAGTACCTAGGCTCATGAGACTGGAGTTCCAACATTAGCTCTAGATAGCATATACAGCATATACCCTGAGACATATGATATTGATTTTTCTGACCTCAGTTCTTCAACTGTAAACTTAATGAAATAGATATTATGGAATATAATCTAATTCTGTTACAGAAGACAAATTCTGAAATGACCCAAAAAGAAAGTCTGCAAAGTAGAATTTTAAAATAATGATTAATAAGCTTAGAGTAATAAAGAACATGAATATTCCATCCACGAAAATAACAAATACTCTAAAATGCATTTATCTTAGTTCTAATTATGTTAACATACAAAATAAGAAAAGGAAAATGAATAACTTTCTAAATTATTTGAATGTGCATATGCATTTGATTGTAACAGAAACAGAAAATATGTATTTTATGAATTTAGAAGATTACAGATGCAATTAAGAATTAGAATCTTTACTTTTATCCTCTCATCTTTCACACATTCTTTCATAATCACAATAATAACATAAAATGGCAATTAGTTCCCATTATTTACTTCTTTTCAAAATTCTATAGTGCTTGTATTATTAAATGTAAATCACTCTTTGGTTTTAAATCAATCCAGTTTACATAAAGGTATTTGCCAGAAATATTCCCCAATAAACCCCAATCCTCAGTTCCTGCCTTGGTCAGATTTAGTTGCCATCCACTGTGCATATGTTTTTCTCTCTTGCCTTTCCCTTTATTCACCATTATTTTCCTTTTTTGAAAGATTCAATTTTCTCTCCTCCACAAATTTAAAATATTGTTTTTAGCTTAATGTATTACTCACCTCCTAGAGCAATAACTGCATGATTGCTTCCAACCACTTACCATCTTTTCTAAGGGTAAAGAAATCCAACTCAATTTCATTTTCATATATCATGTGAATGGATGAAGTGATTATTAGTTGATTATTCCAGGTTGTCTATGTATCATCAAATATAACATATTTATTTTAAATAATGTATTAATTAACACATGCATGCATTCATATATATTTTCTCCTCAGACTACCTGAGGGACAACATTATCCATCTAACTGCCCAGATCAGAATCCAAGAAATTTAAGATATGTGTTCTCTTATCCTTACTCTCTCTATCCAACCAATCAGCAAGTTTAGGTTGGTTTAGTTTCCTATCTCTGCCTCTAGCCTTGCCCACTCCAATCATTATTTATAGTAATATTAATAACAACGCTAATAGCTACCACTTACATAATAATCTATGCTGGACTCTATGCAAAATACTTCACACATTTTCTCTTTAACTTACACAACTCTGTGAAGTAGGCACTATTATACTATGATGTCTATTTTACGGATGAGAAAGATATGTTTATAGTAATATTTTATAGGTAAAATTATTGAGAGAATTTCTTTAATGACTCCTTCATCTATAGAATAAAATAGAAGCTCCGTTGCATGGCCTACAAAATGAGTAATGCTCTGACCTATGCGTAACATTGACTTCACCTCCTTCTCTTTTCCCTCTTAAACTAAATGCTCTAGAAATACATCACTATATGTAGTTACTGAAATACCTGCCTAATTTCAGTTTTATGTGCCTTGACATCTGCTTTTTTCTCTTTCATAAATACCGTTCTTGCACATGGCCACTTGGTTTACTAAGTCTCTGCTTGAATAAGAGTTCCTCTGTGAAGTCTTACCTAATCTCCACCCTCTAGCTGGGATAACTTTGATGTGCTTTCTTTTATGCCAACTGTATATACAGAAAAACTTTGAAATAACATTTTCCTCAGTAATGTGAAATTAGATAACACTTTTGCCAATTTGCTCTTATCTTCCGCCTAAGCACCTGTTGGCAAATTGGTGGGTTAAAATTCTCATCTCTGAAGAGGGGGATGTGGTGAGGATGGCAAGGCTCCCAAGCCCATTTTGAGAAACAGGGAGATGGAAAGTAGGTCCCCCAATCCTCTTCCATAGGCTTGGGAAACCAAGAAAGAGGTACCTGGACTTCTGCCACTATGCTAAAAGTTTCAGTCAGCTACAGGATTCAGAATCATTTTCATTTTGGGTATTTTTACTAGAGTAGAAAACTGCCACCAGGTGGCGTCAAATTGTAGCTGGAATCTGGGCAGCGGTTATGCAGCAGGACTGCTCGGTGTACAGGTTCACCCAGATCATTACATGAACCTAGTATTTCCACATTGCATCTGACATAATGAATTTTTGGATATCAATTACAGTGTTTTCTCAGGATCTTACTATATATCCATTATGGAAATTCTTCTATTGCAATTGTTTGCCCTCATGGCATTTGGATATTTTGTCTATGTTACCTCAGCAGCCTACTACCTGATACGTGGCACTTAATAACTCTAAAGAAAGAATTTATTGAATAAATTAATTCAATAAATTTACTATTTGAATGAAAACTCCTAGTAACGTAAGGATAGTTAAATACTAATATTCAAGCTGCATTTAGAAATGTTTGTAAATCATTTAGGTATTCAATAAATATTTGCTGATGATAAAGTAAACCTTCCTAATAAATGTTTTAGAAATATATAGATGTCAACCAATTAACACATATTATCTGTACATCTACTATGTATAAGGCACTGGAGTCAATGCTATGCTAATTAAAAAGAAATACAAGACACAACATTTGTTCCAAAGTCACTTATAACCTAGATTGCTAGATGAAGCATAAAGACAAAACAATCCCAAGGTAAAACATGGCAAGTGCTAAGTGAATGGTAAAGACATCAAATAATAAAGAATTTCCAGTAAGAAATGAAGAAATCCACAAATATCTGCCCATCTGTATGTTTCACAACAGTCCTCAGTTCTTTGTAGGCCAAGCTGTTGTCTGATGATGAACCCATTTTTGCTTCTATGATAATACAGAATGCATCGCCCTATCTGGCACAGCTTCCTCCTTCTTCCACTTAAGCTAATCCTTCCATCTTCCAGGAACCACAGGTTATGTTTAGATTATACTCTCAACAATGTGCAGACAATTAACGCCTACAGTGGGATGTCAAGAAATGTTTTTATTGATTTGTTATAAAATCTTATTTATTTCTTTGAGACAGGGTCTTGCTCGTTCCCAGGCCGGAGTGTAGTTGTATTACTAGGGCTGATTGTAACCTCAAACTCCTTTGCTCAAGTGATCCTTCTGCCTCAGCCTCTATGTAGCTAGACCTACAGGATTGCACTGCCACACGTGGCTACTTTTTTTTTTTTTAATAGAGACAAGGTCTCGCTATGTTGCCCAGGCTGGTCTGGAACTCCTGGGCTCAAGGGATCTATCCTGCCTCACACTCTCAAAATGCTGGGATTACAGGCATAAGCCATTGTGCCTGGCCATAAAATCTTAAGTCTCACTTTTTTCCCTTCATATAAACAATTTAGTCAAAATGTACCACTTTATTCTTCAGCCACTTTTAAAGTCAAGATGTAAGGCATAATTGAAGGAAGAAATTATTTTTACATCTAGTCTAGAATAACATTCAGAAATTGCAAATTAGGTCACACCTTAGCCCACTGAGCCCAAGATTCTATAAACAACAAATATATTTTTTTCCTCCTGCAAATGTAAAATATATTTAGCCACTCTATTTAAAACAGGTGTAACTATTTTTTAATTTAAATTCAGTCTAGCATACTGAAGAAAACAAAAATTTAATGAAATGGGGCACAGCTGGGAGTTAAACAAATATTACTATTTATTTTGTTACGTAAGAGATAGATTTTTTATTTTTTATTTTTTTGTGATGGAGTTTCGCTCTTGTTGCCCAGGCTGGAGTACAATGGCGCGATCTTGGCTCACCGCAACCTCCGCCTCCCAGGTTCAAGCGATTCTCCTGCCTCAGCCTCCCTAGTAGCTGGGGTTACAGGCATGTGCCACTACGCCCAGCTAATTTTGTATTTTTAGTAGAGATGGGTGTTTCTCCATGTTGGTCAGGCTGGTCTCAAACTCCTGACCTCAGGTGATCCACCCACCTCGGCCTCCCAAAGTGCTGGGATTACAGGCGTGAACCACTGGGACTGGCTGAGATAGATTATTTTTATGTATCTTAATTCCTTAAAGTTTAGAAAGTAAAACTCATTATTTATTTAAAATGTATTACTCTTGTAAAGGCCTTTGGCAATTGTTTGATCAAATATCCAACTAATCAGCACAGAAGAATTTATAAATACCCCACCATCCCAAAACTGGACATACTCATTCTTGCCCATGTTGGCTGTATGACCCTGTGGATCAGATAGTGACTGGGAAGAATTTAAATTTAGTGCCAGATCATTCCCACTTCTAAAATTAGCAGATTTGGTGATCTCCCTAGGTACAATTAATTAGCTATCATTTCAAATTGCCTCAGAAGAAACTCCCTGTTTCACCTGTTTCAGTTGAGTGACTTAATGTCATTTAATATGATAAAAATTTATGTTGTTTATAGAACCTTAGGCTACATGAGTTAAGATATACTCTGATGAAGCAATTCTTGAGTGTTACTCTGGACTAGATGCAAATCCCCTGTGACCTGCATTTGGGAAATGAGATGCTGCTTTTGGGCAGAGTCAGTATCAGGTGGCAACATGAGTTACCAAGCTGGTATTTATTCCCAGTAATGTTAAATTAGTAGTACATGATTTTGTAAGTACTGGCATTTCACGTATAAGTTTTGTCTTTGAGGGCAAAAGTTATATTTCTATTTCTTTTTTATTGTTTTTTTTTGCAACCATTTATCACTGTTTACTATGTGGTATTGTTGTAAGTGCTTTGCTAGTTTTAACTTAATCCTCAAACAATCCAATGAGGAAGTATTATTATCATCATAATTACATAAATGAGAAAAGTGGGCACAGTGAGGCTAAGTAACTCATCCAAGGTTACATGTTAACACAAGACAGTAAGTGGGAGAGCCAGGATTCAAACCCAACTGTCTGGTTCCAGAGTCTGCACTCTTAACACAATGCTATATACAACACATGCTATTCATTCATTGATTTGCCTATTCATTCACTCTTCCAATATAGTGAACTCTTACTAGGAACCAGCTCTGGGCCGAACATTGATTGGAATTGAGCCTAGATGGGTAAGACTCAAGAGATGTTTGCTGAATCAATGGTTTTGCTTCAAGTTTTATCCTTTTTTGTGAATCCTTAGGTCACTTCTGATGTAATTATAACTTAAATTAAAACAAGTACAGCTGTAAGTGGCCAACGTTTTCTTTTAGAATAAGATAATTTAGGGTATTTTATTTTAGAATAGCCAAAAGCAGGCATACTTATGGAAAAAGTTAACCTGAAAAAAGTGAATATTCTAGAGAGTTAATACTTAACTAAAATGTAAAAGCAGGGTATTATTTATTTTCCTGCATTTTACAAAAACCACTGAAATAATTTAACTCTTTCTTGCTAAAAGGATAATAATTATAAATATTATTTATTATTCTGAGTTTCAGATAATTTAGAACTTTGAGCTGAATGGGCACTAGCCTTAGGGTAGCACTGATGAAAACTAGCTTGAAAACTTGCCATTCCTCTCTAATCCCTTAGCTCTTGAGGCAAGTGTATTTGCAGGGATTTTTTCTATCTTGAAAAGTACTAAGGAAATAAAAGACCAAAGCAGCTTTATAAAAATTTATTTCTTGCCTTTTTAAAAAATAATTTTTACTAATGCCATCAATGTGCTACTTTTCAGTTTCATTCAAAGTATGTTGATTCCACTACATAAAAACAACAGCTTCTAACTTTGCCTAACATGTATTGAAAGCTTACCCTATGGTAGGCATTGTGTTACAAGCACTCACATATTTTAAAAATCTCATTCCACATTTCTAACGTTCTTTAAGTTAGGTAATTGTTCCTATTTTGCTGTTGAAGAAACTGAATATTTGGGAAGGTCACAAGCCAATGTGTGGTTCTAATGTAAAGCCAATTTAACCTGGTTCTAGAGACCATTTGCTTGAGTACTGTACTATATTGGAGGACTTAGGCCCCACCAGCAAAACCCCAATGCATTTTATTACCCCATAGGTCATATTTAAAATCAGATTGTACCTATCACTTGATTTAGCTGGCACTATTTATTATCTAGCCATGGAAAAGTTTTGATATCCCCAAGTGAGTTTGAAAATTGTTTCACTACAGTTGCAAAAAAGGTAAGAGAACCCAGTAAAAAAACTATTTTTCCATTTATACATGTTTGCTTGTTTTTTGATTGGCCAACCTTTTATTTTGCATTTTGACAATAGTCTCTCAGCTTCCAAACTTTTATTAATTTTCATTAAGTAAATAAAATTAGACTTGCTTTTTCTCAACCACAGTAAGACATAAAACCGGTTTCTTCCATGAAACTGGTCCCTGGTGCTAAAAAGATTGGGGAATCACTGATCTAGTCCACCTTCTAGCCTCAATCACAAGAAACCTAAGTCAGCCAACACTAAACTTTGCTTCTGAGGAGGAGAAACTTTGTAAACACAAAGGCGGCCAGCAAAGATAAGCCTCTTATTACAACTTCACTTCTCATAAAATTGGAAGAGACCTTCAGGAATCAACAGCTATTCATTTATTCATCAACTATTTTGGGGCTCTGAAAACTTTCCCCGCAAATATAAAAATTAGATTTAGCTTGCAGTTTTTGAGTAGTTAAATATGTGTGACCTTTTGAAAGGTTTTAGAATTATAATTTTTTGTCACCAAGAATACCATACATTTAAGAACAGGTAGTCAATTCTTATTTGTTTTCAAACTGGAGACACCTGATTTACTGATTCAATATCATGGTATAAGTTGGTCATCATTAACATATCAATTTTAAAAAAATTATTCTCTAGGATCATTTAAGATATCTCCTGTAGTAATAGAGATGTTATTCATAGTGCCACAGCATCCTTTTAAAGCTTTATGATTTACTAACACTTTACTCAAGCTCTTTAATTTTGTCTCTTAGTTTGAATAGTAACAATGATGACAATAACCATCTATTATGTACTAGGCATTATTCTAAGTAGGTACATGCACTAATTTAAACCTCATAAAGAATCTGATATAAGTACTATGATTATCCAGATTAAAGAAGAGAAAACTGAGAAATCATAAAACTTGAGGAGGATGTTGGAATCAGGGTTTCAACAAAAGCAACATGGCCCTAGCATTTGTGCTGTCTCTCTTGAAGTGAAGCTTTCTTAAAATACATATCGCTCAGTCAATTGTCATTTAAAAGTGTTTAGACTTTTAACTTGACCAGAACATACAGACACTTACTTTCTATTCAGCTACAATAACTGAGAGAGAACATGGTCTAGACATCCAGATTTATATGTATGCAGACATAGTCCTTTACCACGGGCAGCACAACACAATTCTATATACTGTTTGGATTTTAGTCTTTCCTCTACCGCTGATTCTCTTTTCTGGGTGGTAGTCTGCTGCTTACCACCTCCACTGCCTCCTGCTGCAGCTACTCCCCACTCACTAAGATTTGATCTATTTTTTTCTGCTTTGTCTTCTTGTTTTTCATATTTAATGATAAAATATCTATAGACATGACCATTAAATCAAAGTGCTCTTTGTTCTCTATAGGGCAAACTGACAAATCACAGAATGCTGATTGTCATCATTGGTCTTCAGCTCCTTTTACTGCAGGTTGGACAGGTCTGCTTCTCTTTTGGCAAAGCTTTTGGTGAAAATTCCATAAAGCTGGACATTCTCCAAGGCATCTGGGCAAAAAGCCAAGCACTAAATTTTGCCCTTGAATTATATGGTCCAATTGGAAGAGCATATGAAGTATACAATTTCTAAATTAATTAGAAAAATAGTTCTCAAATTTTAGTATTCACCACAACCACTTGAAGAGCTTTTCAAGAATACAGTCTGTGGTCTTAGCCTCAGGAATTCTAATAAGATACTTTTGGCATGAGGGGCAGATATTTTATTTTGAGATTTCTCTGGCGATTCTATTGCAAGTGACAAAAACCATTTGAGAACCCTGGTAGAGGCTAACAAAAAGTGACATTGAGTGAGAAGAGGCAAAATGAACTCACTAACTCACCATCTAACCAAGTGATATATTTTTAATCTCACTTTGTTAGTTTTGCTTTTCCTGTGCTTAGAAAAGATTTTTATGGTTATATTTCTAAGTCCACTGGCAAGCAGAAAGCAGATAATAGATAATACTGGATTTCTCCAGCCCCAGCTATTCACATTTTCCTTTTTGGTTAAATATGTTCTGCATTATTTTCAGTTAGTTCTTAGTATATCTAGAACCATATTGGCTTCTTTGTGTCATTCTGATTACCATACACTTAAGAAGTATTTAAGAAAAAAAGTTTTGTTTTTCTCTCATATATAGACATGATTGCATATCTTTAAATTAAAAAAAATTTTGCACTGGCTGCTTTTAAATTAAAAAATACCAAGATGTTATTTTCAGTATAGCAGTTGGTGTAATTGCACAGGTCCACTTTTGTTGTTGATTCCACATATAGGCATACTTTATTTTATTGAGCTTTGCTTTATTGCACATGGCAGACAGTATAAGAAAATCCACTTTAGAATTTTTTCATGTGTTGGTGTATAGAAATTTTATTTGGAAATTAGCTGATTTAACTTTATTCTGCATCTTATTAACTTTCTGACTTTACTATTCTCCTATTTTCCTACAAGATTTGAAGTAATTTTATATTATAGTGCATTTTAAACATTTGCCCATTTGCATTTTGAGCTTTGAAAATAATTTAAAGCATTATCGGGCCTATATGTTTAAATTGGTTTAAAAATACTAGTTAATCACTATTTGTATTTTTTTTTTTTGTAATCTACCAATGTTTTACATTTGGCCATGTCCTATTACTACATGGAACATATTTAAGAAATAACAGAAAAATCTACTTTGCATATCAAATGCTATTTCTAAAAAAAGTCTACTGTTGTATTAGCCTCCTGTCCCCAATGATGCACATAATCAAAAATTTAGTGTAAATAATACCTGTCATACTCATTGATTCTTACAACTACTGTAAAATTTCATACTTAAAGGTTTTAATTTTTTTAATGGAGGAAACTCCTGCCTATGTAGAATGAACTAGTGCATTCTACATAATAAAAGATATAGATGATTTTTCTGTGTACCAGACTTTTCAGAATTATTTCCTATAATAATTAGAAATGCTTTTTAGAGTTGTTTAAATATCGTAAGATCATTTCCTCTACATATACATTAAATAAAATAAAAATATACACATACTGAGTGAAAGTTAGCATTATACCATATTTTATAAACAATAATTAAATATCTCCCTTAAAATGGCAAAAATCTCCACACTTCCATTTTCAAATGCAAATTTTTCTTTGTCTAAAAATGTCATTTGACTTCAGTCTAATGTATTCAGCATTTTTTGGAAATTATATTATATAAAAATAACACGGCAACAATGCAATGACTTCAGCACATTGAAAACTAAGATATTAAAATATAGCATCATTTGGTAAATCATACATTCTTTATTCAGCAATACAATAAAACTTTCTTTAGAATCATATTTCTTGGGATTCTGAGAAGAAAGATAACTTGTTGACTGTCAAGTACTCTATTCAGAAAGTACATAGTGTAATAGAAAATGTAAACATTTGAAGAGTTAATAGTTTAAAATAATCTGAAGGTGGAATAATTAATGTCTTTTAAAATTACCATTATTTTAAAAGCTGAAGTTAAACATGAAGTTAATACCTATTTCAGTAATAACATAGATTGTTCTCATTTCCTTTCACCAGATTAAGTATGAATCTAAATAGAAATATGCAGATCCATTCTCCAATTAGCTTCAGGCCAATTTCAGGCCTTACATGAAAATTCAAAATTTCTAAAATCTTTTACTCTTCATCCACTCAAAACTCCTAACCCTATTGACATCCCAAACTTTTTTTCAATAGTCATAGTTACCCAAAATAGGAGCACTGATGTCATTGCTATTTCTTTCTTTCCCTTTGCTTCCTATGTTCAGGTCAAGAGGGAAGCCTGAATTTGAACTGCTTTGTATAAGATCACCCCTCCAGCCCTATATGTTTGAGGGAACTAAGCCCTAGAACTCTGCATGCTCCAGGTAAAAACGAACTCCTACCCTAACCCTAGCACTTACAGCTTCACATCTAATATCAGCCTTCAGATTACCAGTGCAAATCTCATTATATATCCCCTTTATCCCTGTTAATTTCAATCACCCACAAAGCTCAGAACTCTTAAATCTCCACATACAAAAAAAAAATCTCCACTTACTTCTGGGATTTAAATCCACATTCTCCTTTCTGGGAAGTGAGGCAATGCTTCCATCTCCTCTGACTGACACACACTGTCACCCTTCTCTACTATTATCATCTTATACCCAATATTTTGCACTTCTTTTTCAGTCCCCCCATCAGAATATAAACTCCATGATGACAGGGATTTTGTGTGTTAGTTCATTACTTTATTCTATTATATTATTTTATTTTTATTTATTTTTTGAGATGGAGTCTCACTCTTGTTGCCCAGGCTGGAGTGCAATGGCGTGATCTATGCTCACTGCAACCTCCGCCTTCCGGATTCAAGTGATTCTCCTGCCTCAGTCTCCCAAGTGCTGGGATTACAGGCGTGTGTCACCACGCCTGGCTAATTTTTGTATTTTTAGTAGAGACGAGGTTTCACCATGTTGGTCAGGCTGGTCTCAAACTCCTGACCTCAAGTGATCCTCCCATCTCGGCCTCCCAAAGTGCTGGGATTACAGGCTAGAGCCACCTCGCTCAGCCATTATTTTATTAAAAGCCTCAAGAATAGGGCCTGGCACTCAAAAGATATTTATTAAATAAATGAGTGAAGTAACTCAATCAAATACCAAAACCTATTTACACATACTTTGTAATAGTCTTGTATTTTTTCCTTTCTTATCCCTTTCTTGCTTTTGCTTTAGTCTGGAACCTTACTGAAACCAAATTAAAATTAATATTTAGATTAATAGTAACAGTCTGATCATGACAAAATATTACCATTAAGAAAAAGGTAACGGTCTGAGATGATATACCACATGCTAGGATATGGCAGAATTAGGGATGTAAATTCATGTCTCAGAACTTCTGCCTTAATGTATTTAAAAATCCTCTGTTCCACCATGGTTTAAGTGGTATCTCCCCAGATTCTTTCCTATTTATTTGCACTTCCTTACTCAATGAAAATATGGAATTAGTAGTTATTTAATATATATCACTTTGGAATATTCAACAATTGAATATATCTTTATAATAGCAGTGATTATAACTGTATTATAATTATTTAAATGTCCATGTCCTCCACTAGCCTTGACCTTCTTAAGGCAACAACTAGTTTTCATGTATTTCAGTATCGCACCACGAAGTACCATAATTGCCTATGTGTAGCAGCTAGAAAAATGGTTAGAGAAAAAAAAGAGAGAGAAAGAAGGAAAGAGAAGAGATGGTGTGGGAAGAAGGAAGGAAAGAAAGAAGGAGGTTAATTAGCTCACTTTCTTGTAAAATACTGCCAAGGTGAGAGAGTAGTTAGCTAATCCCCATGTTTATTTCTTTCAGGATTGGTGACTAGAGGGAAAGAACTGGATCTTTTAGAAAAATTCCTATAAGCAATGCTCTCACCCCAAAGACAATGAAATTAATTGGCTATGTCTTGATAGGGAATAATGTGATACTCCTAATTTTTTTTCCTTTTTTATCCTCTTCTTTGTATCTTAATTTATAATACTCTAAGTTGCTGCCTGTTGTAAGATCATTTTTTCCCAGAAAACTTGTCTAAGAAGTTTTAGTTAAAAATCATCACTTAATTTGATCATACACTGTGTATTATAAAATGAACCAAAATAATGAATAAAAATATCCTTTAACTTTTTTTGCTAACAGGTTACTTATTTAATCTAAGGCAATACACACTTCTGAGGAGAATGAATTACTATTTCTGGTTGATGGATACCGAAATTACTAACATACAGTCACAAACATCACAGTCTAGAAATACACCTGAAAACTATTCAACGGTGAAAGAAAAACAGAGGAAAAGGTTACTAGACACTTTTTCAAGAAATTGCCAATGACTAATGTTAGGAATTAAATAGATTGTTCAAATAATAATATAATTCAATAATAATATCATTTTTGGATAAAAAGCATTAAGTATTCACTTTTCTATGTTACAAATTATGATCTAGCTCATATGCTTTGGATTTTAAATGTTAAATGTTTACATTAAATGCTACTTAAATGTTAACATTATGATGATTTTAATTGTTTTATGAGTGAGGAGACTTGAAGATCATCTGGTTTGCTCTCTACATGAGTGAGAAAACTGAAGCCTGAAGAAATGAAAATACTTGCCCCAGATTTCACAGAGGGCTAAGAGTCAAGATGAAATTAGAATCTATGCAATTCAGTGCTGTCTCTATTATAGCATAAGGAAATATGCTAAAAAACTTATTGGACAGTAACTCTGTGTTTTCACAATGTGCCCTACATTTGTCTAAAAATACAGTAGCTTACTGTCCTTAAGTACAAATGGAGCTCTAAAATAATCTTTTATTAATACATGCATTTTCATTTGCTGTTCAAGCAACAAGATGTGTCCCTTTTGAAGGTTCTAGTGTAATTTTTCAGTTACCACGACTTTTATTTTGAGTGAGACTGCAGCAATATGATAGGCAAGAATAGTAAATTGGCCCTCACGGAGCGTCAGCCTGGTAGTACTTGATTCATAGACCCTGTTGGGTAGAAGTTGACAATACACTACTAAAGAAGACAGGCTTTATTTGTACTATAATTTTATTTCAGAGAGAATACTCAGAAACCAAATTTAAAAGTAAACAAAAGTAAATACCATATTTTTGACTTAAAAATAATAATTTTAACATTCAGAAAATCTTACTTTTATCTTAGGAATAAGAGAATACGGTGACATTTTTAAGTTTGAAAATGTTTACTCTTCAATCTTATGGGCAAAGTGTCTTTTGCTAAGCATTTTTCCTTAACTGCCATATATATAAACCCAGATTTATAGCATGCCTAAAACCTGAAGTACAATAAATTATGGGTTTTTTTTGTTTTTTTTGTTTTTGAGATGGAGTCTTGCTCACTTGCCAGACTGGAGTGCAATGGCGCGATCTCGGCTCACTGCCAACTTCTGCCACCCGGGTTCAAGCAATTCTCCTGCCTCAGCCTCCTGAGTAGCTGGGACTACAGGTGCATGCCGCCAGGCCCAGCTAATTTTTGATTTTTTTTTTTTTTGTTTTTAAGTAGAGACGGGGTTTACCATGTTGGCTAGGATGGTCTTGATCTCTTGACTTCATGATCCGCCCGCCTCGGCCTCTCAAAGTGCTGGGATTACAGGCCTGAGCCACCACGCCTGGCCTAAATTTGTACGTGTCCGTGCCCGGACACATATGCTGAACATTTGTGTCCCTCAAAAATTCCTGGTGATACCATAAATCCCCAATATGACAGTATCTGGAGATGAGCCCTTTGGGAGGTAATTAGGTCATAAGGGTGGAGCCCTCATGATGGGATTACTGCTCCTATTAGAAGGGGCAAGAAAGACCTTGCTTTCCCTTTCTCTGATTTCTGCCACGTGAAGACACAACGAAAAGACAGCCATCTGCAAACTAGGAAGAGTGCTTTCACCAGAATCCCACAATGCTGGCACAAGCCTCCCAGAACCGTGAAAAATAAATTTCTCTTTTTTAAACCACCCAGTCAATTTGTTATAGCAGCCTGAGGTGACTAAAACACCATGAAAACTTAAGAATTTTGGTCGGGCCCGGTGGCTCATGGCTATAATCCCAGCACTTTGGGAGGCCGAGGCAGGCAGATCACCTGAGGCCAGGAGTTGAAGACCAGCCTGGCCAACATGGTGAAACCCCATCTCCACTAAAAATACAAACTGGCACATGCCTGTAATCCTGGGAGGCTGAAGCACTTGGACTTGTAATACTGGGAGGCAAAAGAATTGCTTGAACCTGGGAGATGGAGGCTGCAGTGAGCTGAGATTGCGCCACTACACTCCAGCCTGGGCGACAGAACAAGACCCTGTCTCAAAAAAAAAAAAAACAAAAAAACAAAAAAACAAAAAATAAACAAACAAAAAACCCCAATAATTTTGGTAATTATCAACTGGAAGTTGGGAGAATCTTTGGTATTGAGTTTTTGCCTAAGAAATTCTTATATACTTCTTATAAGTTCTTCCTTTATGTAATAAGAATATCTCACACTATATAAAATATTCTAAAATTTTCATATTTTATCTATTATAATAAACAGGTAAAATAGGGTTAAAAAAGTAAACTCCTGTATCATCATGAGGAACTTTGTTACTTATTGGAAGTATTTTTACTCCCTTCTCATAATTTGTTTGCAATGCTGAAATATTCAGTTGTCAATGCCAATAGAAGTTCGTATTCTGTCCAGAACTGTTGTCCAGTTCTATTTAAGTTCTTGATATGATTCTAAACAATCTGTGTAATCATAACATAAATCTCACTAATAAGAAATCAATTCAACGCTTAAGAATTGCCTTAAGTTATTCATTTAAATACTTAAATATATACAGCTATTAGGCAGCCCAAGGACAACTACATTTTTAGCAAGGCTATGTAGATATCATGTCAGAACTAAGTACTAGAAGAAATAAGACAACATTTCCCAAATATATACATTAAGATATTAGGGTTTCTTTGATAAAATAAAGCAGAAGACAATATTCCATATAAACAAATAGAAAATGTAAAGATTATTTTGCCCACAATTACATTCCCTGGAAAATTTTAAAGATAAATTTTTGGCTAGGTGTGGTAGGTCATGCCTGTAATCCCAGCACTTTGGGAGGCCCAGGAAGGGGGGATTGCTTGAGGCCAGGATTTCAAGACCAGCCTGGAAAACAGAGAGAGATACCATCACTATAAAATATTTAAAAGTTAGCCAGGCATGGTGGCACAAGCACAGGAGTTTGAGGCTGCAGTGAGCTATGGTGGTGCTACTGTGCTACAGCCTGGCTGGCAGAGCAAGACCTTGCTTCTATTAAAAAAAAAAAAGGAAATTTATTTCAAAGGTATATATTCTTATATAAATTTTAAAGTCCATTACCTTAAAACTATAGTCCTGTGTGAATACATTAGATTATAAGATATCCAAAACTTACAGAAGTACATGCTAAAATACACACTGTGCTCAGCTATATTATTGACGTAATTAAAACTATTAATATATGCAAAGTGATAAATTTTGTTTTGTTTTATTTTGAGATGGGGATTTTGCTGTGTTGCCCACACTGGACTCAAACTCTTGGGTTCCAGTGATCCTCCTGCCTCAGTTTCCTGATTGGCTGGGATTATAGGTGAGTGTCACTGGGCCCACCAAGTGTGATGAATTTTAAGCAAAACTGAATTAATCTTATACAAATAAATTTACGAGCTACTAGATTAGAAAAAAAGAATGACAAAGCTGTCAACAGATTTCCAATGAATAGTTATTGATGTTACTCAGTGTATGCAGAATTATTCCAAATTCATGCAATATGTACTTTATTATACTTAGAGTGATAAGAAAAGCTCTTTATCATTAAAAAACAAATCTGAGAAGTAATTATAATTACCATTTATACTTAAGTTAGACTGATAAAGAAATATGTTTTTTTAAAGACATCTTATCTACCTTTCCAAATTATTCTTATAAATATAATCATGTCATCCTCTTTTGGTTTCAGACACATTTTATCAGGTTTAAAAACAAAATTGAAACCATCATCTTTCATGGTAAATTTTATAGTATCTCCCAAGTTTTAAAACTACTAGCTGAAGGTACAAAACTCAGCCTAACTCACTTCATACAAATGTAAATCCTAAATCAATCAATAATATAATTTTGCATTTTAAAGAGTTGCTTTTATTAAAACCATTTCAGAACAGATTTAACTGTTTTCCATTTTCTAGCAATATCAATAAAGCTTAATTTAATTTCTCCTTAATCTAGGTGGTCATATTATAAAAAATAGAAAACATAATTTCCACATGGGGCAAGATAATTTATTTATACATATTTAACATTTCTATAATTAGCTCTACTTCTGGAGACTTAAAATCCATTACAATATTTCTTTTCATACCTGTGAAATACCATGGATTAATAGTATTCTACACAATTTATAGAACATCCTATTATTTTGCTTGTTATCTGAGAAAAATGAGGCAGAGTCAGAGTTTAATTTACTTTTAACACATACATGTACACACATGAGTACAGTGAAATTATTAACCACCAAACCTTCATTAACAGGAATACTTTAGAAATGCAATCTTCTGGTTAACTTTTATTCATATTACTAAAGACTGTTCTAAAACATATGAGCAGTTTCTGACTTAGAAATAACAAAATGAAGAACATGATTTATTCCCTTTTTGATTGTTCAGCAATTTTTGTCATTGAGGATCATCATTCCAACAATTACTACTGTAGCTGCAAACTGGTGGCCCATCCATTAGATCTGGCCCACTGATATACTCTCTTTGGCCAAAAGAGTTGTTTACAAAGATAACATAAGAATTAGGGTTTCTGATCTCCTGAAACAGCAGATCTGTCAATACTGCTGCATGTCAATAACTAGCTTAAGGGGAACAGCACTTTCCCCCTTTAATGGGTGCATACATTCTCCAGCTCACCACCATTCCCAACACTACCAAGTTCTTAAGCCTGACTTACTTCAATCACTTATATTACCTGCTTGGCCCCTTTAGGTCTTTAAGTTTGAGTTCCCCAGTCCACTACTATATCACTGTAACTGTAGGAGTCCCAGGAAATTAAATGTAATATGGTCTGGAGAAAATTCTGTGAAAGTTGCCTTAAGAAGAAATCCGTTATCTTGATGTAGGCAGTTTCTATGTTCACTTTCCTATTTCTGGTAAAACATGATTAATAAAAATTCTAGTCAGTTTACTTCTAGTTGGCTAATGCCAGATTTACTAAGTAAGTGTTCCCATATTGTTAAAAATAATTAAAGATTTAGTTTATAATAAATGGTAAAAAAAAAATCCTTCCCTCCTCACTGAACCATTTCAAAGATCGTTTTACTGCATGTAATTCTCATTATAAGTATGCAAATACTAGAACCATAAATATTTAATGATTCAGTAAAGACATCAAGCATGCTATTGTCAAGCTAGCACTGAAGAAACTACACTTAATGAACAAAACGCCTCATTGAATAAACAACTATTTCTGAAATTTAAAAAAGCGAAAGGCAGCTGTTATTCCTATGCAATTTATTTTGCTGAAAGTTTAAGAATTTAATCAACATTATTAACATTTCATTTTAGGGTTTATAATAAATTGAATGCAAACTGAAATACATTTATAATCTTAAGCTTCAGATCAGTACTCTTACATTTTGTTACTACAGAATAATTATTATAAACTATTATGCAGTAATATTCTGAGACAATGCATCTAGTTATTTTCAATTTACAAAGAAATATTGACTTGCACGTGTTCTTATATTTATTAGAGTTAAATATTTGCAATCCTTCAATGTAAGCTTGAAAAGTTATTAAAGCTTAAAAATTAAAAAATTAGTTATTAAAGCTTATACATTAATGTAGATGAAAAACTTAAATGATTATAAAAATTGAATAAAAATACTGTAAGCATATTGATATTTTAATCTGTCATTTCTGCAGCAACTATGCTAATAATTAAGACATGAATATCTAATCCATCAATACAAAAAAAAAGGCAATTGCCAGATTTTTCAAAGTCAGTGATGTAGTTCCTAGAATCTTACTTTGGCTAACAGAAATATTAATGATTAACATTTACGAACAAATTTCTAATGGGTTTAAATACTACTGTTATTTAATACAATGGAAAGATTAATAAAATGCTTTATAGTATAATTTATATATTCCTTAAGGAAAATAGTAGTACCTAATCCTTTCAACATCTTTTTGTTCTCTTCTTTAACTGTCATCTTCCTTTTTTCTGTGTTTCCATATAGTAACAACAAACTGACAATGTTTTTAAATTGCACTAAAGGCAAACCAATCTTTCAATACAAGATGAATGCATTATGTACTGATTTAATACCAAATTGTGTAATAACCACAAATCGAGAAACTAGTATATAGCAAGTGAAATGCAGATAAAAATGGAATATGACAAACCCTTAATGCAGAAATGAATATTATTTAAAATGCCAAAATAGAATTTCTCTTAGGTGTTGTTTTTATCTTAAAGGTAAATAATAATTTTAAAATAACAGTAAAAGTATTTTAAACACATTTAGAGAACATGAAAATTACTTTTCAGTTCAAATAACATTGACAAAAATTAGGAATTCTAATATCAGAACAATTTATTTGTCAGAGACAAATTCAGGTCTTTAATTATCTAAATGTATTCATTTTAACTATTCAACCCACATTAAAAGAAAATATCTACAAAATAGATTATGAAAAGACAGTTTCCTTATTTGTGGTTATTTTTTTGTATGCCATTAATCCATTATCTAACCTTATAATGTGGTAGAAAGACTGAAAACTGGATTTAAAAAAATAACTGAATTGTTTACATATCTTCTTGTGGCACTCAGCAAAATTTGATAGGGGGAGTAGCCTGTTCTATTTGAAAAAAAACATAATTTGGGATCAGCAGTCTAGGGCTGGAGCATAAAAGCTCTATGAAAAAATGAAGAATTATACTAATAAAAGTAGAACTATATGTACATATTATATGTATATATATGATATATATATGTATGTAATCCACTAGTTACTTTATATATATAGTCAGTGGGTTAAAGCATAACTAGAGCCAATTCCAAAATGATAGTCCCTGATGCAATTCTTTCTTCCAGTCCTGTTTTCATGTTTTAAGAACCGTGAAACATATCATAAATACAGAAATGCGTAAGATATATGCTCAATCAAAAGATAATTTTAAAATTAATATCTTTCTAATCATCTCCCAAGTAAAGAGCAGTCTCCTTTAAAGAAGTTATAGGCAGGTAGGATTTGGCCCAATTGGGAAAAATCTTTATAATAATTACAAATGTCCAAGAATATGAACTGCCTCATAAGGTAGAGGGCTCTCAACTGTTCAAGCAGATTGGACAATCAACTATTAGTGATATCGTATAGCGTTAGAGCATTCATCACATTTAGATACAAACTGGAATAGAATTCTCATGTCAAGGCCAGAAAATTTATGTTTTTAAAAAGCTCCCCCAGTGTTTTGTTTATGAGCCTGATTTGACAACCACTGACATAGGAAGAGTCCTAGTTTAGTTCAGGGTACTAGATAGTTAACTTCTAAAGTCCTTTCCAATGATGGCCTATGGTTTTCTGGATATTATAATCTAATTATGAAAGAGAAGTACTATGTTACAATTTTAAGAATGAACCATTAGCAGAAAAGTATGAACAAAAGGAACATGATGATTATATTTCATAACAGTTAAAGGATTAATGAAAAGGGCACTAAATTTTACCTAATACTTTGATATTTAAAATTTGATTTTTAGAATTATCTTTCTCATTTATTGTCTGAGTTCAGTAGTTTTAATGAAAAACTGCAGTTTTAAAAACGACTGAAATAGGGACTCATTCATCCTTCAACAGGTATTTGCTGAGGACCTGTGCTGTGCTAGGCAGTGTTCTAGGCACTGGGGATACAGCAGTGCTCACAACAGATGAAGACTTTGCTCCCATGAACCTAAAATTTCAGTATGCCCTAAATATTGTTCTCTGAAAGAAGCATGCCTGAAACACAAGTTCTTTTTCTTTTGTAGTTATAATCATTTATACAGATTGAACCTAAATTCTAAATTTATTTAGTTAGAGCAGCAACAGAATCTTAAACCAGGAGAATCCTCATCTCAGAATGTAAATAATAAAATCTGGTCTGTCAGTCTCTCAAGTTTACGGTTAACATCCCATGACACATACATATATCATGTATGTATGTATATATCATATACGTATGTAGGTATTATATAGAAATATATCTATATAGTATAGGAATGCCATATGTTATACATAAATATATACATATATTACATATGCATGAGCTATAAAATCAGTTTTTAGCCAGAAAAGCACCCTACAAATGAGATATCAACATTATTATTTGTTAAAATCATGATTAAAATAAAATGGTGAAGACTCTGAAAGTATAACAGGAAATGAGGTAGCAATATTTTATCTTAACAGAAGTCTCTAAATATCTCCTTATAACATTCACTCGTTATTACATTGATTGACCTTGAATATTTTATTTGACAAATATAAGGGAATTTGCTCATTTTGTGTAATATGTAAAATTAATTCTTTTAATGAAGAGGGTATATTCCAATTAATAGTGGAAATAGGAAACTTTAATGATGTGTTGAAATATTAGATATGGGAATAATGGACTCATAATCATTAAATAACAATGTAAAACCAACCTGGAAATGAAAATGAGGAGGAGAGAAATAAACAGACATTATGGCAAGAATAGGATAGAGCAATTCATAAAGAGGGAAACTGGGAGAGAGTCTTCTAAGCATGCGCTAGATTAGAGCATGGTATATACACATGTATACATAGACACACATATGCATGCATGCACACATGTATATATGACATAAAAGGGAGTTCTAGAGCTGTAACCTCCTTTATTACAGCTAATGTTTCCAAGCCAACGTATTGTTGGAAGCATAGAAAAAGACAGACAGATAGCCAATGGGAGGCCGGGTGCGGTGGCTCATGCCTGTAATCCCAGCAGTTTGGTAGGCTGAGGCAGGTGGATCACGCGGTCAAGAGATGGAGACCATCCTGGCCAACACGGTGAAACCCCATCTCTATTAAAAATACAAAAAGTAGCCGGACGTGGTGGCAGGCACCTGTAGTCCCAGCTACTGGAGAGGCTGAGGCAGGAGAATCACTTGAACCTGTGAGGCAGAGGTTGCAGTGAGCTGAGATCGCACCACTGCACTCCAGCCTGGATGACAGAGTGAGACTCTGTCTCAAAAACAAACAAACGCACAAAAAGAAAATGAGCCACTTGTCAATTCCATCTCTTTATACTGTGGCTTAACTGCTTTGTTTGAAGTGATTCCCCAAACAACAGACAGACTGAATTTTTAAAATATATTTGGGAAGTCAGCAAAAATGATCAATTCTCATAATATTTATTGAACTATAGAAACTATTTTTATATTCCCTCTATTAGTGTCATTGCTTGAGAGATAAATCTCATCTTGTATTCCTTGGATAACATTTTTCCTCTTTACTGGATTTGTTAATCCTTACTTGATTTTACAATTCATTTGCTAGTTCCATCTGTCAGCTTTTTTAGAGATAATATCAATCCCTACAGTGAGTTTTTTCTAGACAACCCCATATTTTGTACCATAATTTTATGCTTAAACTCAACAAGAATAAAAATATTTATTTTACTGAAAGAATAGAGGCCAAAGTTTGAAATGGAAAATTAAAGCATGTCAATGAGTTTTAAGCACATTCCCTGAATGACTCTGAAAGTATTACACTAAAATAGTTCCACTATAAACAAAGTTTGGAAAATGCTGGTTTAAATACAACTTTATTATAGTGCATCTCAGAGTGTTCAGGTATGCTGTGAATGTTGATGAGAAGGACTGTATGTGTAGTAGTTCCCAAATTTATTTGATAGTGGAATAATTTTTTTAAAGCATCAGTGCAGGGGATTAACTTTCTGAAAATACACTTGAAAAGCACTGATTTAAAAGATTCAATTTTATATTTCTAAGTATTCATAGCTCATATTCTTATCTTGTTGACTGATTTTAGCTAAATGTCCTCTCAGATTCACATAGCTGGAATATTTTAAAAAGACTTAACAAGAGAACCCATGGGACTCATGTGCAAAATAATATGTAATGTTTTAATTACTGTATTTTTTACAGTTTAAAAACCTTATGCTTGGTTTGGATCAAGGATAAGAAAAACTGTTTAAGCTTCTCAAATATGTTCTTAAGCTATTAATTCAGAAAAAGACTTTTTAATGGTTAGAGGCAGCAAGAAATTATAGATTTTCTTTTGAGAATGTTTTTCTGCCTTATATAAGGCTGAAAGAGTTTCACTTATCTTTTCTTGTCACAGTTTATGTCTTCAAAAGGTATTCTGCAGTGAAGTGGAAGGAACCCTGAACTTTGGTTACATACGGTATAATTTTTATCACTACTTTGACACTTATGTAATACTGGGCAATTTAGATCACCTCTTATAACATCAGTTTTCCATCAATCTGAGCTTCAAAGAGAGCTTTAAGTGAAATTTAAGTGGCTTATAAAATGCTTTACCAATGGGAACTATTATTTTCAAATCAATCTAATTACTTTTTATACTTTTTATTCTATATTGTAATCATTTGTACACTTATCCATCTCCCCTCTAGAAAATAAGCTCTTTGAGGAAAGGGATAGGTTTTGTTAACAACTATTTTCCCTATTTTGGCACAGGGTCTAGCACATAGATGTTAAAAATTATTTGCTGAATAAAATGAAGGCAATTTAAGAAATAAAATAATTTTAATTCCATAACCACTAAAGGTCAACCATATCAAACTATGAAACAAACCTTATAAACATTGTCCACAATCTCTACCCTATTACTTTGTGAAATTATAATGAAATCTTTTGGTACTTCAGAAAATATTTTATCTTGTATGAAATGCAAAATGGATCTATCCTATTCTGAATTGTCATGTGGAAAAGTGTGAGGAAAGTTTCTATGGAATATGCAGTTCTAAAAAGCTAAAAAAGTGAGAATTTTATAAATTTACTTTTCCTCTTTCCGATTCCTTTCTTTTTTTAAACCCATCTCTACTATTTATGAAATGCTTGTCATGTGCCAGAAAGTGTTAAGTGCCTTGAGGGCATTACTGCGTTGAGTTCTCATGACAACCCTCTAAAAAAATTACTATTATTATCCCCAGTATGTGAAGAGAGTGGCTTTTATTTTCCCAAGTTTATATTGTTAGAAACTGGCAGAACAAGGACTCAATCAAGTTCTGTCTGAATCCAGAGCTAACTTTTAATCATTATGCTATATTACCTCTCATGCATGTTTTTGGGGGACTTAGAGCATTATTTCTTTTTTTTTTTTTTTTTTTTTGAGACAGAGTCTCACTCTGTCGCCCAGGCTGGAGTGCAATGGTGCCATCTCGGCTCACTGCAAGCTCCACCTCCCAGGTTCATGCCATTCTCCTGCCTCGGCCTCCGGAGTAGCTGGGTCTACAGGTGCTCACCACCACGCCCGGCTAATTTTTTGTATTTTTAGTAGAGACAGGGTTTCACCATGTTAGCCAAGATGGTCTCGATCTCCTGACCTATTGATCTGTCCGCCTCGGCCTCCCAAAGTGCTGGGATTACAGGCAGCATTATTTCTTATACTAAAAATGTGGATGATGAAAAGTGATGAAGACTCATTGTATGCTTACTATGAGTCAGTGTTCATGGCATCAAGTTCTCATTCACAGCTTAGCAAAGCAAGCCAGTCTAATCCTCAAGGTGCCAGATCAGAACTCTAAGTCTCTATATATGACAGGTGTACCATATAAGGTAGCAATTCATACTCTGTGGTATACAGAAATAGTAAAAGAAAGCTGAGTAAATAATAGACTATCTAGAAAATACATAGTGGTCTTCAGACAACTATATATCTACTCAAAATATTTTCATAGAAAGTCCCAGAAGACTAATTCTACAAATTTTCTTATTTTTGCCATCTCCAAATGATAATTACATTATATCTAAAAATCCTGCATGAAATCTAACAAGAGTGGGAGAAAACCATAAGAAAAGGTAACAAAAGGCTGGGTATGGTGGCTTATGCCTGTAATCCAAGCACTCTGGGGGGCCAAGGTGGAAGGATCATTTGAGGACAGGAGTTTGAGACCAGCCTGGGCACGCAGCAAAATCCCATCTCTACAGAAATGAAAATTAAAAAAAAAATAGCCAGGTGTGGTGGTGCATGCCTGTAGTCCTAGCTACTTGGGAGGCTGAGGCAGGAAGATCTCTTGAGCCAAGAATTTGGAGGCTGCAGTGAGATATGATCATGCCATATCATATGGCATGCAGTAATCATATGATCATGCAGTGAGATATGATCATGCAGTGAGATATGATACAGCCTGGATGATAAAACAAGACCCTTGTCTCTTAAATAAAAAAAAGAAAAAATAACAAAAGATACCATTAGAATTTAAACATTAAGCAAACTCATGCCAATCTTTGAATATGCCCCAAAAGAAAAGTGTAAAGAGAATTCTTTTGAAAGATGAAAAGATGAGGGAAATGACTATTCATCATATATCAGTAAATCAACCAACCAACCAACCAAATTGTTCCTAAATGGAATACATATGAGCCATGAAATACATTATTATGAAGTAATTTCCACTGATTTCTGAAATAGTAGTTTATTTCCATTGTGGGGGGGGGGCAGGGGAAAGACCACCTGGACTATTTATTTATTATTTATTGAGACAGGATCTCTCTCTGTTGCCCAGACTGGAATGCAACGGTTTGATCATGGCTAACTGCAGGCTTGAACTTCTGAGCTCAAGCTATCCTCCTCCCTCAGCCTTGGCATGTGCCATCACAGGGTAATTTTTTTAAAGTTTTTGTAGAGATGGAGTCTTGCTGTGTTGCCCAGGATGGTCTTGAACTGCTGGGCTCAAGCAATCCTCTTGCCTTGGCCTCCCAAAGAGCTAGGATTACATGCGTGAGCCACCAATACCAGCCTGTCCTGGACTATTTAAAAACTTTTGTCAAAGAAGACTGTGACTAGCATATTGGATATTGCACTATGTTAGAAGTACTATGTTGGAAGCTCTATTCCTTTGGAGCTCTTCACATGTGTAAACTTTCACTGTTTTGTTGCAATCTAATTTATTCATATACAAAGTTTTATTGAGTCCCTACTATGTATGAAATATTGTAGATACTGGGAGGCAGAAAAATAAAAAGATAAAAATGATAGATATACTATACTCAACTAATCAACCATGATAGATTAAATATATACTTAAAAAACTATCACAGGGGAGAAAATGGGTATCACAAGAGAAACTATTATTTTAAAAGAACATTATATATAAGCTGTGAAGAGAAGAGAAGGTACGTCATGGAAGAATTCACATGTGAGTTGAGTGGTGAAGGATGAGTAGGTACTTTACTCAAAAAGAAACCAGAAGCCACATTTCAGGTAGAAGAGTCAACGTGAACATACGTGCAAGGAACAAAGACAAGATCCTGGAAAGAGAAGGGTCAAGGAGAAGTGCAAAGGGTTGAAGTCAAGATATGGCTAAAAAATAAAGACTGGAATTGTTTCTTCCTTAAAATCCTAAAGTCTCAGGCCAGGTGTTCTTGGATTTTTTTTTTCACTTTTGTATCCTGAAGATTAGATTCCATTTTTTCTGTATGGAGAATCAGAATTTGAAAATAAAGTCATACTATAGTACCACACTATACTGATGTTATGGCATCTAACAATAATACTCATGCATGAAAGTTATTTTATTTCAAACTTTTTCTTTTACTATATCTATAAAATTCGAACTTCTGTATGTTAAATTTGCTTATCATGAGGGATAAACATGATTATGAGGGAATCACTGGTCAGAATACTGCATTTAGTTTGAATAACAGCTATAGATTAATTGTCCTTATTTGCTTTTAAAAATAAATATTGAATGTGATGGAAGCTACTGCAGCATTTTTTTCTACTGTAATTATTTCATACAGTAGAATTTATTCCAATTTCATGATTTCTCTACTTTCATACTAAATTCATTTTACTCCTTAATGTATAATCAGTGGGAAAAATGTTAGAAATTAAATGTGAAAAGAGCATAGAAATGCATTTTATCCCTATAGCAGACAAGTTAATAGAAATAATATTTACCTGCAAATTAATCAATAGTAGTAATGCCATAAAACAAAAGTTGAATATATTAATCAATGATAATGAACATTTTTAATGTATATAACTCTAAATTATTATTTTGTCTATAATGAAATTAATCAGTAAAAATTAATCTGTGCAGGCATCTCTGAATAAGGATAGAATAACCAGTTATCACAGAAATACAAATAAATAGAAGTTACTAACTAACTATATTACAAAGTAAAACTGTAAAAGTCTCTTAAAACTTATGTAAGACATGAGAATGAATTTTAGGCTGGGGGGCTCATGCCTATAATCCCAACACTCTGGGAGGCATCAGTGAGAGGACTGTCTGTGGCCAGGAGTTCAAGACAAGTCTGGGTAGGTAACATAGTGAGACATTGTCTCTACTTAAATTTTTTCATTTCTTTTCATTTCATTTCTTTTCTCTTTCTCTTTTTTTTTTTTTTTTTTTTTTTTTTTTGTGGCAGAGTCTTCTCTGTCACCCAGGCTGGAGTGCAGTGGCACAATCTTGGCTCACTGCAACCTCCGCCTCCCAGTTCAAGCGATTCTCCTGCCTCAGCCTCCCGAGTAGCTGGGACTACTGGTGCGTGCCACCATGCCCAGCTAAATTTTTTTGTATTTTTAGTGGAGATGGGGTTTCACCATGTTAGCCAGGATGGTCTCGATCTCCTGAGCTCATGATCTGCCCACCTCGGCCTCCCAAAGTGCTGGGATTACAGGTGTGAGCCACCATGCCCAGCCTTCTAAATTTTTTTAAAAAATTAGCCAGGCATGGTGGCATGTACCTGTATAGTACCAGTTACTTGGGAGACTGAGGTAGGAGGATTGCTTGAGCCCAGAAGGTCAAGGTTGAAGTGAGCTATGATAGCACCATTACACTTTAGCCTGGATGACAAAATGAGACTCTGTCCTAAAACTTTTTTTTTTAATTAACACTGATGTCCAATTTCATATCAATGAAGAGAGATATGGTATTGAATTAGAAATAATATCAGTTAGTAGAAATGATCACCCTGAAAGTGTGGTGACACCAATAGCAAGTGGAACCCTTTTCACTATGCACAATGCAATACCAACCTTTATCTTGTCTTAACTAAAACCTGGTACTTTCTTGAACATGCTGTTTCCCCTGAGGTTCTTTCTAGTAACAAATACTTATCCTTCTTCCTAGGTTGTAATATTTCTGGCTAGTTGATACTTTTTCTTGAATATTTACCTTCCACTTTTATTTAGAAGTTTAAATTTCTTTGCAGTTTATGACAACTGGCTATGCTAACTTATACCTCTGCCCCTCCCGACACCCAACCCCTTTTATTCCCTTTCTGGTATCTAATGGTCACTCCTTCATTTACTGAAGTCCTTGAGAGCTGGCTTAGACTTTTCTTCAATTCTCAATTTTACCACAATCCTAAAGGATTTAAATAGCCGTTACAAAAACCTAACCAACCGCCCAATTATCCCAAACTTACATAAATCCAGTTATCTTCATATTTATCTTCTCTTCCATTACACTCTATTCACTCCAATGCTGTGTCATATAATATTTCAACTAATAGAATAGCATCTACATAAAATCTTACATTTCAAAAACATGTTCTCTCTTTTTTTTTTTTTTCTTGAGACAGGGTCTCACTCTGTCAACCAGGCTGGAGTGCAGTGGTGTGATCTCAGCTCACTGCAGCCTTTGCCTCACTAGCCAAAGGGATCCTCCCATCTCAGCCTCCCAAGTAGCAGACCACAGGTGTGCACCACTGTGCCTGGCTAATTTTTGTATTTTTTGAAGAGGCTGGTCTCAAATTCCTGCAGTCAAGCTATTTAACTGCCTTGGCCTTCCAAAGTGCTCGGATTACAGGCATGAGCCATCACACAGGCCTCAAAGACATATTATAACTAAAACCTCTTACCTCCCCGAACCCTATTTTTACTATATCATATAATTTTCCAATTCTTGGATTTCATCTGTTTTATCCTACTTCATCAGTTCCCACATGAACTTGTCTTCCTTCTTATTTAGCACTGACATTTATACAAGCACTCTCAGTTTCTTTCTACTGCTATTTTTCCAACAACCCCATCCATCAAAACTCCCACTCCTCAATAAATGCTATAGTGTGACTTAACTGTTTCTACACTTTACCTATCTCAGTGCTAGTGAGAAAGATCACACTGCTCTCTCATGCTGGTGTCTCTTGAAACTGTTTGTCTCCAACCTGCAGAACTATTCAACAACCCTTTAATTTGTCCATTGTAAGCTACTTCTCATATTTTCTTCAGTAGTTATTCCAAATCTTCAAACCCCCAACTCAACTTTTAAACTCTTATATTCTTACTTCTTATGTGATTGAGAAAATTAAGGCCATCAGGCAGTATTAGCCAACTTCCCAACTCCTTATCTAATAACTTATCTATTTTCATATTTGTTTTTCCTTTTTCAAGCCAGTTTATCCAGCTATGTTTCTGATCCCATCTCCTCCTCCATCTTCAGGTTCTTACTCTAGTAGGTTTGCCTTCTCAGTCCTCTACCTTCAGATAGACCTTCTCTTCAGACCATGTATGTTACCTAGCCTCAAATTTGTCACTTGCAGGGTCCCATATAGTGACTGTGAAGTCATGAGTACACTCAAGTTTACCACACAGGAAAATAATATGATGGCGTATCAACATTTAACCTAGTAATTTTCCTAAATTTTTGAGAATAATATATTTAATTATTAATTGAGAATCTTCAATATGTAGCCAGTTCACAGTTTGAGGCCAATGATTATATTTATGTCCAAAGAATAAATTTTGGACAGTAACAGAAAGGAAAAAAAAAATCACCTTTTCTTGAGCATAAGGTCTGTGTTTTATTCATCTTCAACACTCTGGAAATTTAAAAATATACGCACAGATGAAAAAAATAGAAAAAAGATGAATATTTTAGGGAAAGGTGGCTCAGAAGGAGTATTAGAATAAAAGAAAATATGCTTGACAAACTAAACCCTAAACAAAATATTGTTTGCATATTATCACCTCTAAAGTCATATTTATAGAAGAAGCAACATAGACTATAGATTCTCCTTCCCTCACTTTTTTCTGGAGACATTTTTTGGCATTTAAAATCATATAATTCACAGGTGATAAAACACACCCTTTTAAAGTATATGATTCAGTAGCTTTTAGAACATTCACAAAGTTGTGTGACTATCACCACTATCTATTTTGACAACATTTCATCACCCCAAAAATGAATTCTGTATCTATTAGTAGTCATTCTCCAGTCTCCTTTCCCCTTAACCCCTGGCAACAAGTAATCTACTTTTTTTTTAAGGATTTTCCTATTCTGGACATTTCATATAAATGAAATAATACAATATATGGCCTTTTGTGCCTTTCTTCTTTTACTTAGCGTAAGTTTTGCAAGCTTCATCCATGTTGTAGTATGAATCAGTGGTTCAATCCTTTTTACAGCTGAATAATATTCCATTGTATGGATATACCACATTGTTTACCTATTTACCAAAGCAGAGATCTTTTTCTCTGATGTTTTCACAAATTAACTACTTCAGAGAAACTGACTACTCATATTTTATGCTATTATCCTAATGAGCTTGTTATATGGTTTGGCTGTGTCACCACCCAAACCTCATTTTGAATCATAGCTCCCATAATCCCCATGTGTCATTGGAGGGATTGGGTGGGAGGTAATTGAATCATGGGGACGGGTTTTTCCCATGCTGCTCTCGTGATAGTGAATAAATCTCATGAGATCTGATGGTTTTATAAAGGGCATTTCCCTTGCACATGGTCTCTTGACTGCTGCCGTGTAAGATGTGCCTTTCTCCTCCTTCACTGAACTTCCTCCATGATTGTGAGGCCTCCCCAGGCATGTGGAACTATGAGTCAATTAAACCTCTTTTTCTTTATAAATTATCCAGTCTCAGGTATTTCTTCATAGCAGTATGAAAATGGACTAATACAGTTTATATTTATAAGTTATTTTTTAAGATAAGAATTTCCTATTAAACTAATCTCCATGAGAGATAATATCTCAAGTTATGGAAGGAGAAATGGGGTTATGGAGAAATAAACATATTTCAGAGGCAATTAAGCATTAGAATCAACAAGACTTGGTGAATGGAGGGAAGAAATTGTGCCCAGTGGAGAAGAACTAATCAAGAGTGATGCCCAGGTTTCTGGTTTGAGCAGGTGCAAAGATAACAGGCCATGCACTGAGACTGAGTGTATAGAAGGAGGAGTAAGTTATTTATTTTGGCTGCTGGTTTGGTGAGGGGTATAATGAATTTAATTTTACATGCTGAGCTTAGCATGCCCCTGGGACATACAGGAAGATGTGCAGAACCCAGGAGGACAGATCTGGCAGATAATTAGGAGGGAGATCTGGGCTGGAAGTATAGATTTGGAAGTTATCAATACATACATGCTACTTGAAGCCATGAAGCATTGAAGCCATGAAGCATTAAGATAATACGTGTAGATAGTGAAGAAAAGAGGGCCCAGGATGGGATCCTGGAAAATGTCAACATGGAGGACATATAGAAAGCTCACAAAGAAGACAGAGGTGGCCAGAGTGTATGCAGAACTAACAGACAATCATAAAAGCCAAGAGGGCAGACAAAATGTTTCAAGAAGAGATTGGCAATGAGATCAAATTCTAAATAAAGTTTGCCTGATAAAATATAAAAACTGCTAACTAAATTTAGCAGCATACATAATTTCAGTTATGTAACAAAAAGTTAAATAACTTGTAGTTGTAATAAAATAGAAGTAGAAAAACAAATCCTCAAAAAGGAGGCAAACAAGAGAGTAGATTTTAGGTACTCCTAACACACACAAAATAAAAGAAAGAAAGGTAACTATATGAGACAATGGGTATGTTAAGTTGCTTGACTACAGTAAATGCTATGTGTGTGTATATATATGTGTGTGTGTGTGTATCTATATGTATCTCAAAATAAGCATATCAAAACATCACATTTTACACCTCAAATGTGTACAATAAAAAATAGACAATGGTAAAAAATTTCAATTATTATGTCTAATATAGTAGAATTAATATAGTCCAAGAAGGCCGGGCACGGTGGCTCATGCCTGTAATCCCAGCACTTTGGGAGGCCGAGGCGGGTGGATCACTTGAAGTCAGGAGTTTGAGACCAGCCCCTGGGCAACATGGCAAAATGCTGTCTCTACTAAAAATATAAAAATTGGCTGGGCATGGTGGCACATGCCTGTAATCTCAGCTACTTGGGAGGCTGAGGCAGGAGAACTGTTTGAACCCGGGTGACGGAAGTTGCAGCGAGCCGAGATTGTGCCACTGCACTCCAGCATGGGCAGCAGAGTGAGACCCTGTCTCAAATATATATATGTAAAATATATATTACATATATAATATATGCAATATTATATATTACATATATAATATAATATATAACATATATTACATATGTAATATATAATATAATATATAACATATATTACATATGTAATATATCATATATAACATATACTATATAATATATCATATATACTATATAATATATCATATATACTATATAATATATAATATATCACATATATAATATATTACATATAATATATAACATATACAATATGATATATATTACATATATAATATATATTACATATATAATACATATATATTATATATTACATATATAATATAATATATAATATATATATAACAGGAAATTGAATGGGATTAGTATGTTTTTGGCATTTCACTTGAACTTGCCAACAGACTAGATAAAAAAGAAAATACAATGGGCTACATTGTTTTCTTATCAGTAAGGCAGCTATATCCGTTCTTTAAGAGAGATAATAATAAAATCTTAAAGTTTTACCTAGACTATTCTAAAATGGATGAGTAGCATAAGAAACAATATCCTCAAAAATGCTTGGATAGCTAATGTAAAAGTAATTCTATATGGCTATTGCTGTTTCTTTAAGAACTTTCCATGAGCCTCTTCTACCCAACATAGTAGAGGAGGTTCTAGCCATAAGTTAACCAACATAGCAGAGGAGATTCATGAGGCAAGAAAAAGAAATAAAAGGGATTCAGATTGAAAGAGAAAGTAAAACTATCTTTAAATGCAGGTGACATGATCTCCTATATAGAAAATTCTAAGGAATCAACAAAAAACTATTACAGCTAAAAAATGAGTACAGCAAGGATATAAGATCAACATACAAAAATTAATTGTATTTCTATACACTAGCAATGAACAATTAAAAATGAAAGTAATGAAACAATTCCATTTACAATAGCATCTAAACAAAATACTCAGAATAAATTTAACAAAAGAAGTAAAAGATGTATATACTGAAAACTACAAAACATCATTGCAAGAAAATAAAGAAGCTGGGTATGGTGGCTTACACCCATAATCCCAGCCCTTTGGGAGGCTGAGTAGGGAGGATTGCTTGAGCCCAGGGGTTCGAAACCAGCCCAGGCAACATGGCCAAACCCCGTCGCTACAAAAAATTTTTAAAAAATTAGCTGGGTGTGATGGCGTGACCCTGTAGTCACAACTATTCAGGAGGCTGAGGTGGGAGGATCACCTGAGCCTGGGGAGACAGAGGCTGCAGTGAGCCATGATTGCACCACTGTACTCCAGCCTGGGCAACACAGTGAGATGCTGTCTCAAAAAAAAAAAGAAAGTAAAGAAAAAATAAATGTTTTCTGCCGATCATATGGGGCAGAAAAATAAAGAAAAAATAAATGGAACAACATTTTGTGCTCATGGATTAGAAGACTTAATATTCTTAAAATGGCAACAATCCTGAAATTGATCTAACTGAACACAATCTCTATCAAAATCCCAGAAATTTTCCCCCTGAATTGACAAGCTGAACTGAAATTTCAGTAGGAAATACAAGCAACCCAAAAGAGAGGAGGAATAGCACCTACACACCACTGGCATCATAATCACCTGTGGTGTTTTAAAAATGCAGAATCACAACTTTAGGAGTGATGTTCAAGTACTTTCAAAAAGTTCCCAGTTGAGTGTTATGCACAATCATAAAACAGAGTAGAAGTTATTTGGGCTTATAAGGTTTTCATTGGTAATAAATAGAAGATAGCCTTGGTGATAAAGAAGAAAACAACAACAAAAAAGAAAATACAAGCCACAGGTAATACTTGGTGGAGGAGCACAGCCCATCATACCCTCTGTGATGAGTTGGCACTGAAACACACTTCCAGAAAATTAAAAACAAAACAAAACAAAAAACTAAGCTTGATGGAATATTGGAATGGAATATTAAATACTGTCTGGAAACATCTGCCAAATAGTAGAAACTTATGTTCAGCTGTTTGTTGTACCAGTGGTCAGTCACAGAACCAATTACCTCAAATTTATGATAATAAAGGCAAATCATCAGAATAACAGGCAATGCTCACTTTCCTGTTTGTTGCATACTATCATCTAAGCTATGGAAAGGTGCGTGAATCATTGAAAAATCCATTCCTCTGTTTAACAAGCTAAAAAGCCTAGATAGACAAAATAGATAGGTGTACACAACAGTCAGGATGACAATGCTGGTATTTTAGAGTCCTAATCACAACTATTTTCAAAAGACCTCTGCTTCCCCTTTAAAATTCCATAATATAGGCATAAATAGACTGTATATATCAAGTTATATCACATAGCTATGTAATCTGTTTTCACACTAACTCTGATCTAGAATATGTTAGCAGCAGTGACTTTGAATAAATGTTTCATTAACAATTATTCTGCTTGTCCTTCTAAAGATTATGAGATCTTTTGCTAGATAATTGAAATGGCTAAGTCTCTTAAAATCAGTTATTCATGAAAATTTGAACTGATGCCCCAAATTTTTCCTTAAAAAAGTCTCTATCTCAAAAAGAGCAATTCTCTTAAAAAAGAGCAATGATAATTCCATAGCATTTATAGATATGCCTGAGAACCATAAGTGTATAGAGAAATAATTTCTTGATTTTTAGTTTGAACACAAAATTACCAACATTGTTGCTTTTGACAATACTATGCTTTTCAGTATTTGTTTTTTCTATCTTCCATTACAAATTACTTAAGATTGCCTCTCTCTGAATATTTCATCAAATATTCTTATGAATTTGTTGAGGCCATCCCGATGACATTTTAATATGGAACTATCCTCAAACATCCATCCACACATGGCTAAGAAACTGCATCACTCTCAGGCTTAGAAATTTTAACATGTTTAATTTCATTAAACTTTTTAAATTTTTATTTTTGATGTGTGTGTAAATATAGCTAAGTATAAATATATTACTCATTAATTAACTTAGGAAAAATATTATATTCAAACATTTAACAAACTATTTTTGAACTTACTTTTTGCTATTCATTTCTACTTTTACATTCAGTAGACTTACTAAATGTGACTTACTATAAAATGAACATAATCATGCAGTAAGATCTGTATCATACAATTAGATCTAATTAACGAAAATAGCAATTATAATGGCTTCTGTTTATTTTAGTTACTGTGTTAATTGTAAGTACTAGCATTGCTATAAATGTTAAACTCTGAGGTAAATTTTTTTTTCCTTCATATTAGGTTGGTGTAAAAGTAGTTGTGGCTTCTGCCATTAAAATTAATGGCATTAAAAGTAATGGCCATTAAAAGTAATGGCAAAAGCCGCAATTACTTTTGGACCATGCTTCATAAAACTTAGATTTCAAATAAAAGATATAAAATGTCAATCATATATAGGTTGAGCATTCCCTAATTTGAAAATCCAAAATCCTAACTGCTCCAAAATCCAAAACTTTCTGAGTGCCACAATGCACAGTAACCTTTAAATCAAAACACAACATTGTAGGGAGAAACTGAAAGCTTGTCATTGTTTTTTTTTTTTTTGCTATTGCTTAACTGCTGATATAGGTGTTCTGGTGATGCTACTATGCTGCTTAGTTCCCTGAACACATTACCTTTTCACTGTATTAATAGTTTGTCATATTTTTTACTGTTAAGTACTTATGTGTTAATAAGTGCAAGAAAGTGACTACTGGTTGGGAGCATAGAAATTCAGAGTCAGAAATGATATGATGCCAAACAACCACAGACTGTGCACATGAGTGACTGAGACAGATGTCTTTGCTTGCTTCTGATCATTCAATGCAGACAAACTTTGTTTCATTCACAAAATTATTAAAAATATGGGATAAAATTACCTTCAGGCTATGTGTATAAGGTGTCTATAAAACATAAATGAATTTAGTGTTTACACGTGGATCCTATCCTCAATATATCTCATTATATATATGTAAAAATTCCAAAATCTGAAAAAAATCCGAACTCTGAAACACTTCTGGTCTCAAACATTTCAGATACGGAATATTCAGCCTGTAGTATAGAATAAGATTATTTCCAATAATGTTGTATAAGAACATAAGTTGTTATTAATGTTTAAACAATCTGTGATTGTGTTTATCAACTACCAAAACAAAATGATGCTTGGAATACTCAGATATATTTTCTCTCACAATAAAGACTGAGATTTATTCTAAGAAGTAAAAGCAAATTCAAAAGCCTATGTTGAAATGATTAATGAGTGCTACCAACATTTTCTTTTTCTTTTTCTTTTTTTTTTTTTGGTGGGGGGCGGATGGAGTCTCGCTCTGTCACCAGGCTGGATTGCAGTGGCATGATCTCGGCTCACTGCAACCTCCACCTCCTGGGTTCAAGCGATTCTCCCACCTCAGCCTCCCGAGTAGCTGGGACTATGGGCGCACACCACCACGCCCAGCTAATTTTTGTACTTTTAGTAGAGATGGGGTTTCACCACGTTGGCCAGGATGGTCTTGATCTCCTGACCTCGTGATCCTCCCACCTCAGACTCCCAAAGTGCTGGGATTACAGGCGTGAGCCATCGCACCCGGCCCCAACATTTTCTTATAAGCAATTGCCGTTGATACTTCTTGGCATGTTCCAGGATATATGTTCCCTACAGAGATCAACCTGGCCTCCTCTAGTTTACAGTTCCAGAAGTATTACACAGTTACTTAAGCTAAGTGTAGTGCTTTGATCAACCACATTTCTAGAATGTACCATCTTTCCCTTTTCCTTGAAAAATAATGTGCTCTTTTTTTGAAAAAATAATGAAGCAAGTACTATTTAAAAACCAGAAACTTAAGGTTATAGTCTTCTCTGAATCTCTGCCTAGCAAGCCAGGTATGGCAGCGTGGGATCTGGGCTCCAGGCAAACACCAATGGGCTCATGTGTTCTCATGTATACAGTATGTAGAAAACACATTAGAGACTCATTCTTTTCTTTGCTCCTGGAAGAAAGGAAACTCTATGTATCTTTCCAAGGACACCTTGGAAAGCTTTTCTCTGTGAATTAGTGATGAAATTATCCTATGCCCAACAAATCAGAAAAATGGTCATCTTTATTAGTAAACCAATGTAATTATCAAAAGTTAAATACCAAAGACAGATTTGAAATTACTAATTTAGATTCAAATAATAAAATATGCCTTAAGATTCATTTTTATGTTTAATGCCTGTTATACAGAAACTTTCATAGAGCACAAATACAGTTAAATATATCTAAGATAACAAGGGAAGGGACATCGGCTAAATCACTGAATTGTATACTCAATGGGTAGAGTTCTATCCCGAATATCTGTCTCACTGTGAGAAAAGTGAGAAAAGCACAATTTTAGATTGGGCTTAGATATAATAAGGCAAAATCTTGCTTATAAATAAGGCGTGCTTTTATTGAGCAGGCTTTGTACTAACACAAAATCAAATTCTGGACTACTAGAAAACTCCATCCCTCCAAAATGTACATAATTTACAATTTTCAGTCTCATATAAATGTAATTAGAATAACGTCATATCCTCAAGCAGAAGGATAAAGTCTGACTGCACATTCGTGCTAATTTGACTGTATGTAATATATATAATACTGTAAAGATAGCTTCATACTTACTTACTGACTTGTGCTATGAAAATTAAAATATAGTTGTTTTTATGCCATGCTGCCTGTATTTTTTCCCTGCCCTTCTCCCTGTTCAAAGTTCCCTCTCCAGAAGTTTATCTAATGGATTGAGTTTAAGAAAGGCATAACCAACACTTGCCTTCTAATAAACCCTAAGGCATCTATTCTTTCTTTTCAGAGTATTAAAAAACATTGCTCCTGCTTTGTAATCTTCTGCAGGACTCAAACTGCACTAGAACCTACCAGAAAACTAAGAAGAAGCAAGGGAACCAGAGCCAGAATAAAGTCTACTATTTGCTACCTGTTTTCTCATTCATTTTTGAAGTTTGTTTCCAGGAAATAATATTTCTTGTAAAGTAAGCTCAATTTTTTTCAGCCACTTCAGAAGTTAATTTTAAAGAACTCTGCCTTATTTTTGTCTGAAGCAGTTTTCAATATTGGTAAAGAATTTTCAAGTTTCTCTTTTCAATGATCTTTATTAGACCTTACAGATAAAGAAGATATACAGTAATTCATGTTAAAAGAGACACAGGGAAATTTACATTGGATTCAGCTACTCATAACGAACTTGGTAACCAAATAAATCAGACTCTCAGAGCTAGTGGATACAAATTCAAGACTGTTTAATAAATCAATCTATTTGATAATAGTTTGCCAACATATTAATTAGTAATATTAGAAGCTAAATAGATAAAACACAAGAAAATAAAGCAAATGGAAATGGCAAAATAATTTTTAGGAATGGTAAAAAAGACTACATTACTAATGGGAAATGCCTACAAATAACATATTTTACCTGGTATCATCTTGTGAGAATCTCCTTTGCAAATCCTCTTTATTCCACTGTTCTTTTTCTTTCCCTTGCTCGTGTATATCTTGTGTTTTTTCCTCGTCTCCTGATTCTCTGTTTTTCTCCTTATTACACGTTTTGGCAATCTCTTTCCCTTTCTCATTCTCATTAATTCTTTCTTCCTTTACCTCTTCCTTCTCATGAACTATCTCTTCATGCTTATCCCCTTCTTTCCCTCCCTCTTCTATTCCCTTTGGTCTTTTGAAAGCAACAGAAATTGAAGGCATGCAAATAAACACACAAAAAAAGAAAGTCAAGAAAAAACACTTATGAAATTAAACAGAAAGGTAATAAAAACTATCAAAACATAAGTAAAAATTATATCTTTTAAATGTTGAAAACTTACTTCAGTGTATACTAGAGAAGCACTGTATAAATAGCACTTAATTGTAATAGTTTTTAAATCATATTTTCCTTTTACAAAATTACATGAAAAAAGGTAAAAGTTGTGATCTCCCTGTTATAAAATTTTTAATCCAATAAGAGTAAAACAAAATTTAGCTTAGGCATCTATAAAATCTATAGGACAAGTAAGAAATGCAAATTATACTAACTTATATACTATATGTATAAATTTTCTTGAGAAGATGAGGACTTTTTCTATGCATATATAAAAATTTCAAGAGGATAGGAAAGCATCCTACTGAAAAAGTAACATTCTTATGTTTTCTAATAACAAAATATATTATTTTTCATATTCCTTGGAACATGAAAAATTCAAGTCTCAGCCATCACTTTTATTTCAATAAAGATATAAGAGGTCTTAATTTTTAAATTACAAACATGAAAAAAGATATTATTTCCAGTGATGTAGTAAGCAAAATTATCCATAGTTTCATAACATTTTCTTCTGTGCAGGAAGTCTGAAATGTGGATTAAAATATATTAAAAAGTAGTATGTACTGAAGTTAAGCTCCCCTGGCTTTAAAATATATATTAACCTGTTAGAAATAAATAATTTTATGTTCATCCGGGAAACATAAAGACCTTCTAAAACATATTTAGAGAAGTTTGTTGTTGAAATCCCCTTACCTGATTTTCTTGTTTCCTCCTGGGCGTTCTGATTGGACAGACATGTAGCTTGTGCTGCTGAAACGAGAAGCACTACTAGTCCTTGAAACCGCAGATATATCACTTACATCACTGTCCGAAGATTTAGTAGAAACATTATCTGCCCCTCTATGAGGATCCCATCCTGATCGATACTGTTAACACAGATTGACAAATACGCAGAAGTTGTCAGTATTACCACACAAAGCAATTATTAGCTTTCTCCTATTTCATCACTTTAATTGTCCACAGAGGAAACTGCAAAATCCCACTCAGTTGCATATAAAACAAAAGTGAATGGCAATTATCCTAAAAGAAAAATTCAATTTATATGAAACCTTTGTTTTTAGCAAAGTAATTAGAATGTTTTTACCACACCCCAGTGAAGGCCATTAAAATAGTTTCAAAACAGCACTGGCCTCAGGAAAGAACATTTAGGTAAGATCTGGGAAATAAACATTTGGCTTAATATGAGGAAGTAGAATTTTTTTTATTTTTTAATAAATTCTAGTAGCCATCAATTAATCCATTATGCTTCACTGAAAACCTAGAGATAATATAAAATCTAATTATTAAACCATTAACTCTTTTTAGAAAAGCCGAGAGAAAAGAGAAAGTTTAATTTCAGAGTGGTTGCTGGATTTTGATGAATCCTAGAAATACTAGAAAAAGTCATTATTATTTACAATAGTTCAAACTTCCTGGAATTGAAATAGTCAGATAGTTAACTGGCACAGCCAGGGTTGCAGGGTATTCTTGGGTGTTCAAATATTCTGGTAAATTAAAAACCATCGTAAATGCTTTAGGTTAATGACCTAGTCTCATAAAATACATTTAATGCAAAAACTAATGGACAAAATTTAACTTTATTTTGACAACAAAAAATCATTTGCTAAGAGTCCTCTTGTTGAGATGTAAAAAGGATAGACTTTGGAGTCTGCAAACCTGAGGTAAGAAAAACTCTCACTAGTTGAGTAAATTTGAGCAGATCATTTAACCTGTAAAAGGCTTCTTAAAAAAAAATGGATAATAATATCTTTTTTTGCAAGGCCTAGAACTAAGACGTATGTGGTATCTGGCATAATGTAAGTAAATGTAGCCTGTATTATTACTGCATTATTACAACTTGGTGATGTAACAGTATTCTTACTATAAACATCAAATATGACTACTATTGGGTTAAGAGATTATCTGCTAATTGATTTTTATTTGTTTAGATGCACTTCAAACTTAATGCTGAAACATTATTATCTAGTTAATTTTGCAAAGGAGAATTTTCTAATCACAGATACTAGCAAATTTCATAAAGCCTTAGAAAGATGATTATTTTTTATCAACCACTTGCTATGTCTTAAAGAATAATTACTTAATAAACAATCCCCCACGAATGACAATTCATTGCAAGTATTAGATAGATATAAACATTTTGGCCAAGATAAATTGAGTGGCAACAGAGCATAAACAGTAGATCCGATATAAGTGATCTGTTGATTGTTTTCTCCCAAAACCTCTCAGTATCTAGATATCCATTTTTAATAATTGACTCTTCTTCAAACGTAAAGAAATTATTTCTAAGGCTCCACAAAATTTTAGTCAAATCCATTAACCTAGCAACATATATTCAAATTACGTGAGAATTGGCCTTTCTTAGTCCACTTTAACTTTCTATCTTGTTAGATAAACTCTCAATTATTGAAAAGCATACAATTAAATTCTTCTAAAAATTGCTGCCTTTTCCCAGGAAATATCTATTTAAATAGAACCATAGGGTTTAATTTTAAAAGAAACATTATTAATGTACAGTGGATTTATTCAAAGACAATTTAGATCATAATATTATTTTTCAAATAAAGTCATTTTAAAATACCAAACATTTTGCCTTAAATGACAATGTTGAAAGCCATTGCCTAGAATAGCATTTAAATGAATGGTGTCAACATTAACCATGTTATATCTGTCTATATAATATATATAATATGTACACTATACAATAATATATTGTATACTATATAATACAATAAATGATATATCTATACATATTTTCACAAAATTTATTGAAAGTAAATGTGATCTCAAGGTAAGGTATATATGGAAGGCTTTCATTTTACTTATATGTTTTTTGGGCATTTATTCATACAAAAATCAAAGTTTTAAGAAATTTTTCAAAGCTATAAAATTGTTCAATAGATACTATACTCCGTATGGGAGACTTTTCTCTGATTCTTATAATTTATAATAAAAAAGAAAAGTAGCTGCTATTCTTTCTTTTAAAGTAATTTATTATTGAATATGAAGGCAGTTTTGGTAATATATTTCTTATTTGTTTTTGCTCATGGGATTATTATATCATCTAAATTCAAATGGAAAACTGTAAGTTTTAACTCTAGCAGTAGTAAGGGCAATAATGTAATCATTAAGAGCCAATGCTCTGGAATGGGACTGAATCATTTGAATTCTGGCTACATAGATTATTAGGTTTGTGATCTTGGATCAATTGCTTCTATGAGTCTCAGTATTTCATCTGTTAAAATATGGATAATAATTGTGCCTATCTCCAAGGCTTGCTGCAAGGATTAAGCAAGATAACGCGTGTAAAGCACTTAGCACAATATCTGACACATAACAAGTGATAACAAATGATGACAAAGATAATGATGATGATGATGATGATTAAACAGTAGCCAAAGACTGGCTTATGTAAATTTCAGGAATATCTTTAGCTAAATAATATTAGCTAGAAATACTTAATAAATACATTAAGACTATTCTAAGCTACAAAAACATAATTATTTTTACATATATCCAAGAGATCTGCTTCAGAAAATATGTTTATAAAACAAAATTAAAATATTAAACCCAACTTTACCACTGACTCCTAGTATGTCCTCAGGCTTCACCTTCCCCATTTGGCCAGGTTCATCCATATTCCATCACCTAATAGGGAAATACTGATTCCCGACTGCAGGATGAATAATATCTTTATCTCAGCAGGAAATATATGACACTTCTTGGCTGACATAGAACATGCCTCATTTTTAATATTTGTCTTAGAACCTTATCCTGACATCCAAAGCCACCTGGTACTCGTGTATCCCAGCTTTCCTGATTGGTTTTTGTCCAATTTGCTTTTCTTTCATATCTGAAACCTAACTGCTTACTTGGCTTTTCAATTTCAGTAGTTAGGATTCTGATTTTGTCTACTCTAGCCTTTGTCTTTTTAGGTCTGTCATGATGTCTAGTCTTGTTGCTATGATTCATAGGTGCATAAAGGCTTTAATTTGTTTAGTTTTTAAAAGACAGGTTAGCATGGTGTGCACTGTGCATATCTTTATCCAAGACTTCTCAGATCATCCAATTTGCTGAGCTAAAATTTTAGATATGCAAAATTTAAGGAAAGATTCCCTATACTGTAGTTTTATGCCTTTTTTCACAGCGTTATAATAGTGTAAAGGTTTTATGCCTTTTATTCACACACAGCCCTATGACAAGAGATAGTGTGTAATTCATCACACATGACCTCTTGTCATTGGGCTCTGTGTGTGTGTGTATATATATATAATATATATATGTGCATGTGTATATAAATGTGTTCATGTTTAATTTTCAAACCCCCATTAGACTACAAACTCCTGAAGGCCAGCACAGTATCTTCCTCATCTTTGTGTGTCTCTTAGCACCTAAAAGTCAAAGATTTAACTTAAACTCTGAGGTTTAGCCTTCTTACTAGGGAGATAAGAATACACTCCATTTTAAGAATTTTTGAGAAAAATATATTCAAAATAATATATTCAAAATACATAATAATATGCTTAGCAAATAGCAGAGGCTTATTTCCAATGCCTAAAGCAGAAGGTCATTAAATAGGACACTGAATGGAACAGTTTATATAAAGAAAGAAGAGAAATTAGCTAAAGGCTCCAGTTTAATGATGATTCTGCTATCTACTCAAGGCTTGCACCAAATGTATTTCTCTGTTGACTTCTAAGCCACTGAGCATGTTTACCACTGGGATTAGCTCAGGTTTCTATTACAAATAGACATATGCTTTTAAAAATGAGAAATCTGGACAGTGAGAAAGAATACGAAAAATATTTTTTATAAATAAAATTTCAGAAGAATACATTTTGAACATATTTAGAATATAACATATTCACATATACAACTCAACCCCCACCCCCAGAAATCTAAGTACTAAACAACTTAATACTACAGTCAACATTTAAAATGGATAAATGTAGTTTTACTTTTCCTAAAATATGATAAACAAAAGTTATATACTTCAACAATGAGAGAGAAGCTAAATTGTTATTATACCAAGGTAATGAGCTACGAATGTGAGTAAGTAAATTTATTTATTTAGGAAATGGTTGGTGTTGTCTTGGCACTATACAATACATAATGTTTTAAATAATTAGCATGTATTAGAATATAGCTGATGGATGAACAATGAATGGCCTGTTAACCATTCTCTTTAATGGAACAAAAACAAAGAAGGATAATACGATCTTAGCTGAAAACTGTGCTCCGATTAAAGATCATTAAAATCTTGGAAGAGAGTAAAGAAGTTTTTCCGGACAACATTTTAATGTTTTGTACATACTATTAAGAAGATCATGAACTAGAAAAATTTACAGGAAATGATTATTCTTCAGGATGTTCCAGACTCTAAAGAGTTCCTAAGTGGCCTGGAAAAGTTAATGTTCTTCCTATATATCTAACATTAGTGGAAAGTAACAGTGTATCTGCAGAGCTCTATTGAAAAGAAGGCTATTATTGAAGTGTCAGAATGATATATTAGAATGATATACTTAAAAAAATAAATTACAATTTCTAAAATCAGTTTCATTTTCTCCAGTACTCATTTGAAGTTCTTAGGTTTGGCCATTTCCAACTCTGATTTTGCTAAAGCACCTCAAGAACTCTGGTTGTTTGATCTTCAGACAAAAGATGGGGGCAGGATTATGAACTTCCTTAAATATCACTTGTCTTCAATAAATCTCACCAGATAACCATTTATTGTACAAAACAATAATTAAAAAATTAATTATTGCAAAATACTGGATAATATAGAAGCCCAATTTTGAAGAAAAACAAGTCTCATGCTATCGAGAAGTACATGGATACCTGAATACCACATTCAAGGAAATACTGAGTTAATCAAAAGATAGGAGCGGGGAAAGAAAACTAAGGCAAACATAATCTTTGGAAGATACAAGTTAGGCTGAAGTTCTGGGCAGGGCTCTTGGTATCAATCTAGGGGAGGTAGAGGAAAGAAGAGGGCAGAGGGAATTCTGGCACTGCAGTCATTAAATAACCATGTGCATTTTCGTCATCCTGTTTTTATTTCATGTCATAATCGAAAGAAAATAGTTGTTGCTCTTTGATAGTAACACAATTGCAGGTACTTTTTCTCTGAGGAGCTACTTCCAGATGATGTTTTTCTCTGTCCTACCCAAGGCTCTTATCAGTGCCTGATCTGAATGCTGAATTGTATAAAAAATAAATAAAAATAAATTGCATAAAAATTAAAAAATGTACTTGTCAGAGATAATTTTGTTTAGCTATGACTTCTAAAGAGGGTATTATGTGATAATGGTCTAAAATTGGGAGGAGAGGGCAGTGAGCAAAGGCCAAAGACATTTGAGGACTTATTTAAGATTTAGTCTTGTAAACAATATTCTGCAAATGAAACCCCAGCTTGAAAGATTTCTGATAGCTGCAGAGCTCAAAAGGAAGGAGTCTGCAGTAAAGCTGAGCCTAACGAACATCATGCCTCAGTCTGGAAAGGAGTCTAGGACATAAAATTTTCACTGGAGACTGAGGCACTGAATTTTCTCCCTTGTTGGTCCTCAGGCCTGATGGCCTCTTCAGTTTGGTATAGTAATTAAACTAGCTACAATTATTATTTGTATACCCTGTGAAACATACTGTTGTAAATAATATGTGTGGATTATTTTATTTAGTTCTCCCAAACCTTATGAGGTCGCCTTTGTGATAGCTGGAGTCAGAAGGAAGTACAGTTAGGTAGGATGAGCCATACTCAACACCCTCTCCATTAAATAGGTCTAGTCATCTTCTAAGGCACAGTTTAAGATGTCACCTCCTCTGTGAAGTCTTCCTTAACTCCTTCAAAGAGAAGCACTGCTTCGAATGTTCCTCAACTACTTTACTCATGCCTTTATTACAGTTTTATCATGTGGTATTATGTGTACTTCTCCCTTGTCCATCCATCCATCCATCCATCCATGTATCAATCATCTATCCAGCTATTTAGCCATCTATTTGTAATGTACCCACCCCACTAGATTATAAACTCCCAGAGGATAATGACTTTTGTTGATTTTAGTAATCTTATTATCTATATCTGGGCCTGGCATTTAGAAGCAACTCAATGAATGTTTAATGATCAAAATGAATGGAATGATTTAGCTTTATCTGGGCTATATACTGAAGTATTATTCCATTATGAAGTATCAAATCAGTGTACAAGATACATTGATAGCTGTATAGAGTTTAGTCACCTAATTATTTCATTCTCTGTGGTGGGTATAGGCAGTGCTGTTACAGTAAATGTTTAACAACTAGCTTTCTGAGGAAAAAAAATTCCAATTTACGGAGTTTTCTGATTTCCGTGATATAAATACTCCCATTATGGCTGATTTCAAGTTACCAAGTGGTCACTGAACAGACAGTTGGGCACACCACTGGTTGTGGGGTTTAGGAATACAGGCTTTGTTTATAGGGCTAAGACTCCTTAGGAGAGAATGAGTAAGGGACAATAAATATTTACTGTGTATCAAGACCTGTGATCTCATTTAAAGTTCACCTTGGACCTGTGAAGAAGGCATTTTCTCCATTCTATAGATCTAGAAACAGACTCACTCAGGGAAGTCTTTGAAACATGACATAGCAAGAACAGCTTAAAGTAAAAAGCGGTAGTCGAAGAAAGGGTAGCCATTAGCATGTATGCCAAGACTTACTAATGAACCAGCTGTCGCTTGATATGAAGGAAATTTATGAGGTGAATAATTTTTCCTGGATAATTTACAGAGGAAGAATTATTGCCAGTAGTCAATTATGACCTTCCCTAAGGCTTGGCTTTGTGGGAACTCAATGTCTATTAGTAATCAGCTTCTCCTTGAGAAACAATCTTAATTTACTTCTATCGATTTCTCAGTTTTCAGAGATAGAAGTGCCAGCGCTGCAATGAAACCCCAGGTTTAGAGATCTCAGGTAGCTGCAAAGCTTATGCTTTTGCCCTTAACAAATGAATTTACCATGTTCTTCAAGAGAATCAACAACTCTTAAGCCATTCTATCATGTACTAAAACTGTTCTCAAAAAAAAAAAAAAAAAAAAACCCACCAGAACAAAATTCCCCAATAACATCCTAATTTACCAGTCAGTGGTATCTTTTTAGGTTTTTTCTTTCCCCTCCCTTCTTGAAAATTTCCCATAATGACTTCTTAGATATTGCCACTCAGGGTTTCTACTCTATGTCCCTGAGTGTTACTTTTTAATCTCCTTTCCCAGCTTTGTTTTCCCTAACCTGATTTTAAATTATATTTTCTCAAAGTTCCCATCTTTAGCCTTCTTTTAACTATATTACCCCAGGATCATATAATCCATTGTCTACCCATTTTAATTACCAAGTAATGACTAATAAAATCCTTATTCTCACCTCTCCCAAGCTTCAGATCTGTATTTCCAGATGCTGACAGGACATCTCCTGTACTTCCTTTTGCTGGCACATCAAATTCAATATAGCTCAAACCAAATTTATTCTTTCACCCTAAACCAGCTCTCCTTGTACCTCTTATGTTCCCTGCACTGTAGGCTCAATATCCAACTAAAACCTAGATAAGTTGTGAATTATCTTTGACTCCTCCTTCCCCAGTATCCTCCATTCTAATCAGCCAAGAAATATTACTTAGTCATTTAATGGAAACAAATATTATCTAAATATTTAGCTATCGGGGGTTATGAATGGGTCCTTGGTCTTTCCTTTTGGTAACCAGAGTATTTAATACCTATTTATTTGTGGCAGTTGCTGCTGAATGCCTACGCAATATTCCCTCTCCCACTTTGGTCTTTATTAAAAGAATCCACACTGATTTTAATAACAACAAAACAAAACAACTTCATTTTCTACCTTGTATGTAAGGTGATCATTTGATGTGAGTGTGACCTCTGAAATATAAGCAGGAATCTAGGGTGGGGTTTAGGGAGAGCTACTATGTATCTGATTACAGTGAGCTAACATAGCTGGTATGACCATATGTCTTTCCCTTTTCTTTTTTCTTTCTTATTGGAGTTCAAACCCAAGCCTACAGCTACAGCAGGCATTCTGTGATGATGGGGATGAATGTCTTACTCTAAGAAAGGAGAATAGGAAGACAGAGTGCTTGGGTCTTACATAATAGTACCAGCCCTGGGCTGTTTGGATTTCTTGTTGTGTGAAGTAAAATTCCTTGTTTATTCAGATAATTTTGTCAGGTGTTTTGTTATAAACAGCTGAGTGCAAACATGACTGATACACTTTTCTGAATGCAAATTCTTCCTGGTCTGTGTCAGAAGAAAATTTCTGACCTCATAGTGTAAACATATTCCCTAAGCAACAATATTGATGAAAATCATAATAGTCATCTAATTTTGATAAGAGGCAGTATACCATAATGACCAAGGGATTAAGAGCTGAAAGATATGGGTGTGTAACTGCTCTTCCACTTACTAGGAGCTACACAATCTTAGGCAAGTCTCTTAACATCTTTAAGTCTGCTTCTAGATTCACATTGTGGAGACAATACCTTCTTAATAGGACAAATATGAGTTTTAAATGAGATCACAGGTCTTGACATATAGTAAGTATTTACCATGATAATTAACTAGGCATAGTCCATGATGAAATAAAAGAAACTGTACATTATGATACTAAATATTCACCATCATTAAGCCATGAGCTCAAAAATTTTACCTTGACTTGAAAAAAAACCATGAAAATGGCTATGAATACTTTATAAATAGGTTCTTAATTGCACGTCTCATAAAAAACAAAAAACGAAAGGGCATTGTCCTTTGATGCTAGATTGGTTTATTTACTTAGAGTAGGATAATACCAAACCTGCCTTGGAAATTCAGGTTTATTCATTCTTGAAACTATTCTACTTTAGTTTTTTTTTTTTTTTTTTTGAGACAGAGTCTTGCTCAGTCGCCCAGGCTGGAGTGCAGTGGCGCGATCTCGACTCACTGCAACCTCTGCCTGCCAGGTTCAAGCAATTCTGCCTCAGCCTCCCAAGTAGCTGGGATTACAGGTGCCTGCCACCACACCCGGCTAATTTTTGTATTTTTAGTAGAGATGGTGTTTCACCATGTTGGCCAGGGTGGTCTTCAACTCCTGACGTCAAGTGATCCACCCGCCTCGGCCTCCCAAATTGCTGGGATTACAGGCATGAGCCACCATGCCTGGTCACAGTTAGTTTTTATAATTATGTTTATACTTGATACTAAGGAAAGTTAAACTGAGGACAGTAACAATCTATCACCATAACACATTATTAATAATAATTAAAATTTAAATACTTTTTATAGTTTACAAACAACTTTCAAATATCTTATAGTTTTCTTTTTCACATCTGATAAAACAGCTTTTTAACCTTTTACAGATAATATATAACATTAACACTTAGCTGTGTATTGATATAGATGTAACCACAAAAAGTAAATATTTTTTCAATAGCTTTAGTCTTAGATTTGTAAACCCTTTATTATTCAGTAATAGCTCAAACTCATGTCATCTGAAATATCTGCCTCAGTCAAGAAGTGTTTCAAAGTCTGTTTTTCTCAGACCCTTACATATATTAATAATAATATTCTGATACATACATACAATTTCATGTCTATCCAAGCCCCAGAGGGTAGAACAAAATGCCTGCTGCTAATCTAAACCAATGCACCCAGTTTAAAGCCCTTATGTTTTTATTATGACTAAATGCTTCTCCAAGCCCTCAGATCAGAAACCCATAAGATCTACTAGAATTAAGAAAAGTCATAAAGAAACCGTCACTAAGAATTCCTGGCACATGGCCCTTTGTGACCATCTTTAAACATTACATGGATTATATGATTTTTATGAATGTTTAAAGAATATTTATCTAATTGATTGGGATATAGGGTATAGAAATTACAGATATCATGTGGCAAGCTAGCATCCCAAAAGTTGCAACAGAAATAAGACATGAGAACACATCAGTAGGACCAGTGCCCTGGGGATCTGAAGCAGGCAGAAACACAACAAAAACATATGAGCTGGAGACAAGAAATAAGGTTCCCTTTCAATTATTAGTACTTTAGAAGGTAATAGCGTAACTTTAAGTACTTGTGCTGAAAAGAGTCAAGGCTAAATAATAGCCTGAATAACTATGTAATGTTAAAAAACCTGAAGGGGCCTGAGAATTGCTCTGATCTATCAAATTCAGGGATAGGGCAAATATAATTATATTCTGTTGGAAGTCTGAAGAGGCCCACTACTCCTGTTCCCTGTGTGAGAAGACAGAGAAGCATCAACTGGGCTTACAGAAAGACCATTTGGGATGGAGCCAACAGTCAAAGCAGGGACAAAGACTAACAATTACCTCTTGCTTGGACTACTACAATAGCCTCCTAATGGGACTCTTTGTCTGTAATGTTCTTTTCAAATGCATCTTAAGTATATCATTAAAATTACCTTCTAAAAGCACAAATTTGTTCATGTCAGCAACTTCCTCAAAAATCTTCCAAACCCATCATTCCATATGGGTTGTATAAAATATAGAAAAATAATATAGAACATAAGTAATACAGATATTAAAATATTAAAAGAATATAGATATATAGATGTTAACATATAAGATACAGACTTTAAAATAATACAGGTATTTAAAATAATATAAAAATATAAACATAAAATTTAAAATGTAGAACATTCTATATTTTTAACTGAGAGATTCAAAGTTCTCCACAATCTTGTCCCAGCCAACTTTTACATTCTTTTCTCCGAATACATATCCCCATTTGTTGTATATTTCCACACTAAAGAACTATTAGCTGTTTCTTAAACATGGCTTGTGCTCATGTAACGCCATAACTTTGTTTAAGCTCTCTCTTCAGCCTGAGAAGTCCTTCACTTCATGTGTTACATTCTATTCTATTCCCAGATTTCTACCAGCCAAATGAATATTTCTTTTGCTGTTCTTCCTTTGTACGTGTATTTTTAAAAATTATATCATTCAACACAGCCTATTTTGTACCATCATTACTTATGTACATGCGTTTCTCTAATTTGATAGTGAACTCTTGGATTGAAAGGATATGCTAGCCTGCCTTCCTCCATTCTTTCCCTCTCTCCTTCCTTTAATTCTCTTTTTCCTTTTCTTTTTTCCCCTCTCTTCATCCCCTTTCCCTTCCGTCCTTTATTCCTTCTTTACTCACTATTTCCTTCATTTTATTGTTATTCATATGGTTATTCCTCTGGCATTTTCTTTCTTTAATGTTGCAGAACCAGAATCCAGAATTAAAGCTGATGAGCTTCAGCAATACCCGAGGTATGAAGTTCTGACTTGCAGGTAAGAGAGAGAGAATGAATGACCACTGAATGACCACTGAAATTGAAAAAAAAATATTCAAATGCCTTAAAAAACAGAGAAGGAAAGAAGACTCATATAACCACTTTTTTGTTTGTTTGTTTTTTGTTTTTTGTTCAAGAGAACAGCCCAGGAAAGTTACCCGGTACTGAACCACACATTTGGTTATTTCCTCATCACTGAATCATTCACAAGTTCACCATATTTTAAAGCTAAAAGATACCTCAGAGAGAATGTAATCTAGCTTTCTCATTTTATAGATGAGAAAATTGAGAAATAGAGAAGTGATTAAGATTATACAACTTGTTATTATAAGGTCTATTTCTTTTCATTAAACTTTTTTTTCACTTTTATTGTCAAATTTGTTTTTACTTTTAATTAAAAGTGATAATTTGTATTCATTTTAATGGGACACTGGGCAAGCAAGTTTAGACTGATTTCTTTTGAAAATATTCATATTGTTTTCAACTTTAGGGATATGCTTAAAATAAAGATTTTCAGCCTTTTTTGAAATTTTGAAAAATCTATCTAAAATGACCTAAATAATCAGAATACAAAACAGCATTAAAATAACACTACTTGTAAGTATAATTGGATGGATTTTAACAAAGTAAAACTTTGACAATAATATCATATTAACTAACTTGAATAAAAACATGTTTTATGTTCTATTGAATAAAAGCATGTTTTATGTTCTATTGAAATAAGCCCTTTAAACTCATTTAAAATTCAGGTGATTTTATTTTTTGGCAGAAAATCGAAAAGGGCTTAAGAAGTAACATGTTCTTATGTGACTGGACCCTGGAGACTGTTGGCCTTGTTTGTAAGCATTCCGAGTCATAAAAATGACCTGAAAATGGCCAATCATAAAATCACAGCGATTTCTTTGTTACTCAGGAAGTTATATTGAGGTAGTAAGTTTTAATTCATCCATCAGAATGAAGTTCAACTGTAAGTTAGTTTTTATTACTCCTACCTCCCATGTTATAATAAATACTAAAAAATAACTACGATTATGGACATTCCCATGTGCTAGGCCTAGTGCTATAGAGATGTTTCCACTCTCTGAAGTTATCACCAAAGTCCCTTCCTTCATATGAAATATATTCCAAGGTTAGCTATATTATTTCCAGACTGGAGTATTATTTTACGATCTTCAAAATTGATGCAATAGAAGTAATCAAATTTCCAAATGTTTAATAAAACGTTATATTTATTTTGCTAATAAATGATATCTGTAATCCTTCCAACTAAAGAAAAATTACAACTGAATTTTGTGCTGATGAACAAAGCCATTACATAACAAAATTGTAGATATATTTGTATTATAATTAGCTGAACTAAATTGAAGTTATAGATGTGAATGGTTCCATGTTACCCTGGATGACTGACTTTATTGACTAAAGGTTTTTACACAAGTGTCAATTCAAACTTAATTATCAATTACTTCATGTAAAATATGCAAAACATTACACATATAAATTTATTCTCTAAGTCATAGTTATTATGGCACAAGTTCATTAAAAATTATACAGATTCAGGCACTTGTGAGAACATGTCTAGTAGAGAGCCTTACACTGATCAGACTACTCAATCAATGAATGAAACATTAGAATTGAAAGAAATAAAATATAGAAAATATATTTCAAATCTAATTTTAAGACTAGGCTCTGAGATTAAATAATTTACTTAATTAATGATGAGACTGATTAAAACCCAAATGTTAATTCATAGTGGTCTTTTCAATGCTGCCTCCAAAGTACCACATATTTGTTTAACACTTTATAAGGTTCCTTCAATTTGTAGATAGAAAAAAGTTGAGTTGTGAAGAACTATTGGGCAACTTATCCAAAGTCTTATTACATGAATGGCATAACCAAAGTTAGAAGCCCAATCTTCTCATTCTATCTCAGTATTCTTTCCACTATTATTATCTCTAGATGGAAATCAATAATTGTATGCCCATTAGAAAACATGCTTTTGACTATTACCCAATAATCTACCTATATCTTCTTCTAAAAATCATATTTTGTTCTTATATTGATACAAAATGCTTAAAATTCACCTTCTCTAGAATCTTTTTCAAACTATCCTATCCTACTTCTCTCAGCATCCACGTCCACGTTCATTCACTAAAATTAATCCCATTGAGTGCTTATTGTGGCCAAGGCAAAGTACATGCTACTGAGAGACTACAAAGATGAATAATATAGTCACCGTTCTCAAGAAGTGTATAGTTTAATATAAAAGACATAAATATTCCACATATAAAACAGAATATATGTATTTTATGTGGTAATGCCATGGTTGGTTCAGAAGGTATATATGTTTTCACCTATCTGTTGTTTTCCATATTCTTTTACTTCATATATATATATATATATATATATATATATATATATATATATATCATGCTTAATCCTTTCAGTTATGTGAAATTTGATTGGAAAGAATGTATCTGTTCTATTTGATCATATTTTCTTCCTTCTTTTCCCATATCCTCCCTGATTTTATAAAGCGAGACCTTTCCCTTCTGTAGTCTACTATAATTCATTCCCTGTAGAATATTCTAGCTGTTAACAAGCTAGCAACTCTGGAGCCTTGATGAAAGCAAAGATGAAGTCATATGTTTATTATTATTTTTTATTTTGCTGACGGTAAAAGGAAATGTTTCTCCTTTATATTCTTAGGTAATTACAGGAGGGTACTGCACTCTTGGCAATGGCAGCTATTCTCCACAGATTGACCCTCTTACCTGCAAGTAGCTGCCTGCAACTTATCTACAATTCTCTCTTTGTCAGTTTTTAGAAACTTTATGTTACTAAAAAGGGAGAAGTTAAAATTTCTGCTATAATTCTACAGTGTTCTATAATATACAAGTTGCTGTTTTTGTCATCTCAAATGACTTTTTTTTTTGCATAATACTGCCACACTGGAAGACTTACTCATAATTAAAAATAGTCTTTTTATATTTCCTGGCTTAAAATGTGAATATATGGTAAAAGGTAGCAATTCACAAATACATCTAAAGGAAAGGGACCCATGCTTGAATATCAGCATAAAATTATGGCTACGCGAGTCATATTTAAATGTGGTTTTCATGGCTAAGACAGCTAATTTTTAAGATGCATTTGCAAACACAAAACCAAAATATTTTATCTCTTAGGATTTGAGAAGGCAGTTGTAAAAATAGGAAGAAATAGAGAAAAGTAATAAAATCAAAAAAGAAATAAAAAGTTCAAAGCAAAACAGCTACGGTTAGTTGCCTAAAAATCCCTATTCACATTCTAATCAAATATGCTTTCACAATGCAATAAAGTTTTAATTTAAAAGATCATTAGCTACTTTGTAGAGATGTGTTATAGACTGAATTGTGTTCCTCCCAAATTCCTATACTGAAGTCCTAGTCTTCAGTACCTCAGAATGTGACTGTACTTGACGCTAGAGCTTTTCAAGAGGTAATTAAGGTAAAATGAGGTCACATAGGTAGTTCCTAATCCAATATGATTGGTGTCCTTATAAGAAGAGATTAGGACACAGACACACACAAAGTGAAGACACAGCAAGAAGGCAGCCATCTGAAAGCCATGGAAAGGCCTCAGAAGGAGCCAGCCTAGCCAACACCTTAAAGTTCTAGCCTCCAAAACTGGGAAAATACATTTCTGTTCTTTAAGCCACCCCTTCTATGGTATTTTGTTATAGCAGCCCTAATCAACTAATATGGGATGTTAAGGAAAAAGAAACCTAAACTAGAAACTTTTAAAATCGAAGATTAATCACAAATAAAAATACAAAATCGCTAAAATTTCATTAAAATGAGTTACCATCAAGTGTTTTTTTTTTTTGGTTTGTTTTTTTTGTTTGTTTTTGAGATGGAGTCTTGCTCTTGTTGCCCAGGTTGGAGTGCAGCGATCTCGGCTCATTGCAACCTCTGCCTCCCGGGTTCAAGAGATTCTTCTGCCTCAGCCTTCTAACTAGCTGGGATTACAGGCACCAGCCACCACACCCAGGTAATTTTTGGTATTTTTAGTAGAGATGGGGTTTCACCATGTTGGCCAGGCTGGTCTCAAACTCCTGACCTCAGGCAATCCACCTGCCTTGGCCTCCCGAAGTGCTGGGATTACGGGCGTGAGCCACCGTGCCCGGCCACCACCAAGTTTTTAACTGTAGATCTTTTATGTAACAGGAGAGACAAGAAATAGATGAGAATTTCTTCCAATGAGGCAAGGAATAAATGAACAGTTGTTGCTTCTATCAGCTAAATCATAATTTATACATCTGTGTTTACACATACACTTACTCATACCCTAAAGCTCTGAACCCTGAGTTCAGAGCTTTAGGGTATGAGTAAGTGTATGTGTAAACACAGATGTATAAATTATGTGGAAATACATTATAATTTTATATCTGCCTACAGGTATATCTATACCAATAGACAGATATTTAGATTAAAATTTAAATACAATCAGCTTGCTAGGGAATATAAACTATACAATAAGAATTTTGGGTAGAAAAAAATTTGAATAGATTTGCAAAAAAGACAAATCATTTTTAGGCTTTTAAAAGTATCATTTTTTTAAATTTTTCATCCTTTTCTCCCCACCTGTTTTTAAGATTACCTTAAAGATATACTTATCTATCTCTACTAGATTCCTGATGACAACAAATATACACTGGAACCCCCAAGGGCTTTGGTAAGTGGAAGTTATCTGTTGGAAACAGTGTTTCTTCCTTTTGTCCTTCTTTCCTATCATCATCGTCACCACCACCACCACCACGACCACAACCATCATTATCATATCACAGCTAACGTTTACTGATTGCTGTTACATATCAAGCTCTGCTCTAAGACTTTAATCTTTATATGTAGACAATCTTGAAAACAATCTGGCTGGGTGTGGTGGCTCATGCCTGTAATCCTAGCACTTTGTGAGGCCAAGGTGGGCGGATCACTTGAGGTCAGGAGTTCAAAACCAGCCTGGCCAACGTGGTGAAACCCTGCCTTTTACTAAAACGACAAAAAAATTAGCTGGGTGTGGTGGCACGTGCCTGTAATCCCAGTTACTCGGGAGGCTGAGGTAGGAGAATCACTTGAACCCGGGAGGCAGAGGTTGCAGTGACCTGAGATCACGCCACTGCTCTCCAGCCTGAGCAACAGAGCGAGACTATGTAAAAAAAAAAAAAAAAGATAAAAGAAAACAATCCTTGGAGGTAGGTACTATTATTAACACACCTTATAGAATAAGAAACTGAGGCACAAGAATGTTAAGTAACTTGCCCAAGGTCATACAGATAGTATAAGAGGTAGGGTTTTAATCTAGGCAGTTTGGTTAAGGAATCTACACTTTTAATACTACTCTGTAGTCTTTATTTAACCCTAATCACTAAAAATATATTGAAGAGTGATTATCAAACTGTCCATATATCTCTATTACTGTAAACAAGACTTCAGAATTTCTGCTATAAATCTGTGTCTGCTATAGTTATTAATAATATTGTGTACCAATTGTAAGAAATTATACTTCCAATGGCTCCTTCTCTCTTGACATCACCCCTTCTTTTACTTATCTCATAAAGGAAGAAATTATACAAACACATACAGAAATTTTTAGTTACTTTTAAATGCTAGTTTGATGGATGTTTGATATCACACAAATGAGAAATCTATCCTTGCAAACATGAATTCAAAAAAAAACTATAGAAGGGGGAAAATGGGCATAAATGATTTCAAAAATGTAATTTTATCATTTTTCATTCTGAACTATGACTCTTTTAATTAGGCTATATAACCATTTGGCAATTTTGTAAGTGGGACTGAAGGCTTTAATCAGGCCTTGATAAGATTACCATTAGCATCTCGTGCAATTCTACAGCTATATTATATAATGCTGCTCTTATTTGCTAGCTTAATAACCTGGATTTCAAAATCTAAGTTTATGTATCTTCATAAATATACTTGATAAAGGAAATACCTCAGGGTGATGTAAAAATAAAACATACACGTCAGGTGACTAATTAAAATCCTGGAGGATGGCTGGCTTGGACAAGCAACTTAGACAGCTTAGAAGACTGTGGCCTGGTTTGGGGCCAGGAAGCAAAGAAAAGTGTGCGATACTTGGTCAAATGTATCCTCAGCTGGTGGAGAGGTGGGGAGTATAGTAGGCGGCAGTATCATTGAGTACTAAGCATACTCTCATAGTTTCGTAGGCTAGTCTGGCATTTAAGAATACTTCCAAGTAATGTAGGCTGTCCTTTTTTCTCTTATGCTCCCATATCAGCAGGTTCACTGATTTCCAGATATTTCTCTTGGGATTCTGCTATAGGACCTGAAGTTATCTGCTTGCTGAGGCATGAAGAAATAAATAAAATAATAGGAAAATATGAAAAAGTAAAATAAGCGTTTATAGAAGTGATGTGTTTCATTGAAGAAATCCAGGTACAGCCACTGGCATAGTCTCTGACATCTTCATCAGTACAAGATAAGATTACTTGACTTGGCTCGAGTTGAAAATCATGAGTAAGTGATCTTAATTCTAATTCAAAAATAGAAAACCATTCTGCTGGATATCTGTTAGACTATGCCTAGCAGGCATTTTTTTGAAAATCTGAACCCAACTTCTGTTCATGAAACAGTAGATTGCTTATTCCAAAGAAGAATGCTTCATTCATTACTTTCTATTTAAAACATCTTATTGTACTCCCTGAGACTGCGTTCACAAGATCATGCCTATTAGAATCCTCTTGTTCTATTTATCAGAGGATTCCATCTTACACATGCATAATGACGTCTGTTTTACATGAATACTAGGTTTTCTTGGTAGCTTGAGAACTGACGCTGCAGCAGCTCTTCCTGTAGCAGGCACAAAGCCTGGCTCTATCCACCTCATCATGTTACTGGGCTGAGTTACATACTAACAGCAGCTCAATTTTTCTCCCTAAGAAAAATACTTTTCCCCAAGTATTTTGTTTCTATCACTGCTGTAAAATTAAAACATAACTCTTATTTCTTCATGTCTACATTATATCTAAATTCATGTATTGTCATGTTTCTTCTTGATAATATATATAAGGCTATCTAATCTACATTTTAAAACTTGCCTTTTATAAACGTGGTCTTAGTTGTCAGGTCCATTTATGTCATCACTATTAATGAGTATTTCTTTGAAAACACCCACACCCATATGCATGTCTATTAATCACTTCATCAAGGACCAGTCACCTTTAATGTCAACCATGATAGCATAATTTCTTAATTTCAGTAATTTGGTTTGTGATTTTTCATCACATATTATGTTCCAGTCTCCTTTAATTAAAAAAAATCTTCATATCCCCTTAAGATTCATAAATTTTTTTCCTCTAAATTTCATTTTTCCTTTTAGATTTGTGCTACTTGAATCTCCTTATTTGAGAGTAAAGGGAACATTCAAAGATATCTGAGCCACACTAAAATCAATAAAATCATTTTCCTTATCTTAGTCATTTCTTTATCATTTCTTTTTGGTCTTGTCAGATTCATATCTGGTGTCTATTATTATATTTGCTGTTGTTACTATAAAATAATAACTAATATTAGCTGCATTATTTATTGAGCATTTACTAGGTGCTAAACAATTTATATACATCATCTCGTTTAATCCTCATCACTACCCTATAAAATAGATACCAAAACCTTGTTTAATAGATTAAAAAAGCTGTGAGGTTAAACCTACCCCAAGCCACCCAGGCAGAGTCCACTTGACCCCAGGCTGTGCCCTTTCTAATACACTACTCACCCACTGCTGCCACATTCTGATGATATTTGAGACTTAAAGTATTCCTGACTTACATTAAATTTTTGAAGAGCTCATATATGACCACTTGTAACAAGCCTCAACTTTTCTCCCCTCATTGCCTGTGCCTTGAAAGTCAATGTAAAATACTTAAGGTTAGCACTGAATATGTCTTCTCAGTGTTGAGAAGCGCATAAGTGCTAATCAAATGAAACAAACAGTTTAGATAACAGTGGCATTTTAATTGACCAAACATACTTTAACTATCTGAAATATTTTCTATTAATACTGCTTATAAGTCCACCAATTTCAGTTTATGTTGTATTTATAAGGGCTTTTTAAAAAATGAAGCTCTGTGTTGTCATTCATATTTTAACGTAAACTAGTTTAATCAAATTGCTTTCCCCAATACATCTTTGAGATCTGTGAATGGGTGCCTAAAAGACTAGAAGCCTGGGGAAAAAGCGACAGGATATAGGTGAAAAGTGCCTAGGGTCAGGCATGCACAATAAATGGAGACAAACTTTCTTTTCCTTTATTTTATTACATTGTCCTCTGTTCTAACCCAATCTATTATATTATGGGTTAAATAGATTATCATAGGCTTCTGGCCTCCATTTGAAGAGATCTGGGCAACTCATAGATTATACTGCTTCTTAATTCCAGGGAGACAAATAAGAGAATGGAAAATTATGATATAACTGCTATAATAGGAGTGAGACATTTTTGTGATAATTTTGTAGAAGTATTGCCACAACATACTCCTTAAAAAAGAGCATGGTTTTTCCAGAGAAATAAGCTTTGAGTTCCAATAAATACTGTGCCAATAAACATTATTTGTTGAATGAGCCTTATTTGTTGAAATGCTATGGGGCCACTCTTTCAAAGAGTATCTTCATAGCAATATATAGCTTGTGGGAACATTTAAAAATATTAAATATGGCAAATTTAAAAACTAAAGCTCATATGTTTAAATAAGCATTATCAAATCATCCATATTAATTTCCATGTATAAATACATTGTTGGACTTTTAAGTATTGATAATTATGCCAATTTATCATTATATAACTCACAGAAGGGTAGTTGACCTGTGGTGAACCATAATTTACACTGTTAAACTTAATAAATCACATTTTTCTGAGAAAATAAAGAGGAAAGAAAGTTGATTTTATAGAAAAAATACGTTGATCCTTAAATTATTGCTAAGAATAGATGAATCACATTCAAGCTGGGATAAAAAAAGTACAAGAAGCATGCAAGAGTACATTGAGTATAATAAATTCTATTTTGAGGGAAACTCCCTGAGAAATCATCCACTGATTAACTAGAAATCATGTCTGTACATGCCTTTGCTGCTCTTATTAAAAATAGACTCTCTTCTTTCAAGTTTTCTAGTATACTGAAAATATTCTTAGAAAGACAGTAGCTTAATAGGCATTGCTCTATAGATGCTTTCAAAGTGAGTTACTAAGAAGATTTCTTTAAATTTAGTAGGAATTATTTAAAACTATCAATGCAGAAGTCTTGAGAAATTCAGGGAGCAATGCCATGTAGAATGTGAACTGTACAGTTTTTAAAAAAAAACCTAGGCTAACAATTAGATTCCACACAGGGCTTCACAATTGTGTCACTGGAATTTCAGGAATACAGCTCAGGAGACAGCATATGCTTCATATGTCTGAGGCTTTGGATTTCATCACAGTTATGTCAAATTTGAAAAACTAAATTAGCCCAAGTAATACTTTCCATGACTTAGTGGCTATGTGGACCTGGATAGATTACATAACCTTTCTATATCTTAGTTCCCTTATTTGTTAAATGATTTTCTTCAGCAACTAGATCTAATGTTAAAACACATAGCTCAGTAGGAGGCTCTATAACTTGCATTTGTTATCAAAATAAAAAGTAAAGAATGTAAATATAAGCTAAATAGCCCTCATCAAAAAAGAGAGAAATGATGTTGAAAATTTTAATCTAAGGAATTAATTGAAAATTAATGTAACTTAATATATATATGTCTGAAGAAGATTCCTCTGTAACTTTCTCTTTGACATATCAGAGGAAGATGAACCTCAGATGATGGGGAGATAGGTGATCCAGCAAAGATAGTTCCACATCAAGAAATGCTTTGTTGTGGTACAAAATAGGGTTGTATTTTGGAACCCCTTAAAAAGTTGTACTTAAGAGACTTGATTATATTTTGAGGTAAGCTGCCTGCATAATCCTGGCAATAGAAAACAGAGTGATAAGTATTCTACATTCAGTAGGATTTGTCAGACATTATTAAAGGCCTTATAAAGATGTCAGATCATTTATTCTCAAAATGTCTCCATTTTCTTGAAGACATCATTCACCTCTGGCTTCTAGTTGAAACCCTAATTGAGGAAGTCAACTCAATTATCTAAAGGATAATTTTACAATAGTTCTTCACCTTAGAGCAGTAATTCTCAAACTTTAGTCTACATCAGAATCATCTGATAGACTTGTTAAAACACAGGGACCCGGCCGGGCGTGGTGGCTCATGCCTGTAATCCCAGCACTTTGGGAGGCCAAGGCGGGCAGATCACGAGGTCAGTAGATTGAGACCATCCTGGCTAACACGGTGAAACCCCGTCTCTACTAAAATAATATAAAAAATTGGCTGGGCATGGTGGCGCGTGCCTGTAGTCCCAGCTACTCAGGAGGCTGAGGCAGGAGAATCACTTGAACCCAGGAGGCGGAGGTTGCAGTGAGCTGATATGGTGCCACTGCACTCCAGCCTGGGTGACAGAGCAAGACTCTGTCTCAAAAACAAACAAACAAACACCACAGGGACCCCAACTCCAGAGTTTTTATTCCATTGGTCTGAAGGGGCCCCAGACAATTGCATTTCTAAAAGTCTCCAAGTGATGCTGATGTTGCTGATCTACTGCCTTAGAGAATATCTAGGAAATTATAATGCTTAGTACAATTAATTTTTACCAATATTTATTTTTTCCCAACTTAAAATGATTGCTGTCAAAGATATAAAACTTTGAAGCCTTAAGCATTCATTTATTCATGAATCGAAGTAAAATCAAAATTAGAAAAGAAATCCCAGCTATGCCTATAGTATTCCTTTGGTCCATCCAATAAATTTCTGTCAGGTTTCTATAACAAGAATCATTGCTATTGCTTCTAAGAAACTTGTCTTTATTGTATGAGCAATGTAAATCATATAACTGATCAAGTTTCCCTTTCTGCCTTTGCTGCTTGTTAAGAAGCTCAGTGTTGACATATAGCCCACATGTAATGGGTATGTGGGATCTTACACTTACTTGCTGCTTGTTAGGAAGCTCAGGGTTGACATTGCCCACATGTAGTGGGTATGTAGGATCTTAGACTATACATTTTTTTCACAGACTTTACTTCTGGAGTTACCTTGTTTTATCGTGACTTTATTTTCTCTTGATCTTTTCTTCACTGACAATATTATTGAGACTATATAAGTATTTTTATAAATCATCTACATTCCTTCCTGAAGTATAGTAAAATATAAACCAACAAATTTATGTTATCTGAAGACACATTTACAAAAAATTTAGTATCTTATTTTATCAGGACTTTATGCTTTGGCCTCTGGATTATACAAGGTGAACAGATGAGAGACTACAGCATAAAAAAACCACAAAAGGTCAGGTGTGTCTATTTAGTTGTAGGCAGAAATACAAAACAAACAAATGAAAAACACAGATATCATTTCTGATATCCAACTCAAATAGTTAGGAATGTTCTAAAATATTATAGCATTATAGAATTATTTGCTACAAAATTTACTATACCTGTTTGAAGTTATTCATATTTTCATTTTAGTGAAAAAGTTCTAGAAATTTAGAACCTACTGAGTAAAGCCAAGGCTATTTTAATTTGTCTTAAATTTACTTTTGTCTGGCTTTAGGCCTGTGACATTTCCAGTATATCAGAATTCTGTGATAAATAATTTTGTATGCACCATGTTGGTAATAATGTAATCTGGGGAAGAGACTGGTAGTTTAGAAGTAGATGCTGATGTTAAGAATCTCTGCCTTCTCTATGTTGTCTTATTGAAGAAGCTAGAAACTGGTACATATGTACATACCTGCTACTTATGTATACCCAACATAGCCACTTATGCTTTACTTAATTAGTTCTTGAGGTTATGAAGGGATGTAATGTAATAGAAACTGCAGATTAAGTATGTAAGGATAAAACAGGCCTAACTTTCAAAAAATCCAGATTGCTTTTCTCTATTACACGGAGACCACAAATATTACAACTATAATGATTCAATTACTAAGTCATAACAGCATATAACAGCTACATGTTATGAGTAAATTTTGCTATTTTAATTCTTTTATTAAATCTTCAATAGCTATATCAGAACAAAGTATTTTCATGACTTTGACCACGAATAATATCAAGCAACTAAAAATGTCTTGAATATAAAAAGGTAATGGAGTACAAGAACAATGAAATAGGCCGGGCGCAGTGGCTCACGCTTGTAATCCCAGCACTTTGGGCTGAGGCAGGCGGATCGCCAGGTCAGGAGTTTGAGACCAGCCTGGCCAACAATAGTGAAACCTCGTCTCTCCTAAAAATACAAAAATTAGCTGGGCATGGTGGCGCATGTCTGTAGCCCCAGGTACTTGGCAGGCTGAGGCAGGAGAATCGCTTGAACCCGGGAGGCGGAGGTTGCAGTGAGCCAAGATTGCACCACTGCACTCCAGTCTGGGCAACAGAGTGAGACTCCATCTCAAAAAAAAAAAAAAAAAAAAAAAGAACAATTAATTAATACTTTATTTCCTCCCTTGGTAGACCTCATACTTCAACTTATTCCCAAAAAGTAGTTAAAAAAGATTCATACCAAAAGACTTTTGAACCTCTAACAGCACTTCGTGAATATGTACAGAAGCTCTTTGCTTCATGACGGGCTTATGTCCCAATGAACCCACTGTAAGTTGAAAATGCATTTAATACATCTTCTGAACATCACAGCTTAGCTTAGCCTACCTCAAACATGTTTAGAACACTTAACATTTGCCTATAGTTGGGCAAAATCATCTAACTGAAAGCCTATTTTATAATAAAGTATGGAATAGCTCATGTAATTTATTGAATACTGAAAGTGAAAAACAGAATGGTTGTATTAGTACTTGATATATGGCTTCTACTGAATGTGTATTGCTTTTACACTACCCTAAAGTCAAAAACTTGTAAGTTGATCCACTATAAGGCAGGCACCATTTGTATTTTGTTCCAATAATTCAGTAATAAACCAGATTCCATTAAAATACTATAAAATGGGAAAAAATCTATATGAAAGAAAACCATAAGATCATTTAAGTTCTTAAACATTTTTGAGGGGCTATAGATTTTACAAAATGAAAAACTGTAAAAGATTTGTCCTTCAGATGTTTAATCTTCTGTATTTTATAATAGTTTTTTTAAGTAAGGCAAATTCTATTGCTAAGAGCGGTATACAAACACATAAATTTTAGCACTTAATAATATCATGGGGCCATGGCATTATATGTTTGTGTCTGACTAATCTGCATTTAGTAGTTTAAAAGAATCTAACTGTTTCATATGATTGATTATTTTACAACTTTTAAAAAGAAAAATGTCTTGCCTTCGAATGGTAATCTTGTTCCAGTCTGGGATCTGATCCGGCTACCTGTTTGTATTTGTTAATTTTCATTTGGCGATTTCTCTCCTCTATATCCATAGTACCTATCGAGTAGAAAAAAACCCATAAAATTAATGTTCAGTTCTTATTTCTGAGTCCGACTTACAGGATGTATAAACGAAGAAAAGCCAGGCTGGTATATTACTTTCACTCAATGTAGCATGTACAAATTAAATGTCATATTATTTTACAGATTTATTTAAAGTATACAATTTCATAAGTAAAAACATGATGTTAAATATGTAAAATAATTTCAATCTGAATAAAATATAAATAAGTTTAAAGAGAAGATAACAAATCTTCATTAGATAGAAAACAATTTCTGGTATGTGTATGTCCAGAATACATTTGACTGCACAGAAATTTGACAATAATAATATCATGTGAACTCTGACTTTTAATTCATCATGATTTATTTATAGGTATTAAAGTTATAAGTTGCTTTCAAATACAATTTTAGAACTGCATTTAGAAACTGTTATCATAAAATTAGGCTATGCATTGAAGCAGTTTGCCCCAGTATATGTGTGAATCCAATTATCAGAAACTTTTGAATTTGAATTTTCTAGAACTAGGATCAACAAAGAGGTTCTTGTAATAATACTGCTGATAGCATACCATGCCAGTAAAGGCACAAAGTATGACTGAGATCAATTTTATAAAAAAAATTAGAATATAGAGTTAAGAAAGCAAGACGGTAAGCCTCTTTCAAAAAGACATTAATGCCCTCTACAACAGGTGCTACCTAAAAGACATCAGTTGTAAATATTCAGAAGGCCTTCAAAAATTTGGGTTAGAACAAGAACTAAATTCAGTTAGCAAATCCTAGAAAACATGAAAAAGCATTTTGGAAGTATATTTATGGGGCAGGCACAGTGGCTCATGCCTGTAATCCCAACACTTTGGGGGGCTGAAGCAGGAGGATTGCTTGAGACCAGGAGTTCGAGACCATCCTGGGCAATATAGCATGACCCCGTCTCCACAACAACAACAACAAATTAGCCAGGTGTGGTGACACATGCTTATAGTCCCAGCATCCTGGGAGGCTGAGGCTGGATTTGAGACCAGGAGTTGGGAGGCTGCAGTGAGCTATGATCATACCACTGCACTACAGGTTGGCCAATACAGTGAGATCCCATCTCAAAAAAAGTACATTTGTCATTTTTAAAGGAAAGTTATAGGAATATTCCATTTCTCAGAAATATATATAATTTAAAAATCTCGATCATATACTACAAATCTACATACTGGGAAAAATGAGCTTAGTGAACTCAACTGGATATCCATAATAAAATGTCAGTAAATTCACACAGTGTGTTTAGGTAGGAATGTCAACATACACACACATACCCCTTGCTTAAGATCATGACTTTAAAACTGTGGTAAAGACAGCTAGACGTAAGCGTGCCTATTAAAAAATAGGTATTTTAATACTTACCTGATTTTTAAAATGGATTAAAGGAAAAGGGGATTAAAAAGGTACCAGTATAACTAGAAGTTATGGTATCCCCTTCTGAGCCAATATTTTTAAATTTTTAATGTTTTAATTTTTTAGTATTATTCTCTGCCCTGCAAAAATCTCATTGCATATTAGATAGTTCTTGTTAGTAACAAATTTTAAAGGAAAATCGTTTAATGAAAATAATATGAAAAGGGAAGAAAATGTTTCAAAAGGAAAATCTTAGATAAATATACAAAAAACTTATACTATATTACCTCTAAATACCAGAAAATTTAAATCAACTATTCAATAAAGTGAGACAATTTCTTCCTTATAATAGTCACATGTTAATAATGATTTGACTAACTGACTCTGAGTCAAATTTGAAAGTGAGGAATATTAATGCTAGGTTAATATAATTTGAATGACATATAAAACCAGGTGAGTGCCTCCATGATGTAAATGTGAAATATAGTCAAGTACAAATACCTATTAGTCTATTAAAATACAACTTTGGAATTCTTTGTACTTCAAAAGATATTTTCAGGTAAACATGTCTTCTCCAAAGGCAAGCCAATAAAAAAATGAGCCCAACATTACAAAATGATGGGTCCTAAAAGAATATTAGCTATAAGGTGTGTTTGGAAAGTTTCTCAAAAAGTTCCATCTTGATATAATATAAATAGCACCAATTGACAAGTTTAAACACACACACACACATATATAGATATAAATATGTAGTGATAAATATATACGTAGAAACAGGTATATACATTTTGCAATATTTAGACTATTTTCTGGATGGCAACATCCTAGGAAAGCTATATTAAAATTCTTTCTGATTACTAGGTAGTAATGTGAATAACACTGGCAGTAGTTGGCAAACTTTTTCTGTAAAGGGCCCAATAACAAATATTGCAGACTTTGTGAGCCATATGGAAACTGTTACTCTGCCACAACTCTGCCACCATAGCATGGAAGCAACTGCAGACAATGCATATATAATAAGTGTGGCTTTATTCCAATAAAACTTTGTTTACAAAACAGGCAGTGAGTCAGATTTGCTCTCTGGCATATTGGTTTAACAGTGCTTGCAAAAGTGTCTTTCTCTTTAGAAATGGTTTAAAAATTAGGTAGAATCAGATTTATGCAATATAACTTTTACTTAACAGACCACTGGCAGATCTAAGGAGAATATTAATCTGTATTTGCTGGATAAACAAAGCAAGATGCAAATAGAGCTTTCTAACCATTTAAATATGTCATCAATTAAATTACAATCTCAAACAAATCTCTCATCTCCAGACCCAATCATCATCTATAGACAGTTCCCAAATTGGAAAATTCTTTATTAGAGTCTTAACCAATGAAATCTCAAACGACTATTTCAGTCAGCAAACTTGAGTAAATATCCTTTTACCTTATAACTTCAAATCCTCCTAGAAGAATAACCCTTGGGACAAACAGTAACCAAACAGGTCTCCCTACCCAAAAATTATTTGGTTCATATGAAGTCTTCTGTTCCTTTTCTATATTTGTAGAAACTATTCCTAAAAAGAAAACACTCCATGTAGAATAATAACCTTAGAGAGAAAAGTCTCCTATAGATAAAGTGATCCAGCGTAGAGGATTCTTCACCAGCAAGGTGATTTTTCTTTGCTGGTCCTTTGCTCTATCTAAGAAAAATAATCCAGTAATAATATTTTTATTTCAACAAAACTTAGTCTTTTTTTTCTTCCTTGGAATGAAAAGCAATTTAGAGAAATCAATAAAATAGAAGGGCTGTTCACTAGTTGAGGAAAGGATCACATAATTCCTAAGCTTCGTTTCAGCTCTGATATCCTATATACACTCTATAAAAGGAAAATAAATGAAAGTGATAAATTGAATGAATTTTGTTCAATTTCCTCTCTCTTTCTCTCAGATTGACAGTAAAAATCTGTATATACAAGGCCCTCAAAAACCTGCAATAAAGAATAACCACTTGACCACAGAACACTTACCTTTTTTCTCCATCTGTTTATATATTGTTGAAATAATTTCAAACTTTCCAAAATAAAAAGTTTGAAAAATGACGGTTTATAGGTTTAGAGAGTAAGTTTATCTAGGAATCTCTAAGATTAATTTTCTTATATGTGATGAACTATGTTTATTTCAGAAGACTTCTTAGTGGTTTGATATGGTTTTATAATTCAAGTATGCTTAAAAAATTAGGGTCATTATATCTTAGAAATCAAATCAAATATCAAAACATTTTCAAATTGTAAAAAAATTTGATTGAGATGGTAATGGGACAACCCAATTTCTTTGACAAATACATTTACAATGATAGTTTTTACATGTTTGTAAATATATATTAATGTGATAATCTGTTAATGTATAATGTATTAAACTAATATTCAAGTTATCTCAAATTCTTTTTTGTATAAGTAAATTATTAACTAAATAGAGAAAATATAATTTGTTTCATAAATATCTTGTTTCATAAATGCTAGAGTTGTTTTAAATTATGGTGGAAATGGCCCTCTGTTTTTTGATATGTATATATACAAATACTCCTAAATTCCATAAATGTTAGCATTCCTACTAAATGACATTTTAAACAAAACTTTTCTTCCTTTCCCTTAATTTATAATAATCCCCTTCCTTAAATTACACAAGACCTTTATTCTACTTTAGAAATTTTAAGGCAGAGCACAAAAAAGACAGCATATGTGGATGTTCAGGAATTAATAAATAGCTCAAAATATTCATTTTTTTAAATTGGAAATTTCTGGCCCATTTCAGCCACTGACGAAAAAAAATCCAATATTTTGTTGCTCTTGATTTAACTTATTTCCTTAAATCATATCACATATTCTGTAGCTATTTATTTTGGTGTAAGTCTTTAAAGAGATTTACTTCTTCTTAAATAAAAAATTAATTCTATAGTTACTTTGAACTTTAAAAAGCCTATTTAGTGTGCCCAGAAAGTTAAAGTTATATTGATAAAGCTGCTATGACATCCAATATAAAAAAAGTTAACTTCTAGATGAATTTTTTTAACCAAAGATATAGTTGAATATGGTCACAATAGCTGGCAGCCAGCTAGTGGTTGTTTAGGTTTTACTACACGCATGTACTACAAAGATCATCGATATACCTTCAGTGATTTCTGTAGTATGCAAACAGTAATCGTTTTAAGTTTGCTTTTCCAAACACACACACACTCCTGACACAAAGACAGAGAGAGAGACTGAAAGAGCATGAGCATGCCCCTGGAGTCCTAGAGCAATTTCATAACCCAAACTTCTTTGAAGTAGGGGCACAGGTTTAGCAGTGACACAATCCACAAGGAAGCTGAACAGCGACCAGAATATGGCAGTATTGTTGACTCAGTCATCCATCTTGTAGTCTTAAACAAAATGCTCAAATCTGAGGATCTTACAAGGGAAAACTCTTAAGCCCAATATGCAAACTCAAGAAAGAACCCCAAACTTCAGGAGAAAATTAGAAATTTGCAATTATAGACATCTTGGAAGTCAGAAATTGCATTGATTAGTACTTCAAATTCTTGTGGGTAATTTAATTACTTAAAAACATTCCCTCTATTCCTTACCCCATCTCTTCTATTTTTATATAAATATTCAACCTCAGGTTAAAAAAATCTTTCCTTTAATTGAGCTAAAGAATTGCACTAACTAGCTGTTTCATGAAGGTTTCTGATAAACAGTCATATGTGGAGTTGTTTTTGATTATTGTATGTCTTTACAAAACTAAGGACTGCCTTGAAATAATTTGAGGTTAGAAAACAATTTTTATTGTTTATATTTTTTAACATAACAACATATCAAGAACTTGTGGGATGATCATTAAACATTTGCACTTTATAATTAAACTTATTCTAAATAGTATTCTTTTAATAAGTACAAATTATATTTGTTTTTCAGTTAAATTTAAGAATTAAAGGTATTGGTGTAAATATTAAGTTGTAATCAGTAGTGAAGGATTCCCAAATGAAAAATGTTTTCTGTTGAAATTATCCAAATAATTGATAACAAAATATAAAAAGTATAGTTTTAATACATCTAACTGATTTTTTAAAAGTAGAGTGATAAATATAATCTGAACATAAATCAAAATATTATCTGAGGCTTTTCTTCTAATTGAAGCTAAAGAAGTATATTACTTATATAAAAGAGACATATTTTAAAAAATTTTAAAGTTAATTAATTTAAACCATTGAGAAAAAGTAATTTTGATAACTATCTTATTACATTTTATGAACTTTTAAGAAAATACAAACAATGTGGAATAGACACAAAAGAAGATAAAGAAAATAATGAGAATGACAGAAATAACATATTTAAAATGAACAAAACTAAAAAAGCCAAATTGTGGACTCTCAATGTTAAATTCACCATTTAAGTATGTATCAAATGAAGTGCAGTGAATAAAAACGTATCATCAGTGTATACAGCTATTGGCTCACCTAAAGGTGGCAATTACAGATGAGAAAACATGGCTACATATATTTATTTTCTAGATTCAATGAGATATACTATAAAAAGAACAATTTCTTTCAACAGAGAACTAAGTATAGAAATTGCTAATATGTCTCATGAGATAAGAATGTGTAATATTTTCTCATAACTGTATTTTAAAAGGTAGTGCCACTCAAGAAGAAAATAAAGTACTTAATTTTAATGAATTTTTTTAAAATTTTTTTGAGATGGAGTTTTGCTCTGTTGCCAGGCTGGCTGGAGTGAAGTGGTGCAATCTCGGCTCACCGCAAACTCTGCCTCCTGGGTTGAAGCAATTCTCCTGCCTCAGCCTACCGAGTAGCTGGGATTACAGACTTGCACCACCACGCCCAGCTAATTGTTGTATTTTTTGTAGAGACAGGAGTTCACCATGTTGGCCAGGATGGTCTTGATCTCTTGACCTCATGATCTGCCCGCCTCAGCCTCCCAAAGTGCTGAGATTACAGGCGAGAGCCACTGCGCCTGACCAATTTTAATGAATATTTTAATTGTTCTTTCAATATCTAAAAATTGTGAAAAAATTACTTCAAAATATAACTTATTGGCATTGTATATGAAAAAAACTTAAAAATGATCATATTTTTGATCATTTTGATCAAATTTTTGACCACATTTGAACATATTTAGATCATTTGATTTTTGACCCTGAAATTTCACCTCCCAGGAGCTTTCCTAAAGAAATGTCAACGTGCAAAGATGTGTACACAAGTATATTAATCATACCATTGTTTGATAATTGTAAACACCTTGGGAAAAAAATTCCTAAAGGTGCAAAACAGGTAATTATCTAATTGCATAATGGTATATCTATAGAATACAATGCATCCATAAAAAATGATGAGGATGTTGTACATATGTGTTCATATACTATAAATATATTGCAATTAGTAATTATAAAACAGATTAAACAGTAAAAATAGTAGCATAGCTTAGAACAATTTTAAATATAAATATATATTTATAAAAATATATATACATATAAATTATAAATAAGACAGAGAACAAAAAAGATTTGAAGACTGATACACCAGAATGTTAGCAATTATTACTGGGTATTGAAAGTATGTATAAATGCTATTTGATTTCTTATTTGGGTTAATACATGATTTATAAATTTTACACAACTGCATGTTACTTTTATAAGAAGAAAAGTGTAATTAAAAAATACAAGATACACGACTTGCTTTATGAATCTGGGGTTGCAATCCTAATCTCCTATAAAACAGACTTTAAACCAACAAAGATCAAAAGAGACAAAGAAAGCCATTACATAATGGTAAAGGGATCAATTCAACAAGAAGAGCTAACTATCCTACATATATATGTACCCAATACAGGAGCACCCAGATTCATAAAGCAAGTCCTGAGTGACCTACAAAGAGACTTAGACTCCCACACAATAATAACGGCAGACTTTAAACACCCTACTGTCAACATTAGACAGATCAACGAGACAGAAAGTTAACAAGGATATCCAGGAATTGAACTCAGCTCTGCACCAAGTGGACCTAATAGACATCTACAGAACTCTCCACACCAAATCAACGGAATATACATTTTTTTCAGCACCACACTGCACCTATTCCAAAATTGACCACATAGTTGGAAGTAAAGCTCTCCTCAGCAAATGTAAAAGAACAGAGATTATAACAAACTGTCTCTCAGACCACAGTGCAATCAAACTAGAACTCAGGATTAAGAAACTCACTCAAAACCGCTCAACTACATGGAAACTGAACAACCTGCTCCTGAATGACTACTGGGTACATAACTAAATGAAGGCAGAAATAAAGATGTTCTTTGAAACCAGCGAGAACAAAGACACAACATACCACAATCTCTGGGACACATTCAAAGCAGTGTGTAGAGGGAAATTTATAGCACTAAATGCCCATAATAGAAAGCAGGAAAGATCCAAAACTGACATCCTAACATCACAATTAAAAGAACTAGAAAAGCAAGAGCAAACACATTCAAAAGCTAGCAGAAGGCAAGAAATAACTAAAATCAGAGCAGAACTGAAGGAAATAGAGACACAAAAAACCCTTCAAAAAATTAATGAATCCAGGAGCTGGTTTTTTGAAAGGATCAACAAAATTGATAGACTGCTAGCAAGACTAATAAAGAAGAAAAGAGAGAAGAATCAAATAGACGCAATAAAAATGATAAAGGGGATATCACCACCGATCCCACAGAAATACAAACTACCATCAGAGAATACTACAAACAACTCTATGCAAATAAACTAGAAAATCTAGAAGAAATGGATAAATTCCTCGACACATACACTCTCCCAAGACTAAACCAGGAAGAAGTTGAATCTCTGAATAGACCAATAACAGGCTCTGAAATTGTGGCAATAATCAATAGCTTACCAACCAAAAAGAGTCCAGGACCAGATGGATTCACAGCCGAATTCTACCAGAGGTACAAGGAGGAACTGATACCATTCCTTCTGAAACTATTCCAATCAATAGAAAAAGAGGGAATCCTCCCTAACTCATTTTATGAGGCTGGCATCATCCTGATACCAAAGCCGGGCAGAGACACAACCAAAAAAGAGAATTTTAGACCAATATCCTTGATGAACATTGATGCAAAAATCCTCAATAAAATACTGGCAAAACGAATCCAGCAGCACATCAAAAAGCTTATCCACCATGACCAAGTGGGATTCATCCCTGGGATGCAAGGCTGGTTCAATATACGCAAATCAATAAATGTAATCCAGCATATAAACAGAACAAAAGACAAAAACCACATGATTATTTCAATAGATGCAGAAAAGGCCTTTGACAAAATTCAACAACCCTTCATGCTAAAAACTCTCAATAAATTAGGTATTGATGGGACGTATCTCAAAATAAGAAGAGCTATCTATGACAAACCCACAGCCAATATCATACTGAATGGGCAAAAACTGGAAGCATTCCCTTTGAAAACTGGCACAAGACAGGGATGCCCTCTCTCACCACTCCTATTCAACATAGTGTTGGAAGTTCTGGCCAGGGCAATTAGGCAGGAGAAGGAAATAAAGGGTATTCAATTAGGAAAAGAGGAAGTCAAATTGTCCCTGTTTGCAGATGACATGATTGTATATCTAGAAAACCCCATTGTCTCAGCCCAAAATCTCCTTAAGCTGGTAAGCAACTTCAGCAAAGTCTCAGGATACAAAATCAATGTACAAAAATCACAAGCATTCTTACGCACCAATAACAGACAAACAGAGAGCCAAATCATGAGTGAACTCCCATTCACAATTGCTTCAAAGAGAATAAAATACCTAGGAATCCAACTTACAAGGGATGTGAAGGACCTCTTCAAGGAGAACTACAAACCACTGCTCAAGGAAATAAAAGAGGATACAAAGAAATGGAAGAACATTCCATGCTCATGGGTAGGAAGAATCAATATCATGAAAATGGCCATACTGCCCAAGGTAATTTATAGATTCAATGCCATCCCCATCAAGCTACCAATGCCTTTCTTCACAGAATTGGAAAAAACTACTTTAAAGTTCATATGGAACCAAAAAAGAGCCCACATCACCAAGTCAATCCTAAGCCAAAAGAACAAAGCTGGAGGCATCACGTTACCTGACTTCAAACTATACTACAAGGCTACAGTAACCAAAACAGCATGGTACTGATACCAAAACAGAGATATAGACCAATGCAACAGAACAGAGCCCTCAGAAATAACGCCGCATATCTACAAATATCTGATCTTTGGCAAACCTGAGAAAAACAAGCAATGGGGAAAGGATTCCCTATTTAATAAATGGTGCTGGGAAAATTGGCTAGCCATACGTAGAAAGCTGAAACTGGATCCCTTCCTTACGCCTTATACAAAAATTAATTCAAGATGGATTAAAGACTTAAATGTTAGACCTAAAACCATAAAAACCTTAGAAGAAAACCTACGCATTACCATTCAGGACACAGGCATGGGCAAGGACTTCATGTCTAAAACACCAAAAGCAATGGCAACAAAAGCCAAAATTGACAAATGGGATCTAATTAAACTAAAGAGCTTCTGCACAGCAAAAGAAACTACCATCAGAGTGAACAGGCAACCTACAACATGGGAGAAAATTTTTGCAACCTACTCATCTGACAAAGGCTAATATCCAGAATCTACAATGAACTCAAACAAATTTACAAGAAAAAAACAAACAACCCCATCAAAAAGTGGGCGAAGGATATGAACAGACACTTCTCAAAAGAAGACATTTATGCAGCCAAAAGACACATGAAAAAATGCTCATCATCACTGGCCATCAGAGAAATGCAAATCAAAACCACAATGAGATACCATCTCACACCAGTTAGAATGGCAATCATTAAAAAGTCAGGAAACAACAGGTGCTGGAGAGGATGTGGAGAATTAGGAACACTTTTACACTGTTGGTGGGACTGTAAACTAGTTCAACCATTGTGGAAGTCAGTGTGGCGATTCCTCAGGGATCTAGAACTAGAAATACCATTTGACCCAGCCATCCCATTACTGGGTATATACCCAAAGGACTATAAATCATGCTGCTATAAAGACACATGCACACATATGTTTATTGCGGCACCATTCACAATAGCAAAGATGTGGAACCAACCCAAATGTCCAACAACGATAGACTGGATTAAAAAAATGTGGCACATATACACCATGGAATACTATGCAGCCATAAAAAATGATGAGTTCATGTCCTTTGTAGGGACATGGATGAAATTGGAAATCATCATTCTCAGTAAACTATCGCAAGGACAAAAAACCAAACACCGTATGTTCTCACTCATAGGTGGGAATTGAACAATGAGAACACATGGACACAGGAAGGGGAACATCACACTCTGGGGACTGTTGTGGGGTGGGGGGAGGGGGAAGAGATAGCATTAGGAGATATACCTAATGCTAAATGACGAGTTAATGGGTGCAGCACACCAGCATGGCACATGTATACATATGTAACTAACCTGCACATTGTGCACATGTACCCTAAAACTTAAAGTATAATAATAATAAAATAAAATAAAATAAAAGAAGAAACTGATATCTAAACTATTTTGGATATAAGTTGATTAGGAGGGATCTAGTAATCTAAGAAAATAATATGTGTTTGTTTTGTTTTTGATCTCTAAATTCAGTGAACAGACTAACTGAAATTTTATTATTCAGAGGACCTAGATTTTAGCATTATTTTAGGTTTCGATATTAAAAATCAGGATATAGCCGTGTGAGATGGCTCACACCTGTAATCACAGCACTTTGAGAGGCTGAGGCGGGAGGACTGCTTGAGCCCAGGAGTTTGCAAATAGCCTAGGCAACAAAGTGAGAACCTCTTCTCAACAAAAAATAAAAAATTTAGCTGGGGGCGGTAGCATGTGCCTGTGGTCCCATATGCATGGGAAGCTGAGGAAGGAGGATTGCTTGAGCTCAAGAGGTTGAAGCTGCAGTGAGCCATGTTTGCACCACTGCACTCCAGCCTAAGTGACAGAGTGAGACCTTGTCTCAAAAGAAAAAAAAAAAAAAAAGAAAAAGAAAAAGAAAAAAGGATGTACTTGGTCCATAGGGGAAGATTAGGGTTTTATGCCTGCAGAGTACAGTGGAAGTAACCACCACAGAGTTGACGGGACCTTGAAACTGCTCAGATTTGGGGAATGGGTATATTTAGGATACTTAGGATTAAATAAAAACTTTTTTTTCTTTTTAAGACAGGGTGTTGCTCTGTCAGCCAGGCTAGAATGCAGTGGCTCCATCATAGCTCATTATAGAGTTTTTACCTCTCAGGCTTAAGTGATCCTCCTGCCTCAGCCTTGCAAGTAGCTGAGACCACAGGCGTGCATACCACGCTCAGCTGTTTTTATTTTTTATTTTTAGTAGAGACGAGGTATCGCTATGTTTCCCCGGCTGGTCTCAAATTCTTGGGCTCAAGCAATCCTCCCACCTTAGTTTCCCAAAGTGTTGGGATTACAGGCATGAGCCACTGTGCCCAGCTAAAGAAAACCTTAAAAAACAGCACTGGTTGAAAAGATACAAAGAGATAAGACTTGGGTTTTAGTCCTGGCTTCACGAGTCCTGTACCTACAAACATGTCACTTTCTGAGCATAAAATTCTTCATCTATAAAACGAATAGTTTTGTACCAGATACTCTTTATAATTCCATCTGCTACAAAACTCCTTTTTTTTTTTTAAGATGGAGTCTCACTCTGTCACCCAGGCTGGGGTGCAATGGCGTGATCTCGGCTCACTGCAACCTCTGCCTCCTGGGTTCAAGCGATTCTCCTGCCTCAGCCTCCTGAGTAAGTGGGACTACAGACACGAGCCACCATGCCCGGCTAATTTTTTGTATTTTTAGTAGATTCAGGGTTTTACCATGTTAGCCAGGATGGTCTTGATCTCCTGACCTCATGATCTGCCCGCCTTGGCCTCCCAAGGTGCTGGGATTATAGGAATGAGCCACCACGCCTGGCCGGTTAGTTGACTTTGAAGTCAAATGATGTTTAAGTGTTTTTTGTTTTATATTATCATATTTATTTCATTAATATAATGTAAAGTGCTCTTAGAAATTTTTAACATTTGTCCTGGTACTGCATTCATTACATTTCCCTTTACAAAATGTTCGTATGTGTGCAGAGGCAGAGAAGAAAATGGAATAAAGGAAGAAGTGAGGGAAAGACAGAGATAAAGAAAGAGGAAGAGAGGAAGAAAGAGAGGATTAGCCAGAGCCTAGGAGAGACAGACAGGACAAACGAGACACTGACTATATTGAGAAATTCATTAAACTAGGAACTTTGTGCAGGAAAAAGAGTCCCAGACTGCTCTTATGTAGAAGGATCTTTTAGGCTAAAGTGCAAATGCTTCACTATATACATTTCTTTTTTCATAATATACAGTGACAGGTATAGAAGAAAATGTTACTAACCTTCTAGTAACTTAGTTAATTTGTTAGTCACAATTCCTGTATCTTTGAAAAAACAAGATATATTTTGAGGGTAAACTAAATTTTAAAATGAAAATTCCCTCAGAGAAGAAATATAATGGTTATTGAAATTGCTTCTAAGAAAAGGTACAATAATTGTTTATAGAAGATACAAATATCAGCCAAATTCATTGTGTTAATTGACTATTCCCCATTTGTGTTATGGACTTTAGAACATTCTACCTTTTACATGATTGCTAAATACCCACATTAAAGGAGATATTATTAACAGAGTAGCATGTATTATCACCCTGTATATACATCTTATCCTCAACTTTTTATGTTGTCATATGACATAATTATCAAATATCACTGTATTCCATATCTGGGATCTAAATTTATGAACTAAATAAAATTTGTGAACTAAATTTAAATTATATTAACTATGGCATTAAAATGATGATATAGAATATTTTTGAGAGTATTAAAAGTATCTTTTACCCACCATGTCAGGCAGACAAAGAGGCACACAAAAAATGAGAAAAAATTCACAATAGAATCCTATGATAATATGTACATTCTTAAAAGGATCCAAACACAACACATGTGATCATGCCCCCCAAACCTTAATGAAAGTGTGAAATAATGAACCTCACTTTTCTCCTCCTTCAAAAAGAGTGGAATCATAAATGGATTCCTATACAGAGAGAGGAGTGAAATAAGGCAAAATTACTAAATGAAAAGTATTAGTTGTTAGATATATCACTTCATATTTTCAATGATGTTATAAAATATTTACATTTTCTTTATGCTAATAACATGTTGCAAACAACACACATGTCAGATAAGATGATTAAACAGGGTCTGGAAAATTAAATTGTGCAAACCTACAGAGAAAAATAAAATTTTTGATACTTAAAGAAACATCATTAAAATAAATTCTGATTATAAATTGCAAATGTGATGTAAGATTCTAATATAAGAACAGATAAGAAGGATTTGTGAAAGTAATTTCCTCCTTATATCCATGGTGATCAGCCTGGAAAATGATTATACACTTGGGTTATGAATTAAGATAAAATCAGTGAAGCTTATGTAGCAATATTGTGATGAAAACAAGAGCAGCACATTTTAACTTTTGCTACATTTTATCCATTTCGCTAAATTTTTTTTATAAAGTGATATTAACATTTTTAGACAAATTAGGATCACCATTAAATTGAAATAATTATTTTTAATGAAAAAAGGAAATATTTAGATATATGGATTTTAATAGTACTCATGCTTGGACACTAAATTGTATTGCTTTTTCCCAAGATGCTGCCGCTGATTGCTATTGGTCAAGTGTACAAGAATGACTACAGAGAGCAGCTAATGTCATGTAGTGTAACATTACCTTAGAATTCAAAGGAATGTATCCTAAATGTTTCATGAATAGGAAAATCTCATAAAGTGTTTCCATTCAATACTGAGAATAAACAGGAATTAACAATTAGATGGGGTTACTCTCAGATTAAGAAGGATGAGAATTAGATGGAGAGACATCAGGACAGACTAGGAGAAACTGGACCGAGTTTTTATTTTTTTCTTTTTTCTAAATGTAATGTTGGCTCCAGTAACTTTTAACCTTTCAAATGCCCTTGTGTGAAAACTTGTTACATTGAGGATGTTAAATACAGCTGCAAACTAGAGTGAGTTGTTCTCCATGGATGTTAAATATCCCTTTCTGAATTCCTCTCTTATTGCTCTCCTCTTCCCTGACCTCTAGTATTGGTCTCTCATAATATTCTCTGCACAGTGTCCCCATTCTTGGTTTGGCCTTCTCGGCTTTAAAGTTTCTATATCCTTCTCTTTGTCACTGTAAGGCCACCATTTCCTAAGGTTAAGGACATGGGTTCTGGTACAAAGTCATTGCTTTGGTTAAAATTCCAGCTTCAAATGGCTTGGGTAATTTATTTAACTAACCTGTACTTCAATTTTTCAATCTGTAACTAGAAATAAAAATAGTACCGAATACAGTGTTAAACTCAATTACATATTAAAACAATTTATACTAAGTGATTTAATTATCCGAAATATTGACTGCATTTTAAAAGAAGAGTTAAGAAATTTGATTGAGAAAATGCACAATAAAAATTGGTTTTGATCACTGAGTCCTCCTTCCTCAACTACTCTAAAACTTTCCCAATCTCCTTGTCAGAACTAGTTCTTATACTGAATCTCCCAAGAGAAGATATAATATGTGGAATTAACAATCTAGCCATCAATTATTCATTATCATTCCAAGTTTTTTAAGTGGGACCTATTGCAGCTAGAATAAAAACAATGAGTTTTTATATAACTTGAGCATCTGGGTTCATTCAACTGAGCCTTGTATACTTGAGTTATAAAGTAAGAATATCCAAATATAGGGAGCTTCTTACTATATCTCCAATATTGAGTTCAATGCAACATGTTGTGTGGTTTACTGGTGGTTCATTAGCAAGAACTCCCTCTACTTAATTTGTGGTGACTTTAAAGAAAAACCTAATCATTGATTGCTGTAGCTAAATGGATATTGTAAAACATATCTCTCAAAGGTTACTAGAAAAACCCTATTTGCCAAATCAACTGATCATTCCTCAGCACCATTCTATTGGACCTTACTTCAGCATTTGCTAAAATTATTACACTGTCCTTGACATTTTATTCAACTGTTTGGCCCTGTACTTTTCTCTCAGTTCACTCTTTATCAAGCTACTTTGCCGGCTCATCTTTCTCAGCTGATTTTTCAAATTTATGCATTTCCCAAAGTGTTGCTATAGCTTTCCGCTTTATTCTATCCTTGAGTGTTTTTTTATTTAATTCCATATCTTCAATGTCCCATCAATGCTGAAGGCTCTATCCTTCAGCTTCTACCTTTCCTGTAAGCTCTAAGACGCACATTTCCAGTTGTCTCCTAGTCATCCCCAAGTGGGCCCCCTTAGCACCTAAAACCCAGCTTGCCCCAAACAAATTAAAATTATATCTCCTATCTATTCTTCTCCTATAATCATTATCAATGAATATCTACAATACCTAGAATCTATTTCTTTGTTAACTGTCTTGCCTATTCTTGGACACTATGTTAGCCCTAAATATCTCTTGATCTTTTTTGGTTTCTTGCCCACTGCTTTAGATTCAAAGCTTTAGTCCCTTCTTTGATTTCTAGCTAAACCCCTTAGTCATCTTGTCCTTTCACTTTGAGTTCTGAAGCTGCAGGCTAACCCCACCCATGACCATGCCCCTGTGGACCCCTATCTTGGGAGGGGATCTTAGTTGCTTGGGATGTGTTAGATTAGGTAAATTATTTTTTCTATTAGCATATTAGAACCATTTGAGTAACATATAAAATCCATTTTAATTTTCTATATTTTCAATAATTTTAAAAGTCAGATTTATTGAGGTATAATTTACATAAAGTAAAATTCACACAACTTAGTACAAAGTTCTGTGACATTTGACAAATGGATTTAGTCATGTAAACTCACCACAATCAATATACAGAGTATTTCTATCACCCTAAAAATTTCCTGATGCTGCTTTGATGTCAATCCTCTTCTTGCTTGCCCAGGTAACCACTGATCATATTTATGTCTAGCTTTTTCTTTTTCTTCAGTAATGTTTTCAGTCTAGAATTTTACTTGCTGAAGGCATAGAAAATGAAATATAACAAAGCTGTAGAGACTACACAGTTAAAATCTATTTTAGAATTCAGTAATACTGTTCTCTGAAAAATTAAATTCTTAAAAAGAATAATACTCTGTATATCCCAGGAATTGTGCTAAGAGCTTTGCATGTATTATGTCTGTCACTTAATCAGCACAACTATATGTGCTAGGACTTATTTTTTTCTCAATTTTACTTATTAGATAATTTACACAAGGTCATATAACTAGTAGGTGGCAGAGATTGACGTGCCCTTCTCCAGAACTTATGATCAAAAATATTGTCATGAAATGAACCTTCTTTCTCTCTCTCACACACACATGCAAAGAGTCAAATTTTATTTCATTCTTTTCTCTTTTTCCAGCATCTTTCCTTCCTTTTGACATCTTCTCCCTTTTCTTTTTGAGCAGTTTCTCCTCTGTCCATTTTTTTTGGTAATATTTCATCTGATTTCCCTATGAACCCAACCTTGGACTATAATATGGTCATTCTTTAATATTTTTACAGATTTCCTTAAATTCTCACCCCTTTACTCTAAACAAGCCTATCAACCTCCTTCATACTCAGCACGATCTATAATCTATAACTATGTTCTTCCCATAAGTTATGCAACATAATGTATTAATCAAATTACTTTACATAGCTTTCTTCATGTCAACTTACCTTATTTTGAAATATATATATGTGTGTGTGAGTGTATATATATACACACACATACATATATATATATATACACACACACTTGTTTTGAGACAGGGTCTTGCTGCATTATCCAGGCTGGAGTGCAGCGCTGCAATTATGGCTCACTGCAGCCTCCAACTCCTAGGCTCAAGACATCCTCCCACTTCAGCCTCCTAAGTAGCAGGGACTACAGGCTTGTGCCACCACACCCAGCTAAGTTTTTAAATATTTTTGTAGAGATGGGGTCTTGCTGTGTTGTCCAGTCTGGTCTCAAACTCCTGGACGCAAGTGATCCTCCCTGCCTTGGACTCCTGAAGTGCTGGGATTACAAGCATGCACTACCACGCATGGCCAATTTACCTTCTTATATATTATGTTTTCATCACAGATATAGAAGTATAGAGCTTTAAATGGGCAAAGAGTAAGGGATTCAAAAAAATCATAAATTCACTATGTTCTAATGAATATTAAGTATTGTTACATGTTAATATTTACTAAATATTTGATCACAAACTTGGCTTATTACAAATGTACTCTTTCATTTCAACTCAGAAAATTTAACAAATATATTTTAATCATAACTACCGTCCAGTGCTACGCTTTACTTATTCATCTTCCTGTAAAACTTAAAGTTTGAAAACTCCCTTATCCTTCACTGATGCTTAAATGCCTGCTTGCAAAAATACTTTATAGCATAAATTATTCTCCTTTTCTAAACTTTAATTCCCTTAGTTTATCTTCTGTTTAATGGTCTTTAGTATGATGTATTTCCTGGCTACTTTACATAGCTGGTTTCTTCTTACTCTTCTGGTTTAGTCTTCTGGTTTAGTTCAAACATCACCTCCTTAGATAAGACTTCCTGGATTATTCCATCAAAAATAGCTCCTTCCCCACCCCAATCCCACTAGGTTACATAAGAATTTTAAATAAGAGCACTTAAAACTAAGTTTAACGTTTTAGGGACTACTTTCTCTCAAAAAGAGAATTTCCATGAGGGGAGATCTTGTATGTCTATGTCACTGTTATGTCTCCAGCACCTAGAATAAGGCCTGATACGTATATATTTAGTAGCTGCTTGTTGAACAAATAAAATTTTTGGAATATAAAATATCTTTATAGTAGAATAAGAATTTCAGAAATAACCTTTCCTTTATGGAGAGCAATTATATTGTATTACAGTTTAATATACCATATAATAACCAGGAATGATTTGAGTCTAGCATAGCCAAATTTGCTGGTTATTTGGCTATTTTATAAGGAGATTTTAATAGTCTGTCTTGGAATGTTATTCCTATCTTAATAAAGACTCATATATTCACTACTAACACCTGAAATCTAGAATTGACTATAATTCTGAGCACAAAATATACATTTGGGCATTAGAAACATATTTAAAGAAGGAATTTGAATAGTTTAAAATGATTTTTATTAACAATTTGCTTTTGGCCACCTGCTAGACATTTAATGAAAAATTTATCTAATTTTAAACACAACTCTTCAATCCTAAATGAGAAAAGTGGTAGACTATGTCTTTTTGTGTGTTTTCCTTTTTTGAAATTTATTTGCTTGCTATTGAAGTGGAAAATTTTTCATTTTGGCTGGTCATTTATTTTTATTTTTCTGTTGGTTGAAAGTATACACACATGCACACATACACACAAATTATCAACCCTCAACCTCATTTTTTTAACAATGATGAAACTGAGATTGGAGAAATTAGGAAACTTGTCCAAGATCGCATTGGCCTTCTAATTTCTTGTTTTATTGCCTGTACCAACATGCCTCTAAACAGGGCAACAGAGAATAAAACATTACTTGTTTTATTGTTCTTTAACAAAAGCATGGCTTCGGGTTTTTTTGTTTGTTTGTTTTTTGTTTTTTGAGATGGAGTCTCCGCTCTGTCGCCCAGGCTGGAGTGCAGTGGCGCGATCTCGGCTCACTGCAAGCTCCGCCTCCCGGGTTCGGGTTCACGCCATTCTCCTGCCTCAGCCTCCCGAGTAGCTGGGACTACAGGCACACGCCCACCCCGGGTAATTTTTTGTATTTTTAGTAGAGATGGGGTTTCACCGTGTTAGCCAGGATGGTCTCGATCTCCTGACCTCGTGATCCACCCGCCTCGGCCTCCCAAAGTGTTGGGAATACAGGCGTGAGCCACCGCCCGGCCTTTTTTTTTTTTTTTTAAAGAAAAATCTAGAAGTAATTTGTCTTGTTTCTGGTGCCACAGATGAACACATGAAGTGTCCAAGCTATAGTCCGATGCCCAGTTCTACTATTAAAAGAAATTTTCTCTTTTTAAAAATAATCCTAGAAGTGGGTATTATCCAAACTCCTTACTAATTCATCATTACAGGTTACTGATGTATTAAATCTGGATTCAAAATCCTACTGATTTTGCTTATAACAAACATAAATCATAAAGAGTTAATGATATTTATCTAAAAAATAACCTCGGCATAATTTGAGTTGTGTAATAATTAATAAGAGCTACCATTCTTTGATTATTTACTATGGATGAAACTTTGTAACAAGTTTTTTACAGACATTACTTTCAATTTCTTTCAAATTACAAAAAAAGAAATGTGTTTCTAATGTATATGTCAAAAAAATTCTTCATTTAAATGGCTGTATATGCATATAACTTATTTAGCCATTGCCCCATTATTTAATATTCATTGTAAGATCGTTTTTATTGTTACAAATAATGCTTAGTGAACATATCATACATATGTTTTTATTTGAATTTCTATTTCTACACAGTCAAAAGTCTATGAACATTTTTAAGGTTCTTCATTTATATTGCAGAAGTGCTTTTAGAAAGGTTATGCTAAATTTCACTGCTACTCTGTTATCACACTCTTACCATGGTTTTTTTATAATTTTTTCTCTCCACATACAGGCATCACCATGGTGTTTTAAATAGGTGGGCATGATATCTCATTTAAAATAGTATTTATTGGGTCATGACTGAAATAAAATGTTTTCATATATTTACTTACCACTGCATTTCTTGTTTGGAGAAATGTCTGTATATATCCTTTGCCCATTTTGTCTATTAGAGTTTTATTTAATATATACTTTGTAAAAGTTATTCAGATGTTAAGGCTTTTAATATTTTATCTGAGTTGCAGCAAATATCTTCCCAACTTGTGTGCCTTTTATTTATGATGATTTTGATATTCTGAAGTTTATACCTGCCACATTGTACTCAGGATTCTTCCTCTTTTTAAATTTATTTAATTGCTTTTATTTTTAGGATGGCTTTCTTTTTTCACAGAAATAAATATTTTGTGCTTTCATTAAAACATAATTAACCCCTTAATCTAGCTGGAGTTTATTAAGATTAATAAGAAGTGTTAAGCAACCAGCCCAAAGTCATATCCCTACTGACTGGCAGAACCTGAATAATAATTCGTACCTGTCTGATTTCAATGCTCTTGCTCCTTCCACCCAACTATGTTTTTCAGAAATGATAAAGCTTAAGAGTACAGGTGCAATAAGCTTGATGCATAGATTTGCTTGTCAGTTATCTCCTAAACTAGCAGTCACAAACTAGTATATTTGTAATGCATATAACAAAGAATTAATTCTAGATCATAGAAATAATGCATACACATCAAAATGCAGATGATTTGAAATAAAAATTCAGTTTTCATGTATTTTTATAAAAAATAAAATTCTTCATTTATGGTGCTTGCTCTGTACTGGACACAGTTTTCATGTGTTTTGTACACTACATTTTGGCTAACTTAATCTTTGCAATAACCATTTGAGGTAGTACTATAATTATTCCCATTTTACAGATGAGGAATCTGAGGAACAGTGTAACTTTCACAAGATCATGGAGCAAGTAAGTGGTGGAGCTGATGAGGCAGTTTAGTTCCAGAATCTGCTCTTATACTGCTTCTCAGACCAATATTTCTTACAGGAACAAATATTTTCCCTAACAGCTGAAATTTTTAGGACACAGAGTTAAGGTGGGTGATAGGCATAGGTAAAACAGAATGTTATAGTTTTCAGAATGTATGAGTAATATATTAATAATTTAGCAGTAACATCCTTTAATTTCCAATGTAGACAAAATTTTATATCTAAAAAGAACTAAAAAATGTTGCATTCCAAACCTCATTTTAAATGACTTACTTAATCACTAAATAGCTACTTGTTCCACAGCTATTTGTTCCATGTTGGGGCATCCTTACTCTTTTGAGTCCCAAGAGCTTTAACTCTTTTCTTTTATTTGAATATTTATAAGCTTTAGTAAATTGAGCTTAAGTATCATACTTTATCAATAGAAGCTGTCATATAATTTGTGATATATTTTTATATTATACGTACATATATTTCATTTGAGACTTTTGTTTAGATGTATCATAAGAATACTTAATAAAATATTTAAGCTTAAGCTTATATAAAATATTCCTATATACTAACATTTAAAGTATCTAGCCCAGTATTGAACATAGCATTGACACTTTGTGCCTCCTTATAGACTGAGTGATTTGCATTTTCAAGATTTCAGGGTACTAGGGTTATATAAGGTTTTCATGACTGAGCCATCATGAGTATCTCTGTCTTTGACTTTCATCAATAATACTGAGTTAATCAAATAAAGGATGTAATCAATGCACACAGAGTATCTATAAAATGGATAGAATGTGAAATATAATTGATAATAATAATGAAGATTTTGGAAAATTTCAAGAACAGCTTATATGTGCATTTATATGTGTCCGTACATGCACATATATTAAATTACTACTATAATGAATGTTACTTCTCTTCACTTTTTAGGACATAAGTATAACAACATGCCATATAAAAGCACAGAGCATTCAAAATATGTCATATATGCCACTCAAATCTGACAAGAATTGATATACAAGTTTGAAATAATACATGCTAGTCTGAATATTTGTGTCTCCTCAAAATTCATGTTGAAACCCTAACAACTAAAATGAGCATATTAGCAGATGGAGCTTTTGGTGGGTAATTAGGTCATGAGGGTGTTGTGGGATTTGTGCCATAATGAAAGAGGCCAAGAGAGATCCATTGCCCCTTCTCTCATATTAAGACAAAGGGAAAAAAAGATGGTGGTCCATGAACCAGAAAGCAGGCCCTAGCCAGACACTAAATTTGTTGGTGCCTTGATCTTACTTAGACTTTCCAGTCCCCAGAATTGTAAGAAATAAATTTTTGTGAATTATAAGCCACCTAGCTTATGACATTTTGTTACAGCAGTCTGTATGGACTAAGATAATACATATCAATGGGCAACATTCAGAATAATCAGAGAACCAAAACAGAAAAGAATACTGTAATTGTATTAATTTTTAGAAGTTTCACTTAGCTAACCCTAACAGGAAGTGATTTTACTAAACATTATATTACAACACAAAATATATGTTACTTATTCCCAACTGTATTTTTATTAAGAAATGTTTGAAATCTATTCAATTTGAATTGTTAAGCTTTTCAAATTAACATTAGTATCTGGAAGACAAATGGATCAGTCTGAAATAGTAATTTATAACATATTTTCTCAAACTCTTAAGGTAGCACAGACCCAACTGTAATAATAATTTAATAATTATTAACATATCATAACAAAAATAAATATCACAATAATAATAATTGATCTAAGAGACTGGTGAGAAACATAGCTGACAAAACATTTTTTATGTTGAGATCTACTTATGAGTAAAACTGATATATTACACAAGCACTAATCTTGTCAGATGCTCTAAATCAGGTCTGGAAGTAATTCTAAAAATTTGTGTAGCTGAAACTTAAGATGTTGTTTCATGTAACTTAACAAATAGTATTTTAAAATTTATTTTGTATTAGACTTGTTTAACAATTATTTTAAAAAATTGTCATATGAAATTTCATATGAGTAAGAAAAGGTATAATACACCCTAATAAAGCATGCTACTTCTCATTTAAAATAAACTTCATTATGATTTGCAAGTGCTAAGTCAACATATTTTGCTGCTTCAAAATGTGTAATCAATTCCTCCATTTATTGTGTAGAAGATGTTGTAGTGACTGTAATTGGACCTCGTAATGCAATTGAAGGTCTTATAATTGTGGTTTAAACATAAAACATACATTTTGACCAAATATATTAGTGAAGTAATTGGACTTGTGAAATTATTTCTCCATCATATTTTGGGCTAAAATTTATAAAGAAAGATAACCAACTTGCATATTAATTGGAGATGTGAGTGACAGGCTAATAAAGATATTACCTTTTATTGGTCACATACTACAGTCAGTTTTTGAAAAGCCTTAACTTTAGTTTGCTTTTATTAAACAGGTGAAATACATTCTGAATTGCTTGTCACAAAATTTACTGCTTCCTTTTCTAAAATAATTTCCTTTTTCTCTGAATGTTTTCTTATCGTCTGTATTATTCTCTCTTTACTCTTACTTTGGAAGAGAATGCATTAGTCTTTATTTATCTCTAGGCTTATGTGAGTTTGTAGAATCCAAAACACAATGCTGGTTAACATAGACCATGTCTCCCTTACAGTATTAGGGGTCTGTAACAGAAATCCAGAAAGCTCAGGTTTCAACTTCCTCATACTAGGAAGAAAAGGGGTATTATAGATCTATAGCTACCATTACAATTTTAAAAGTGTATGTTAAGAAAGACTTCAAATTATGTTTAGTTAACTATGATAATTAATTTAGAACTTAATATTTGAAGACAATAAAACATTTTTGCCTCCATAAATTTAAACATCCCACATACATCCTAGATACCATTTTTTTTTTTGTAAGAAAAGTTGCTTCCATTATTAATCCTCTCCTCTTTGGAGTCTTCAAATTCTCCCAACCAAGTCCTTTTCCTCTGCCTTTATGCATATCATAAAGATTCCTTTGCTCAACCTCTAAGTTGTACCTCTGAATTTTCTTCCCCCTCTAAGCTTAAATTCCTTATTATTCTCCTTGTTTTGCTACTACTAAATTACATGGTTCATTCCTTCCAACCAGCATTCGTTCTTAACATTTTCCAGTCGGTACTGTCAAAACCCTACTATCCTGAGCTTCTTTCTCTAATTCTTTCTGCATTGCTTAGAGACCTCCTAATCTTTTCTACTGTGGTCTGAAACCCTATTGCTTTTACTTAAATACAATATATCCCTCAGCTTCATCAGAGAACGTTCATTTCCTTTCGTATCATGAATGGAATGTTGACCCTTCAAGAATACTATCTTCCCTGAGGGAAACATTCTGAGGGGAAGCCGCTCAAAATCCTTTAACTTACATATATGCTATACAATCCCAGAAACGGTATCAGCATTCTTGGTATAAATTGCTCCTTCCACATGTTTACTTTTCTAATCTATGTGAAGTCTATGCCTTTTATGTTCATAGCATTATTCTTCCTTGTTGCTACCATCTATATTCTAGGCAATTTCCTTCACATATCTATCAAGCTGAGGCCCTCAATAATTTCATTGTCTGTATAAAAATGCTAGCATCAAAATTTGTAGCTTTATTTGCATTCCCAAACTGTAATCCATGCTCCATCTTGGAAACTCACTCCTTGAAACAAACATTGTATCTTCACATTATTTGGAATTGTCCAACATCTGAAAATTCTTAAGATAATTAAATTGTCTCTCATAATAACCTGCTCAGTTTGCTTCTATTGCCTTAGATATCGCTACAAATTTCAGTTCTATCATTGAGACCTTATCTCCCAATTCATGAAAAATTCTGCATGATTTCACATGAAAACATGATTTAACACAACTAACATCCTTCCCAATCCATTTGAACATTACTTCAACTACTTCCCTTGCCAACCACCCTTGACATCCCTATTCTTTTCTTCTTTCTATATAACCGCCCACAAAGTTCCAACTGTGATCCAAATGATTAATTACTACATCCGAAGTGTGCTAATGAGCCAATCATTACACAATCTTAGAGAACCAATGCCATCACAAATTTAGGGTCTCCACTCAGCTAAACTATAACCATTCTTCAGGATATCCTTGGGGACCTTCCTGTCTTATTTCCCATGGTATTCTTAACTTTAAAATTTCCCCAAGCCATCAAGAAGCCTAGTTTATATTAACTACCTTCATTTTTTTCTTTTCCATCTCCTTTCCCTTCTCTTCTATTTGGTTTCTACCTACAACTTGACTGAATCAATAAGGCAAAGATCATTACTGTCTAGTTCTACCATTTAACAACATATTTGTCTTCTCTGGAATTTGTCTCTGCTGATTGTACCCCTTTCTTAAGATTCACTTCTATCACAGATTTTTTTAAATTCTCTTCTTTCATGAATATCCGTCTTTAATCATTTTCAACATACTTTTCTGGCTTTTGTTCTTTCATCCATTCCTTAAATGTAAATAAGTGCTGGTGATCCCCAAATTTTGATTCTTGTCTCTCTTATTACTCTTCATATGCTACTGACAATTCCATTAATTCCAATGGCATCACTTGAATGCTGATATGCTACCCTAATCTATGTCTCTAGCCCAGACTTCTCTCCTGAATTCCAGACCACCAATCACCTCTATAAGATATTTATACTTGAATATTTCAAATGAGGCTTAAATTTTACCTATCCTAAAAGTGAACTCTATCTTTCCCCTGAAACTTGTATAACATATATTCTCTATCCTGATAAAATGTACCATCAAACATTTCAGTCACCTGAAATCATCTTATTCCTCCTCTTTCTGCATCAATAATATCTAGTCTGATCAGTGACCAGGACTTGTAGGTTCTACATCTTTATATAACTTCTCATGTATTGACTGCCTCTACTGATACCTTAATTCAGACCATTATCATTTCTTAACTGATTCATTACACTATTCCCATATATGATCTTTCTGCTTATATTGCTCCGGTCCATCTTTTATATAACTGCCAAAGTAATCTTTCTAGAAACAAACATCTGACCTATTCTGTTGCTTTATATGTGTCAGTAACCTACATAATCTTCATAAATCGGTCTCTGCCTACTTTCGCCAAACTTGTGTGAAGCTACTGGCCATACTGTTTCCTCTGCCTGAAATGCTCTCTACAAAAGAAGCTAACAGTGTTCTAGCGTTTAATATTCAACTAAATTCTTCTATGAAGTCTTTCTTGAACTAATATCCATCCTCCCCAGGGGAAAGGAATCATACCACCTTTTCTGATTCCATTATATTTTATATATGTGTGTATATACATGTACATACATATTTTATATATATATAAAATATATACACTCACACTAGGAAACGCCTGCAAGGATAGGGAGCTATTGTGTGTCTCCTGTTACTTCCAGCACCTAGAACAGTACCACATGTGTTCAAGTTTCAGCTCAAATGTTACCTCATCCAAGACACTTTTTCTGACTGTCTAGTTGAAATAAACTTCATTTGAGTTTATATCTCTGTAGAATATATTGTCAGAATAAGCTGCCTTGACACATAAACAGTGCATGTTATCCACATCTCTTAACTCTTCAGTGATATTGATAGCTTTTTTAGGGTATTAGGTCTTTGGTATTCTCCACAGTGTAGAACACTGATGAACTCATGTTAGAAATCAAATACTTTTGGAATTATTTTAAAAAGCAAAAAACTAGTTTTAAGTCTAAAATGCTTGAAACCAAACATATGTGTGTGTGTGTACCTAAATATACATACGCATACATACACATCCTATTTGCCTTTAGTTATTCAGTTTATGGAAAAATTACATCTATACATATTACATAAAAATTAATTATTTTACTTTTATCCATCTAATTGGAGCAGTTGCTGTTGATAGTTGAATACACAAATACCTAAATTAAAATGCTCATAAGATTTAATATTTTGTTATATTACAAAGGAATGAAAAACTATGAAATGAGTAAAAAAATGATTAAACATTTCTAGGACAAGTTAGATAAATAAAATAATAACAAAAAAAGCAGAAGAGACAGACCTGCATATCTTCTCCTTGTAGAGTCCAGTTCTTCTGTGATCACATCGTGTAATGGACAGACATAGACAAAGGAGATGGGAGTGAGTGGATGTACTCAAAAGGTAAAAAGTGACACTGATGGAAAGGGCCTCAGATCATTTTGAGAAAGAATCCTGTGTACAGTTTTAGGGAAGATATAATCAAATGCATTCCACAAAAAATACGTAAGAACTGATGGCAAGTTGATTTTGTTACTATAGGTTAGCGGATTCAGAAAAATAAAGTTAGTGTAGAAATAAAGAAGATCCAGAAGTTTACAATTATTTACGTACAGCAAATCCTGAACACCAATGCTGAAGAAAGATACCATTAGTAAAAACAGTGTTAGTTGCATGACCACATTGTTCAAGACATTACTGAGTCAATTTAAAGTCTGTTACAATGCTTTCAAACTTTTAATTATCTGAAGAAAAGATTTAATTGAGTCATCACCAAAAAGAGCAATAAAAATAGTTTCAACAGATTTCTATTCCTTTTATGTTTCCCCAGTAAACCAGTGTGCACACAAAAACAAAGAATGGTCATCAGGCCAATATTTAATTGAATTATTTCAATACAGCAAAATATCATTAAAATTTTATGAAGTAATAATTATAGTACAAGTCTTTACTAGAAGAGTAGCTGAAATACATGGCTTCATTTCAGCATTAAAAATCCAAACTAAACTTCAATGTAGACAAATTTTCTTTGATCATATTCCCTTTTAATGCCTATTCATTCAACAGATTCTTACAAATGCCACTTTATAGATTATTAAAATTTACGCTAAAATGTATCCATCCAAATCCATCAACTATAACAGATATGACATGATATGTTTTGGAAAAACTTTTTTCCCTAGTGCTAGTGAAGAAGTTCAAATAACATTTTATACAGTGACTTGGAAACAGAAAAATGTCTGTTAAACTGAGCATTCTAAGAAAAAATTTCTTCCAAAGATATTAGTGTACTAGTATGATTGACACAGATGAACAATATGCCACAAAACCAAAATCTCCTATTTTAATTTAAACACTTAGCTTTGAATCAGATACTACAAATTCTAAAATCAAACACCACATTTAAGTTCTGCAAGAGTTGCATCATTATTTTTGAGTTGACTTATATAGCAAAGCATATTGCATCAAAATATACTTGCAATATCAACATATTAAAATTATAGCTCTTTAGAGAATGATTTCCTATGACAAATTTGTCTCTTTATATGAATAGTGATAAAATGAAAACATTCCATTAGATTAAGTCCATTAGTGCTAAGATGACCAAAACAATTTTTCTTAGGAAAAAACCAGAAATCTTAGCATGAATTATAGAAAACTGGAAAAGAAATGACATTTGGAAATTTAATATCATTTTTATTATTATATGAACACATTTTTTCACCTGTTGAAAATAAGACATTAAATCTCATCACAATTAAATTACAAATCATACTGCTAACAGGATTAACCCCTAGAAAAAAAATCTTCAGATTCTCCAGAAATATACTAATACACATTAAAATGACACATGCTATATTTTTGTTTCCATCATCAATCCACCTGCTTCTCAAAGAAGAATAAGGTAGGATAATCACAGTTTATTAATACCCTAGGCAAATGCCGACTTTCGTATGTTGCATTGTGTTTTTATACACAAAATTTCCCTAGATACACATTTTCCATACTACTAAAATAGTTCCCTCACAAGTAAAAATGAAATTGGTATGAAGTGGATGAAATAATGGCTTCCATATATTCCATCTCTAAGAAAAGATCTTATTGTTTGCAGAAAGTATAAAAACTACGTAAACAAATGAAGCTTTTTTCTTCATCTAGTATTTTCCTATATTTTGAATTACTTTATGTGTCATCAATGCAATGGTTTTCATATTATGTGGATCCAAACATGAAAAATTATTCTCAATTCACTCATGAATTAATTTTAGTGAATAGCAGAGGCACACATAGTTCCAGTGACTTACCCAATGATACAAAACAAGTTCAGTTGCAGAGCCAGAAATAGAACACAGGTCTCCTGATTACCAGGTCAATTTTCTTTGGACTAGGTACTATATGACCCAATAAAAACATGTAAAATACAAAATCAAACAAAGAAGAAAAAATAATTCTCTCATGGTGACGCCTGAACTGGATATTTTATTATATAGTATTTAATTGGAAACAGTTTTTTTCAAAGTGGCACATTCTACAACTGTCAAGTAATTCACCAATGCTTTCATTCTTATAAGGAATATGGCAAAACTTATCTTAGAATCAACAATAAAAATTTTTTTTTCAGGAAGTACAAAATTTATATGATTAATAAGGTGATGAAAATGAAATATTTTGAAAATGATTTCACTACTAAAAGTATCAATTAAGTCATTTGCCATAGTTTATCTGAATATGATCCATTAATAATTAGTCCATAACTAAGCCTACATAAAAATATAACTTTAGCAAATAAAAATTCATGTAATGCATAAAATCTCAATATATAACTATAGTTGTATCAGATATATTTAAAACATTTTTGGTTTTTTGGATTTCCTGTGGTTATAGTTTTATTATGTACTATTGCATTTAAACAGCCTCATTTTAAAAGAGAAACTTATAGTCAACTCCCTTACGTAAGCAGCCATGTCTTAGGCAAATGATAATATGCTGTAAGTATTTATTTTGCATATAGTATTATAATGAATAGCAGACTTCAGTGAAACTTGGAAGAAGCTAAGAGTATCCCCTCTACTTCTCCCATATTTCTCATTACCATGCCACAGTCAAATATTCTACTTTTTAGTGCAGTTAATGAAGGGTTCTAATGAGAACTCTTTCTTTTTCATTTATCCAATAACCAGTTACCAGACTCTTCTATAACTAACAAACCCAACTTTTCATCTAATCAATAACCAGTTAAGACTGATTAAGGATAGTAAAAGTATTCCCTCTTTTAGGTGTCCAGGTACTATCAAAATTATGGCTGGATCTTTGTTTCAGACAGAAAATATAAAGAATTTCTTTGTAAAAACAAAAACAAGTGCGGTATTTTTTGTTCATTCCATCATACAAAATAAAATATTTTCACAAATTACAATGAAATAAAAGATATATAAAATATAATGAATAAACTCATAAGCACCATTTCATCACTTACGGTAAATTATATTACAACAAATATTTTGAAATTTAAGATACCATCAAGTTGCAAACTATTTAATATAAAAAGCAAGATGGGTGTGATTTCATTATTGTGTATTATAGAGTGTAATTACACAAACCTACATGGTATAGCCTACTACACACCCAGGCTATGATATAGTCCTGTTGTGCCTAGGCTACAAACCTGTACAGCATGTTATTCTATTCAATACTATAGGCAACTGTGACACAATTGTATTTTGTATATCCAAACATAGAAAACATACAGTAAAAATACAGTATTATAATGTTATGGAACCACTGTCATATATGCATCCATCCTTGACTGAACTGTCATTATGTGATGCATGACTGTATATCTACATATCTACATATATAGATATTAATGCATGTATAAAATCACTTTCATCAAGCATATTTGGTAATATAGTAAGCTCATGAGAATATGATGTGAGATTTTATGTAAAATTTTGTGCAAACTAAGAATTCTTTCCTTGCCAAAGTAAAATGTTTTAACTATTGTTATGTTTCAACTGAACACATGTCTCAAGTTCAAACAGAAATGATCATCTGTAATCAACTTAAAAAAGACAAACACTTGGGGCCTCTTTATCCACAAACGCAGTTTTCACCAAGGGTGTTTGATATCTATCTGAAATTCTGCTGATTGGCTAATGTTCTCACTTACCACCATTTACAACAGGCATACACTTGGTACTGTTACCAGATTTAATTGTAGTTGAACAATATGTGTCTATGTGTCTATGTCTCATAGAAACAAGCATTATGTTAAAAACGTTCCTGACACAATGAAACAGAAGCATGAAGATTCTAAGTGTATATTAGAATTTGAACATAATTAGAAGCTAATCATAGTGTGAGGGCTCATTAAAGGTCACAGAGTCTTAGAATGTTTCCTTTGGGGGAAGGAGAGATACCTTTCAAAAAATAAGCCTAAGTAAGAACCTAGTAGGAGGACCTCAGTGATACAAAGATCAGAATAGAAGTCTCCTATAAAAACTAAATGCTTACCAAGTTTACAGATGACAAACTAGAACATCTCCACAGTGACAAAACCTTTTTGAAAAATTTCTCAATCCAAATGATGTGAACTAATCATTTCTAAACTGATTATTTCCAATAATTTTGTCTACAACCATAAAATTACTGAACATTTACAATAATTTCAACCTATTAAATGGCCATCTATTAAATTAGGTGCCGTATTTTCAAATACTTTGCTATTTTTAAAAATTCACTATACTTACATAAAAAGGTTATTTTTTATTTACTTTTTTGTTTTTAGAAGGAGTCTCACTCTGTTGCCCAGGCTGGACTGAAGTGGCACGATCTTGGCTCACTGCAAGCTCCGCCTCCCGGGTTCAAGCGATTCTCCTGCCTCAGCCTCCTGAGTAGCTGGGATTACAGGTGCACGCCACCACACCCAGCTAACTTTTGTATTTTTAGTAGAGACAGGGTTTCACCATGTTGGTCAGTCTGGTCTCGAACTCCTGACCTCATGATCTGCCCACCTCGGCCTCCTAAAGTGCTGGGATTACAGGTATGAGCTCTTGTGCCCAGCCTAAAAAGGTTATTTTTTAAATGCCTTCCTATTTTGAGCTGTGCTGTTTTTCCCTGACTTTATCTTTGAAATCCAACATATAATACATTTTTAAATGCAGAAAAAAAGAGAGTATGTACTGAGGGAGTTTAAAATAATTTATTTCCAGACCGGGTGGTGTGGCTCATGCCTGTAATCCCAGCACTTTGGGAGGCCGAGGCAGGCGGATCACGAGGTCAGGAGATAGAGACCATCCTGGCTAACATGGTGAAACCCTGTCTCTACTAAAAATACAAAAAAATTAGCTAGGCATGGTGGCCGGCACCTGTAGTGCCAGCTACATGGGAGGCTGAGGCAGGAGAATGGGGTGAACCCAGGAGGCGGAGCTTGCAGTGAGCCGAGAATGCACCACCGCACTCCAGCCTGGGTGACAGAGAGAGACCCCATCTCAAATAAATAAATAAATAAATAAATAAATAAATAAAATAAAATAAATTTTATTTTGAAACTATAGCATGCTGTTTATCATAAGAAGGATGGTTACTGAAAAATAGGCTTGGCATTACAAACTTATCTGTATGTGCAGAGAAAACTGAACTAATTTTAAATGAGCAACTAACTTCATAAATCATGAAATTTCACTTCATGGTTACAATGAAAGAATGTGTTATTTACTTCTTAAGATACTAGTAGTAGTTATTCCAAATTCTATCACCTGATTTGTCATATAAAACATTTGTTTGTCTTACATAAATTTTTTCAATTAAGAATAAAATATGTTTATTTTACAACAATTCAGAAATTATCAAGCTGCTGATAATGACCAAGAACAGAACCCTAATTCCTTTTTCCAGACTGGATGGCTTAAACTAGCATTTAATAAGAAGACTGATGTGGAATACTGCTTTAGACTAAAATAAATTTTTTCTACTTTCAAAAAATCTTAAACATTCAAGAATAAAAAGAAACAAAAGTACAAAGTATCAAAATACTCAAAAAAAATTTCACAGTATAAAATTCACTAACAAAATACTTAATTGAATATTTACTTTTCCTAAAGATACATTTTACAAAACATAATTCCAAAGGTAAAATTAAGTAAAAAAAAAAACCTACCTACACTATACTTATATATTCCATAAAGAACACAATATGGAAATGTACATGTTAGAAAAAAATTAAAGATTAATATATTAATTAAAGCAAATAATGCCAAATCTGGGAGCTTATGTACACATTAAAATATTATAGTAAGTTGTAAAACACAATTTGTTACTCTGAATATTTTCAATTTTCAAAAATACTGTTAAATCATACAGTATATCAGCAAAGGGTTTAGTTGCCTTCACTTTTACAAAAAAAAAAACAGTTATTTTCCATATAAGATACAAGATAAGAGCACGTTATGGTTTCAGTTGCAATAACAATAGCTGTGTCAATTCAAGATTTTCCTAGATGTAGCATAACTTACACTCAGAAAATAACAAATCAAAGCTCATAATCATTTTAAAGTTATATGTCCAAATAAATAAATTCTGAACTATATAAGTCCAAGATTAGTTTCTAAGACTAATTTTGGAGAATAGGCAAAATTGTAACTCTTCCAAAACATTCATTAAGCCTGAAGAACTTCTAATTTAAGGGAGCTTTCCCACTACTTTTTTGTGTGGTAATTAAAATATCAGCTTAAAATATTTTATGTGTAAATGTGCTCTTTTCTCATAAACATTTCTAATTACTATAAGGAAAGATAAACTCACAAGTTAAAATTATTAATATGATAAATATTACATTTCCCAGTGATCTTTATCTATACTGATGTCAATTAAGGTAAAAATACTGCAAGTAGGGCTGGGCACCGTAGCTCATGCCTGTAATTCCAGCACTTTGGGAGGCTGAGGTGGGTGGATCACCTGAGTTCAGGAGTTTGAGACCATCCTGGCCAACATGGTGAAACCCCGTCTCTACTAAAAATACAAAAATTATCCAGGCGTGGTGGCGGGTGCCTATAATCCCAGCTACTTGGTAGGCTGAGGCAGGAGAATCGCTTGAACCAGGAGGTGGAGGCTACAGTGAGCCGAGATCACCCCATTGCACTCCAGCCTGGGCAACAAGAGTGAAACTCTGTTTCAAAAAAAAAAAAAAAAAAAAAAAAAGATACTGCAAGTAAATCACTTGTTTTGCTGATAATCCTCTCAAGACATCCCAGTTCAGAAATACCAAGATCATTCTTTAAAAAAAGCAATTACTAGTCATAGTACTCAAAATTCATCCAAATACTTGTTAACTCGTTTTCTAGTCCATGTCATACCATTTAGCTCCTTGGTTCTATAGTCTCACATTTAAAATAAAAATTTCAAGTGTTATTTGTATTGCTAGTAAACATCCCAGAAATGGCAAATTCCCAGGTATTATAAATTGTTCTAGCATAGATTTTCATAAAACACCAATTGAAAAAGAAAACAATATATGCTATTGATGCACAGCCAACTTTCCATCTCAAGTTTGGGCTCATTCCCATACAGTTTTTCTGATGCCACAAGTTTGCCCCATTAACCCTTTGACAAGGAATCTTTGACAATTTATTGAAGTGGGTTTCTTAGATTTCAGCACATAAAAATTATACATTAAGCACTTTATATTCAATAGATTATTAATATCATAAATGCACTTAAACATAAGAGAAATAACTCCAAACATGTCTTCTGTAAAGCATAGGCATATATAAACATGTTGTTGAAATATCATCTGCTATACCTACATCCTACTACTTTCCTCCCATTTTATCACTCCAAAGTTTTGATAATTAAAAATATTCTTTAAATATCCCAATTTCCTTTTAGAAACAAACAGATAAGAATATTTATGAAGCACTAAAATTTAACATTGTTTTTACTGCCTTAGAATATTGCATACTTACTCATGACATTTAGGGTTTCAATTTCCAGGACCAATTTTCCTAGTATACAGGAAAAAAAAAATCGCCAAAACAAAAAAAAAACTATAATCATTTTCAACTATGACATTAAGACACTATAGTTAAATTCAACTAAGTAAAATATTTAAAATAGATCTTTAAAATGTTGTGTTTCTGAGATGTCAAAATATTTTTTAAATATTGCATTGTTTTGTGTTTTAATATACAATGTAACTTATTTACATAGATACATATGGCCACAAACATATTCATGTATTGGACATGATGACAAAGTGGACAACAAATAAATAATAGCTTATGATCAAGGATAACCTGTATCACACAATGTAGCAAGGGGAGAGGTTTACAGTAATAATTTTTGATATATAAATCATAACATAAAACATTAATTTTATATTTATCTTGTTTACTTAAAAATATCCTTAAATATATTAAGCTAATCACTATTTTCCCAATAAACTGATATGAACTGAAGATTTGAAAAAATATATATTTTCTTACAACTTTATGAAAAAATTTAAATTCCCAATGTGAATTCCAGTTTATTTTATTACATTTTCAGTAGGTACTGTTTTACTAAAAAATAATTCATAGATTAATATTAGCACTACGCCATCTTTCTTTGCTCTTCAGACTTATGTTACATGATACATTTTCTCAAAGCATCCTATTCTCCTTAATAGCACTTACTACAATTGTAATAGCTTAATCATTATTATAATTATATTTAAATTATGTATTTTCACAGACATAATATGCTGTGTGAGGGTAACTGCTGTATCTGTCTTGTCTACTCTAATAGGTCAGTGCCAAGTATAATGTTTGGAATACAGAAGGATGGCAACAAATACTTGTTAAAGACTAGTTTAATTTTTACATTGACATCTTTTAAAATATGGGTCTTAGAGCTGTAACATGAAATAATGAGTCAGCACATAAAAATACTTTAACATTATTACTACAGACACAACTATTTTTAATTATAATATCATTAGTAAAACTCCCCTTGAAGTTTTAAATTTTCAATGAAAATTTCAATGTATTCTCATCCAATTACTAATTAAAAGTAGTACTGGTTTTTTAGTTAATCAATTATCTCTGCACTTTGTCTTTTTTCATTTTATTCTTGGTTCAAGTTTTGTCTTCTACTTAATCCATTTACGCCTAGTGTTCCATAATTGGAATGCTAAGCTTGTGGGAGTTATTTATATCCTACTGCTTAAGGTCATTGCCAAGGTCTGATTTTCACACAAAAAAATGTGTAACCTCCAGCATAAATGGGTTAATTATATCTCTCCACAAAAAAATAAGGAAGGGAGAGGAAAACAAAAACACTTTGTTTCAATTCACTGGTAGAATTAACAGTTTGAAGAGACTCCTTATTGAATTCACATACTATGCTAACCCTCTTCCTTGTGGTTGGTGATATTTTTTATCTCCAGAGATTGTAAATAAATAATTACCAATATATGGTATAAATATCTCAATAGCATTTGCAATTAAATAATGGAAATATCCTACAAAGACAAACTTTAGATAGTATATTGAGCTTTTATTGTACTTTTTAGGGAAGCAAGTACCTCTGCATTAAAGTACTTCAATTTTAGTCAACATAATCAAATATGTAAAGTGGATGACCATCTGTATTTAAATTAGTCATTTTTTCCCTAAAGGACTAATCTTCATAATAATAAAATAATTATATTTTTTCCCAAAATATGTGTAATTAGTTTTCTAAACAAATCTTGAAATAAAGTATTTACCACACTAATCTAAATGGAATCTACACACTATCAAGTCCACACCAAAATGAGAAAAATGAGGTACAACAAGCACACACGCATTTTAAAAAGCATGAAATGCAATGCTTGTAGTCTCATGCTTTCATATGGTTTCCAAACCCTGACAAACCTGTCTCAGACTGGTGTTTCTTTTTCGGCAATGGTTTGTCATCACTTATTGTACCATTCACCTTTTTCTGCTGGTCTTCCCATGTAACTTCTAGTATAAATCAAAAATAATAATCAGGGCTTATCAGAAACATTAGATAATATGCATAACAAGAATCTAAATATACTTCAGGGATCTATGGGATTTTGGGGGATATTTTTCCTAAATTCTCACATAAACTATGTAATATGCAGTTAACATTTTAAATATAGAAATGTGACATTAAAATTTTGCTTAATAGATTTCAAATTCCAAAGCACAAAATTTACTTCTAGTATATCCCAAACTTCATTTTCAATAAAATGAATGCAGTCAAGGTATGAATAAACTAATAATTAAAATGGTTTGACAAGGTCTTTTCTTAGTTTATGTTAAATAATACATACTAGCTTATTTTAGAAATAAGCATTTTACTAAACTTTGTTTTATTGTGATGAAATGAAATGTTTATATAGAATTACAATGTAGAAATTTTGAAACATCAAGAGAAAATTCATAAATACATTTCAATACATGAGATAAAACGGCTATTTTATTACCATATTTAGTATCTTCATAAATGACAAACATTTATATGCTATGAGATATTATTTTGATAAAAATCTTGATAAAGGAAGACAAAGATATTTAGTAGTAACAGCTTGGTATCATTGAATATGAGTTACTTGGCTCATCTAAGATTATCTACAATTATTTCTCATGTGGTTAACAATCATTCATTTAATAAATATATATTCAGCACCTACTATAATCCAGGCATGTCTGGGTACAGGGATATAACAACAAACAAAACAGGCAAAACCCCATACATTCATAAAGTTTATATTTTAATGGGAGAGAGTGATTATAAACAAGATAAGTAAAATATACTATGACCTAAATATTGATAAATGCTAAAAAGACAAACAAAGTAGGTAAGAAGGAAATAAAATATCCAGAGGTAATGAAATTTTTGATAAGGCAGGAAGGGAAGTCTTCTCTAAGAAGGCAACTTTTGAGTACAGAACTTAAGATAGTAAGGGAGTTAGCCATATGGTTATTTAAAGAGAAGGTATTCCAGGCAGAGGAGCAGCATGTGCAAATGTCCTGAGTTAGAAGCATGTCTGATATGTTCCAGAAAAGCATGGAGGTCACTTTGGCTGGGGCATAACAAACAAAGAAAAAAGTAATAGATAAGATTGAAGTAGTAATGGAGATGGGAAGTGGGGGAGCACAGGTCATGTAGGGCCTTATAGGCCATGGAACAAAAGATTCACTGGCCACCATTTAATCTTATTCTCATAGTAGCATTCACAAATAATTATATATCTTATAACTTGTCTTTCTTTTTATTTATATGTTTCTAAAGCCATACTATAAGTCAATTAGTTATTAATTATATATATTTGATTTTTATTTAAGAAATATTTTAGCCACACGATCTTGCTATGTTGCTCAGGCTGGTCTTGAACTTCTGGTCTCAAGTTATCCTCCCGCTTCAGCTTCCCGAGTAGCTGGGATTATGGCATGAGCCACCTTGCCAGGCTCTATGTGTATTTTAATCCCTATAGAGTTTCACCATGCCATACACAATGCTCTGGTATCCTATCTACCTTTAGCCATAAATAGTGGAATACTAACATATTTTATAATATCAAGCTAAGTAAAACATAACTGGAAAGATGAAACCACTGCCAAAAATGGAAAAATATGCTATACTGTAACATCAAATATAGGTGATTTTGGATACACTACTGCTCCCTGATCAGCATTAATCTGCGGTAATGCAAAAAACAACAGAGTATTTCCCCCACGTTGGGAAAAATAATCTCATTAATATTAAAGTATTTGTTGATTCTGAATTACCTACACTTTTTGTTATCTACGAATAATTAAGAAAGATTTTACAAGTGTTACAGAGTTGTTCCCAAAATCAAATGCTACATGGTTATCATTTTTAAAAGCTATTTCACCTTTTGCCATTTCATAAATTTGTGATGTTCCAAAAAATAGATGACATTCTATCTTCTGAAGCAAGATTGAGTACACAGAAGAAGAAATAGGCTGTTTTAAAAATAGTCAGCCTATCTGTAAATTGGCAGACAGCATTTTCTGAAATGTGGAGGAAAAAATAAACCTTTGAAATTAGCAAATATTTGTTGAAAAGTAACATATGCTGGTAACAGAAAAGTTCCAATAACCATAAATTTATGAATATCAGCTTAAGACAATGAAAGAACTAGATCAAAGCTATCAATGATTGATAGAAAAGGTAATATATATGTCACCATATTGAGCCAGGAAAGCTGGCTGGTCGGAATATCTCTGCCATTAACTAGGCCTATAACTTTAGGCAAGTTTTGTCAGAAGAATTTGAACCAGAGCAACTGCATGTTGAATAGGGGCTGGGTAAAATAAGGCTGAGATTTGCTGGGCTACATTCCCAGGATGTTAGGCATTCTAAGTCACAGGATGAGACAGGAGATCATGAAGACCTTGCTAATAAAACAGCATGCAGTAAAGAAGCCAGCCAAATCCCACCAAAACCAAGATGGCAACGAGAGTGACTTCTTTGTCCTCACGGTTCATATGCTAGTTAGAATGCATTAGCATGCTAAAAGGCACTTACTCCAGTGCCATTTCAGTTTACAAATGGCATGGCAATGTCAGGAAGTTACCCTATATGGTCTAAAAAGGGGAGAATCCCTCAGTTCTGGGAATTGTCCACCCCTTTCTTGGAAAATTCATGAATAATCCACCTCTTGTTTAGCATATAATCAAAAATAACCATAAAAATAGGCAACCAGCAGCAGGCTGCTCTGCCTATGTAGTAACCATTCTCTATTCTTTTACTTTCTTAATAGACTTGCTTTCACTTTGTGGACTTGCCTTGAATTCTTTCTTGTTTGAGATACGAGAATCCTCTCTTGGAGTCTGGATCAGGGCTCCCTTCCAGTAACATCTTGATAACCTCTATGACATCTAGATTTGTTATATTTGATGGGATAAAGCTGGTCTTGAAAATTTATAAGGTTATTTCCACCTCTAAAATTACTCTTACATCTTTTGATCTTAAGTTGATTTGTCAAATGGGATTTTATAGAAGAGTACCTATAACAGAGATGGTGAAATTGAGGCACTGAGAGTTTACAAGATTTTCCAGAAGTTCCAAATGTGGCTACTATTAAGCTTTATACTGAAACTCAAGCATCTATTTTTAAAACATAATTAAAGTCATAAAAAGAACAGAATTAATTAAAATGGCATGTAATTAAAAGTTAATTTGTTTTTAAAATTCAATAAAATACAGAAGAACAAGCTTTAAGATTTGAAATTCTTAAATGATCATTATATGTATCCCATCTTTAACTTGTAGATTAAAGCTTGATTTAATAAATATTAGGTAATTTGAAGAGTGATTATATTCATGGAGACTTAACTAAGAGGTGACTTTTTAGTAAGTAATATTTAAGAAACCCATACATCTGCAAAGTAATTATATTCTAGCTAGTCTTCATCACAACATGTAGCAAATTCTATCTGAACACTATAATTTAAAGAGCATACAGTTTGAGACCAGCCTGGACAACATAGGTTCTCTTTCTTTAGATCTTTTTTTTTTTAGAGATTCTATCTCTAAAAAAACTTTTAAAAATTAGCCAGGCATAGTGGCATATGCCTGTAGTTCAGCTACTTGGAAGGCTGAGGTGTGAGAATCAGTTGAGCCCAGGAGGTCAAGGCTGCAGTGAGTTATTATCACACCATTCCACTCCAGCCTGAGTGACAGTGAGACCCTTTCTCTAAATAAAATAAAATAGCATAAATTCATTTATTAGTAAGATTTGTATAATATTATATGTTCCAATATGCTTTCACAGATGGCATCACATTTGACCCTACAAAACACAGATGGGACCTTCTATTAGGTGGTTTATACAGGTGAGAAAATAGAACTGACAGATAAGGATAAGCACTGAAAAATTATCTTAGTTTACAATTTCATACTCATTACATCACTTGATTTTCATAGTAGCATACTGGGAATGAGAGAAATATGTTACAATTTCCTTTTCTCAGATGAACTAACTTGGGGCAAGGGTCTAGAGTCACACAGTTAGTACATTGTAAAGCAGGCCCTGAGGCAAAGTTTCAAGAACTACACTCTTTCTCTTGTATCATATCACCTTCCTAAGATTAAGTTACTTTCAACAACAAAGAGAAGATGATTTAAGGATTGCATTTAGGAAGTCAACAATGATATGGCCTTGAAGAATGACTAAGTTTGCAGGAAGGTATGAGGTGAAAGGGAGTTCTTTTCTAAATTTGTTTAGTCAGTTGGGACTTTCGAAGCATAGAAGAAATAAGATGAGAAAAGGGAAACAAAAGTAAATTAAAGGGGAAAGGCTCCCAGAATGAAAGGAAAGGTTAGGAAAAGAAATTAGAAATATTCATTTACAAGTATTTCACTTAAACAACAGGTACACTTAAGTTTATGGATTATGAATGGGGAGAGGAAATCTTAAGTGCATTCCTTCCTCTTTATTCCAACCTCTGCTTTAGTTCAGGCCATCAAATACCGGATGACTGAATTGCCCTAAATGGTCCTATGCCCTCAGTTTCTCCTCTTTCAAGTCCATCTTGCTTGCTGTCACCAAGTTACTTTTCTTAATACAGATGTGACTGAATGTCCATCCTGCTCAAAAACATATGATAAATCCCTTGGTATTTTAAAGTATCCCTGAATCTCTCTCATATTAATTTTGGACACATGGTCATTTATCTAAGTTGGGAGGGAATGATATACTTAGGAAATATCCACCAATTCCACCATAAAATCCATTCCTAGCTACATATTAATCAAATTTGGAAATTAAGATATGGGTGCTAACATTCTCCCTGCCCTAGTAGCATTCATGAGAATAGAAAGAGGCAACAAAACAAAGCCAAGCTCCTTCATCACTGTTGTATCCTGTCACCCTAAATGGTATCCAATACCTAGAATGCCTGCAGAAGCAATCATTAATTACAAAGACTGTCAAAATAACTATCACTTTTGGTTCCTTTGTAAACTTTTTAAATATGTTTGTTTGTTTTTATTTTTCCCCCTCTCCTCTTTCCATTTCTTTCTTTCTTATTTATAAGGTTATCTGTATTTGAAACAATGTAGAAATTGTACACATTAAAGGAACACAATTTTTTTTTCCATCTCATTGTGTATTTTCAGGGATCTGACTTTTTAATAGGTGATACGGTAGGCTTTAGTCTATATAATCCTGGCAAAGAATTAATCACTAACAGCCAATTAGGAAGGTTGTAGATGTTAACTTTCCAAAACCAAACAAAATTAACAAACAATAATGAAACATAAACAATAAAATGGAAACAAAACTATTTGAGACTTTAGACTTTATCAGCCACATCTCCAAAAATTCTTACTTTTTGTTAAATCCTAATGGATTAAACAGTTCTCTGGCCTAGAGAAAAGTATCCTAAAATTTGCATATTGATTTTTACACATGCATTGAAATATGTAGAAATGTATTAGCACATTATGAAATAACTTATACTGCAATCCAATTCTATTTATTTCCACCCTGGTATTGTTTCTTATGCAAGTCATTTGATTAAAAATAGCATCATGATTACTAATTTCCAAAAATCTACTAAACTATATACAGTCATACATTGCTCAACGACAGGGATATGTTCTGAGAAATGCATTGTTAGGTGATTTCGTCATTGTGCAAAGATTACAGAGTGTACTCACACAAACCTAGATGGGGTAGCCTATTATATACCTAGGCTATTTGATATAGCTTATTGCTCCTAGACTACAAACCTGTACAGCTTGTTACCATACTAAATACTGCAGGCAATTACAACACAATAAGTATATATGTATTTAAACATATCTAAATATAGAAAAGGTACAGGAAAAGCACAGTATGATAATATTATGAGACTATTGTTGTATATGGAGTCTGTTATTGACCAAAACAGCATTATGTGGTACATTACTGTGTGTGTGTGTGTGTGTGTGTGTATACGTTTAACAACTGCTTCAGGGTGATCATAATCAGACTTAATTTGACTTCAAATATAAAACAAAAATTTTCAGATTTTGTGCCACAAATACAAAATTATAGCAAGACATTACTAAGAAATTACAGTAATAACTAACATTTATATAGTAATTATTATGCAACAAGTATCGTTTCACTTCATCTTCCCAACTTCAAACTTTTTTGTTTGTATATTTGCTTTACAGACAGAGTCACCCTCTGTCACCCAGGCTGGAGTGTGGTGGTGCAGTCACAGCTCACTGGAGCCTCAAACTCCTGGGCTCAGCGATCTTCCTGCCTCAAGCTCCCAAGTAGCTGGGACTAGAGGTGTGCAACACTATGCCTGCGTAATTTTTAAATTTTTTTGTTTTTGGTAGAGGCAGGGTCTTATTAGGTTGTCCAGGCTGGTCTCAAACTCCTTTCCTCAAGCAAGTCTCCTAAAGCTTTGGGATTACAGCTGTGAGCCACTGCACCTGGCCTATTATGTGACAACTATTTGTTCTAAGCAATTTTAACATACCAAGTTATTTTAAAAAGTAGATTTATAGCATATCTACACGGCAAATAATAAAATTTAGAATGAACAGATTTTGCCATTATAACCCTTCCAAGACAACTAGCACTCTACCACATCTTTCAGCATCCTTTTTCCTACACTTGATTTTCTCCACCCACTTGCTTTCTATGAAGATTTGTATGTGACAATAGCTTGGGATAGTGCCCTCAGGAATATTTATATTTCAGTGTTCCAGAAAGGCTAAAAGCTTTGTATTATGAAAATAAGCCATTAGGTAATAGCGGAATATGAAATACTATGACAGGTAATAGGAGAAATATTTAGGACTGAAAACCTACCCAGAACCTCTCAAAACTTACCTTCTCCTTATAAAATTGACCCTGAATATGTACCACAATCTTAAGACACTTTATATAAGTTACACATTATAGAGTAATTTTACCAGCTATGTTTTATTTCTTATCATTATATTATTTTTTCCCTTGGGAGCTCCCCAAAGGCAAGAAATATATCTTGTTCATCTTTGCATCCTCAATGGCTACCTAATACAACACATTTAAAATAGCAGACATTGGTTGAACTACATCTTTAGCTAATGTCTAAAAACAACAACAACAACAACAACAACAACGAAACCGGTTGAAGTCCATGCAAAGAGAACACAATCTACAACAGTGTCATAGAATGCTATGAAGAGGCATGGTATATCAACACATGAGATTAACAGTCTAGACTACAGATCTGCTGCTATGTGGATTGAAGAAAGGTAGTTATCCTCCAGAATTCTCCTCCTTTATCTATAAGGGAAAATAGTTTTAACAAAAGATTTATAATGTCCCTTCCAAATCTAAAAGTCTTTGATTCTAAATCAAGGAGCTAAGTCACAGAACACTGATAGATATCTTGGTAAACTACAAGCAAAAGGTTCGAGGCCACGTGGCATTACACAGCCAAGTGGCAGACCTGGATCAGAAGAAGCCAAGTGAACAAGAAGTTTCCCACATATCCTTCATGTATTCTGTTTCTTTGACCTCTCCTCACGGCTCTAGATATTTTTCTTTTCTTCCCTTTACAGCCTTTCAAAGGTGTCTGCACTTGCTGTCTCCATTCCTCTCTTTCCTTGAATCCCCTCTAATCAGTCCTTTAGCCCTTATCACTCCACTGAAACTGCTCTTAATAAAGGTCAACATAGTGACTTCCTACTTGCTAAGTCCGATAATCATTTCATATTCTTGATAAATTCTCTCCTTCAAGTAATTTCTTAACTTGTCCCTCTTCTCCCACTTTTTTCATCTCTGGTTGCTTCATCTTCCCAACTTCAAAATATCAAAGTGGTCCAGTTTACACTTCTTGGACCTCTTCATTATCTACCTACATGTGTCCACTTGTCCTCTTGATAACCAGTCTTACGGTGGTAAATACCTCTTTATAAGGATGAGTCCCAGATTTATAGCTACAGTCCACACCTCTAATATGAAATGTAGACCATATTTAATTTGGCATCTTCACTTGGATGTCTAACAGCATCTCTAACTTATCATATCCAAAACTGAGCACCTGATATTCCCACTCAACCTATTATTCTCAAGTATTTCCCTGTATTAGTTAATAGAAACTCCATTATTTTTCTATTCAGGCTAAAAACCTGGATGTCATTATTGAATCTTTCTTTCTCTTTTACCTTGTTAGGAAATTTTGTTGGCTCTATCTTCAATATCTATTCAGAATCCAGCTACTTATACTGCTATCATGCTGGTCTAAGCCACTATCATCTCTTTCCTGGGTTAGTGCAAAACCTTCTAACAATGTTCCCTGTTTGCAATCTTAATTCTTCAGGGTATTCTCAATGTAGTAATTGACATCATCTTACTAAAAAAAAAAAAAGTGGTATTGTGTCACTTTAATCCAAACTTTCCCATTTTATGTGATAAAAACCAAAATCCTAAATATGATCTGTAAGTTCATATATGAGTCACCCCTCTAGCTTCAACTATCCTTCTGACTGCACCTGCTACAACAATATACTTTAACATATCCACGAAATGCTTTAACCAATTAAAAAAACAATGTCCTCCCTTAAACTTACTCATGAACTTTATTGTGATACATAAAATAAACTGTAAATAAAAAGCCATTCTCTCAGAAGATAGCAAAAGGACAAACTGAATAACCAAATCTTAATTACAGGTAAATAATCAAAATATTAAGCCAAGTTAAACCAAGTTAGCGTATGTGAAATATGTACAGAGTTCTCATCTTACAAATTTATTCATTAATTTCTAGGTTCAACTATATCATATGTTGGATTGATTTATATAGCAATAGCAATATTTTGCAGTGGAGAGGATTTCATATAAATGATAAAAACAAATTTATAAGTGTGTGTATAAAAACAAATTTATAACTGAGGTTCCAATAATCATTGTCACTAGAAAACTTTACATGTGAAACTGCCTGTGCAAAATCAAGACATTAAGAGAAATCTGAGGCTGGGAGTGGTGGCTCACACCTGTAATCCCAGCACTTTGGGAGGCCGAGACGAGGCGGGAGGATCACCTGAGGTCAGGAGTTTGAGACCAGCCTGGCCAAGGTAGTGAAACCCGTCTTTACTAGAAATAGAAAACTTAGCTGGGTGTGGTGGCAGGCACCTGTAATCCCAGCTACTCAGAAGGCTGAGGCAGGAGAATCCCTTGAGCCGGGAGGGGGAGGTTGCAGTGAGCTGAGACTGTGCGCCACTGCACTCCAGCCTGGGCGAGAGAGCAAGACCCTGTCTTAAAAAAAACAAAAAAAGAGAGAAATCTGACACAGTTGACCCCATCTTGCTTCTAATCTCCAAGCTGTCTTTAATCATTCCTGTGTGTGGGAGGAATTTAATTTATAGTTTAACTTCAAAGCAAGGATAAAAACAGCCCTTCCCCAAAACAAAACTGCCTTTGTAAAACCAATCAAAGGCCATAAAGTTAGGATTATGAGACGGGCCTGACTTCTGCTAAAATGTAGGCTTAAATAATAACCAGCCATTGTTCCAGATGTCACAAGATTTTAACTTCTCCAGTTACTTCTGTAGATAACATCACTATTGTAAACCTAATATGGTCTTTTGAGATATTTTTCAGACTTTTGCATTTTGGAGGATTGACTGATTCCATCCAGACCTGCGACTGATGACTGAATCCACATCCTGTGGCCCCCACCCAGAGATTAACTCAGCACATAAGAACCATTTTCCACAGCCTTACAATTTCATCCCCGACCAATCAACATTCCCCATTCCCTACTCCATGCCCACCAAACTATCTTTGAAAAGCCTTAATCTCTTAGCCTTCAGGGAGACTGGTTTGAGTGACTCTAACTCGTTATTCTGCCTGCAGTACCACTGTCTTAATGAACTGGTTTTGTCTGTGCGGGAGGCAGGAAGAATCTGTCATGGTAATTGCACATGCAAGATCATAGGAAATAAGAAGAAAGCATAACAGTCTGAAGGTAAAAGATGTGAAAGTATTCAGGGCCAACTAGAAGTCAAGAAGACAAAAAAACCTTATGATAATACTTCCTCAGTTAGTTAAAATATTTAGCCTAGTGAGTTCATGTGAAAAGATACGATCTTGACACATTTAAATGCACCTAAATACAAAATGGCATTAAATGTTCTCAAAACTTGTTGAATATTTAGGAAGATATATTTATTATTTCAGATTGCCGACATATATTTAAGTACATATCAACATTTCCTTTCATAATTACTAATCAAAAATCATGGAGCTCGTGAAATAGGTAAAAATGACAAATATGTAAAAACATGTTGAGATGTTGAGAAGTCATTTAAATGTTTATTGTCTTATGAATACTATTCATATTTACATGATTTAACTTTATTTTGTTACATTATCTTTTAAATCATATTCTAGAATGTGCATTAAAGAATAATTAATACTTCGCAGTAAGAAAAACTGTATTTTAGTGTTAATTAGGTTTTACAAATAACACTGTAGACATTCTTTATAAAAGATGAAGACAGGGAAGAATACATTCAAGACTAAAAACCATTTCAATGAAATTAATGAAGCATAAAACTACTTATTTCTTAATTTGGTCCAGTAATGGGCCAAATTTTATGATATAGAACGGGATGTTACTTTTTTGATAAAATCATTTTAAAATGCTAATATTCTAAATCAATATATGTAGACATATTTGATTATCAATTACTGCAAAACATACACAGTCCTACCATTTTGATAGAATTTGGTTGTGGTAGATTACAGAATTATGTCAGCAATAATTATAGGAAAATCAAATCTAAGTATTAAAATCAATCATCTTTTTACTTTCCAGGCAATATTAATTCATGTGTATAGAACTATGAAAAATCTACAAATGTTATAAATCTTCCTTTTATATTATTGTTTAACTTATGATTAAATTTGTCTCATTTTCTACTTTAAACTTCTACTTTAAAATGTTTTTAAAATAATTCAATTTTAAAACAATTTCTGGATTGAAAAATATCCATGCTGTGATTTTGTAAATGTATAACATGACCACTAGTATCTTCCTCAGAATCCTTTCCCTTAACATGATCAACAAAGTAAATCTTCCAATTTTAATGCCATTACATTCAATAAAATAGAATTGCATCAGAATCATTAAAGGTAAGTATTTTGAAGACTAATTTCATATTCAGAAATAAAAAAGAATAGACATTTTAAATACTGGATAACTTAAATTGAGACTAATACTTATGCTTATTTTAAAAAGCATATTCAAATATATTACAAATGTCAGTATGGAGTGTCTAATATCTAGAAAGACACCATAAACTTCATTTTAAGACTTGCCTTTTTTCCCATTAGTAGGTGGTGTTGATGTTTCTCCCTCATTGTCTTTATAATATTGAAAATAGACAATAGTGATTAATGATTAAGATCATTAATAACCAAAATAAAAACCAAGCACATCAAAAAAGATGAAATCACACAATAGGGAAACAAATCCATGCACTAAACATGACACTCTGTATTAATGAACACAAGAGAAAAGTATATACTTCCTATCTCATAGGAAAAGTAAAAAAAACCAAATAAATGAAAAATCATTTTTATAGTATATGGTTATGCTTTTATGTTAATTTAAAAACTGATGCAACTTACTAATTACTTTTGACAATAAAACAGCAGCAACAAACTGGTTTAGCACATGGGCTTCTTTATCTTAATGAATTTAAAATAAATAAAAGTGATATTAACTATTGCTGAAGTCCCCAAACTAATGCTACCTTAAAAAATGACTTTAATGTGGAAGACAATTAACAGTGTGAAAGGCTGCAGTGTTTGTATGGACTATATGAGATACAGAGGAATGAGCTAATGGGAAAACATTAACTTAACAGCTAAGCTAAAATGAAATTCATTCTTATAGTATTCCATAAAAATGCAATTCCTAAATTATTGCAGGAAAATGGAAGAAGGGTGACATTCTAAAAGTTAGATAGTAGATATTCAGAACCAAAGCAATTCTACATGTCTAGAAATATGCAATTAAACTTGCCTGTTTCCATTACAGATGACTGATGATATTTGTCGCCTTTATGACATTAAAAAGTTACTGATAATGAGTAATTCTAGTAGCTTAAGAGATGTTTTCAGTTGTAAAACTAAAAACTCCATTGAGAGAATGCTTCCATGAAAATATATCTTATGTACAATATATGTAATGGCATTGCTTTCACACCATGAAAACCAGAGGAAAAAAAGGCACAAAAAGTACACTCTATTATTCATAAATAAAAAGTGGTCAGTTAAACACTTGACAAAATTAAAGGTATTCTGTATTATTCAAAGAAAGTTACAATTAAACTTGATAATTGGTAAGATTAGTATTCAATTCTGAGTTTCAAATAAAAATAGTGAAAATTTGATAAAAGAAGTATATAAAAATATACTGATTTACTGATTATATAATGTTTTAACTTTTTTGAGACACAGTCTCGCTCTGCTGCCCAGGCTGGAGTGTAGTGATGTGATCTTGGCTCACTGCAACCTCTGCCTCCCAGGTTCAAGTGACTCTCCTGCTTCAGTCTCCCAAGTAGCTGGGACTACAGGCACGCACCACCATGCCCAGCTAATTTTTTTATTTTTAGTAGAGATGGGGTTTTGCCATGTTGGCCAGGCTGGGATCTTTTAAGTTTTAAAATCCTTTCAAGAACATTAAACATTATGGTATATAAACATAATAGGGACTTTAAAAACAACAAAAATAAAAGGTATGCATTTCATTTAGAAAGATGGGGAGAAATTATGATTGACAATAAATGTTAGAGTAATATTGAACTGGGATGAAGAAGAGAAGCCTGTAATTGCTTTATTTTAGGAAAAAAATATAATGGAAAAAATGATCATGGTCTATAAATGTTTTAATGGAATTTATATTCCGTTCTATATTTCTTTATAATTTGCTTCTACTAGATTCAAAATCCATAGGAGAATGGGCTAAAGCTTCAACAAAACTGTACTCACCATAACACATGATAAAATATAGTTTTCTAGTAGGTACTCATTAAATATTTTTGAATAAACAAATGAACTGAATGTAAAGCTGGGTAAAGGGTAGGTGTATGTCTTGGTCAGGGGCACTACCTATAATTCTAGTTTGATTTAAACATCAGGGAAAATATTTAGCCAGTTGGGTAAATTAAATATTCTGACAAATTGCCTAGATAGCTTAAGTAATACCCATTCATTAATAAAATGAGGTAATTTATCTTAAAGTTAGTTGTGAAAAACAATCTATTCTTCATTGTGCATTTATAAATTTGGAGCCTAAAGTCTTATGTAAAATTGTAAAGTCATATTTGAAAACAATCACTTATTTATTTTAGATACACAGTCAGACAGACCTGCCTTGACCTCTTCTCCCTGCTTTTCTTCCCCCTGCTCTTCCACATGCTCAGTTTCTTCATTAACTTCTGTACTTGCAGAAGCAAAAGTAAAGAAAAATATAAGACCAAATAGGTATATCTGTTACTCTTCAATGAAACTAAACAAATAACAAATTCTAAATTATTCAGAATGATAAAGACTCCAATAGATACTTATTATTTAGAAACGGAGTCTCACTGTCACCCAGGCTGGAGTGCAGTGGCACAATCACGGCTCACTGCAACCTGCGTCTCCTGGGCTCAAGTGATCCTCCCACCTCAGCCTCCCGAGTAGCTGGGACTATGGGAGTGGGCCATCATGCCTGGCTAATTTTATATTTTTTATAGCGATGGGGTTTCACCATGTTACCGAGGCTGGTCTTGAACTCCCGAGCTCAAGCAATCCACCCACCTCAGCCTCCCAAAGTGCTGGGATTACAGACGTGAGCCACGTGGGCCACTGCAACTGGCCCAATAGGTTATTTTTGATACGTTTCTGACATGCTATAGAAAAGTAAATAAATTTACTGGTTAATTATCACATTGCTTTTATGATGACTTTGATTTGTAAAAGAGAAATTGTGACTTTTAAAATATTTGTAATATGTGGATAACTGGGTAAAGTAGGCAAAATACTTTATATATAAACTTGGTCTATTACTAAAAAAAGTTATATAACTTTTCTTCTAGAAAAAGAGAAAATGACATTTTACAAAATGGCAGTACATAAAAGTTAGGGAAAAATAATAATAATGCCTTATAGTTTTTAGTACATTGTGCTTTCTATATTATTCTTATTTTACTTCTCTGGTTCTAAACAAAGATAAATGGCTAAATATATAACAGACTAAAATATAAAATAATCAAAATCATAAAGAGTTAAATTATGACTTGCTCATATTTTGGCTGTTGAAAAGGATTTGAAAATAAATATTTCAATACTTTAATTCTAAAATAATGCCATTAAATTACAACTTCTCATAATTAACTTTTTAGGTGATAATCCAAACATAATTTGATTTAGACCATCAACTGATAGTCTATTTTGTGTTACTTACTGAAGATTAACTGAAGTTGCGATTTCTAAAAGAGATATTATATATCTTCTTTAAAACTAAAAAAAAAATTGCATAATCTACTGAAGTCTCCATATCAACATTTATAAAAACACTTTAAAAAATCATCCATACTTTTATATAAAACAAAACTAAAAAACAAAACCCCTTTTATTTCATACTAAAAAGGATAAGGGAGGTTTTGGCTCCTCTTTGTTTTATGAAATAAAAAAAATGGAAAAATCACAATTGGGGACTTTAAAGGAAAACTGTGGTTTTAATTAATTTTATAGGGACAAAAACAATAGTAAAGATAATCTTTATTGAGAAGCCCATCAGAAACTTCACCATCTCTGAATTTCAGTATTACCAATAGGCTCTGTTTTCTAGGATACTTGCTATTACAAAGAATAGAGCTACTTATATTTCAATAGACTATTGCTATGAACAACATTAAAAATTCAATTTTAAAAATGTGCATAAATTATAGTTTCTGACTTTAAATGCCAATAAATGATGTTGAAACTCCATCTTTAAAAACACTGAAGAGACAAAAAGTTCCATAAATATTACTAAACTTTCCTTAGGAAAAGTGATTTAAAATTCTATGCCCCCAATTTTAAGCAAATAATTAAGAACTATAAAAATGCTGTGAAGTCTTTTTCTCAGGCAGCATAACAGACCATCAGTCACAATATCACTGGATTGTTCAAAATTATGGTACTTGGAAATAGAAAGAACGACAAAACAGAAGTTGACCATCATCCAGTTAACAAGAACACAACTTATATCAACAAGTTATATAAGGGTATAAAATATTGCTGCTCGAATGCAGCACGCTTACAAATTTGTTACAAATAGGTTACAGAAATACGAATTTAATATAAACATATATATAATGACGAGATTATTTTAGTGGTACTTTGTATACTATTTGAGGTAGCTTTTCCCTTTTTAAATAAATATTTCATGAATTCATTCAACAAAGATTTATTGAGGGTCTACAATGTGCCAGGCATTATTCTATGTGCTAGAGATTCATAAGTAAACAGTCAACAAGTTTTTAAAGATACAAAGTTAATTTCAGATTTCCATAACTGGTAGAGGATTTTGTATTGATCTAGCAAATGTATGACACTCCATATATCACCATTCAGTATTTTCTTCTGAGTCATAATGTAGTGTTTGATAATAAAACTATATCATATTTAACTCTGATATACTGTAAGCAGTCTTGCTACAACATGAAAAATGATGTTGGAAACGCAAGCCACAATCACTTTCTAATTCAACAACTTTCTTTTCTAGAAAGCCAAATTTAATAATTAAAAACATCATCATAAAAAATGAAATATATGATGGTAAATATAACTACACTATGTGTACATCCTCAATGATGTAAACGTAGACTGCAATTGATATCTTTGGTTAAAGTCTTACTCGAAATCTAGTTTCTGGTTAAAAGGTACATAAAAATTTTATGAAAGAGCACATTTTATCTGGTCATTTAAAAGAATTTAAACTCTTTGCATTCTTATTTGATGAATCAAAGATATTTAACTCCTTGGTATAATTTCCAAGTTAAAAAAAAGTTGAATACTTTGTCAGATATCATAAAACAAAATAATTTTACTGTATTTAAGTCTACACAACGAAAGGACATCAATTGCAGTTGGGTTTATTTTTGCTTACTAGCCCCCCAAAAAGGCTGTTAGCACAAAACAAACCCTCTTTTATGTACAGACCTTCATAAGGTTCTATCTCCTTGACTCCATTGTCTAGGGAAAACAAAATAAAAACAAAAAACAGAACAAAAACAAACAAACAAAAAGGGAACCAAAGCACAGGGGTTAAAAACAACAGAAATTTCCAAAAGCACAGAATGTATTATCTACTAGAGAAAAGTTAAATGATTTAAACTTATATGTATTATTTGCAAAGCACATCCAGTTACTAAATAAAGGGATCATTTAAAAAATGATCTTAAAAACCATTATATTCAGTTATCCATGCTTTTAGAGGTCCTTTATCCAAGAATTTATAGATGTTTGGGAAGTATGTTCATGTGAGTGTCAGCAAATAGTGCTTCTTATGCAAAAATGTAAAATTAATAAAACATCAGTACAACATGCATCTTTCATTGTATATTCATGATTACCTTTTTCTTGTTCTCCAGTTTTGAGAAGGATCACCATTGTGCATCAGCTAACCAGTCCTTTGCAGTGTGTGAAAATTGATTTGGCTAGTTACTAATAAACTTTATATAACTATCAACAATTACATAAACTTATTTGTAGCAAAGAAATATTATCCAACAACTTATTTAAGAGTATTGTTTACTTTTTAAGATGCATTTATTCAAATTTAAAAATGTGCAAGAGCAATAAAGATACCTTATTTTACCTGGAAATATTACAAATTTTTATTCAAAAATACATAATATTTATAAATATAACTATTATCAAATACAGACAAGGCATACAATTAACAAAAGAAGAAAATTAACACAAAGGTAATAAGAAAATCTTGATTCACCTTAGCTTCCATGTGTATTTCCTAAACGAGACAATTAGAAATAAAACTTACTTCTATCCAACGTTCCCTTTGGTGGAAGCTGTGGAAGCTGTCGGCCCCTTCGTCCTGCGACTGGAGTACTTGATGGGCTTGTCTGGACAGACCCAGTACGAGGATGAGACCTAAAGACACACCATTAATATTCATTTTCAGTATAATGAGTTACATATTTTTAATACCTACATTTGGTTCATATGATAGCTGTATAAATACAATTTAAAAAGAAGTTTAGCTGCAGATTAAAAGGTTAGGAAAACTGGACAAAATATGGATATCTGAATGATTAAATAGCAAAAGATGTTTATTTTTGGTGTAATATGCATACATACACATACATGCACACAAAACCCTACAGTAACATCCATGGAATTATTAATGTAAATTAGTACTCTATCCATTGAAAGCAAGAGGAGAATTTCGCTGCTCAAGAAAGAAAAGGTAGTACTTTTCTTTCTACCAGATTTCAAACTTTCAGCACTAACCTTTCTCCCTTGATCCAGAGATTTTTACTCAGGCTTATATTAAATATCCCTTTATTAGAAAACATTGCATGAAACTACAAATAAAATCCTGAACAATTCAAGATTCAACTAAGGAAAATACTGGTTAATACATAATATTAGTATCGATAGAAAGAAACTTAAAAAATCTAGTTTTATTTATAATCATTATGATGATTTGAAAAGTGATGTGTAATGGACACAGATAGTTTCTCATTCTGTAGGAGAGGAACATGACAGTTAATGACAGAATTTACCCAGGACTCCTGATTAATGAGAAATCACAAAACAAATGCAGTCAGGACAGTTAATAAACAAATTACAATGGTAGCCACACACTATTATATCCAGTGAATATAAATAGTGTGTTTACATTGAAAAGGTTAGTATCGATTGTTACTAGTGATCAGCCAAAGATGATAGAAGAGACCAGTTAACTGTTGGGAAAATAAAATGGTGTGCTGGTGGGGCAAAGGGGAAATTAGTCTGATTGATTTATCTTTCACCTCGATAAGGCAGGTGAAGGAGGGGCAGATCTTCCAGTCATTAATGAAGGCATCGACCTCATGAGGTTTGTATCAGGACGTTCAGTGGATCTGGAGCGGGTGGTGGTCCGCTCAAGGAGAGGCCGTTGTTCTGTTGATCTGGATCTGTGATATGGCTGTCTATCTGCTGCTTCACAATCCCTGAAACGTTAGTCAAAAAGCAGCTCAGTTGATCTTTAGTGCCCTTCTGCTATTTGGTTATGATGCATCAAACTGATTTTGAAAAAGGTAATTGTTTAAAATTATGGAGTATGTAAAAATTTTTCTTTTCCCCAACATATTCTGAGCAATTTCAAACGAAACTTGTTAAGAATTTCTAAAAAACCAAAATCTGCCTTTCAAAGTAATTCCCAGCAAAGATAATAGTTGCTCAGTTATAATAAACAACAAACAAAACTGCCTGCTTTCCAAAATGAATTCCCTAAATGGAATACGTGAAATATGTGAATTATTCTATTTTAAAAGAATTCAATGACTTTTCCTAACATTTTCAAGAGTGAAGAAAACCATATAAGCATTAATTCTGTAGCACCTGAAGCTGTTTAGTACTATACCAACTAAGATATAAAAAGGCTTTCAGAAAACACTATACACCTGAACATTTAAACAGAAGAATCAAAATGAGGTTATAAGAAAATAGGGTGACTGTGAAGTCTGTAGCCATATTTAAACCTGATCCACAAGAAAAATCACTCTGTAGAAAACTGGTTAACTGGCTGTCTATCTTGGTGCACTTTAGCTATGCCAACTGATTCAATTCAGAGTGGGTATTAATTGAAATAATAATTCTGAAACAACATGATCTCTTTGACCACAAACAAATCTAATACCAAAACTTAATCCTTGTTGAAGGAAGTATCCTTAAATTTAAGCAACCTCTCATTGTTGACCTTTCTATCCCTGGAACCTAGCATAATACTTTTACATTTAACATGATCAATAAATGTTTCCTAACATCAGCCCCACAATTTGGGAGATGACTTTAAAAACACTAGCTTTGGCTCCAGAATTCAAAAGTAAAACATATGTCAAAGTATATTTCAAATAAAATTATCACCTCCCCATCCAGTTGTAAGCACAAAAATGGAAATGCTTATATAATATAGACAGTCAAGAAAGCATTAGTCTCCCTCAAAGCTAATGTTTCAATGACATCCACTTTACCTATAAGTTATCTCAACCTTATTTTGGATAATGAAAAGTGCAAGTAATTTAAAAAAAAAAAAAAGAAAAAAAGGACATAATTTCCCAAATGTCATGAATTATATGGCAAACAATTTTGTACTACTTGATATTAGATTAGGTGACTTTAGAAAGTGAATATTGGCTTTATTCTACACCATATCTTGTGATTATTTTACATTTTAAAGTCATAGGGTAACATAAAAGTCAGAGCATTTTTAAATACTTTTAAGTCCATATACTATCATGTGATTTACTTTCTAAGTTTAGTATTTTCATATAAGTGCCTCAGGAACATGTCAAATTAACTGACATTAAATGTAAATATATAAAAAATATTTAATTACTAGTAACAGTTAAATGGTAAGAGAAATGAAAAGGTAACCTCATAGTGTAAATATCACAGCTGTCTTTTTGTTTCTGAAAAACTATTTTAAAGGAACACTTTTCTTTACAAATAAGTGTGTTCAGTAGTTTGCTGCATGTTTTTAGTCTAACATCTTTATATATCTTCATCACAATCAACAGAAACAAAGGGTATATCTATGTATTATTTCTTAAATTGCTTAAAGCCTATTTTTAAGAGTACCAATCTTTACATTTATTTAAAGATTCATCTTACATTAATTATAAACATCTTATTATATAACAAATCTTTGGGAAATAGCTACAATTACCCTAGCAGAAAGTTAGACTAATATTTCATGTATTTATATACAATTTCATTTATTCTGATTCCATCAAGAAATTTTTCCAAGTGGAAAGTGGAGTAAATGTTAGGATATGCAATTTCACTTCTTTGTGAAGAATCATTTTTAATAATTGAAAAATATGATAATGAGTGAAAACCAGAGAATTATTTTAAATGTGTTGCTATGTCCTATGTCCTCAAAAGGAGACCATTATTTATAAAACAGAGGTCACTCCTTAGGAAGTAGCTCTTACAAAAAATGTCTCGTTATAAAAAAGTTGTTTGAAAATTAACCCATCTTTTACATTTTACTTATATATTTTTCTCCGTAAATACAAAGTATATATTAAATAAATACCATAGTGTGAAATGAAAATAGGTTAATAAATGAAAAATGAAAAGAACCACAGTAGAAGGTAGAAATTTCCCCAAATGTCCCAACACAGTTAAGGGGAATGGAAAGCTACCACATTTTAAACTTTGACAGCACATAAGAGAAGGCTGACACAGGCTCCTGCTCCCACATTGGATAAAAATAGGTCTGACTAGCTTAGACACAATGTTACTGCTATGAAAATTTAAAGCAGCAATGCCTAAATTACACAGTCTTACATCAGGTCCCTTAAAGGGATTGAGATATAGTACTCACAAACTCCCACCAAAATTCTGAATTAGTTTTAATTTTAAGATGAGAATATATAATTAATTTTGAATAGCAGCAACTGAAAAGTGGGAAATAATAAATACTTGCAAGGCTTAAAATATTTTAGGGCCCACTTGGGGTTCTTAACTTGGAGTGTTTATTTCAATATAAGTCATTTCCTCTGTAACCATTTTATTTACCTTATTTTATGTTATGCATATAAAATATTATTCCAAAAAGAGTGGCCATGGTTTTATCAGATTACCAAAGGGTAAGCCACTGAAAAAGCCAGGGCCCCCTCACCTGTAAATTTAAATCTTTCTTAGGTAAATAATTCCATTGTCTTTTAAAAAGTGATTTAATATCTATCACTGTTACATTTTTTGAATAGTTTATATTTTCTAATCTCTATTTATAGTTCTTTTTTTTGTACTTGAATTGATCTAGGCTACTGTCCATCATTATCTAATGGGTGCTATTCTAAACTGCATGCGTTCACAAAGGATACTGTGTATCAGCCCCTCCACTAATTTACATTGACTAACAATGTTATAACAATACATACTATTGTTAACAACCCAGTCTTAAAAGCACATTATTAGCATATGCAGATTTTGAGATGAGGATGAACTGACAATAGGCCACAATAATAAAGAGAACAACTTAGAAGGCCTTTGTCTTAAACAGCAATCTTTATGCATAAGAAAAACTAAAACTGAAAGTGTTCAGTATTTATTTTCAGTCATTCTAAGGGAAAAATAATTTTATAATCATCCAGCAAAGTTGTCAGTTTTGAATCATTTTTTTGGGTCAACATAGTTGCTCATAAAAGATTTTTTAAAATTTCCAAGTATTTGATGCAACTTCCTACCTATTTTTTCAGTTTTGCGATGTACTTTAGGTTTCTTAATTCAATGAAAGGACAAGGGATTTGTATGCAAGGGATTGTATGCAAGGGAATTGTCTTGCAAGGGATTTCCCTCTAGTAGTGGGAACTCTTGTCTATAACCCAATGTTATTGCCTGTCATCCGTCCGTCCGTCCATCCGTCCGTCCATCCATCCATCCATCCATCCATCTATCCATCCATATCTTTCACAATGATACAACTCCAGATCAAAGTAAGCTCAATGTAGAGTATCTCTACAGGTATGATAAATACTAAGAATACTAAAACTCAGAAATCAATGAAAATTTCCCCAATATGTAACTCAGGACCTAGTCTGTATTAAATCAGACTTATTTCATGTTTATATTGGAAAGATGTCATAAGTAAATGTAATAGGTTTTCTTGAAAAGTAAATTTGTAAAAAGTAAAGCTACTTAGGAATTATTCTTTTCCTTTATAAAGCTGACATCTTAAATTTAAAAAAATTGGATATATCTCTGAAGAACAAGTATGGTCTCAGGTTTGGGCAAGAAATGACTTCTCTATATCCATACTGTATAGAATAAGCTGATCAATAGCAGAAGTGCCTGACACAGTGGCTCATGTCTGTAATCTCAACACTTTCAGATTGAGGCAGACAGATGGCTTGAGCTTAGGTGTTTGAGACCAGACTGGGCAACATGGTGAAACCCTGTATCTACAAAAAATAAAAATAAAAAATAGCGGGTGTGGTGGCAAACACCTATAGTCCTAGTTGTTCAGGAGGCTAAAGTGGGAGGATTGCTTGAGCTCAGGAGGTCGAGGCTGCAGTGAGCTGTGATCATACCATTGCATTCCAGTCTGGGTGACAGAGTGAGACCCTGTCTCAAAAAATAATAAAAAAAAAAACCAGCAGAAACATTATATTTTTGTTAAAATATCTTGAATGTCTACAGATTTTCTGGGCGTTAACTGCATAACTGAAGTATAAATATATGATAAAATATACTAGAAAACATTAAAAATGAAACATTTTAGAATAATTAATATAGCATATATACATATTTGTATATAATAAATAACTTAAAGTAATTATGACAACTTTAAAATTACAATTCTCATGTTCATCATTAATGTGCAAGATTAACTTTTTAAAAATTCTAGCTCATTATTTTAGCATCGTTTCTAATGTTATGAGGATTGCAAGATACAAAATATTTGCCATAGAAATCATGGTAAATAAGCAAATAGGTAATGTGCACGAATACGAATATTATATTATTTTGGAGGAAGATTAATTTATCCTTGGGTGTAATAGCATTATTCTACAGAATCTTTCTGTTGAGTTAGATGTAAAGACTCTATGTTAGTTAAAAGTAAATAAGCTTATTCAAAGATGACAACAATATTTAGAGTCAGCCAAGTTAATAACAATATAAAATGTGAAAATGGTATAATATATATATTGATGTGACAAAGCAAGACACCATTCACGTAGAAAAAAATTACTATTACCCACAAGCCTATTATTTTATTATCAAAAAGAGAAGTATTCTCACATCTACAAAGGTATTTAAAAAATATATTCATTATTGAAAATTGCATGAAGAAATGACCAAACGTCCCAATTTCCTCAAGAAAATTAGGGACAAATACAATACTGAACAGTAACATATACTGTATTATTAAACACACACACACACACACACACACAAACATATAAGATGTAAATATTTTGAAGATATTTTTAGTATATTAAATATTTATAATTTTCATTGTTAATTTTTATTTAAAAAATAACAGAAACAAAACCACAAATAAGCAGGAATATTTACCCATAATAATTAATACAGAACAAATTAATAAATCTTTAAAATATAAATTTTAAGAATACTGAGAGATAATATGACATGTTACCTGTAAAATCCTTATTTTTATGAAATAGGTTCCCATATTCAGTGAATGTTTGAATTTAATAATGATTTGTCAAATGTAAAAATTAAAGTTATTCCACCAAGGTACTGGCCCTACTTTATCACTTCCCAGATTCTCAGATTCCATAAAATAGCAAACATTTTTAAAAGTATATCTCTAAACAATATAATTATGAATTGCTATTGTATTATATCAGTATATCTGATGAGGTATGGCTCTCAAGCTAGAATACAGATTCAATAGTTTCACTGATCAATTTTGAACAATTCACCAGCATTCCTTTTGTTTTGCTGTTTTTACGTGGATAGAGAAATGGGTATAATACAAATCCCTCATATGCACTGTTGCCTGCTGCCAGTAGCAGTCACTTCATAATAAGTCCAAATCTCATACTCAGATGTAGCAGTCTGAAGGTTGTTTAATGCTCCCCAACACCCCAACTAACAGAACAAAATTTGTGCTCATTTTCAAGCATAAATACTATCTGCCTCAGTCATTACTGATCATATGATCTCAACATTCAATACCAATTTATTGGAAACACAAAAAAAGCATGACAAATAAGACCTACTGTTAAGGACAAAGCCACCAACAGAGGCCAACTAAGAGATGGTATAGATGTTGAATCTATCAAATGGGGAATTTGAAATAAGTCTGCTTGATATGGTAAAGACTGTAGTAAAAAAGATGAACAGCATGCATGAACAGATGGGGAAATTTCAGCAGACACATAGATGATGGAAGATAAAATAGTCAAATGGAAATGCTAGGAATAACAGAAAGCAGAATATGTAAAATGTTAGTTAAAAAATTAGATCGGAATCCGTTTATGACAATTTTTAATGTCTAGTTAAGAGGTTTAAACAGTTTAATTTTCAATGAGAGTAATAAGAAAAACTTCTGAACAAAGGTAATTTCCAAGTAATAAATTAAGAAGAATAATTCAGCAGTAGCGCAGAGAATGAGCTAGATTAGGAAAAGGCTCTGACTTGTAGTAATGAGGGTGGAAATAGAGAAGAAGGTATGAATGATAAACATTACAAATCACAATATACAAAATATGTAATATAAAATATAGAGAACATACATAATATTCAGAAGCATACAAACAATGTTAGTGATAGAAGGAATCTCAGAAGTTATATAATCCAAACTCTCTCACTTTAGAAATGAGCAAACTAAGGCTTATAGAAGCTTGAATGAATTCACATAATTTGATATTTTCTGGGCTGGAACTTGAACTGGGCTGTCTTTATTCTAAGCCTGTTAATTTCACTGAACTGTGTTTTCTTTGATAGCAGGGATAGTTTTTTCTCTCAATAATGTTTGACAAATCACCATATAAATTAAATATAAAAAAACCTTTAAAATTTTCAGCCTCAGAAATGAAATGATGATCTATTAACAGAAATTAAATAGTTCAAAAAAGGCACATACAAAAACCCAAACCCAAATATATATATATATTATCAGTAAAGCACTGGAGGTAGAGGTCAAATTGTAGAAGGTTAAGGCTTAGGAGCTGATGGAGTGAAGGAAGCATATGTAAAAATACACACTTGAGATATCTGACCTAAGTAAAAAGAGAGAGACACAGAGAGAGAGAGAGAGAGAGAGAGAGAGAGAGAGAGAGAGAGAAATAGATCACTCTCAAGTTAGCTTGAAGGGGTAGCAGAACAGAAAGAAGGTATTATTATTATTGTTTATTTTTATTTTTGAGGAGTTTTGCTCTTGTTGCCCAGGCTGGAGTACAATGGCACCATCTCAGCTCACCACAACCTCCACCTCCCAGGTTCAAGTGATTCTCCTGCCTCAGCCTCCTGAGCAGCTGGGATTACAGGCATGCACCACCACGCCCGGCTAATTTTGTATTTTTAGTAGAGATAGGGTTTCTCCATGTTGGTCAGGCTGGTCTCAAACTCCCGACCTCAAGGTGATCCGCCCACCTCGGCCTCCCAAAGTGCTGGGATTACAGGCGTGAGCTACCGCGCCCAGCCAGAAGGTATTATTAAGACAATTTCAACAGTAATTTGCGGAGAAATAAAATCAGTAAAGGAAGAAAGATTGAAATACAACAGAAACAAGAAATAATAAATGCAGGAAAATTCTAGAGAAACTAAGATAGGCTAGAGTCAGAAATGTAAATAGAACTTAGTTTTGATGGAGAACAAAACAGTTGTAAGAGGACAGAAGATGATTTGTAATGTAGAGAAATTAAGATTAAAAATGATAGCAGTTGGGAAAGTGTGTTATTGGCTTACATCACATTGACTAAGAGTTCTCAGCACTACCTTACATGTAGGGAATCTTTAAGAAAACAGTCTACGTAGAACATAGAACATAGTCTATGTTCTACATAGACTGTTTTCGTCCTTTACCATGACTCCACTAGCTTTGTCAGAATCCTTTCTTTAACCAGGGTTCTAGTTATGTTACCCATCTTGACAAAGGACCATCATTGCCTCTCTTCAAACTTCATAGCAGCCCTCATCATTAATCTGGACACAGGTCAAACCTGTCCAGGGACCCTCAGCCAGTTCTGGTATTAAAACAACTGACAATTAACTTAGAATATTTTAATTTAATCAGTTCTATTCAAGTATGTTATCTCTGTGATTCTTGGCTATCAAGTAAAAGGCTATCCCCACTGCCCCCTGATATCTTCTCTCAAAATTCTTCATTTACTATACTCTCTTCCATACCATTCTTAATCTCTTCTAATTCTCTTCTGTATTTTTGAGAATCCTTACTCCATTGTTAATAAACTTCCTTAAACATCAACCTTCCTGCAGGATGGTTTTTGCATATTCTTGCCTTAAATAACATTTAGTTCAACTGTGTAGCCTCTGCTTCCATTGTAGCCTTCATCTGCAGAAGCTACTTATTCTTTCACATTTCACAGTCCAGGAATCCAGGAGGGGAAGCTGGCTCCCTAGAGACATTTCTGACAATTACCCCCCGAATCATAATGGACATAGTCCTTACTTCTCTTAAGCATTCCACTTGGCAGTAACATTCATTATTAATACAGGTTGCTATTATCTATCCAACTTCCAATCACTATCCCTTAGTCATTGGTAATTTTAGGGATTGACTATGGTAGTGCTAGAAGATTTCAATGCAAAGGCAGAAAATCATTGAACAATCATGAACCCCAGTCTCCAGATTTTCAAGACTGCAATAACCCTTACCTTATTCTGGCATCAGTCCCACCAATTCCTGGCAGTATATATCACCATCTTTGACTTTCTTCTTTCCTTATCCACCCTGGACTCTATGACTGATCATCTGAACCACTCCCATACAGCGCTCAGATTCCCTTCTAACCAATCTTCCTACTCACACAGTCATTAAAACACTAACAATGGTTTAATAACAAACTTAATTTCTCTCTATTAGCATCCTTTTACTCAGCTTCACTTCTCCCATCTATTTTCTTCCTGTCTCAGTGGTAAATAATAGCTTCTTTCTGTTCACAAAATCCATCTGTGTGTTTAGTCTGATGACCTCCTACCTCCCCTAAGACTCTTCTTCCAATCATTCTGTCTTTTTTCTGTATTTTTGACTTATCTTTCTCTAAAACATTCTTTGCTCCAGTGTGGGAACACATGGACATATTTCTTACTCGAAGGGAAAGAAATATCTTTTGATATCACATATGCTATCTAATTTTTCTCCTTCACACTTTCTTGATAAGTTCATTTTCTTATCTCCTGGTCATACTTAGGCTACTGCAACCTGTTTTTTCCCCCCTCACCATCCTTCTAAAATTACCCCAGCTAAAGTCATCCATGACACCTCACTTGACATATCCAACAGGCATTTTTCATTCATTATTTTTACTGTAATGTTATTACTTTCTTCTTGAAACTATTCCTTTAGCTCTCGTCATTCCACTTTTCTCATTCTTTATGTCACTCAGAAGCTCCTCTTCCTCCCTCTGCCACTTAATGTTAATGTTCCTCAGGCAGGGAAAAACTTCTAAGCCCTCATTTCATGGGTTGTTTCTCAGACTGATTTCACTTACTTTTTATGACTGCTTACCATTAGTAGTGAATTTACTCTGAAATTACTCTGTAGCTTAGGTAACTTCAAGTTCAAAAATTGTTTACTCTGTTCCTGCTAGATATTTCCTCTTAGCTTTCTCAGTAATTCCAAAACTGAACTTGTCTCACACCTAAACTGATTCCTCCCCTAAGAACCCACTTGGACCCTGTTAAGGTACCTTATGAATCTAGTTATTGAAGATATAAGACTGGGAATTTTTCATGACTCTGCACTCTCTCAAAATCCAAATTCCATTATTTATCAAGTATTGCTGATTTTAATTTATTAAAACCACTATTTTCTCTCTGTTCTTCCATCTACTACATGTCTCTCTTTTGCTTTTTTCTCTTCAAATCGATCATTCACGTAGTCTATAGGTAGGTACTCTAAGGTGAATGAACTTGTTATCACCATTTCTAATTAAATCCCTTCCAAGTACCTCTAGAACCTACAGTCTTTGATCTAAGTTCCTTAACATTTATGAAGAGTATATAAGATTCTTCAGGCTAGGAATGGTGGCTCACACCTATAATCCCAGTGCTTTGGGAGGCCAAAGCAGGCGGATCACCTGAGGTCAGGAGTTCGAGACTAGCCTGGCCAACATGGGGAAAAACCATCTCTACTAAAAATACAAAAATTAGCCAGATGCAGTGGCACATGCTTGTAATCTCAGCTACTCAGGAGGCTGAGGCAGGAGAATCGCTTGAACCTGGGAGGTGGAGGTTGCAGTGAGCCAAGATCATGCCATTGGCACTCCAGCCTGGTGACAGAGTGAGACTCCATTGCAAAAAAAAAAAAAAGATTCTTCACAAGTGGAACACTCTCTATCATTCCAGATTCATTTCTTGCTATTTCCTGCCTTGCCAATAATGTTACAACAATTCTAAAATACGATATTTATTACTTCTGTGACCCTGTTCATACATTTCTTTAAAATGTCACAAATATCCTCCCTCACCTCCACATCAATCTAAATAATTCCTATTTATTCTTTAAGATACAGCTGAGTTGTTGTGTCTTCCATGATACTTTACATAAAAATCTAGCTGCCCACCATAGATGTTAGTAGTTCCTTAATATGTTGTGTATAGCTCTAAGCAGGGATAAGTACTAGAAAAATAAGTAGGGTACAAAGGTAAATGTTAAAAAAGGTTATATTTATTAAAATAAAGGGTATATTTTAATAAAGAGATATTAATAAAGGGTAACATGATATCCATCCTAAACATGTTTGTTCAAATGAGTGAATTTAAAAATGCACAATGAATCAAATATTATTTCATACTAGTTAGCATAACCTGGACAGAAGACATGCTTTGATTTCTAGTGTTAGTTAATATTGTCTCTTGAAGTAATATAAAAAAAGCTTAGCAAACATTATTTAAGTCTCTACTCTCCTGTTCCCAAAGAGGTAGTCCTCATAACTTTTCATGTTATACCCCAGGGTAGAGAGACCAGTGAAAGCCCAGCTTCTTCTAATGGAGTGGGCATAACTGGGGATGCCATGTTAAATTTACTACCTTCATCCCATTCATTTAGAAAGTTCCAGATATCATATAGCCAAACTATGGCCCAACTGAAGCTATTAATACATATTTTATTCCTAGGAAACAATTTCCAGTTGAAAGTATATGCTACCTTGAAAACGAGGCTAGAGAACTGAATACTTAGATACTGATGCTACTTTCTTTTTCCACAGCTCTCAATAAAAAAGTTACTTTTTATTGTCCACTTTTATGTGGTCAATTATTTTGACTCAAGTAAGTAAAAATTTGGATAATCTAGTCCAAAAACAATTCTACAAGAGAAAGAGAGTAATCCAGGTTTGAACTTTGTTAAATAGGTAAAAGAAGAACAATGCAGCAAGAGAATTGAGGATATTTTTGAGAATGGATTCAACTTCTGGATATGTAAGTAGATAAATAAAGATGGAGGCTAACAGCAAGAATAAAGGGATCAAGAGAGTAGCATTCTCTACTGAGACAGAAGAACAAGTGAAGTAGAAATAACTTAATGAAACAATAAGAAAAAAAAAGTGTGCAATCATGGAGTCCAAGGGCATAGTATTCAAATTAAGATTTTAGAGCTAGAACAATTTCTACTGATAATAAAATGTAAAGTATGGTCATGAGAGTGACCGACCAAAGTAGAATTGGAGGTAAAGCTTGCTACATTAGAGAAAGTTAAGGAAGTGAGTGGGTGCTAAATAGATTATTCAGGTAAATGCTGACATTACTCAGGCTTGATGGCAGGAACTGTGAAGTTTAGGAAGACTACAGCCAGGTTCTAAAATCATCCGTGAATAAAATGATATTACTAAGAGCTCAACAAATGACAGCAACAAGGAAGGGTAGTGGGTGGTTGTGTTTAGTTGCATTACATACAAAGGTACAAGATATAAAAATAACAATCACGAAACATTACAGAAATAAATACAGGAGAATGGATAGATTACTAGGTCAGCATTCACATGTTCAACAAATGTCCAAAAAAAGGTCAGTCCAAGAATCTCAAAGTGGATTGGGATGGAGGTCAGAGGGAAGAGAAACTTAGAAAGTTAGTAGAGTAAATAACAAATGATCAAAGTCCCTTAAAAAAGATAAAAAAAAGAGAAAGTTACACTGCAAACTCAGCATAGCATTTATTACTTCTGTGAAAGAGGCACAAGGATATAACAGGCAAGGAGAGTGCAGGGAAATATAAGATACATAATTAGATGTTCTGTTCTTGGTTTGGGTGGTAGATTCAAGGATGTTCATGTTATTACATTGTGTTGTAACTAATACACATTCATTTATATGTAGCAAAATTGGAATGAAAGCTAATATTTTTAAAAAATTTATGGATACATAATAGTTGTACATATTTATGGGGTACTGTTACATTTTGATACAAATATATAATATGTAATGATCAAATTTGGGTAATTGGGATATACATCACTTCAAACATTTACATTTCATTGTGTTGGGAACATTTCAAATCTTCTCTTCCAGATATTTTAAAATATACAGTAAGCTATTGTTAATTATAGTTGCCTGACTGTGCTATTGAACACTAGATTTTATTCCTTCTATCTAGCAAAGATTTCTTGAGTAAGACCTCAAAAACACAGGCAACCAAAGCAAAAATTGACAAATGAGATTCTATCAAGGTGAAAAGCTTCTGTACAGTTTAGAAAACAATAAACAAAGTGAAGTGACACCTACAGAATGGAAGAAAAAATTTGCAAGCTATTCTTCCAACAAGGGATTAATAAACAGAATATATAAGGAACTCAAACAACTCAATAGCACAAAATAACAATAATAATCTGATTTTTTAAAATGGATAAAATATTTGAATAGACATTTCTCAAAAGAAGACATACAATGGCCAACAGGTATATAAAAAAATGCTCAACATCACTAATTATCAGAGAAATGCAAATCAAAACCACAATGAGATATCATTTCACCCAGGTTAAAATGCCTATTATAAAAAAATTCTGAAAATAACAAGTGCTGGAGAGAATGAAGAGAAAGGGGAGTGCTTGTACACTGCTGGTGGAAATATAAATTAATACAACCAGTATAGAAAACAGTATGGAGGTTCCTAAAAATCTAAACATGGAACTATCATATGATCTAGCAATCCCTTTGCTAGGTATATATTCATGAGAAAGGAAATCAGTATGTTGAAGAGATACCTGCACTCCCATGTTTACTGCAGCACTATTTACAATAGCCAAGATATGGAATCAACCTAATTGTCCATCAACAAATGAATGCATAAATAAAATGTGATATGTATACACACAATGGAGTATCAGCTAAAACAGAAAGAATAAAATCAGGTATGAAATGCATGATTAGCAAGAAGAATGAAAATGGAGGACATTATATTAAACGAAATAAGCTAGGCACGGAAAGACAAATATTGCATGTTTCCACTCATATATGGGAGCTAAAAATTGATCTCATGGAGGCAGTGAATAGAATGGTAGTTACCAAAGACTGGGAAGGATAGTAGAGAGAAGGAGATGAAGAGGGGTTGGTTAATGGGTACAAAATATTTTTTAAAAAAACAAAGGAACTTCATTCTTACAAATTCTACCCATATTGTCTAGGTCACTAGACTTAGGTCCTCAAGAGTTTCTGTTGCACTAGGGCAAGGCAAATACTTTAATACATATAAAATAAATATTACATATACATGTAAATATACATACTAAATCCTACATTAGATATTTGATAACTTGCTTGTGGAAACAGATTTTTCCATGTTATATTTTAATATAAACATTAATGATCTCTGTTTTCTCAGCACAAACCAAATTGTGGCACAGAAAGACAATTCATAAATGTCTTCTTCAAAATGGGCCAATTAGGCCGAAGTTGAGAATTTGGGGAAAAGTACAAAATTGAGATGATCAAGAACTAATTCTAGCTACATTGCTGAATGGAAAAACTAAGTAACATGAAGCAGATAACCTATCTGTTGATAACTGAGACTAAGAAAATACAAACTATTGAAAAAGTGATGTGATATGACTTTAACTTAGCATGAAATGAAGAGACACCAGAGTATATACAGTAAGTCTATAATCAGTAATGTCTCATTCATGTATGTCACCCACCTTTAAGTTTAGCCAATTATCAAAATACAGTTATATAACTACTTTTCCATATTTTTGTAAGGTAAATGTATAATTACTGAAAGTAAAAAATAGTCGGAATGCAACATATAGCAACAGTAAAAACAAAAAACAACAAAAGATAATTATTTAGGATTGAAGCAGAATAACAAAAAAGAGTGAAAAAATGCAAAAGAAAATTAAATATAGCAATAACCATTATCATATAATAAACTGGAAGGCACTAAATTTCAATCATATTTGCTGAAAGACATTACAAAAGTTACTAGTAAATTACTGTTGCTATTACCTCTTATGTTTCCTTTCACATTAACCCACATAAATAAAATACTTATAAATTTACTCTTTAGTTTTTAATCAATTTTATAAACTATTTTATTATCAACTCTTAGTTAATTTCATAGGGATGAAGGAAGTCACACATAACTCTAAATCACTTAGAAACAACAGTCAAGGTGACCAACCATGGCACATAATTCCTAATTTATACTAGCTAAGCCTTCCACCACATTATTTCTTTACCTAAAGGATCTCAAATGTTGTCACTGGCTCAAATCTCTAAATCTCCATACAGCCTTGAGAACTTTTCAGATTTTAGAGATCTTCTCTCTCTTTTCTTTCTAATTAACCCCTCTTTCTAGTTAACCCTTCTTGCTATTATATGCCAGGTAACTGAGATTTCCCTCCAATGTAAATTATATTTCCTTAAGGCATTGTAGCTGTACTATCTATGATTCACTGCAAATTCCCACTTTGGAAAGAGAAATGGTGGTAGGGTAGAAATGAACAAGTGTTTTCTCACAGACTCAGTATTCTCTGCAGATAAGGATTATCTACTATGACAAAGGAGTAGATTACAGCCACCTCTGACAAGGCAACCACAAACAAATCAGTTCAACCTAAGCACTTCAAGGACAGATTCCTCTACTCTGGAGGTGGGAAAGTGAGTTTTCAAGACCTATGCCATCTAAATACCTAATTATGGACTCTGCTGAGGAAGGTGAGTAGTCAACTGGAGTTAATTTAAAGATAATACTGTTATTCTATATTTGTAGATAAATAGAGAGTTAACTGTAATTCCTGATGAACTAAATTTTTAGAATCACCAAAGAGATTCTCCTAATTTACAAAAGGGACACTGTATTTTTTATGTCCTACTACAATTAGTTAATACGTTTTATTTCATGTTATTTTATGTGGGTGATATTTCTATATTTCATTAACAACCATATATGTATATACATAAAAACAGAAATAAAAGTGAACTATATCATATCAATACACAGGCACAAGCAATTCCACAAACAGACTCAATTGTAAGAAAAATATACCTGCCATCCCTGTGATGATGGTCAATGGTCTGACTGTATCTGGAGCGAGGTAGAGTAAGAAAATGACTGCAAGCATGGCAGAAACAAGAATATAAATAAGACTCAAGAAAGAAGTGAAAAAAAAGTATAGTTTAATTTAAAAAGTGAGATTTTAAAAGATAGGCAGACAGTAAGCAAAGCACATGGAAACTGTTATTGGAAAGCTTGCCCCCTCCTCCCAATGTTCACTGTAATATGACAGTGCCAAAGGTTAAAATATTCTAAATATTTTAAAATAAAATGCAACAACAATATAACATCAGTTATTACTCAAACATCTTTAGCACCACCTAGAATGTTATATGATAGAGATGCTTTACCATTTTTTATGAGGAAAGATGAGATGAGAAAAATAAAATAAGCAGAAAGTTTAAGAAGGAAATAATAAATGAGGTAATTTCAAATACTTATAAAAGTTGGGAAATTTAAAAGGTAACTATTTCTCTTTTAATTATTAATAATTAAAAATAACTACAAAGGGCCTTAACAATTCCATTTAATAAAGAGTAAACTGATCCAAATTACTTTGATTATTAATTGTATTTATTAAATTTATTGGGTGCTATTCATTTTTCCATTCACTATGTTTATTATGTATTATGTATTACATGCTATTGGCTTTGCTACCTTTCATGCCTCATAACTACCATAAGCAATCCAAGCAGCACACTGATCTTTTACCCATCTCTTCTTTCCACAGCACTAATTTAAAATTTCCTACTTTCTTAGAACCTTTAATACTAAAACAATTAATCTTAGCAGATTATCATTATGTTTCCATAAACAATGGAAATGAACCTTGAACTCTCTCAAATTCCACAATTCTATCTCTAAATATAAAGTAAACATACATTTAAATCTTCACTTGTTCTTGTCTTCTGCACCAAAAGAGATGCCTCTACTTGTAATCCTGCTTCCCATATGACCTTGCTTCATTTATTATTCCCTTCCTCAACTGCACTTAATCCTAAAAATAAAACCCTTGCTAATCTTTCCTTCCTCTCAAGCCACTGTATCTCGCTCATTTTCTTTTCAACATAGAACATCTTAAAATACATATCTACAATTCTTGCCACCTCTGCTAGAGTTTGCTTTCATGCTTTAAGCTTACTGTAATTTGACTTCTGCTTCTACCACACTCTCGAAGCTGTCTTATGAATGTGCAATTCCCCCAAAATTCTTTCGTCTCCTCTTAATCCTCATCATACTCCACTTACGTTTGGTATTAGACATTGATTTTCAAACCTCTATTTTTTAATACTCTCTCCTTTTTTGGTTTCTGAAACCTCTCTAGCTATTAAAAATAGTCTTTATTTAACTTATAGTTCAGTTCATATACACTGAACTATATGCCGAGTACTCCATTAAAAGCTTTGCCTACATTATCTCATTTACTTCTCAAAACAACTCTTTGAGGTAGGTTCTACTATTCCCACTTTTGCACAGACAGATAAACTGAGGATATGAGTGCTTGTTCAGAGCTATATAGTAAGTGGCAGGACTGGGTTTCAAACTCAGGGCTTTCTTAATTCAAAACTCAGGCTCTTAACACATTTGTACATACAGCCTGGTCTCTCACCTATATGAGTGGTTCTTCATGCATTTAATGTACTGGATTTCCTTTCTCTGTAGAGAGGCAGTGATTTTCCCAAGATTCATTTCCTGATCTTATATTCCAACACATTCTTTCTAAATAATGCAATTGTTTTTATGGTGTAAACAATAACTCTGCTTTATTACTGATTATTCTTTGGGTTGCACAACACTTTTCCATCTGCTTCTGGGCTCTCCACATAATGCTTGAGTGACATGTAGACACTTCAGGAAAACATATGTTCATTGTGAGACTAGAACAATACCCTTTGCCTATTTACGAGGAGGTTCAAGCAGTGGTTTTCAAACTCTATTTTTTTTTTAGCACATCACTTTTTTTCCAAACAAAATTTGATATAGAATCAATATACAGTAATCAAATAATATCAGGATGATGCTGGCTAAAGAGAGTAAGAAGCCTAGATCTCTATCCATTTGGCCTCATTTTTACCTGTCATAGCAGTCTCTCAGGTACCTCTACAAAACACAGGAGTCCATCATCTCTAAAGTCCCTTCTAATTTCTAACGTAATTCTTTAATCCCCCTTTAGAACTTAATATAATACTTCAGCTATTCCTTTTTTTGTAATCTCTTGCAATTCCAGCTTCAAGTAAGGATTAAAATATTTATTTAATAAACCAAGTTTTACAGTCTCAAAATTTAACTCCTCCATTTCCTCATTTTTCACATTCAATGGATTTACAAGCCTTGCTTATTCTGATGCCTAAATAACTCAGATTTCTCTCCTTTACCTTTTCTCCTGCCACCACCTTAAATCAGGTTTACTATGTCTATTGAAACAACCTTCTCTTAGGACTTCCTACCTTCAGACCCCAGTCTTCCCCTGACTAAATACAATCTTCATCTTGTCTACAGAAGTTTATTTGCATATTATGCTTTCTGATCACATAGGTACCTTACTAAAAATCCTTCACTGGTTCCTGATATCAAAAAACAAGTATAAATTCCCTAAAAGTTCTAAACTACTTTCAATCTTCATCTTCTATCACTTTCCATTCCCCATACCACTACCTCTTATCTAGGTACAACAGACTACCTAAGATTCTCTAAATTATCATGTGTTTTCCTGACTCCAAGAATTTGTTCATGTTCATCATTCTGTCAAGAATGCCCACCATTCTCCCTCTGTCTCCACTGCTTCACTTTTCACAATCTTATTCAATCTTTAAAGCCCAACTTCTCTGTGATGCCTTTTCCAGTTCACCCAATCAAGTAATTTTCTCTCCAATCTGTTCCAGTATTGTTATCCTTCTGCCACACAGTCTTCAACATTTTAAAATTAGTTGATATAGGATAATTTGTCTGGCTAGACCAGGATAATGTCTGTTTTAAATCTTTGTGCACAATGGCTGACCCACTCAAATATATTTTGGATTGCACTAAAAAGTAAAATCAAAATTATACTGTTTTCACGATGAGCCTTCTCTCAAAAAAGAGCAGTGGTTCATATAATTATAGAACATTCTAGAAACATAAACAGAAGATTATGAGCCTATGTAAGGAAATATTTAAAAAAGTATACATAGCTTTATGAAGAAGAGAAATAATACCCAACAGTTGTGATGTTGGGCTTTACTGCTTTAAAAGGAATAGGTTTTCTCCAAAATTACTTAAGAATAACAGAAAATATGTAAATTTCAAAGCTTGCTAAAATTTATAAATTTATAAAATATATATATAAAATCATCCAATTTCTAATAGTTTCCTTGAAGAGTCTTATAATTAACTTTGTCCCTATAAAGCCAAAGCAGCCATTAAGCAAGAATCACCTTTATCAAGCATCAATTTATTTTATTTCTCTTTTCTGTCTCTAGTCATGTTAGTTCTTAACCTTATCTGGTCATGACCCTCCTTGAGATTCTGTTGAAAACTATAAAAACTCATGCATGAACATTATACAAAATTTACCATTGTGTTTTAGTAAGCCCTCTAAAATCTACCTAAGGTCCACAGCCATACTCAAGGTCCTTTGCTGCATCCACTTGGTACAACCTTAAAACATATTACACTTCTCCACTGAACCATGCTTACTTTTCTTCCAAAATTAATGGACATTATTAAATTTGAGCAATAAGTATGCATAGTGTCTTAAATATGCATAATGACTAAACAAATAAAGTAAGTTATATTAAAACTGCAGTTAGTCCAATCTGAGCAGTAAATCACTGTAAAAGAAAAAAATAGAAAAACAATACATTTACTAAATTTTAAAAAGCAAAAACAAAATAAAGAAGTCATAGATTCTAAGGCTCATGATAAAAAATTACTATTCAAAGTATTAAACTAGATTACTAATCCAATTTCTAGACACTTTGATTCTTAAGCAATATAACCTTTAAAGACAACACAAAATTATATTTATAATGAATTGTCCTTCCACTATATGAAATTAGCCGAATGTCCCCTTTAGGAATCACTTTAGTCCATACAAAAAAGAACTGCAAAAATGGGAGATAAAGTATTCCATTCTTAAGTAAAACTATAGCTTCCAAAAACCCTTACTTAATGCAAAAACATTTTTTTTATTCTTTTTTTTTTTTTTTTTTTGAGACAGGGTCTTGCTCTGTCACCCTGGCTGGACTGCAGTGGTGCGATCTCAGCTCACTGCAGCCTTGACTTCCCTAGGCTCATGCAATCCTCCCACCTCAGCCTCCTGAGTAGCTGGAATAAAAAAAAGGTGCACACCACCACACCTGGGCTAATTTTATTTATTTTTTATTTTTTGTGTGTGTTTGTGGAGATAGGGTCTCACTATATGGCCTAGACTGGTTGAGAACTCCTGGGCTCAAGTGATGTGCCTGCTTAAACCTCCCAAAGTTCTGGCATTACAGGCATGAGCCACTGTGCCTGGCATGTGTCTTTAATATTGTTAATGCTTTCCTTATGTTGTAGTCCCTACATTCTACTCAGTATGATTTAACTGTCTTAAAATGTTTCCGAAATACAGCAAATAAAATAAGTAAAATAAAACGTTATATTATTTTTGTAAAGTGAATTTTCTTTTTTCATTTACTTCATAATTTTAAACTATCAGAGATATGTTTCCTTCATAGTTGATAACTGAAAGGAAAAAAGAGACTATTCTTTTTGGTGAAATAGTTATGAGTACGAGTTACACTTTCTGGTAGCTGACTTCCTGACAAGGAATAGATAAATAGCATGAGTGTGTAAGGTATGCCAGTGGTCCATATAATAGGGCATTTTCCTTTTTAGAATATATATCTATTAACTGAATGTATAGGAGAAAAAAAGCTTATAAAGTAATTTATCTTTTGCCAACATTAATTGTATTCTTATGATGCTAAAAGTACACTCCATGGAAATAAATGCATCTAATGTATTTTGGCCTCCAGGATAGACATAAAAATGCATACTGTGGAGTACTTCTGACATGTTACAGAAATATTATCTAATACTCTATACTTATTCTAATAGTAAACTAACTCAAGTAAACAAAAAGCTCTTAAAATATATATATATTTTTTTGAGACAGTCTTACTCTGTCACCCAGGCTGGAGTGCAGTGGCGCGATCTCGCCTCACTGCAACCTCTGCCACTCGGGTTCAAGCGATTCTCCTGCCTCAGCCTCCTGAGTAGCTGGGATTATAGGCATCTGCCACCGTGCCTGGCTAATTTTTGTATTGATTTCTAATACTAAGGCCACATAGTCTGCCTCAGGAAAAATTATGTTCCTAGTTGTAGTAGTTACCAGGACTTATCAGAAAAACAATGGTATAAAAAGCGGTGGAATGGAAGTAGGAGATGAAAGATATGCTTAATAATTCCTTGTTTTAGCTGAGTCCTTGCATCCAGGTTACTAAATTACTTGTGAAGAATCTATCTACTTTGCAAAGCAGAATAGGATTTTGACTAATGATAACACAGTGAGATAGGCAGAGAAACAAAGACCTAATAAAAATTTAAAGTGTAAATTATTTTTACATTACCTATAGAAAGGATATAAATACTATATCTTCTCCTTACACCACCCAAGTTTAACCAAGTACTATTAATGAATATCAAATAGCATCTTTTCTCACTCATTATAGTCTATCCTTGCTCTTGGTCTTGCCTGAATAAACATGCCCATTTTTCAAGGTCCAATTCATGCCCTACATTCATTCTACACAAAACTTAAAAAACAAACAAACAAACAAACAAAAAACTACATGGGCCAGGCGCGGTGGCTCATGCCTGTAATCCCAGCACTTTGGGATACCCAGGCAGGTGGATCACCTGAAGTCAGGAGTTCAAGACCAGGCTGGCCAACATGGCGAAACCCCGTTTCCACTAAAAATACAAAAAAAAAAAAAAAAAAAAAAATAGCTGGACATGGTGGCACATGCCTGTAATCCCAGCTATTTTGGAGGCTGAGGCAGGAGAATCGCTTGAACCTGGGAGGCAGAGGTTGCAGTGAGCTGAGAAAACGCCATTGAACTCCAGCCTGGGTGACCCAGTGAGACACTGTCTCAAAAAACAAACAAACAAAACAACAACAACACTAAGTGAACTGGCTGATTTCTCTATCTCTCTTTTTTTCTTGTTTACTAAGCACATTAAATGTAAATTATTTGCAAGTGAATATATCCTTTTAAAATGGTAAGGTTAAAGCACGTATTTTCAATACCTACTATACAATTGGAGGCAGTGTCATTTAATCTACACAACTCAATAAAGTTGATACGAGTCATTTAATCTACACAACTCAGTAAAGTTGATACTGATATTCTAATTTTACAGATAAGAAAATCAAGTGTCAAAGAGGTTAATTTTCCCAAAGACACAGGTAGCAAGAGGTTAAATCCTGCATTCAAAATCAAGGCCATTTGGTTTCAAATCCTATAAAAAAGATTCAATAAAATATATACATTCAATAAAATACTATTCTAGTCCAGTGCATCAATTCTTACTGACAAGAAAGGTTAGTTATTGTACCTCTCAAAAGACCTAAATTACTATTATTATCTCAAAGGAAATTCTCTCTTAGGCTTTTTAATCAACATTATTATTGATTAAAATGCTATTCATGAAAATTCACTGTAAGAGTTCTAGAGTATTCTTATCTTCTAAAAATCATAATGCAGACATATGCATTTTATTACCAAAACTCTTAGAATATTAAGATAAAACAGAGATTAAGAATTTGTTGCTTAATGTGACAGACCACATATATAATATTGAACTTTTAAATTTTTTATTCCTCATGTTAATAAATAATTACACAGATAAATAATATTAGAAATGGTTTTATATTTCTATTTAAATAAAATTCTATTTTATTTATTTGAAAAAAGGATTTAAGGCAGCTCACAATTAAGAGGAATTGTGATCTGGCATTGACAGTGCTCTAAAAGAGAAATAAAAACCACATGGATCAATTTTCTTGAAAACTTCAGAAAATAATTATATGAACATTTTTGCTAAACTAAAAGATTTATAAATTTTTTAAATAAAAAATAAAAATATAATGATGTTTCAGTTGCAGACATAAATTGGGACAGACCATAAAAATGCACATTGTAGGATATCTCTGACATGATAATTACCTAATATGACCATATTAACTAATACCAAGGATTAATCATCTAGGCTTTAATAGGAAGCTTTGCTGCCATTAAACCTAGGGTCATTTGCCTTTAAATATTTATAAAGTATTATGCATTTGACATGATAGCAATCATTTTTATTTATAATTCTAGATGTTAATTTTATTTTTCTTCAAGATTTAGACAGCATTTATTTGTCTTAAAGAAAACAAAGTCCATTTTTTCATTAAAATAAAACTTTACATAAAATTGAACAAAGTTTAAATTCATTTCAGAATTTTCTCTCTCATCATTTCCATTAACAAACCTTCAAGGAACAAGGATTTTATGACTTGGTATATAAATAATTTCCAGAAACAATCAAGCTCATTAAAATGCTATATTAGGCAACTAAAATACCTCTTCATTCATCCTAATATGACTCCTTTCAACTCCTAATCATGCCAACATAGTTACCCTTCTTTCTATTACAGTATTGTACTTGATAAGCATCAACTTCTACATGTAGCATGTCTATAATTACCCCTAAAGACACAGATTACTATGAAAAAGTTAAGCAAATTAAAAGAAAATAAAATACTACATTAGCTTTCATTTATCACTAAAAGCAGTATTAATTTAATAACTTCTTACATATAATTTCTTCTTAGATCTCAGGCACAAAAGCCAATACTTGTTAGACACTATTGAAGACTATGATATCCCCTCTTTAGTTCTGGAGAAGTATACTAAATCACAGTGAAATTAAGCATGAATTAAGTATAATCTTAATTTAGACAAAAAAATTAAGTGTTTAAATGTAAACAGTAATTTCTCATATCAGCTTATTTAAAAGCCCTCAAATGTTCTTCCTAAAATCGGTTTAGGATGCATACAAAGGGACTTCTGAGTTCCTTCGTTATTTTATCATATCTTTGAATAGTTTGGGAAACATAATGGCATTTACTTCATGTATAACCAAAGCATGAATTAGAGAGTTTATCGATTTGCTTAAGTTAAAAATATTAATAGCAGCTAATGTAAGCATTGTAACATACCATGTTACTTCCAAGTTTGTGACATTTAATGGAGCAAATTCAGAGAGCTCTTCCAAATACAGCAAACAATCTTTAAGATGCTTAAAAGGTTTACTGAAAGCCATGAGGAAAAACCTCTTCATGAATCATAAAATGTTTCCTAAACAAATCAGACTCCGTCTCAATACTTCCATATGTGAAAAGTCACACCAATTTCTCTGATGAATGTAAAAGACTTTAAAATCTTTTGTCTCATGAAAGTATTTATATATATAATTGTTTATGACAAGAAAAATAATAAAACATCTTGGTTTCACTATAATTAACATTATAATCACTTATACAGATTCACTAACTTAACTGGTTTGATTAAACCAAAAACAAAATGGCAGGAGAAAGATAATTTTGTTTTTTTCTTACCAGAGAAAAGGTTGTTTGTATTTATTTACCTTTAACAATGTGGCAGTCATAAGAAATAATGTAAGCGTTGTAAGAGAAAAACATTGTTTCAGAAACTAAGAAAAAGGAATATGTGAAAATATTTTATGGTAACCCCTTCCTGAAAGCAGTGATTATATTAATAATAAGGTCTAATAGTATTTAATCATATTTACCTGTCTCTATCTGGAGAATAATGGTCATCCATGACACGATGTCTGTCCATTCGGCTAATTGTATTATAATGTCCGGTCATAGTGCGGGTCCCTCGAAGCCCCTGTTCCACATTCCGACTAAAACAACAAGATCTATTCAATATCTTAGTAAACCATTTGAAACACTAAGAAACGAGGTTTATTTTAAAGCACAGTAGAAAAAGACAAAGTCACTATATGGTGAAGTCCAAATTTTGTTTTAATTAATTGCATCTCTAACTAAAGGTATAAGTTTCAGTGGAAGGTTGACAGTTAAGTAAGATTACTGCTACAAGAGATGCAGCACAAGGAGCTCAAATTAAACTAATAACAGTGGGGATATGATAAGGACTATCATATATCCTTATATATAACCATCATATGGATGACTACCAGGTCTCTAGTACTGATACTCAATAATATACTCAAGAGGAGAAGATTTGTATGGAGAAAATATGTTCAGTGTTAGACACATTTGCATACATGACCTATAGGATTGCAGATAGAGATGCCTCATAGGTGGTTGGACATGAGTTCGGAGCTTAGGGGAACAAGTCAAAATTTGCACACTTTGCGCCATCTCCCTTGATACCACTCCAGTCCAAACTACCATCTTTGTGAATATACCATAAAATAGCTACCTAGGCTGGGTGTGGTGGCTCATGCTTGTAATTCCAGCACTTTGGGAGGCTGAGGTGGGCAGATCACGTGAGGTCGGGAGTTCGAGACCAGCCTGACCAACATGGAGAAACCCTGTCTCTACTAAAAAATAAAAAATCAGCAAGGTGTGGTGGTGCATGCCTGCAATCCCAGCTACTCGGGTGGCCAAGGCAGAAGAATCGCTTGAACCCGGGAGGTGGAGGCTGCAGTGAGCAGAGATCCCACCATTGCACTTTAGCCTGGGCAACAAGAGCGAAACTCCATCTCAAAAAATAAAAAAGCTACCTAAGTAATCTCTGGCTTCAATTCTTACCTCATCCATGATGACACGCAACAGCCCTTTAAAACACAATTAAGACATGGCATGTCATATTGTAGGATGAAAGATAGGAGTCCAGTTTTTAATTTATTCCATTGGTGAGCTAATTTTCCTACCCTGTCTGACCCACCCTTTGCATATTAATTGTGGTGCCACTTTATCATCATATGTCAAGTTCACATACAAATATCGCTGTAAATGTATATATATTATTATTTTACTGTCGATTCCCTTCAATATGTCTATTTTGCTGCTGTTATTCAAGTTCCATCCTAGTTTTAATTATTTTTGCCTGCTGGCAAATTTTTCTCTTCTTTTTTCAAAATGGATTTATTGGTATGTCTTTATCCTTCCACATAATGCCTAGAACAAGTTTGTAAAATTGCACACAAACTTTTGATTGTTATGGCATTAGATTTATAAATTAATTTATGGAAAATTGATATCTTTATTATAGGAAGTAATTTGACCCATGCATAGGGCATATCTCTCATTAATTCCTTACCCAAAGTTTTACCTCTTACTTGAAAAGATCCTGTGAATTCTTAGTACATGAATTGTTGGATACTTTGGGTTACTTTTGAGAACAGTACTTACATTTTACTATATTTTCCAATTAGTAATTACTCATAAGTTGATCTATGGACAGCTACTTGACAGAACTCCTATATTAGTTTTAATATTTTGGTTATGTTGGGTTTCCTGTGGAGATAATCCTGTCATTAACAAATAATGATGGTTTTCATCTCTTCTCTTTCAATCCTGAAACCTCTTATTTCCTTTTCTCAACATTTTTCAGGACCTGAAGTACTATTTTAAACAGTGACAATATTAATGAACATCCATCTCTTATTTCTGCTATTAATGTAAATTTCTCTAAAGTTTTTCCATTAAGTATAATGCTTGCTTTATTAAGCCTTTATGAAGTGTAGGTGGTTCTCTTCTAGTTTAGTATCTTATGTGAATATAAGTTGAACAATAAAATTCTTTTTCTGCCTCTGATAAGATTTATTTCCCCATTAGTCCATTAATATGATGAATTACCATAACAATTTTTCTGGTGTCTCACCGACATGATTTAAATTCATGGTAAGGTTTACTTAAAGTAAGATTTTTTACATACGTTTGTAACTAAAATGGGCTTCTTAAGCTGGGCACAGAGGCACATAGTCCCGGTATCTGAGCCTAGAGGATTGCTTGAGCCCAGGAGTTCGAGTCTAGCCTGGGCAACATAGTGAGACTTTGTCCTTGAAAAAAAAAATGAAAAAGGAATACATATATATTTTATTATACTCTAAGAATTAGAACTAAGGTTATGTTAGTTCCAGAAAAAGAATTAGGCAACTTTCCTTTTTTATCTGGTTTTAGAGCCAGTTGTATAGAACAGATATTAGTTCTCAAAAACTTGGTTAAAACTTACCCATAGTACTTTTTAGTCTGGAATTCTCTTTATGGGTGGATGGCGGGAAGAGAGTAGTTTGTCTTTGAGTACCATTTCAACCTATTTGCTGGTTGTTTTTTTTTTAATTTTATTTTACTGTTTTTTTTTTTGAGACGGAGTTTCACTCTTCTTGCCCAGGTTGGAGTGCAATGGCAGGATCTCGGCTCACTGCAACCTCCACCTCCCAGGTACAAGCGATTCTCCTGCATCAGCCTCTTGGGTAGCTGGGATTAGAGGTGCCTTTCACCACGCCTGGTTAATTGTTTTGTATTTTTAGTAGAGATGGGGTTTCACCAGGTTGGCCAGGCTGGTCATGAACACTAGTTGTTATTTTAACTTTCATTTCTTCTTGTGTCAATTTTAATATTTTATATCAATTTCAGAAATTTAACCATTTCACCTAGATTAACAAATTTAATAACATAATTTCATAATGGTTGCTATTTTTAAAGTCTTTTTCTTATCTGTAGTTGTTTCCCTTTTTCAATGTTTTATTTATTTATACCTCTCATTTTCCATGTACAATCCTTTTATTGTATTGATGTCACCAATCTTTTCAAATAACTAACTTGTGGGTTAACATACATTCTTATCTTTCACTTCTTTTTCTTACTGTCTGTGCCTCATTTTGTTTCAGTTTCACTGATTTTTCCCTAATCTTTATTAATTCCATCCTTCACATTTTTTCAGGACTTTCTCCATTGTTCTGTACTGTTTCCTAAATTCAGTGTTTATTTAGCTCTCTATTTTCGTTAAAAATTTTTTTGTCAAGTAAACATTGCACATATTTATGGTATACATGATGTTTTGATAAGTGTATACATTGCAGCATGGCTAAATCAAGCTATTTAACATTTGTACTACCTCAAATATTTATTCTTTTGTGTGAGAACACTTTAAATCTACCCTCTCAGAAATTTTCAAGTATATATTAACTATAGTTGCCATTATATACAATAGATCTCTTGAACTTATTCCTCTTGTCTAAGTGAAATTTTAGGTCTTTTGACCTATATCTCCCCAATCTTCTCACCCCACCAGGCTCTTTTCTCTGCTTCAGAAACTGCAACTTTTTAGATTCTATATATAAGTTAGATCATGTGGTATTTATTTTCTATACCTGGCTTATTTCACCTAACATAATGCCCTCTAGGTTCAACTATGTTGTCAGAAATGATAGAATTTTCTTCTTTTTAGAAGTTGAATAGTATTTCATTGTGTATATTTACATTTTTATTACCTGTACATCTGTTGATGACAGTTTCATTCCATATCAATTCTGTTGTGGCTAACGTTGCAATGATCATGGGAGTGCAGATATCTTTTTTAATTTTAATTTTTTAACTTTGTGAGTACATAGTAGGTGTATGTATTTATGGAGTACAGGAGATATATTGATAAGGGCACAAAATACTTAATAATCCCAAATCCATCCCTTCAAGCATTCATCTTTTGTGTTACACAGAATCCAATTATACTCTTTTTTTTTTTTTTTTTTTTTTTTTTTTTTGAGACAGAGTCTTGCTTTGTTGCCCAGGCTGGAGTGCAGTGGCACAATCCTGGCTCACTGCAACCTCCGCCTCCCAGATTCAAGTGATTTTCCTGACTCAGCCTTCCAAGTAGCTGGGACTACAGGCGCGCACCACCATGCTCGGCTAATTTTTGTATTTTTAGTAGAGACGGGGTTTCACCATATTGGCCAGGCTGGTCTCGAACTCCTGACCTCATTATCCATCTGCCTTGGCCTCCCAAAGTGCTGGGATTACAGGTGTAAGCCACCGTGCCTGGCCCCGATTATACTCTTTTAGTTATTTTTAAATGCACAATTAAATTATTTTGACTATAGTCACCCTGTTGTGCTATCAAATACTAGGTTCTATTTATTATTTCTATTATTTGTACCCGTTAACCATTGCCACATCCCCTTCACCCACTGCGACCCATCCCAGCCTCTGGTAATCATCCTACTAGTCTCCATCTCCATATGTTAAATTGTTTTGATTTTTATATCCCACAAATAAGTGACAACATGCAATGTTTGTGTTTCTGTGCCTGGCTTATTTCACTTGATATAACGACCTCCAGTTCCATCCATGTTGTTACAAGTGACAGGATCTCATTTCTTTCTGGCTGAATAGTACTCCACCATGCATAAATACATTTTCTGTATCCATTATGGACATGTAGGTTGCTTCCAAATCTTGGCTATTGTGAACAGTACTGCAACAAATATGACAGGGCAAATATGCCTTTGATATACCGATTTCCCTTCTTTTGGGTATATACCCACCAGTGGGATAGTGGATCATATGGTAGCTCTATTTTTAGTTTTTTGAGGAACCTCCAAACTGTTCTCCATAGAGGGTGTACTAATTTACATTCCAACCAATAGTGTACAAGGGTTCCCTTTTCTCCACATATTTACCAGCATTTGTTATTGTTTTAGGATATAAGCCATTTTGACTGGAGTGAGATAACATGTCATTGTAGTTTTGATTTGCATTTCTCTGATGATCAATGATGTTGAGAATCTTCTGATATGCCCGGTTGCTATTTGTATGTCTTCTTTTGAGAAATCTCTATTAAAATCTTTTACCTATTTTTTAACTGGCTTATTGGATTTTTTTCCTATACAGTTGTTTGAGTTCCTAATACATTCTGGCTATTAATCCCTTCTGAGATGGATAGTTTCTTTGCAAATATTTCCTCCCATTCTGTGGGTTGTATCTTCATTATTTCCTTTGCTGTGCAGAAGCTTTTTAACTTGATATGATCCCTTTTGTCTACTTTTTTTTTTCCTTTTTTGTTCTGAGATGGAGTCTCGCTCTGTCGCCCAGGCTGGAGTGCAGTGGCGCGATCTCGGCTCACTGCAAGCTCCGCCTCCCAGGTTCACGCCATTCTCCTGCCTCAGCCTTCCGAGTAGCTGGGACTACAGGTGCCCGCCACCACGCCTGCTATTTTTTTTTGTATTTTTAGTAGAGACGGGGTTTCACCGTGTTAGCCAGGATGGTCTCGATCTCCTGACCTCGTGATCCGCCCGCCTTGGCCTCCCAAAGTGCTGGGATTACAGGCGCGAGCCACTGTGCCCTTTTGTCTACTTTTGCTTTGTTTGCCTGTGTGTGGGGTATTACTCAAGAAATTGTTGCCAAGATGAATGTCTCAGGGGGTTTCTTGAATGTTTTCTTGTAATAGTTTCATAGATTTAGGTATTAGATTTAGGTCTTTAATCCGTTTTAATTTGATTTTTGTATATGGCAAGAGATAGGGGTCAAGTTTCATTATTATTCATATAGATATCCAGTGTTCCCAGCACGATTTATTGAAGAGACCTTCCTTTCTCCAATGTATACTCTTGGCACCTTTGTCAAAAATGAGTTCACTGTAGGTGTATGGATTTGTTTCTGGGTTCTCTATTGTGTTCCATTGGTCTACGTGTCTGTTTTTATGGCAGTACCATGCTTTTTCAGTTACTATAGCGCTGTAGTATAATTTGAAGAAAGGCAATGTGATTCCTTCAGTTTTGTTCTTTTTGCTCAGGATAGCTTTGGCTATTCTGTGTCTTTTGTGGCTCCACATGAATTTTAGAATTATTTCTTCAATTTCTGTGATGAATGTCATTGGTATTCTGATAGGGATTGCACTGAATCTGTAGAATTCTTTGGGTAGTATAGAAAGTTTAACATCATTGATTATACCAATCCATGAACATGGAACATCTTTCTATTTTTGTGTGTGCCATCTTCAATTTCTTGCGCCAATGTTTTATAGTTTTCATTGTAGAGATCTTTCATTTCTTTGGTTAAGTCAATTTCTAGGTATTTAATTTTATTTGTGATTGTTATAAGTGGAATTACTTTCTTGATTTCTTTTTCAGATTGTTCACTGTTGCCATATAGAAATGCTACTGATTTTTTATGTTGATCATGTATCCTGAAACTTTACTGAATTTATCAGTTCTAATAGTTTTTGGTGGAGCCTTTAGGTTTTTCCAAATATAAGATCATGTCATCTGCAAGCAAGGATAACTTGACTTCTAACTTTCCAATTTAGATGCCCTTTATTTATTTCTCTTGGCTGATTGCACTAGTTAGGACTTCCAGTACTATGCTGAATAAGAGTGGTGAAACTGGGCGTCCTTGCCATGTTCCAGATCTTAGAGGAAAGGCTTTCAGTTTTTCTGCATTCAGTATGATACTAGCTGTGAGTCTGTTGTATATGGCTTTCATCATGTTGAGGTATGTTCCTTGCATCCCCAGTTTTTTGAGGGTTTTTATCTTGAAGGGATATTGAATTTTATCAAATGCTTTTTCAGAAACAATTAAAATAATCATATGGTTTTAGTACTTCATTCTGATGATATGATATATCACATTAATTGGTTTGTATATGTTGAATCATCCTTGCATCCCAGGGATAAATTTTACTTGGTCTTGATGAACGACCTTTTTAATGTATTGTTGAATTTGGTTTGCTAGTATTTTTTTTTTTTTTTGGATTTCTGCATCAATATTCATTAGAGATATTGGTCTGTAGTTTTTTTTTTTTATGTGTCTTTGTCTGCTTTTGGTATCAAAGTAATAACGGCCTTGTAGAACGAGTTTGGAAGTATTCTCTCCTTCTTTATTTTTTGAAATAGTTTGAGTAGAGTTGGTATTGGTTCTTCTTTAAATGTTTGTTAGAATTTAGCATTGAAGCCATTGGGTTCAGGCTTTTCTTTACTGGGAGACTGTTCATTATGGCTTTGATCTTGTTATTTGTTATTGATCTGTTAAGCTATTGGGTTTCTTTGTGGCCCAATCTAGTAAGTGTCTAGGAGTTTATGCATTTCCTCTATATTTTCCAATTTATTGGCATATAGTTGCTCACAGCAGCCACTAATTATCCTTTGAATTTCTGTGGTATCAATTGTAATGTGTCCTTATTCATCCCTGATTTTGTTTATTTGGGTCTTCTCTCTTTTTTCCTCTGTTAGTCTGGCTGAAAGTTTGTCAACTTTGCTTATCTTTAAAAAAACAAACCTGTTTCATTGATCTTTTGTATTGTTTTCTATCTATCTTAAAGCCAATAACTCTTAGATTTGCTCTTTTGAGTCTGTTTTTTAGATCTTGTAGGTGTGCTTCACTGTTTTTTATTTGTTTTTCTTTTGTTTGCTCTTTGCATTTTCAAATGGCCTCTTGAAGGTCACTAATTCTTCTGCTTGATCTATTCTGCTCTGAAGGGACATTGATGCGTTCTTTAGTATTTCAACTGCATATTTCAACACTAGAATATCCACTTGATTATTTTTAATTATTTCAATCTCGTTGTTAAATTTATCAAAAAATTTGGAATTCCTTCTCTGTGTTATATAGAATTTCATTGAGTTCCCTCAAAATAGCAGTTTTGAATTTTCTATCTGAAAGGTCACATCTGTTTCTCAAGTATTGGTCCCTGGTGCCTTATTTAGTTCATTTGGTGAAGTCTTGTTTTCCTGGATGATCCTAATGCTTATAGACGGTCTTTGGTGTCTTGGCATTGAAGAGTTAGGTATTTATTGCAGTCTTGGCTTGTTGTGCCCATCCTTCTTGGGAAGGTTTTCCAGGTATTCAAAGTGACTTGGCCCCAAGCCCAATAATGCTGTGTTTTTTGCAGACTCATAGAGGTACCACCTTGGTGGTCTTTGATAAGATCCAGAATAATTCTCTGGATCACCAGAGACTCTTATTCTTTTCCCTTACTTTCTCCCAGACAAATGGAGTCTCTTTCTCTCTCTCTGCTGAGCTGCCTGGAACTGGGGTTGTGGTGATGCAAGCACCCCTGTGGCTACCACCGCTGGTTCTGCACAGGGTCAGACCTGAAGCCAGAACAGCATTGGGTCTTGCCCAAGGCCGACTGTAACCACTACTTGGCTACTATCACCTATGTTCACTCAAGGTCCTAGGACTCTACAATCAGTAGGTGGCAAAGCCAGCCAGGTTTGGGTACTTCTCTTCGGGGTGGTAAGTTCCCCTAGGCCCTGATCAGATCCACAGATGCTATCTGGGAGCTAGGGATTGGGGTCAAACACCTTAGAAATTTGCCTGATGTTCTATTCTACTGTGGCTAAGGTGGCACTCAAACCACAATATAAAGTCCTTCCTGCTCTTCCCTCCCCTTACCACAGGCAGAAGAGCCTCTCCCTGTGGGATCTACCACCACTGGACCACAAGGGGGTTCCGTCAGGCCACTGCAATGTTCACTGAAAGCCCAAGGTTTCCTCTGTCAGTTTGTGGTAAATGCTGCCAGGCCTGTGACTCACCCTTCAGGGCAATAGGCTCCCCTCTGGGCCAGGGCAGGTACTGAAATGCTGAGCTTGTACTAAGCTTGTACTCAGGGACTCCATGAGCCTGCTTTTTGCTCTAACCCACTGTGGCTGAGCTGACATCTAAGGTGCAAGACAAAGTCACCTTAGTTTTCTCTCTGTTTTTCTCAAACAGAAGCAGTCTTTCATCACAGCCACCACTGGTGGGAATGTGCTGAGTCACCTGTGAAGCCTGCACATCTCAGAGCCCAATGCCCACAGCATAGTTCCTGGGTATCATTGCTGGTTATTCAGCGCCCAGGGGGTCTTTATTCAGCAGGTGATTAATCCTGCAGGACTGGGTCCTTCCCTTCAAGGCAGCAACTTCCTTTTAGCCCATGTTTGTCTAGAAATGTGCCAGAGCTAGGGCCTAGAACGGGGGCTTCTTGACTCTGCCTCGTTCTCTCTCCTACTGTGGCTGAGCTGGTATGCAAGATGCAAGACAAAGCCCTCTTTACTCTTTGCTCTCCTCCCCTTAAAGAGAAGGAAAGAGACACTTTAATTGCTGTGAGTTGCACTGCCTGGGGTTGGAGGAGGAGTGGTACTAGCACTCCTTTAGCCATGCCAGCTGGTATCTCCTTAGGTCATGTGCCATCCTAGTCCTCTGGCTCTGAGCCCAGCCTGGCACTAGGTGTTGCCTAGGAGTTGTAGTCCTTGTGTCCTTTCCAGTTTACCTAGGACTCCAGAGCACTTTGTCCCACTGTGGCGTAGCTTGCTAAGAAACTTAAGTTCTGACTGATGGAATGGGTGATTCCTCTCTGGCTAAATCTGGTCCAAATGCTCCCTCCATATCCAGGCACTGGCTGAGCCCAGCAAAGCTTTGCTCTCTGCCATGACAGGGCAACACTGAGTTCAATGTAAAGTTCCCCAGTCACTGCGCTCTTCCTCTCCCAAATGCACAGACTCTCCATGTTGAACAACTGTTGCTGGGGGTTAGGAGAAGGATGGCATTGGTGATTAAAGACTGTCTCTCCAACCCTCCTCAATGTCACTTCCAATCATATGAAGTTAAAACCAGGTACTGTGTTTGCTCACCTGATTTTTGGGTCTTGTGATAGTGTTTTTCAGTGTGCAGATAGCTGGTAAAATTTGGTATTCCAGTGAAGATATGAATGGTGCACGTATTCCCCATCTTGCTTTGTCCCCTCACAGGTATCTTTTTGACATACTGATTTCATATCCTTTGATACTCAGTAGTGGAACTGCTGAATCATATGGTAGTTCCATTTTAAGTTTTTGGAGGTACCTCCATACTGTTTTCATTAAATAATGACTGTATTAGTTTACATTGCAACCAATAGTGTACCAGGGTTCCCTTTTCTCCACGTCCTTGCCATCTCATATTATTTTTTGCCTTTTGATAAGAGCCATTCTAACAGTTGTGAGGTAATATCCTATTTCATCATTTTGAAGCATCCCTATTTTTTGATGAATACCCTTTAAGGTAAAAATTTCCTAAATACTGCTTTTGTCCCCCAAATGCTTGCATCATTTTCATTGTCATTCAATCCTAATATTTCCTAATATCTCAATTATTTCACTTATAATTGAAAGTTATTTCACAGTATTTTAGATAAGTTCCAGGAATTTAAAAACTATCTTTTTAAAATTGCTTTATAAGTTTATTGAATAATATTCAGAGACAATGTTTTATCTGGGATTTATTGAGGTTTACTTTTTAACAAGTTTTTGTTACCAGTTATTTTTTGTAAAGTTATGTTTTGTTAAAAATAATTTGTATTCTTTGCTTTAATGTTATGTAATTTTATACTGAGATACACAAAAAGATATATATACAAAATATAGCATATTTGAGTCGCACAATAAATTTGACATTATTCAAATTTTCTAAGCCATTGCTAATTTTTTTGGGGGGGTCTGATTATTGATTTCTGTTAGGGATATGTTAAAATCTCCAACTACAATTGTTTATTTCTTTCTTTCTATAACCCTGTCAGTTGTTGCTTCCTATCTTTAAAAGCTCTTTATACATTAAGGAACAAATTTGTCCATGATCATTATACCCAGGTATTTTTATTAGTTTTTATAATGCCTTAGGGCAAATTTGAAAAAGTACTGCTTCTTTACAGAAATGGCCTTATGAGCATACAATTGAGCAAAATTCTAGCTGCAGTTTGACCCTTTCTTGGCCCTTGGTCCAGTCTTTGTGCAAAGTACAGACTGTCTAATTCAAAGTGGTAGTAGTGGTTACATATTTTAAATTTAGTAATTTTTTCTAGAACATATATTTCTTTGTCCTTTATGACACTTTTGACATTGCATTCATTTTTTTTTCCTCTGACTACCATTTTTGCCCTAGATTGTCTAGTTACACACTTCTGTTTTATCATGGAATAAACATTTTATGTTTGAGCCCCTGTTATGATGGGCTATCATATGAAAGAGAATCTGATCTAAAATGTATTCCTATCTTCTATTGGACTGTTCAAATGTTCTTTCCCTGATAAAAGTAAAGTGTGGTATAATATGAAATACATTTGGTCTTTGTCTTGAGTTCCTAAAACCATCGGAATTTCTTAAGTGATAGAATGTCTTTTGTTACTGATCACCTCTGATAACTTTTGAGTTTATGCTAATGATTACTAAGGGTGGGTCCCCTGGGTATCCTCATGATAGGACCAGTCTACAGAGCTACAGAGGGACCAGGTGATTACAGGGCTGGAACTTTCAGCCCCACCTACTGACCTACAGAAAGAGGGTTGAGGGCTGGAGATTAAACTCCATAGAAACTTTTGAACAAGATTTGATGAGTTTCCAGGTTGCCCAAATCTCATCCTATGCATTTCTTCATCTGCATTTTTAAAAATATCTTTTATAATAAACTGGTAAACATGATTAAAGTGTTTAACTGAGTTCTGTGAGCTGTCCAAGCAAACTATCAAACTAAGGAGAGGGGCTATGGAAACTCCAATTTATAACTGGATAGGTCACAATCTGGGACTTGCAATTGGCATTTGAAATAGGGGACAGCCTTGTGGGACTGAGCCTTTATCCCTTTAAAATGTGAAATCTGATACAATTTCCAGATTACAGTGTCAGAATTGAACTGAATTACAGGATACTCAGGTGCTTTCTGCTGGCAAGTCGCTTGGTGTGGGAAAAAATCCCCACAAATCTGTTCACAGAGGTGTTCTGTGTTGAGTAGAATGTACAAAGAACAAAAACATTTTGGTTTTTCCTTTTACATAGGTATTCTTTTATTTTCCTAGAGGAGGGAAGGGTTCAATTTATTAAAGTTACAAATTTAAAACTAGTTCTCAAACTTTAAATTTCAGATTACACGTTATTCTATTGATAAGTGTATCACATTTAAGTACTTTTAAAAAATGTTTAATAATTTTGGTCCCATTTATAAACTTTGTTAATTCAACATCTTCAAACACTTTAAACCATGTTTGTCAACTTAATATGTCAGATATTGTTTAATTTCTGCAATTGTCTAAGTTACATAAATCTTATTTTAGTGTCTTATATCCTTCAAACATAATAAATCTAAAGCTGTCTTAGACATTCCAATATTCTGTGTAAAATTAAGACTCAATTAAAATTCTAAGTCAAATAATCATTTATTTAAAATAGGATGTATAAGTGTGTCATTCTAACTGGTCAAAATTTCTTAAACATTCCAAGTATGTACAATGTAAATTATGCACATATTTCTTGTTAGCTTCAACTATTATTTCCGTGATTCTTATTCCATTAAGCTTGTCTGTACTTAACCAGGTTGATCAGAGATTTCCAGTAAGCTTAAGACCTGTAGCTGCAGATTTTCTGAGCCATTCTTCCCACTGCACATGCTTTTAAAAATTATTATTCTCGCCTGTAATCCCAGCACTTTGGGAGGCCAAGGTGGGCGGATCACCAGGTCAGGAGATCAAGACCATCCTGGCCAACATGGTGAAACCCCGTCTCTACTGAAATACAAAAAATTAGCCAGGCATGGTGGTGTGCGCTTGTAATCCCAGCTACTTGGGAGGCTGAGGCAGGGGAATCGCTTGAACCCAGGAGGCGGAGGTTGCAGTGAGCCGAGATCGCACCACTGCACTCCAGCCTGGTGACAGAGCAGGACTCTGTCTCAAAAAAAAAAAAAAAAAAGAAAAAGAAAAAGAAAAAGAAAAAAATTAGTATTCTGATATTTGTTACTAATTTTAAATATCAGTCAGATTTTCATTATTTCCTATATATTAAATTACCGATTATCTATATCATTCATGAGTATAATTAGTTGGTTCTACCTAGATATACTCATATCAATATGTGATTGAAAACTGGTTCTTCTGAATTATTTTGAACTCTTACAATAAAATAACATATAGGTTGTCTAAAATTACAAAACAAGTCATGTTTCATTTTACTCTCGTTACATAGGTTATTGTATAGCATCTTGTTTTTCCTTGAATAGCATTTTGTTTTTCCTTAAATAAACAAAACCATCTTGCTTTCCTTAAATTCTTTTTCCACAAGAATCTCTTATCTTTAGAGATTATTACCGATATGTGATAAATAGGTCTGTAATGCCATTTTGATGATTAACATTACGTGTCAACTTGAATGGAATGAAGGAAGCCTAGGCTGGTAAAGTATTGTTTCTAGATGTGTCTGTAAGGTGTTGCCAGAGGAGACTGACATTTGAATATGTGGACTAGGAGAGGAAGACTCACCCAATCCACCATCCAGTCGGCTGCCAATGCAGCTGGAACAAAGCGGGTGAAGAAGGTGGGATAACCTTGCTTGCTAAGTTTTCTGGCTTCTTTCTTTTTCCTGTGCTGGATGATTCCTTTCACTCTTCCTGCCCTTGGACATCCAACACTAGGTTCTTTGGCCTTTGGACTCTGGAACTTGCACCAGTGGCTTGCTGGTGGCTCTCAGGCCTTTGACCACAGACTGAAGCCTGTCCTGTCAGCTTCCCTGGTTTTAAGCCTTTCAAAATGGACTCACACTTGGACTAAGCCACTACTGGCTTCTCCCTTCCCCAGCTTGCAGAAATTCTATGGTGGGACTTTGTCTTATAATCATATGAGCCAATTCTCCCTAATAAACTCCCTTTCGTATATACATATATCCTATTAGTTTTGTCCCTCTGGAGAACACTGACTAATACAGCCACCCTACAAATAAAATAAGTAGTCTATCTTACCTTTGTGGAGGAGGGACACTGGGTGACCATGATCTAGTCCTTCCTATAACATCTACTCGATGAGGAGACCCTGATGGTGAACAGTGGTTTGATGACATTACTTGTTCTGGCACTGATAATGTTGAGCTTTGAAGATCTCGACCATCATGTCGATAATCTAAAGGTAGAAAATTAATAAATATTATAGTTATGTATGTACAAAGTCCTTTGCGTCTCTTCTACTTTACTCAAAAACAAAATGTTGGTGAAATTTAAAGACTTCTAATATATTAAATATAAAGTATAGTGAATAAACCATGATATTAAGACAAAATATTTTATGAAAACAGAAATTAAAAAGGAATGACAGATATTCAAATATTTAGACAGTTACTATATCCAAGGCATTGTGCTGCGTAAAGCTTTTATATAAACTTAGAGTAAAATTTTACATACAGTTAATTATCTCCAATAGAAGACTCAAATTTATTCTAAAAATATTTTCATCTCTTCAATGACCTAGAAAAGCTTCAAATAATTCTTATCAATTATTTAAAATTATTAAGCTCATAAAAACTCCTAAACATTAACATCTTTTTTTTCAGTGATAAAAAGTTTTAGAAAACATGCTGAATACCTTTTGTAGTAGATGTGTAAACGGCTTTTGCTTTTTTTAAAAAATGAGATGGGGGTCTCACTATGTTGCTTAGACTAGCCTCAAATGACCCTCCCACCTCAGTCTCCCAAGTAGCTGGGACTACAGGCCCGTGCCACTGCACCTATCATTTTTCTTACAGTATATGACAGGGCTGAGATACAGTAGAATTCTGAGAATAAAAATATGACAAATCAGAAGAGAGTAACAACCCAATGATCTGACACATTTATACAAAGTATATTAGAAGAGATACTATCTAAAAGAGTAGCAGAAAGCAACTGGTATGTGGAGAGATGGAAGGAAAGTAGAAGGACTTCTAAGTTGGTAGGAAAACAACAGTTCAATGTGGGGAAATGAGCAGGAAAAGTACGTTTGACTCAAGTTGTAGATATCTAAAACATCATAAGGTTGATAATGGAAAGAGCCTGAAAATTTCTGAGCAGGAAGTAATATTATCACCACTACCACCATTATCTTCATCATACTCTTTGTGGCTATTAGTAATTGACCTTTTACTACGTGCTAGGAACTCTGCTATGCACTTTAAAAAAGTGTTCCATTACAACATTCGTTTCAGAAATAACTCAGAAAAACAACTGTTCATATGTAATATTTCCTATCATGATAATACTTTACAATATTAACTCACATTAGATTCCCTAGAAACAAGGATTCACCTGTACATGAATAAGTGAAGTAGTGCCCTCAGGAAGAAGGAGAAGAGCAGAATAGGGCAAGAAAAAAGGGAAGAAACTAAGCAATGATGTATTCTCAGTCTGATCCAACTGTATGCTCTGAAACATGAACAATTGCCCAGGGTTGGTCTGACTTTGAGGTAAGAGGCCTGGATTTTTGTACTCCTGTGTTAGCCATTCACTGGCTAAAGACTGCCAGTGGAGAGTCAGCAAGGTGTTTAACCTCATGGATGAGGTGGTTTCCATTTGACCAGGCAATTCTCCAGAGAGAGAGGGACAGCTGTGAGTTGTTAACAACCAACACTCCCCATAACTGAGGATGAGTAAACCAGCTGGTAAAGAGGATATGGGTGGAACATCAACAGTGTCCACTACAACTTCCAAATAATTGCAGTTGAATGTAAAGTTCACTAACACAGCGGGATGCAGCAAACCAGAGAAATACAGAACTGCACACAATGCTCATTCATCCCAAGAATCTCATGTTCCTCCTCTTGGCTCTTTGGTCACAAACTCTGTCTTAGATATATGTACTTGGTGGGTCTTTACTGATGTTTGTGGATAGTCCCCTTGAGTTCATAACTTTGCAGACTTATCCTTCTTTCCATCTAGATATACTCCTTTCATCTAGATATCTTCATTTTATTTTAGACTCCTATTATATAGTAAATATTTTTATTGCATAAAATTTAACATGACTTTTTAATTGTGTTATTTTATTTTTTACTCTTCAGTTTTCAAAGCTGCATGGGTTTTGAATGGTCTTTCCTAACCTTTCTTTCCCAGAAGCCCTGCTGTTTTTAGTCCATGATTATGCACAGCACAAGGTTTCCTCAGGAACACATATATTATGTAATACAAAACAACTCTGCCAAGATATTACCTCCATTTCCATTTGAGAAAACAGAGGTAAAAAAAATCTAAATTAAGTGTCAATACCACAGTTGAGACTTAAAAGAAGATACTTCTGACTCCAGTGCTCTCACTGTGTCCCAATAGTACATTCTGCTCTGATGATGGAAGTAATACTTTAGGAAAATGAAGCTGATAGCAGTATACAATTCATATTGAAGGATAGAGAGATTGCAGCAAGAAGATTAATTGTTCTTACAAAACTTAGAACAGTATTGTCCAATAGAACTCTAAAATGATGGAATGTTCTTCTATCAGTGCTGTCCAATTTGGTAGCCACTAGACACATGACTACTGAGCATTTGAAATCTGGATGGTATTAATGAGAATCTAAATTTTAAACATGTTTATTTTAAATTCATTTAAATAACCACATACAGCTAGTGGCTATATATACTATACATTTAGTAAAATAGAACAAGAAAAAGGAAAATCAAAATGCCAGAAGAGGAGGGCATTTTGCAATTTTATATAGGGTGGTTAGACTAGGTAACACAAATTGAGAAGGTGACATTTCAGAAAGAATTGAATGAGATGGTTTTCCAAGCTGATAAACACAGAGAGAAAGGTTCTAAGACAAGTGAAAAGGCCCCAAGGTAGCAGTGCGTCTCACATGTTCACAGAACAGCAAGGAGGATAGGGTGCTTGGAGTGGAGCAAGTGATGAAGAACAGCTATTGGAGACATTTGGAGGGAAGGGGGAAGATTATGTAGACGCTTGTAAATTATTGCAAACATTGTGGCATTTAATCTGAGTGATTTTAACCCATTCGTGGGTTTTAAGCAGAAATTGTGCATGATTTAACTTTTGCTTAAGGCTAGACAAGGTAGTAAGTCATACAGGCAATAACAGCAGCTTTAACTAGGATAATAACAGAGATTATAGAAGTGGATATATTTTGAAGGAATAGCAATAAAGACAATTTTGTGAAAGATTTGAGGGACATGAGAGAAAGAGAAGAGACAAGAACAAATCTAAAATTCTGACTTAAGTAAAATAATGAAGTTATCAAATGACATGGTTTGGTGGAAAAGATCAAAAGTTTAGTTTTGGACATGTTAAGCTGGAGATACCTACTACATTTCCAAGTGAAGATGTCAGGTGGGCAGTAAACTATAAGAATTTAAAGAAAAAATAAGTAGAATTGACTGGAGATATACATTTGGGAGTTTTAGCATATAGATAACTATTTAAAGCCATGGGACTTTAAACATGGGACTTGAGATCACTAGGAGAAGGAGTAAGATAGAGAAAAGATCCAAGAATAGAGTTCAGGCCATGCCAACATGAATCAGTAACATTTTGTGACTAGATGAAAAAGCAAAAAAAGAGCAAAAATTAATGCACCTTAACTTTTTAAGTTAGCCTATTAGGAAGTCAGAGTATACTACTGGCCAGCTGTGGTGGCTCATACCTCTAATCCCAGCACTTTGGGAGGCCAAGGTGGGAAGATCACTTGAGGTCAGGAGTTCAAGACCAGACTGGCCAAATGGTGAAACCCCATCTCTACTAAAAATACAAAAATTAGCTGGGAATGGTGGCATGTGCCTGTAATGCCAGCTACTCGGGAGGCTGAGGCAGACGCATTGCTTGAACCCGGGAGGTGGAGGTTGCAGTGAGCTGAGATCACACCACTACACTCCAGCCAGGATGACAGAGCAAGACTCTGTCTCAAAAAGAAAAAAAAAAAACTATGCTACTAAGATAAGAGTAAGAAAAGTTTATTAAGGTTGACTAGCTTGGAGAAGGGGAAATGAGGGTAGTTTCAGTTGCGTAGGTCAAATATTAAATATGTGGAAAAGAATCTTGAGAAAGATGTTAGGATTGTTGCTAAACATTTGAAAGTCATTTATAAAGAGATCATCATTGTAACCCAAGGAAAGATTACATATATAGATAGAAAAGAAGTCTGATTATTGAGTTTAAGAGATACCACTGAGAAAAGGAGAAGTTAATTCAAGAACTCAAATTATGCAGTCACATGGAGATTAAAAATAAACAAACATCTGTCCAAAATTAAGACATAATTAAACCCTCAACATTTTCAATGGGAAATAAATTATTTACATTTGTGTGTATTGTTTCAGGTCAGAGTAGAAAATAATTCTAAAATTGTACATGACTAGGTTTGATATTTTATCTATATATAGTCTATTTATTCAAGTTGTGAAGTGCATCAATAGGTTAAAAGGAATGGTTTATAACCATTCCCATTCCTGTTGCTCAGTATACTATGGGGGGGAAAACTCCATGCCTAGAATTGCTTACTTGAGAAAAATTTCCATACCAAAGTTTCAACTTACTTTAAAGAACATTAACAATGCAAATATCAAAGTTACCTCTGACTTAAAGACTTGGTATCAGAATAAGCCAAATAAAGAGCACATGGAGGAACTTCTAGTTTCTGTTTCTGTTTGTAAGGAGCTTGTAATGTTTTCACTGTCCTAACAACAAATAAAAAGCTGAACAGACTGAAAAAGCGACAAATTATCTTGGATCTGTAAAAGAGGGATGACACAGGGCAAACAACTGCCCCCAAGATTGAAGAGACAGGCAAAAACAGGGAGTCACAGCTTATGGAGAAGATACTTATGAGGGGAAAGCAGTGTGGGAACCAGTGCCAGAGTAGGAAAACTTGACCTTCAAATGACAAATTGCTAGAGGATCAGTTAAGAACAAGTCTGAGAGTTATAAACTCCACAGGAACCCAGTCATTGAGGTCTCTTACAATATTGTGAGACTCACCTCCAGGAGCTCCACCAGGTTCCCACAGTAAATATTGAAGAAAAATCTCCTCATGCTTCCAAGAGGGAGAGGGAAACAGGAACCATTTTGAAATACTCCAGAATGCCCTACTTTTCTTAACAAGACTTTCCCTCAGGGGAAACTAATTAACCAAAGCCTAACCAATCTGGGAGAAGGGAAATACCCAAATCTAGTCCACTCTAGCTTTCCACACAGGAGAAAGAAAACATTTCCAGCCCACTCTAACCATCTTGTTCCACCTAAGGGAGGAGGGAAAAAATGAGAACCACTTGAAATTTTCACAATCCAGAGGCTCACTAAGACTGAGACCTAATCATAGGAATATAGAATGTTTCCCTTCCCCGACCTTACCAGCACATTACTAAAGGCCTATTTACAGCAATTTCTTTTAACCAGCACATCATATCTGCCTATCAATAAAAAAATTATCAAGAAAAAACAACTACAGGCTGGGGATAGTGGCTCACACCTGTAATCTCAGCATTTTGGGAGGCCAAGGCAGGTGGATTACTTGAGGTCAGGAGTTGAAGACCTGTCTGGGAAACATGGAGAAAACCTGTCTCTACTAAAAAATACAAAAATAAACTGGACATGATGGTGCACACCCATAGTCCCAGCTAGTAAGGAGGCTGAAGCTGGGGGACTCACTTGAGCCCAGTAGGCAGAGGTTGCAGTGAGTTGGGATCGTGCCACTGCCCTCCATCCTGGGCGACTGAGCGAGTCCCTGTCTAAAAAAAAAGAAAGAAAAAAATTACATACCAAAAGGCAAAAAACACAATTTGGATAAAAAGAGCAAGTGTCAGAATCAGATATAGCAGGAATGCTGGATTTATAAGACTGAGAATTTAAAACCACTATGATTAATATACAAAGGGCTCTAATAAATAAAGTGGACAGCCTGCAGGAATAGATGAGCAATGTAAGCAGAAAGAAATTCTAAGAAAGAGCTAAAAAGAAATGCCAGAGACAAAAGAAATACCTGTAATAGAAATGAAGAATGCCTTTGATGGGCTTATTAGTAGACTGAACACGGTTGAGAAAAGAATCTCTGAACTTCAGGATATATGAATAAAAACTTCAAAAACTGAAAAGCAAAGAGAACAAGGACTGAAAAAATAACAGAAAAGAACATCCAAGAATTGTGGGACAACTACACAAGGTATAACATATTTGTAATGAGAATACCAGAAAGAGAAGAAAAAGAGAAAGAAACAGAAGAAAGATTTGAAAGAATAATGATTGAAAATTTCCCCAAACTAATGTCAGGAACCAAGCCACAGACCACAGATCTAGGGAGCTCAGAGAATACCAAGTAGGACAAATGCAAAATAATAACAACAAAGAGAAAAAAGAAAAACCCTTGAAAGAAGACAGAGAAAAAGAAGAAAACACTCCTCCTCTATAGAACAAAGATAAGAATTACATATGAGTTCTCTAGAGAAGCCATGCAAGTAAGAAGAGAGTGGAGTGAAATATTTGAAGGCTTGGAAGAAAAAAACCACCAACCTAGAATCCTAGGACCTGTGAAATTATCCTTCAAAAGTGAAGGAGAAAGAAAGACTTTCACAGACAAACAAAAATTTGGATTTTGTTGCCAGTAGAACAATATTACAAGAAATATTAAAGTAATTTTTTTTTAGAAAGAATGAAAAAGATATAGGTCAGAATTTCAAAGCTACATATAGAAAGAAAGAGCATTGAAAAAGGAATAAATGAAGGTAAAATCAAAAGCTTGTATTTTTCTTATTCTTAATTTATCTAACAGATAAGAATTAATTCAAAGTAATAATAGCAACAATGTATTCAATTATGTATGCTTAAATTTAAGTCGAATGACAGCAATGATACAAGAAGTGGGAGGAAGAAATTGGGATTTTCTAAGTATATGATATAACATTACCTATGAAGTATTACTTGAAAGCAGACTTGCATGAATTGCAAATGTATACTACAAACTCTAGAGTACCTACCCAAAAAAAAAGGTAAGAAAAAGAAGTATAACTGATATGCCAAGGAAGGAAAGACATATGATATGAAGGAAGGAAGGAATCATATGAAATGCTCAATTAAAAAAAAAACACTGAAAAAGAATAGAAGACAAAAATAAACAATGAATAAGGGTAACAAAAACAGTAGATATTAATCCCACTATATCAATAATCACTTTAAATGTCACTCATTTACATGCACTAACTAAAAGAGACTGTCAGATTCGATTAAAAAAATGAGGCTCAACTGTATAAGAAACCCACTTTAAATGGAAACAATCATATAAATTAAATGGATGGAAAAAAATGTACTATGGTAACACTAATCAAAAGAAGTTAGGAGTAGGCCAGGCATGATGGCTCACCATGCCTGTAATCCCAGCACTTTGGGAGGCTAAGGCGGGCAGATCACCTAAGGTCAGGAGTTTGAGACCAGCCTGGCCAACATGGTGAAACCTTGTCTCTACTAAAAATACAAAAATTAGCCAGATGTGGTGGCATGTGCCTGTAGTCTCAGCTACTCAGGAGGCTGAGGTGAGAGAATTGCTTGAACCCAGGAGGTGGAGTCTGCAGTGAGCTGAGATTGTGCCACTGCATTGCAGCCTGGGGCCTAGGTGACAGAGCCAGACTCTGTCTCAAAAAAAAAAAAAAAAAAAAGCAGGAGTAGGTACACTAATTTTAGACAAAGCTGACACCACAGCAAAAAAAAGTTATCAGGGATAAAGAAGGACATTCTATAAAGAAAAAGGAGCCAAGTCTTCAAGAAGAGATAACAATTCTTAATGTGTATGCATCTAACAAGAGAGTATCAAAATATGTCAGGCAAAAACTAATAGAAGTGCATAGAGAAATAGATGAATCCACCATTATAGTTGGAGATTACCGTACCACTCTATCAGAAATGAACAGATCTGCTTGAGCCTGAGATGCAGAGGTTGCAGTGAGCCAAGATTGCACCACTGCATTCCAGCCTGGGTGACAGAGCCAGACCCTGTCTCAAAAAACAAAACAAACAGGCTGGGCATGGTGGTTCATGCCCATAATCCCAGCACTGTGGGAGGCCGAGGCTGGTGGATTACGTGGGGTCAGGAGTTTGAGACCAGCCTGACCAACATGGAGAAATCCTGTCTCTACTAAAAATACAAAACAAATTAGCCAGATGTAGTGGCACATGCCTGTAATCCCAGCTACTCAGGAGGCTGAGGCAGAAGAATCACTTGAACCTTGAACCTGGGAGGCAGAGGTTGCAGTGAGCCAAGATCGCACTGTTGCACTCCAGCCTGGGCAACAAGAGTGAAACTCTATCTCAAAAAAAAAAAAAAAAAAAAAAAAAAAAAACAAGAACAGATCAAGCAGGCAGAAAATCAGTAAGAAGATAAGTGAACTCAAAAACACCATCAACTGAATATAATCAACATTTATGGACTACTTCATCATCAAAAATTAGCAGCATATACATTCTTCTCAAGTTCACCTGGAACCATTCACTAAAATAGAGCATATTCTGGGCCATAAAACACACCTTAGCAAATTTTTTAAAACATACAATGCTGCTCTGAGTCCACAATGAAAATAAATTAGAAAGCAGTAACAGAAAGATAACTGCAAAACCCAATAATATATTTCTAAATAACACATGGGTCAAGAAAAAAATCTCAAGGGAAATTTAAATATATCTTTAAATAAATAAAAATGAAAACAACAAAATTTGTGGGATGCAGTGAAAGCAGTACTTAGAAGAAAATTTATAGTACTGAATGTATATGTATATTAGAAAAAAAGCAATACCTAAAATCAGTCATCTAAATTTCTACCTCAGGAATCTAGAAAAAGAAGAGCAAATTAAATGCAAAGTAAGCAGTTACAAAATAAATAGTAGAATTAGAGTCAGTAAAATTGAAAACAGAAAATCAATAGAGAAAATCAACAAAATCAGAATCTGGTTCTTTAAAAAGATTAATAGAACAAATTAGCCTCTAGACAGGCTAATTAAGAGAAACAGGGTATAAAAATTACTAATATCAGAAATGAAAAAGAGGACATCACTACAGATCCCACGGACATTAAAAGGATAATAAAGGACTATTATGAAAACTCTATGCCCACAAATTTGATAATGTAGATGAAACTGGACCAATTCCTTGAAAGACACAGTTATGTCAAATTCAAACAAAAACAGATAACCTGAACAGGCCTACATCTATTAAATAAATTGAATCAATAATTAATATCCTCCTAAAATGGAAAGCAACACAGTTTAGATCGATTCACTGGTAAATTCTACCAAACAAGAAAGAAATTATTCAATTTTTCTACAATCTCTTTCAGAGAACAGAATCAGAGAGACTACTCTCTAACTCATTTTATAAGGCCAGTATTACCTCAATATCAAAACCAGACAAAGACATTAAAAGAAAAGAATACATCTCTCATGAACATTACTGCAAAAATTATCAATGTAATGTTAGCACACTGAATCCAACAATGTATAAAAAGAATTATACACAATAAGTGGGATTAATCTTGGATACACAAAGCTGTTTCCACATTCAAAAATCAATTAATGTAATCCACCACATCAACAGGCTATAAAAAAAAATCACATGACTAAATCAATAGACGGAGAAAAGACAGTTTGACAAAATCTAACATCCTGAATTTACTAAAAACTCCCAGTACACTAGGAATATGGGGGATCTTCCTCAAGTTGATGTAGAATATCTACCAAAAACCTACAGCTAACATCATATTTACCAGTTAAAAAAAGCTCAAAACTTTCCCACTGAGATCAGAAACAAGGTAAGGATGTCCACTCTCACCACTTGTATTCAACACTGTACTGGAAGTACTTAGATAATTCAATAAGGAAGAAAAGAAAATACATGCATACAGATTAGGGAGAAAGAAATAAAACTCTTTTTGTGATGCCATGATTGTCTATGTAAAAACCCAAAAGAATTGAAACAAAGAAACAAAAAGCTCCAGGAACTAATAAGTGATTATAGAAATGTTGTAGGATATAAGGTTAATATTCCAAAGTCAATAACTTTCCCATATATCAACAATGAACAAGTGAAATTAAAAATGCAACACCATTTACATTAGCAATTCCCAACAACGAAATACTTAGGTATAATCTAACAAAATATGTATAAGATCTACATGAGAAAAACAACAAAACTCTGATGAATGAAATAAAAAAGAACTAAATAAATAGATATTCCATATAAAGGAATACTCAATATTGTCAAGATGTCCAATCTTCCCAACTTGACCTACAGATTCAAAGCAATCTCAATCAACTTCTCAGCATATCAATTTGTGGAGTCTGATAACCAGATTCCAGACCTCATATGGAGAAGTAAAAGACAGAAGATTCAACACAGTATTGAAGGAGAAGAATGAAGTTGGAGAATTGACCCTGACTTTTCAATACTTACTATGAAACTACAGTAATCAGGACACTGTGGTACTCTTTGGTCAACGAATAGACAAATAAATCAATGGAACATATAGACAGCCTAGAAATAAACTGATATACATATATTGAACTGATCTCTGGCAACATAAAAGCAAAGGCAATACAATGGAGCAATGATGGTCTTTTCAACAAATGGTGCTGGAACAATTGGATGTCCACATGCAAAATAGGGAACCTAGACACAGACATTACACTCTTCAAAAATGCATCAGATATGTAAATATAAAATGCAAAATAATAAAACTCCTAGAAGATAACATAGGAGAAATCATAGATAACCTTGGGTATGGCAATAAATTTTTAGATATAACACCATAGGCATGATTGATGAAAGAAATGATTAATAACCTGAATTTCAATGAAATTAAAACTGCTCTGCAAAAGACAATGTCAAGACAATCCCTGCTTTAAGAAGCCACAGAAGAGAGAAAATATGTGTAAAAGACACATTTTATAAAGGACTGTTGTCCAAAATATACAGAGAACTCTTAAAACTCAACAATAAGAAAACAAACAACCCAATTAAAAAATAATGGGCCAAAGACCTGAGCAGACACATCACCAAAGAAATTAAACAGATGGCAAATAAGCATATGAAAAGATGTTCAACCTCATATGTCATCAGGGAAATGCAAATAAAAACAACAAGATACCACTATACACCTATTGGAATGGTCAGAACACTGACAACACCAAATGCTGGCAAGATGTGGAACAACAGGAGCTCTCATTCAACAGGAACTCTCATTCATTGCTGGTGGGAATGCAAAATGGTACAGACGTTTTGGAACTTTCTAACAAAACTATACTCTTAGCATACGATCCAGCAATTGTGCTGGTTGGCGTTTGCGAAAAGGAGTTGAAAACATGTCCACACAAAAACCTGCACACAGATGTTTATAGCAGCTTTATTTATAATTGCCAAAACTCAGAAGCAACCAAGATGTCCTTCAGCAGATGAATCAATAAACAAACTGTGGTATATCCAGACAATGGAATATTATTCAGCACTAAAAATAAATGAGCTATCAAACCATGAAAAGACAAAGCATATTACTAAGTGAAAGATGCCTATCTGAAAGGCTACAAACTGTATGATTCCAACTATGTGACATTCTGGAAAAGGCAAAACTATGGAGACAGTAAGAAGATCAATAATTGCCAGGGGTTAGGAGAAAGGGAAAGATGAATTTTTAAGGTAGTGGAAATATTCTGCATGATAATATAATGATGGATACATGTCATTATCAATTTGTCCAAATCCAATGAATATTTGACACCAAGAGTGAGCCCCAATGTAAACTATGGACCATGGGTGATTATGATGTGTCAAAGTAGGTTCATCAGTTGTAACAAACATACCAGTTTGGTGGAGGAGGTTGATAATGGGAGAGGCTATGAATGTGTTGGGGTAGGAAGACATATGGGAAATCTGTATACCTTCCTCTCAATTTTGCTATAAACCTAATGCTGCCCTAAAATTTAAAAAAACACATAGAAAATATTACTTCTGGCATAGTTAATATTCAAGACATCTGCCTTGCAAGCTTAGAAAAACTGAATAAGTTAGTCGAAACAGTTCCTACTTAAGAACAGTTTTGATAGTTCAGGTTTATTATGAATGATTGTAATTGATACTCTGAATTTGACTTTATTCAATGTGCAATTGGAAAGAAATCTCTGCATATAAGCAACAAACTATCAATAGATTTTGCTGGTTTGTTGACTCATACTATGTGTTTAAATATTATTAAGAGAGGTAGGGGTGCGCATTTTGTATATGTATACATTGCATTTCACATCTGAGTTGCTTTACCCAGAAAATATATTATTTATTTTATCTGGTGGTCCTTAAATTATTTGATAAGCTATTGATTAAAAAATTTATTCTCTATTAAAACTAGTTTTAATATTGGAGTTGTAAAATGAAAAGGCTATAAAGAGGAAATGTAAGGAAAATATTTAACAGAACTAATATATATTTAAGTCTTGGTGATCATAAGTCTTATGTAAATGTAATTCCTACAGCATTTACTAAAGTGATGGGTTATGAAAAAAAACTACATATACCATAATTTCAGAAACTACAATACCATCATCCTAATTTTTGAGTACTAAAGGTATTGTTAAAGTGTAGCATATCCAAAATTTAGCTGGGTTTAGAAAAAATAAGGGATTAGTTAGTCCTAGTTAGTACACTCAATAGGTATCGTGCCCTAGTTAGTAACCCTAGTTAGTACACACACTAGGTAGTGTGCACCTGTAGTCCCAGCTACTGGGGAAGCTGAGCTGAGAGGGTCAAATGAGCCTGGGGAAGTTGAGGATGCAGTGAGCTGTGATTGCACTACTGCACTCCAGCCTGGGCAACAGAGTGAGACCCAGTCTCAAAAACCAATCAATCAATCAATCAATCAATAAAAAATAAAGTGTAGTATATTACGAAAAATCTATTTCTCAAAATCGCATTGGATTTCAAAGTAGCAAAATATAGTATATTTCATGGCAGTCTTTTCAGTGTCTTATTAAACGATTCACCAGACAGTTTCTGACTGGCAAAATAATAAGAACAATAATGTCCAGATAGGAAAGAATGTTTTTCATATGAAGAAACTTAATGAATCCAGAGTAAGCACTTTGAGTGGGGTAGGGTTTCTAAACACAATTCTGTAGTGCCAGAAAATTATTCCAGAGACTATTAACCCAAATAAATGAAAAAATATACAACTTTTTCAAAAGATACAACTCCTTTTATAGGAGGGAAAAACTTAAAATGATCATATTAAATAAAGAAATATTTCTGTCATCTTGAAAACAGAAAATGAAAGGACAGAAACATCCAAAAATGGCATCAAGATGAACGATCTGAATGGAAAGAATTTGGAAGAAGAAAACCTAATGGACTAGATATTTACAAAAGATAAGAAATGGAATAGTCAAATAACAAAGGAATAGAATACAAATAGAAAAAAAAATTAATGATCTCCAAGAAAGCAATCATGAGAAATATTTCTCAAAACTACTTTATGAGTTTTAGCTCTTCTAAACCACAATACATGAAGAGTATTTTTGTAGTCTTATATTGTTCACCCTTAGTACAAAGAAAGGGAAAAAATAATCATTGAGTTTTTAAAAAGTGGTACACTGATAAAGGCATGCTAACTGACTCTTAACAAAAATTGGCAAAAAAATATTGTTATCAATCACTAATGCAACTGTGGCATGCCTTGCATACATTTTGTTTAGAGTAAAATTAGTCATAATTATGAAATCTATTAGGTTATTTAACCTTCAAAAGGAATAGAATACTTTATTTTACAATATTAAAGGTATTACATGTAAACATTGTCATCAGAACTTGCAGAAAAGATATATACTTACCTAAAATATTAAACCATTGGATAAGTTTCTAACTTTAAAATGAGGCAAATATTTTAAACTACAATACTATAATTTCAAAACGTAGCTGTACATGATACTTCATATAAAAACAATTTTAAAGTTTCAAAAACTCCCATTTAAACATTTGACATATTTAGATATGGTGGTTACATAAAAAAGATTTCATCTTTTTTCCACCATATTAGTGCAGTATAAAAAAGTCTGATTATGCAAGAACTCCTCCAATTTATTGTAAAATCCTTATTATTGTCTTAAAATAGAAAATTTATTGACATCTACGTATCTGGTATCTTTCAAGACTATCCAATCTAATTGGTACAGGTGTTCCAGCAATTGGGATTACTCAGGGGTTTAAGTTGTCATAGGTTGCCATAGGCTGTTTTGGAGGGTGAGAAGACGAGTTATATCTTTCTCTTTTATTTATTTACTTTTATGGTAAATGATGATGAATTGCACTCCCTTTTTAATACTATAAAATAATTCTAAAATTCTTACCTGATACTACACCAATTCCATCATCACAGTCATAGTCAGAGACTTCACTATCACTTATTCTCTTTGACCCTATAAAGTAAACAATAGCAATAATTAAAAATTCTGATTCTCTAAGGAAGAAAATTCCTCAAACACCTGAAAAACAAACGAAAATATTCTGAGTGAATCAGTTAATAACAAAAAATATGTACAGAAGAAAAGTCCTTATGAGCTTTTTGTCATTTATTTTCACATGCATTTCATGACGTGAGGATATGGGTGATGAGGAGTTAACAATTTATACAATTATTATTCTGCAGATGTATAAGATAAAGTTCCTAAATGGTTTAAAGCTTAAAATAACATTAAATACTAAATAATATGTGTAAGTTATCCAACACTGATAAAATCTATTAGAAAATAGATAAGTCAAGTTAATTTTAGATGCTTATGGACAAAGACACTTAAGACCAGATAAATTTCAAAACACAATGTGTTATATTCAAATGCATGAATGTGTCTTTTTCTAATATGCATCACCAATACATTGAATATAGTCAGTTCCTTATTTTTCATGCTCATGGAGAGAAAGTATAATTCAGAAAAGCAAACTCACTTAAGACATCTTAAATATCCTTTTTAAAAAAACTATGTAGTTTAGCTATTTGTCTATTGCTTTGAAAAGACAATAAGAAAAAAGTCATCCACAATACTAATACATCAAAATTGTGAGTTTTGTTATGTTTTCTAAGAAATAGACTAGGAAAGGCACTCATAGTTATTACAATTCAAGAGCACCATGTTTGTGTTTTTCCTCACATAACAAATCTATAGCAAAATTTTTAAATGTGAATCTTACTGTGGCAAAAATAGCATCAAATTGAATCAACCAGAGCTTTGAGGACTAAAGTAGATTGTGACTACACGCTTATATATGAAATTATTGCATATAAAAACAAACGTTGTTATTTGTTTTTAATTTGTTTTCACCTCCATGTGTTTCAGGAACAGACACACCCCACACAACAGAATTCTTTATTAGTCTTGCTAGCGGTCTATCAATTTTGTCGATCTTTTAAAAAAATCCAGCTCCTGGATTCATTGATTTTTTGACGGGTTTTTTGTGTCTCTATCTCCTTCAGTTCTGCTCTGATCTTAGCTATTTCTTGCCTTCTGCTAGCTTTTGAATGTGTTTGCTCTTGCTTCTCTAGTTCTTTTAATTGTGATGTTAGGGTGTCAATTTTAGATCTTTTCTGCTTTCTCTTGTGGGCATTTAGTGCTATAAATTTCCCTCTACACACTGCTTTAAAGACTGAAATATAATTTGAGCCTCAGTGAGGAAGCCAAAGGTACAATTCTGTAATATGTTAGATGATAGGGAAGAGGGTGCTTATCAAATTGCAAAATTGTATATGGTTTGGAAGAAAAGGTAGAGATACACGGTGGCTCACGCCTGTAATCCTAGCACTCTGGGAAGCTGAGGCAGGCAGACTGACTGAGCTTAGGCATTCGAGACCAGCCTGGGCAACATAGTAAAACCCCATCTCTACTAAAATACAAAAAAATAAAAAAAGAAAAAAAATATTAGTCAGGCATGGCGGCATGCACCTGTAGTCCCAGCTACTAGGGAGGTTGAGGCAGGAGGCGGAGGTTGCAGTGAGCCAAGATCACGCCACTGCACTACAGCCTGGGTGACAGAGTGCGATTCCATCTCAAAAAAAAAAAATTACTTTTTTAGGTATGCATGTTAATATTTCAAAAGTAACCACTAAAACAATAGAGATTAAAAGCAGACAGAAAGCAGAGTATAAAAATAGTAATAACATGTCCCTATTTATGATACAAAAAATAAAAAATAATAATCCATATACATTTGTCTGTGTGTGCATTTTTGAGATATTGTCACTATAATTGTAATTTTGCAATTTCTCTTTCACTTCCTTCTGGTTTTTAATACAGGTGTGATAAAACCAAAGTCTAGGATTTTAGATGCTTCTCTGATCCTGATAAATACCCTTTTTGAATCTTCTCCCAGACCTGAGCTAAGCACACCTGGAGATTCATGACAAGGACATCAGTTGCAGTTGCTTCTGTAGATGGCCCACAAAATCAGGGTGCAAGGGGATGAGAGATAAACACAGGTTCCAGTTTGTCTGCATGGGTTCTAGTTTTCTTTGATTTTCCTTTTTGGATGCGTTTTTCCTAACCAGTCTATCCTTCTGTCCCACAGAGACTTCCAGAATCACTACTATATGAACAGGCAACAGACTTTCACAGACTTTTTCACTAGCTCCTCTTCGTGGTCTTTGGCAAGTGACTTTTCTCAGACTCCTCAACCATTGTCTTACAACCTTCCTAAAACAATTCCCAGTTTCTCCCACCACTTTGTAAAGTTTAATCTTTAAAATAAATATCTTATTTGGTAGTACTTCAGCACTAAATGCTTTGGCTTCCTCACTGAGGCTTAAATTATATTTCAGTCATTAATCCACCTAGAGTTTAGTTTTTTGTACATGGTGCAAGAAAAAGATCAAGTTCTATTTTCTTTTCTTTATGAATAGCATTTTTTCAAGCTCATTTATTCTTTTTTAAACTTTTATTTTAGGTTTGAAGGTATATGTGAAGGTTTGTTACATAGGTCAACTCGTGTCCCGAGAGTTTGTTTTACAGAATATTTCATCACCCAGGTATTAAGCTCAGTATCTAACAGTTATGTTTTCTGCTCCTTTCTATCCTCCCACCCTCCACCCTCAAGTAGACCCCAGGGTCTGTTGTTCCTTTCCTTGTGTTCATGAGTTTTCTTTATTTAGCTCCCACTTTCAAGTGAGAACATGTGGTATTTGGTCTTCTGTTCCTGCATTAGTTTGCTAAGTATAATGGCCTTACAGTTCCATCCATGTTCCTGCTAAAGACATGATGTTGTTCTTTTTTATGGCGTCATAGTATTCTATGGTGTATATGTACCACATTTTCTTTATCCAATCTGTCATTGATGGGCATCTAGGTTAATTCCATGTCTTTGCTATTGCGAATAGTGCTACAAAGAACATTCACATGCATGTGTCATTATGGTAGAATGATTTATATTCACCTGGGAATATACCCAGTAATGGGATTGCTGGGTCAAATGGTAGTTCTACATTTAGCTCTATGAGGAATCACCATACTGCTTTACACAACAGTTGAACTAATTTACACTCCCACCAACAATGTGTAAGTGTTCCCTTTTCTCCACAACCTTGCCAGCATCTGTTATTCTTTGACTTTTTAATGATAGCCATTTTGTCTGGTGTGCGATGGTATCTCATTGTAGTTTTGATTTGCATTGCCCTAATGATTAGTGATATTGAGCTTATTTTATATGCTTGTTGGCCGCATGCATGTCTTCTTTTTTTATTATTACACTTTAAGTTCTGGGGTACATGTGAACAACGTGCAGGTTTGTTACATAGGTATACACATGCCATGGTGGTTTGTGGCATCCATCAAACCATCAACTACATAAGGTATTTCTCCTAATGCTATCCCTCCTCTAGCCCCTCACTCCCCAACAGGCCCCGCTGTGTGAGGTTCCCCTCCCTGTGTCTATGTGTTCTCAATGTTTAACTCCCAGTTATGAATGAGAACATGCGGTGTTTCATTTTCTGTTCTTGTGTTAGTTTACTGAGAATGATGGTTTCCAATGCCATCCATGTCCCTGCAAAGGACATGAACTCATCCTTTTTATGGCTGCATAGTATTCCATGGTGTGTATGTGCCACATTTTCTTTATCCAGTCTATCATTGATTCATTGATGAGCATTTGGGTTGGTTCCAAGTCTTTGCTATTGTGAACAGTGCTGCAATAAACATACATGTACATGTGTCCTTACATTAGAATGATTCATAATCCTTTGGGTATATAACCAGTAATGGGATTGCTGGGTCAAGTGGTATTTCTAGTTCTAGATCCTTGAGGAATTGTCACACTGTCTTCCACAATGGTTGAACTAATTTACACTCCCACAAACAGTGTAAAAGCGTTCCTATTTCTCGATATCCTCTCCAGCATCTGTTATTTCCTTACTTTTTAATGATCGCCATTCTAACTGGCATGAGATGGTACCTTACTGTGGTTTTGATTTACATTTCCCTAATTACCAGTGATAATGAGTTTTTTTATATGTTTGTTGGCCACATAAATGTATTCTTTTGATAAGTGTCTGTTTATATCCTTCCTCCACTTTTTGATGCATTTGTTTGTTTTTTTCTTGTAAATCTGTTTAAGTTCTTTGTAGATTCTGGATATTAGCCCTTTGACAAATGGACAGATTGCAAAAGTTTTCTCCCATTCTGTAGGTTGCCTGTTCACTCTGATGATAGCTTCTTTTGCTGTGCAGAAGCCCTTTAGTTTAGTCAGATCCTATTTGTCTATTTTGGCTTTTGTTGCCATTGCTTTTGGTGTTTTAGTCATGAAGTCTTTGCCCATGCCAATGTCCTGAATGGTATTGTGTAGGTTTTATTCTAGGGTTTTTATGGTTTTAGGTCTTATGTTTAAGTCTTTAATCCATCTTGAGTTAATTTTTGTATAAGGTGTCAGGAAAGGATCTAGTTTCAGCTTTCTGCATATGGCTAGCCACTTTTCTGAACACTATTTATTATATAGGGAATCCTTTTCCCATTGCTTGTTTTTGTCAGGTTTGTCAAAGATCAGATGGTTGTAGATGTGTGGCATTATTTCTGAGGCTTCTGTTCTGTCCCATTGGTCTATATATCTGTTTTGGTACCAGTGCCATGCTCTTTTGGTTACTGTAGCCCTGCAGTGTAGTTTGAAGTCAGGTAGCGTGGTGCCTCCAGCTTTGTTCTTTCTGCTTATGGTTGTCTTGGCTATGTGGACTCTTTTTTGGTTCCATATGAAATTTAAAGTAGTTTTTTCCAATTCTGTGAAGAAAGTCAATGGTAGCTTGATTGGGATAGCATTAAATGTATAAATTACTTTGGGCAGTATGGCCATTTTGAGTTTTGGTTCTTCCTATCCATGAGCATGGAATGTTTTTCCATTTGTTTGTGTCCTCTCTTACTTCCTTGAGCAGTGGTTTGTAGTTCTCCTTGAAGAGGTCCTTCACATCCCTTGTAAGTTGGATTCCTACGTATCTTTTTTCTCTTTGTAGCAATTGTGAATGGGATTTCACTCATCATTTGGCTCTATGTTTGTCTGTTATTAGTGTATAGGAATGCTTGTGATTTTTGCACATTGATTTTGTATCCTGAGACTTTGCTGAAGTTGCTTATTAGCTTAAGGAGATTTTGGGCTGACATGATGGGGTTTTCTAAATACACAATCATGTCATCTGCAAACAGAGATAATCTGACTTCTCTTTTTCCTACTTGAGTACCCTTTGTTTCTTTCTCTTGCCTGATTGCCCTGGCCAGAACTTCCAATACTACCTTGAATAGGAGTGGTGAGAGAGGGCATCCTTGTCTTGTGCCAGTTTTCAAAGGGAATGCTTCCAGTTTTTGACAATTCAGTATGATATTGGCTGTGGGTTTGTCACAAATTGCTTGTATTATTTTGAGATATGTTCCATCAGTGCCTAGTTTATTGAGACTTTTTAGCATGAAGGGGTGTTGAATTTTGTTTAAGGCCTTTTCTGCATCTATTGAGATAATCATGTGGTTTTTATCATTGGTTCTGTTTATGTGATGGATTATGTTTATTGATATGGGTATGTTGAACCAGCCTTGAATCCCAGGGATGAATCCAACTTGATTGTGGTGGACAACCTTCTTGATGTGCTGCTGGATTCAGTTTGTCAGTATTTTACTGAGGATTTTCACATTGATGTTCATCAGGGATATTGGCCTGAAATTGTCTTTTTTTGTTGTGTCTCTGCCAGGTTTTGTTATCGGGATGATGCTGGCCCCATAAAATGAGTTAAGGAGGATTCCCTCTTTTTCTACTGTTTGGGGTAGTTTCAGAAGGAATGGTACCAGCTCCTCTTTGTACCTCTGGTAGAATTTGGCTGTGAATCCATTTGGTCCTGGACTTTTTTTGATTGGGTAGGCTATTAATTGCTGCCTCAATTTCAGAACTTGTTATTGGTCTATTCAGGGATTTGACTTCTTCTAGGTTAGTCTTGGGAGGGTGTATGTGCCCAGGAATTTATCCATTTATTCTAGATTTTCTAGTTTGTTTGCATTGAGGTGTTTATAGTATTCTCTGATGGTACTTTGTATTTCTGTGGGATTGGTAGTGATATCCCCTTTATCATTTTTTACTGCATCTATTTTATTCTTCTCTATTTTCTTGTTTATTAGTCTGGCTAGTAGTCTGTTTTGTTTGTCTTTTCAAAAAACCAGCTCCTGGATTTGTTGATTTTTTTGAATGTTTTTTCGTGTCTCTGTCTCCTTCAGTTCTGCTCCGATCTCAGTTATTTCTTGTCTTCTGCTAGCTTTTGGATTTGTTTGCTCTTGCTTCTCTAGTTCTTTTAATTGCGATGTTAGGGTGTAAATTTTAGATCTTTCCTGCTTTCTCTTGTGGGCATTTAGTGCTATAAATTTCCCTCTACACACTGCTTTAAATGTGTCTCAGAAATTCTGGTACGTTGTGTCTTTGCTCTCATTGGTTTCAAAGAACATCTTTATTTCTGCCTTCATTTCGTTATTTACCCAGTAGTCATTCAGGAGCAGGTTGTTCAGTTTCCATGTAGTTGTGTGGTTTTGAGTGAGTTTCTTAATCCTGAATTCTAATTTGATTGCACTGTGGTCTGAGAGACTGTTTGTTATGATTTCCGTTCTCTTGCATTTGCTGAGGAGTGTTTTACTTCCAATTAGGTGGTCAATTTTAGAATAAGTGTGATGTGGTGCTGAGAAGAATGTATATTCTGTTGATGTGGGGTGGAGAGTTCTGTAGATGTCTATTAGGCCGCTTGGTCAGAGTTGGGTTCAAGTCCTGAATATCCTTGTTAATTTTCTGTCTCGTTGATCTGTCTAATGTTGACAGTGGGGTGTTAAAGTCTCCCACTATTATTGTGTGGGAGTATAAGTCTCTTTGTAGGTCTCTAAGAACTTGCTTTATGAATCTGGGTGCTCTGGTATTGGATGCATATATTGTTAGAATAGTTAGCTCTTCTTGTTGCATTGAACCCTTTACCATTATGTAATGGCCTTCTTTGTCTCTTTTGATCTTTGTTGGTTTAAAGTCTGTTTCATCAGAGACTAGGATTGCAACCCCTGCTTTTTTTTTGCTTTCCATCTGCTTGGTAGATCTTCCTCCATCCCTTTATTTTGAGCCTATATGTGTCTCTGCACATGAGATGGGTCTCCTGAATACAGCACACTGATGGGTCTTGACTCTTTATCCAATTTGCCAGTCTGTGTCTTTTAACTGGGGCATTTAGCCTGTTTTACATTTAAGGTTAATATTGTTATGTGTGAATTTGATCCTGCCATTATGACCCTAATGGGTTATCTTGCCCATGAGTTTATGCAGTTTCTTCATAATGTCGATGGTCTTTACAATTTGGTGTGTTTTTGCAGTGGCTGGTATCGGTTGTTCCTTTCCATGTTTAGTGATTCCTTCAGGAGCTCTCGTAGGACAGGCCTGGTGGTGACAAAATCTCTCAGCATTTCCTTGTCTGCAAAGGATTTTATTTCTGCTTCACTTATGAAGCTTAGTTTGGCTGGATATGAAAATCTGGCTTGAAAAATCCTTTCTTTAAGAATGTTGAATATTGGCCCCCACTCTCTTCTGGCTTGCAGGGTTTCTGCCGAGATAGCCACTGTTACTCTGATGGGCTTCCCTTTGTGGGTAACTCGCCCTTTCTCTCTGGCTGCCCTTAACAGTTTTTCCTTCATTTCAACCTTGGTGAATCTGACAATTATGTGCCTTGGGGTTGCTCTTCTCAAGGAGTATCTTTGTGATGTTGTTTGTATTTCCGAATTTGAATGTTGGCCTGCCTTGCCAGGCTGGGGAAGTTCTCCTGGATAATATCCTGAAGAGTGTTTTCCAACTTGGTTCTGTTCTCCCGTCACTTTCAGGTACACCAATCAAACATAGATTTGGTCTTTTAACATCATCCCATACTTCTTGGAGTCTTTGTTCATTTTTCACTCTTTTTCCTTTAATCTTGTTTTATTTCATTGAGTTGATCTTCAATCTCTGATATCCTTTCTTCCACTTGATAAATTCAGCTAATCATACTCATGTATGCTTCACAAAATGCTCATGATGTGTTTTTCAGCTCCATCAGGTCATTTATGTTCTTCTCTAAACTGGTTATTCTAGTTAGCAATTCGTCTAACCTTTTTTCAAGGTTCTTAGCTTCCTTGCAGTGGGTGAGGACATGTTCCTTTAGCTTGGAGGAGTTTGTTATTACCCACTTTCTGAAGTCGACTTCTGTCAATTCGTCAAACTCATTCTCTATCCAGTTTAGTTCCCTTGCTGGCAAGGAGTTGTGATCCTTTGAAGGAGAAGAAGCGTTCTGGTTTTTGGAATTTTCAGCCTTTTTGCACTGGTTTCTCCCCCATCTTCATGGATTTATCTATCTTTGGTCTTTGAAGTCAGTGACCTTCAGATGGGGTCTCTGAGTGGACGTCCTTTTTGTTGATGTTAATACTATTCCTTTCTGTTTGTCGGTTTCCTTCCAACAGTCAGGCTCCTCTGCTGCAGGTCTGCTGGAGTTTGCTAGAGGTCTGCTGCATACCCTGTTTGCCTGGGTGTCACCAGCAGAGGCTGCAGATCAGCGAAGATTGATGCCTGTTCCTTCCTCTGGAAGCTTTGTCCCAGAGGGGCACCCACCAGATGCCAGCCAGAGTTCTCCTGTATGAGGTGTCTGTCAGCTCCTACTGGGAGGTGTCTCCTAGTCAGGATACATGGGGGTCAGGGACCCACTTGAGGAGGCAGTCTGTCCCTTATCGGAGCTCAAACACTGTGCTGGGAGATCTGCTCCTCTCTTCAGAGCTGAGCTGCCAGGCAGGAACGTTTAAGTCTGCTGAAGCTGCGCCCCCAACCGCTCCTTCCCCCAGGTGCTCTGTCCCAGGGAGGTGAAGGTTTTATCCGTAAGTCCCTGACTGGGGCTGCTGCCTTTTTTTCAGAGATGCCCTTCCCAGGGAGGAGGGAATCTGCGGAGGCAGTCTGGCCACAGTGGCCTTGCTGAGCTGTGGTGGGCTCCACCCAGTTCAAACTTCCTGGCCGCTTTGTTTACACTGTGAGGTCGAAACCGCCTACTCAAGGCTCAGCAATGGTGGATGCAACTCCCCACACCAAGCTCAAGCGTCCCAGGTAGAACTCAGACTGCTGTGCAAGCAGCAAGAATTTCAAGACAGTGTATCTTAGCTTGCTGGGCTCCATTGAGGTGGGATCCGCTGAGCCAGACCACTTGGCTCCCTGGCTTCAGCCCACTTTCCAGGAGAGTGAATGGTTCTGTCTTGCTGGCATTCTGGGTGCCACTGGAGTATGAAAAGCAAAACTCCTGTGGCTAGCTCAGTGTCTGCCCAAATGGCTACCTAGTTTTGTGCTGGAAACCCAGGGCCCTGGTAGCATGGGCACTGCAGTGAATCTCCTGGTCTGCGGGATGTGAAGACCATGGGAAAAGCACAGTATCTGGGCCAGAGTCCAAGGTACAGTCCCTAATGGGTTCCCTTGGCTGGGAAAGGGAGTTCTCCAACCCCTTGCACTTCCTGGGTGAGGCAACGCCCCATCCTGCTTTGGCTTGCCCACCTTAGGCTGCACCCACTTCCAAGCAGTCCCAATGAGATGAACTGGGTACCTCAGTTGGAAATGCAGAAATCACCCGCCTTCTGCGTCGATCTCGCTGGGAGCTGCAAACCAGAGGTGTTCCTATTCGGTCATCTTGCCAGCAATTGTGCCAGTTTTCAAGGGAAATGCTTCCAGCTTTTGCCCATTCACTATGAAGTTGGCTATGGGTTTGTCATAGGTGGCTCTCATTATTTTGAAGTATGTTCCTTCAATGCCTAGTTTATTGAGAGTTTTAAACATGAAGAAACGTGGAATGTTATTGAAAGCCACTTCTGCATCTATTGAAATGATTATGTGATTTTTGTATTTAGTTTTGATTATGTGATGAATCACATTTATTGATTTGTGCATGTTGAACCAATCTTGCATCCCAGGGATAAAGAATACTTGATTGTGGTGAATTGACTTTTTGATGTGGCACTGTATTTTTCAATTTTCAATTGTTTATTGCTGGTACATAGAAATAATTGATATTGTATCTTGATCTTATATCCAGTAACCTTGATAGATTCACTTCTTATAATAGTTTTTGTATAGATCCCATTTGACTTTCTATATGAATGAACATGTATGCAAATAAGCACCCTTTTACTTCTTTTTCAATCTGGATGCATTTGATTTTTCTTGCCTTATGATACAAGCTAGAATCACAATTACAACTTTCAATAACAGCTGGGAGGGCAGACATCATTTCTCATTTGTGACCTTGGGAGGAAAGAATGCAGTCTTTTACCAATATGATTTAGCTGTAGGGTTTGATACATGTTCTTTATTGGATTGAGGAAGTTCCTTTCTATCCTACTTTGCTTAGGGTCTTTTACAGGGATGAACATTGGATTTTATCAAATGCTCTTTCTTGAGATGATCTCTTGAGATTATGATATAATTTTTTTCTTTTTTAGTTTAATATGGTGAGTCACATTCTGTTTTTCAAATGTTAAACATTGCATCCGTGGTATAAAAAACATTTGGTCATGATATATTATCCCTTTTATGTATTGTGGATTCAATTTTCTGTATTTTTATTTTGCAAAATATTTCTAAATTTAATATGCTAAATTTGCTAAAATTTTCATGAGGTTTATTGGTCTGCAGATTTCTTTTAATATGTTAGTTGTTGGTATTAGAGTAATGTTTGTTTCATAAAATGAGCTGGATGGTATTCCCAACGTTATAATATTCTGCAAGAGTTTGTAAAGAATTGGTATTTTATCACCCTTACATGTTAGGCAGACTTTATTGATAAAGTCATCTGGGCCTGAAATTTTTTTTGAGGGAAAATTTTTAGCTACAAATTCCATTTCTCAAATAGATATTGGGCTACTCAAGTTATTTCTTTCTTCTTGGGAGAGACTCAAGTTTGTGTGTTTCAAGGAAATTTTCTATTTCACCTAGGTTGTCAAATGTATTTGCATCAAGTTGTTCACAATTTTCCCTTACTGTCTTTTTAATATTTGTAGAATGTGTACTGATATCACCTTTTTCCAGATATTGATAATTTGTCTTCTTTCTTTGCTGATCATTTTGCCTAAAGGCTTATCAATTATATTGATAATTTCATAGATCCAACCTTTGGTTCGATTTACTTTCTCAATTGACTTTCTGTCTTTATTTCACTTATTTCTATTTTGACTTTTATTCCCTTTCTTCTACTTAATTTGAGTCTATTTTGTTCTTCTTTTTGACGTTTGTTAAGGTGAAAACATGTCACTGATTTGAGAATTTTTTTGGTATTAATAATATAAGTCTTTAATGCTATACATTTCCCTACTGTTCTGCTTTAGTTGTATCCCATGAATATCGATACATTAGGTGTTCATTTCATTCAGTTCAAAATAATTTTTAATTTCCTGTTTAACTTCTCCTTTGATTCATGGCTATTTAGAAGTGTTATTTCATTTATAAATATTTCAAGCTTGTCCAGAGATTTTCTGTTATTGATTTCTAATTTATTTCTATCGTGATCAGATAACAAACTTTGACTTGAGTACTTTTAAACTTATCGATACTTGTTTGGGCAGGACTAAGGTCTACCTTAGTGAATGTTCTCAATGAACTTGGAGAGAAGGTGTTTTCTGACTTGTAGAATGTTTTGTAAATGTCAGATAAAACCTTCAAGCCTTCTATTTGTTCTACAAACATTGACAGCGGAGTACTAAAATCTCTTACTGTAATTGAGATTGTATCTATTCTGTAGTTTTATTACTGCATTTTCTTTTCTCTTCTCTTCTCCCTTTCCTTCCCTTTCCCTTTCCCTTTCCCTTTCCCTTTTTTTTTTTTTTTTTTTTTTTGACAGAGTCTCACTCTGTTGCCCAGGCTGGAGTGTAGTGGTGTGATCATGGCTCACTGCAGCCTCGACCTCCCAGGCTCAAGCCATCTTACCACCTCATCCTCTCAAGTAGCTGGAACTGCAGGTGCATGCCACTGAACCCGGCTAATTATTTTTTTTTTTTGTAAAAATGGGGTCTCATTATGTTGTACAGGTTGGTCTCGAACTCTCGGGCTCAATCAATTCTCCCACCTCAGCCTCCCAAAGAGGCTGAGATTACAGGTGTGAGCCATCATGCCTGGCTTTGACTAAAATTGAGGTATAATTTATATAACATAAATATTTGTTTTAAGTATACAGTTCAGAAATTTTCAGTAAATTCTAAAATTTGTGTATACATCACTACAATCTAATGTTGGAATATCTCCTTCACCCCCAAAAGATTGTTCACACCCATTTTCAGTCAGTGTCTATTGCTACTTCCAGCCAACTGCTAACTTAATCTGTCTCAATAGATTTGTCACTTCTATATATGTTATATAAGTAGAATCATAGAACACATGGCCTTTTGCATGTATCATCTTTCATTCAGCATTTAGCATAATATTTTTGAGGTTTGACTATATTGTAGTATGTAGCCGTATCTTCTTTCTTGTTATATATAGAAATCAATTGTGAGGATATACCACATTTTATTATCCATTCACAGGTTGATGAATATTTGGACTATTTCTACCTTTTAATCATTGTGAATAATGCTGCTGTGAACATTCACGTACAAGTCTTTCAGTGAACATTCACTTTCATTTCTCTTGAAGGTGAATTAGTGGTCATACGGTAAATTTATTTTTAACTTTTTAACAAAGACCAAACTGTTTTCCAAAGTGGTTGTACCATTTCACATTTACATCAGCAAATGGATGAGGGTTCCAATTTCTCCACATTCTTGCAAAAATTTGTTATCATCTTTCTTTTTTATTACATTCATTCTAGTGGGTGTTAAGTAATGTAATTGTGGCATAACTTGCATTTCACTAATAACTAACGATGTTGGGCAGCTTTTCATGGCCTTATTTGTGATCCATATATTTTAATCTTTCAAATAACTATCAAGTATTTGCCCACTTTTTGACAGCACTATTATCTTATTATTATTGCATTTTAAGGGCTCCTTATATATCATGGATGCAAGTCCTCTGTCAAATATATGACTCACAAATAAACATTATGTGCTGTATAATGATGTTTCAGTAAACAACTAACTGTATATAAGATAGCGGTCCCATACAATTATGATGGAGCTGAAAAATTCCCTATTGATGTCATAGCCATCACAATGTCACAGTATAATTACTTTTTTAATAAATAAAGTGTAGCCTAAGTGTTCGATGTTTATAAAGTCTACTATAGTATACAGTAATGTCCTAGGCCTTTGCATTAACTTACCAAGTTGCTCATTGACTCACCCTGAACAACTTCCAGTCCTGCAAGCTCCACTCATGATAAGTACCCTATTCACGTATATCATTTTTTAATCTTTTATACCATATTTTGACTGTACCTTTTCTATATTTACATACGTTTAGATAAACAAATACTTATCATTGCGTTACAATTGCTTATAGTATTCAGCACAGTAACATGCTCGTACAGGTTTGTAGCCTACAAGCAACAGATTATAACACATTGCTGAGGTGTATAGTAGGCTACACCACCTAGGCTTGTGTAAGTGCACTCTATGATGTTCATACAATGATGACAATGTTTAATGGCACATTTCTCAGAAAGTAACCTGGTCATTAGCTGCCACATGACTGTATTTTCTCCCAGCCTGAGGCTTTAAAAAAATCTTCTTAATGATGTCTTGAAAAGCAAATATTTTAAATTTTGATGCAGTCCAATGTATTATTTTTTATTGATCAAGCTTTTGGTGGTGTTTTGGGGAAAACTCTGCCTAACCCAAAGGAATGAAGATTTTTCTCCTATGTTTTCTTTGAAGACTTTTATAGTCTTAACTCTTACAGCTGGGTCTATTATCCATTTTAAGTTAATTTTTGTGTATAGTGTGAGGTCAGGTCTAAATTAACTATTTTGTATGTGGATATTAAATTGTTACAGCATTATTAGTAAAAAGACAACAACAACAAAAAACTATTCCCCCCCATTGATTTGCTTTGGATCCTTTGTTGAGAATCAACTGACCATGAATATAATTTTTAATTCTAAATTAGGTTCAATTTATCTATAGGTCTATCATTATGTCAGTATTACACCACTGCAATTACTGTAGCTGTACAATAAGTATGGAAATGAGGAAATATACATCTTCCAGATTTGTTTTGGCTGCTCTGGATCTTATACTTTTGCATATAAAGGCTAGAATCTGCTTACTAATTTCAGCAAAATATCCTGCTTAGATTTTGATAGGAATTGGGTTTAATCTGTAGACTAATTGGGGGAAGAGCTACCATCTTAATAATACTGGGTGTTCTAATTCATGCATGTGGAATACATCTCCATTTATTTATATCTCTTTTTCATTTCTCTGAACAATGTTTTGTGATTTTTTATTGTACGAGTTTGAACATCTTTTGTAAAATTTAATTCATTCTTATTTTTTTGTTGTTTTGTTTTTGTTTTTCATTTGTTTGTTTTGAGATGGAGTCTCGCTCTCTCACCCAGGCTGGAGTGCAGTGGCATGATTTTGGCTCACTGCAACTTCTGCCTCCCAAGTTCAAGCGATTATCCTGCTTCAGCTTCCTGAGTAGCTGTGATTACAGGCGCCTGCCACCACGCCAGGCTAATTTTTCTACTGTTAGTAAAGATGGGGTTTCACCATGTTGGCCAGGCTGGTCTCAAACTCCTGACTTCAAGTGATCTGCCTGCCTCAGCCTCCCAAAGTGCTGGGATTACAGGCATGAGCCACTGCACCTGGTCAAAAATGTTTTCTTAATTTCAGTATTAAAATGTTAATGAATAGATTCTAGTATATTGTTCATGTATCTCGGGACCTTGCTCTCCTTGTTTATTAGTTCTAGTAGTTTTTGTGTGGGTTCTTTAGAATTTTCTACATATAGAATCACGTCATCTGTGAATAAAGGCAGTTTCTCTCTCTTCTCCCTCACCATTCTGAATGCCTTTTATGTATTTTTCTTGCCTGACTGTCCTAACTACAATCTCTAGTGCACTGCTGAATAGAAGTGATAAGAAGAGACATCCTTTCCTAGTTATCAATATTAGAGGGAAAGCATTTATTACCATGAAATACGGTTTGTCATCTAAAGGGTGTTCATAGGTGGTCTTCATCAGAAAGTTCTCTTCTATGCCTACTTTGTGGAGGGTTCTCTTCTAGGCCTACTGTGTTCTCTTCTATGACCATTCACTTTTTTTTTTTTTTAATTGTGAATGAGCATTGAATTCTGCCAAAGCTTTATCTTCATATTTTCATATATTCATGTGGTTTTTGTTCTTTTTTCTGTTAATATGTTGAATTATATTAATTGACTTTTGGATAATAAATCAACTCTACATTACTAGGATAAATCCCTTTTGGTTATGGTGTATAATCTTTTGTATACACTGTTGGATTCGATTTATTAATAGTTTGTTGAAGATGTCTGTGTGTATGTTCATGAGGAATATTGGTCTGTAGTTTTCTTTTCTTTTAATGTGTTTGTCTGACTTTGGTATGAGGAAAATACTGGCCTTATAGAATGATTTGGTGGGTATTCCCTTTCTCTTTCTTATCAAGGAATTTGAGAAACATTAGTGTTTCTTTTCTTAGGTTTAAAAGAATTCAAGAATGAAGCCTAGGTTTTTCTTTGTGGGAAGATTTTTTCATTATCAATTCATTAATTCAACTTCTTTACTTATTACAGGTTTATTCAGATTTTTAGCTTTTTATGGATCAGTTTCTGTAATGTTGTTTAACTTTTTGGCATAGAGTTGTTCATTGTATTCCAATGTAATTCCCCAAAGGGGAATTACACACTTTTAATGATAACTGTTCATCTGTATGTTCTATCAAATATGATCACGATCTTTGAAATATGATACATATACTTAAAATTAAATGCAATATTTATCCACTGGATGAAGAAAAACCCTTAAGGAGGTTCTTGTCATCAAAGGAGTTTATAACATATTAGTAGATTTATTTATTCATATTCTGACTTGTACCTTCCATTATGACTAATACATCCTATTAGCCTAATTAGCCAAAGGTAATGTTGTTTTTAGCTTTCTATCTATTCATAAATGTTATTTCCTAGTTCTTGTTTCTTTCTTTTATGTGTATGCACATGTTTTTACTTATCTTCAGGCTTACATATCATTAATAAATTATTTATTAGAGGTTAGTTGATAGTGACAAGACTGACATGGTACTACATGCAGCCATTATATTACCCATGGGTAAGTTTAATACTATTACTAAATACCAGAAAGATCATATGGGGATGTGAAAATATTAAAAGCTACAAGATAAATTATAATAATTCCATGAAAATCCATGACACATACAGCTAACCAGTACTCTAATCTCATTGTTTCTCATATCCACTATCCCTAAGTAGTGTGGGGAAAAAAATGAAAAATGTTGGTAGATTTAAGCGTTTCAGGTATTCAGAGTCCTCAATCTATTACCTATTGCAATAAAAACTGAAGGCCAGTCCCGAATGAAAAGAAGATGCTGGCAAGTGTTAGCAGCCTATAAACTTTAAGAATTAGTACATAAAATATATTAGGTTGGTACATACAGTAGTAATCATCATGTAATAACCCACCATCCTACACTGTAATTCAGAGAGAAAGTACTGAATAGATACAATGGTCACAAAGAATAAAATTAATTTACATACAATTCATTGTAATGTAATTATTACAACAAAGGATGTCGTAATGACATTTGAAAATAGAAGTGTATGGGTGTTTACTATGTGGGGAGGCTGAAAGACATTGACACTGTAGAATTAGTGCTCAATTAATACCATCCAAAGGTACAAGACTGTATTAAGTGGAAATAAAATTCCAGTAATTAGAGAGGTTATTTTAAAAAGGAGTGAAAATAATTCTCTAGGCTTTCCTATGACTACTAAGTATCCCATAAGATCAATCCTTACCTCTAATTCTCTACTAATCAAGCAGACTTCTAACATATATAATGTATTCTTCTATTCAGCAGAAGGGTGTGATCCATATACACAATACTCATTTGTTAAGTTACCAGCTATACTTCCCATGATTAATAAATGACATGGCATTTGTGTTTATAAATTTATACTTCTAAAATTTGGTTAATGTCAATCAGTCCTGCAGCACTTGACAAAATGTTGCTAAAACTGGAGCATGCTGTCTCCGTAAAGATATAACTACCCCATGAATACTATGCAAAACAGTATGCATACACCTCAGTCTCCAATAGTAGATTCATTAGAAAAATAATGACCTGAGTTTTAGGGGCGAAAAGCCTACAATGTCATTATTCAATCTGGAAAATATTTCTGAGTTTATTTTAAGCATCTATGGAGTGATGTAATTCTATTTCATATTTCAGACTGTAAAATCCAGGGCAAAATGTGCAGGTAGATGATAATAACAATAGTAATAATAACATCAGTTTATATTATTGAGACTAATTAATTCTTATAACTACCCTGTAATGCAGGTATTACTATTTCCCTTTTATAAACAAAGAAAGTGAGGCATAGAGAGAGGATCTGCCACAAGACATACAGTTCTAAAGTGTAAGAATTAATATTTAAACTCAGGGTAGTCTGGAATTAAAGTTCATGGTTTCAACCACTATAGTATACTTGGTATACTACATATTCATAAAATACCTAGAATAATAAAGGAGGAAATGATAATTTTGTGTATACAACTATGTGGCTAAACTCATATTAGCCATCTTATTCCTATATTTAGGATTCTAAGCACTAAGATTTAAATGTAAATATGCTTATTTGGTGTCATATCATCCAAAATACAAATATAAACCACTTCAACATTGTGATAGGTGAATGCTATGGGTACAACCTTATTTTAGTGTTTCAAACAATTCAAAAGCTTCAAACAATTGTTTTCAAACAATTCATAGCTATGGAAACACTAACAAATGACTATTAATATTCACAAAGATATCTTCAAGTTCTTTATCACATACATCACTCAAGATTAGGAAAATACAATAAAAATATGAAAGAATTTTAGTAAAACTTACTTTGCAACCTCCGTGTTGGGCTCTCTCCATGGAGCTGTCTTCGTGGCATATATGGAGAAGGGTGGGGAAGTGGCAATGAAGAGACATCATGCGTCTGAAGTTTGTACCAATGTGGCTCATCATCTAATAATGCTGTTTCTAATTCAATTAAAATCTACAAACCCAAGAGACAAAGGACGGTTATAATATACCAATAATAAAGAAATTATGTTAAATGGTCCTATAACTTTTGTAGTAATAATTATAATAGTAATGCTATTACATGAAAAACAAGGTCATTTAGACGTTGCAAAATTGTCAATATGTTCTTGACAAAAAATAAACTTTTATAACTTCTTAGTGATTTAATAGTTTTAAATATCTAAGACATTTATTTTGTTGACCCTTGACTACCCACTACTAGAGTCTATCAAATTTACCATTACAAAAATAACACTTTTCATTTTAAATGACTGTAATAATAACTAATATTTGTATATCATTTTAGAATTTAAAAAGCATTTTTATTTAGAGTCAACCTAAATGGCCATCAGTGACGACTGGATAAAGAAAATATGGTACATATACACCATGGAATACTAAGCAGCCATAAAAAAGAACAAGATCATGTTCTTTGCAGGGACATGGATGGAGCTGGAGGCCATTATCCTTAGCAAACTAATGTGTGAACAAAAAACCAAATACCACGCATTCTCACTTTTAAGTGGGAGCTAAATGATGAGAAACACATGGACCCACAGAGGCAAATAACACGTACTGGGGCCTACCGGAGGGTAGAGGGTAGGAGGAGGGAAAGTATCAGGAAAAATACTAATTGGTATTAAGCTTAATACCTCGGTAATGAAATAATCTGCACAACAAACCCCATGAAACATGTTTACCCATGTAACAAACCTCCACATGTATCCCTGAACTTAAAAGTTAAAAAAAATTAACTCTTACAATTGAAGTGCCTACTGTGTATTAAGAACCGTGCCATATTCTCTGTCATAATTATTAAAAAATTACTAGCTTCGTCTTATTGTTTAATTTTCATAAGCAAAAGTACCAAGGCTAACAAAGGTTAAAAGAACTTGTCTAAGGTCACACCAGCTTGTAAGTGAAAGAGGTGTAAACTGAATCAGCCTGTCTTATTTAAAATTCTGTATTTATCATACTATCCTGCTAAAGATTTAAAACAAGAAAAGAAAAAAACAAGAACGGATTTTAAATATGAACCATATTATAATATAAATTTTATAATAGGAATATTTTTAAAATTTACCCAAAATGTAAGTCTGTAGAAATGAATGTCTATTTTTTTTAGGAGGTTGTGCAAGTGACAGTGTTTGTGCTTTGTGTTTACAAGAACTGCCACATAAAGATAAATTACTATTTATCTAAGGGAGGTAAAGAAGCAATACAGCCAAGTTAATATTTCATTCTTTATTTTTTGTTTTTGAGACAGGGTCTTGCTATGTCACCCAGGCTGGAGTGCAGGGGTGCAATCACAGCTAACTGCAGCCTCAAACTCCTAGGGTAAAGCAATTCTCCCACCTCAGCCTCCTGAGTAGCTGGCACTACTGTATGCACCACCATGCCTGGCTAATTTCTTTTTTTATTTATTTTTAGACATGGGGTTCTTGCTGTGTTACCCAGGCTGGTCTTGGACTCCTGGTCTCAAGCTATCCCCCTGTCTCCGCTTCCCAAAGGATTGGTATTACAAGTGTGAGCCACCATGCCTGGAGTTGTTTCATTCTTCCTAAATTTTCTCTAGTCATTTTCAAAATTATAGGTACTGTGTTCGAAAGGATTACAAACACACAATACAACACACTTATTTAATTCTCATATTAACCCTGAGTTGCATACTAGTATTATTCCTACTTGGCTGAAGAAGAAACTGAAGCACAGATGGGTTAAATAACTTGTTCAAAGACACAAGGCTAAGAAGTGGTAGTGCCAGGAATATAAACCCAGGCAGCTAGCTCCAGAATCTCTGCTCCTAACAACTGTGTGACCCTTCCTCCCAAAGGTCACACAAGGGATTTTAGCTTTTTTTTTTTTTTTTTGAGATGGAGTCTCACTCTGTCGCCCAGGCTGGAGTGCAGTGGCACGATCCTGGCTCACTGCAAGCTCCGCCTCCCGGGCTCAAGTGATTCTCTTGCCTCAGACTCCCAAGTAGTTGGAATTACAGGAGCCCACCACTGTGCCCAGCTAATTTTTGTATTTTTAGTAGAGACAGGTTTTTGCCACACTGGTCAGGCTGGTCTCGAACTCCTGACCTCAGGTGATCTGCCCCCCTCGGCCTCCCAAAGTGCTGGAAATACAGAAGGGTTTTTAGTTTTACCACTCTTTGGTTCCTTAGCTGACAACATTCACTTCAATATTTCTACAGATTGTTGTTTTTCCCATGAGATTACCATTTAATTTACTCAGAAAAAAAAAACTGATATAGTTTGGTTGTGTTCCCACCCAAATCTCATCTTGAATTTTAACTCCCACAATACCCTTGTGTCATGGGAGAGACCCAGTGGGAGGTAATTGAATAATGGAGGTGGGTCTTTCTCGTGCTGCTCTCATCATAATGAATAAATCTCACAAGATCTGATTGTTTTATAGAGGAGTTCTCCTGCACAAGTTCTCTCTCTCTTTGCCTGCTGCCATCCATGTAAGACATGACTTGCTCCTCCTTGCCTTCCACCATGACTGTGAGGCCTCCCCAGTCATGTGGAACTGTAAGTCTGTTAAAACTCTTTTTCTTCCCAGTCTCAAGAATGTCTTTATCAGCAGCATGAAAACGAACTAATACAATAAATTGGTACTAGTACAGTGAGACACTGCTAAAAAAAATACCTGAAAATGTGGAAGTGCTTTGGAACTGGGTAATGGGCAGGGGTTGGAACAGTTTGGAGGGCTCAGAAGACAGGAAAATGTAGGAAAGTTTGGAACTTCCTAGAGACTTGTTGAATGACTTTGCCCAAAATGCTGATAGCTATATGGACAATAAAGTCCAGGCTGAGTTATTCTCATATGGAAAGGAGGAATTTTTTGGGAACTGCAGCAAAGGTGATTCTTGTTATGTTTTAGCAAAGAGACTGGTGGCACTTTACCCCTGCCCTAGAGATTTGTGGAATTTTGAACTTGAGGGAGATGATTTAGGCTATCTGGTGGAACAAATGTTGAAGCAGCAAAGCATTCAAGATGTGACTTGGGTTCTGTTAAAGGCATTTAGTTTTATAAGGGAAGCAGAGCATAAAAGTTTGGAAAACTTGTATCCTGACAATGCGATAGAAAAGAAAATCCCATTTTCTGAGGAAAAATTCAAGCCAGCTGCAGAAATTTGCATAAGTAATGAGGGGCCAAATGTTAATCGCCTATCCGCAATGTGGAAAATGTCTCCAGGGCATGTCAGAGGTCTTCACGGCAGCCCCTCCCATCACAGGCCTGGAGGCCTAGGAAGAAGAAATGGTTTTGTGGGCTGGCCCCACGGTCCCTGTGCTGTGACACCAAGTATAGGGACTTGGTGATGTGCATCCCAGTTGCTCCAGCTGTGACAAGAAGGAGCCAAGCTACAGCTTGGGCCATGGCGTCAGAGGGTGCAAGCCCAAGCTTGGCAGCTTCCACATGGTGTTGAGCCTGCAGGTGCACAGAAGTCAAGAATTGGGATTTGGGAACCTCTGCCTAGATTTCAGAGGATGTATGGAAATGCCTGGATGTCCAGGTAAAAGTTTGTTGCTGGGGTGGGGCTCTCATGGAGAACCTCTGCTAGGGCAGTGCAGAAGGGAAATGTGGGGTCAGAGCCCCGGTACAGAGTCCCTACTGGGGCACCACCTAGTGGAGCTGTGAGAAGATGGCCACCAACCTCCAGACCCCAGAATGGTAGATCCATCTACAGCTTGCACTGTGCACCTGGGAAACCAACAGACACTCAGCGCCAGCCCATGAAAGCAGCCAGGAGGGGGGTTATACTCTGCAAAGCCACAGGGGTAGAGCTGCCCAAGACCATGGGAACCCACCTCTTGCATCAGCGTGACCTGGATGTGAGACATGGAGTCAAAGGAGATTATTTTAGAGTTTTAAGATTTGACAGCCTCACTGGATTTCAGACTTGCATGGGGCTTTGTTTTGGGCAATTTCTCCTATTTGTAATGGCTGTATTTACCCAATGCGTGTACCCCCATTGTATCTAGGAAGTAACTAACTTGCTTTTGATTACACAGTCTCATAGGCAGAAAGGACTTACCTTGTCTCAGATGAGACTTTGGACTTTGGACTCTGGACTCTGGACTTTTGAGTTAATTCTGAGTTAAGACTTTGGAGACTATTGGGAAGGCATGATTGGTTTTGAAATGTGACGACATGAGATTTGGGAGGGGACAGAATGGAATGATATGGTTTGGCTGTGTCCCCACCCAAATCTCCTCTTGAATTGTAATTTCCACAATTCCCATGTGTCGTGGGAAGGACCCAGTGGGAGGTAATCAAATTATGGGGGTGGGTCTTTCTCATGCTGTTCTCCTCATAGTGAATAAATCTCACGAGATCTGATGGTTTTATAAAGAGGAGTTCCCCTGCACAATCTCTCTCTCTCTTTGCCTGCCACCATCCATGTAAGACGTGACTTGCTCCTCCTTGCCTTCTGCCATGTGAACTGTAAGTACATTAAATCCCTTTTTCTTCCCAGTCTCGGGTATGTCTTTATCAGCAGCGTGAAAATGAATTAATATACCAACCACACTGAAAAAAGCTGAAAGTGAGTAACTTAGCATGCTAATAGCTGGATAATTGCTTCCCATCTTGCCCCTCTTCAATCATTCTCCACATTACAGCTGGAAATACTTTTCTCAAGTACAATCGAACCATTTTCTTTTTAAAGAAAATATGAGACTGGGCAAGATGATGAGACCCCATCCCTACAAAAAAACAAAATTAGCTGGGCATGGGGGTGGGTGCCTGTAGCCCCAGCTACTTGGGAAGCTGAGGCAGAAGAATTACTTGAGCCCAAGAGCTTGAGGCAGCAGTGAGCTATGACTGTGCCACTGTGACAAAGCAAGACTCCATAGAGAAGGGAAAGAGATAATTGGTTATTAGTCATTGGTTCCTATTATCGACCAGATAAATCCAAATTTGTTTATATATTAAGGGACATGCCCTGGTCTCAGTTTAAGTCTCAAACCTCATTTCTTACCATATTCCCTTCCAATTTCAATGCAATTGACCAAGATCTCCTCACCCTGATGCCTTCTTATTTCCTCTTCAGGAATTTCACTCCCCTTGAATTTGCTAAATTCCTCTCTCTTTGTGAAGACTTCCTTTGACCACCTGCCCTCCTCTGCACAGCAATTACGTATTCCTATTGCATTTTCCTCTTCATATCAATTGGCATGTTATATTCTAATTGCTATTCATGTGTCTGTATCACCAATGAATTGTAAATTCCTTGAAGTAAGTAACACTCCTTATTTACCTTTGAACGCTCAGTCTATAGCACAGTGCCTGTTACATTGTAGGGCTTGAAAATAATTCATAAATAAATGGTTTAACTACTTATTAGTGGTACAGTCTGTTCAGTAAACTACCAAGATATATACATATCACTATAAAACAAAGCAATATATTTGTGAAATACAAACCTTTTATCATTCAACACTGAGAGTTCTAAAATAAGAACTGACATGTAAAAACTGTCAGAATACGTAGAACCACTGTTTTCTATAGTATCAACTTTTGTCCTAAAGCAGCAGCTGAAATACATTCCATTAAAGAAATTGTGCCTACCTTTGCAGATATTCTACATCTATTATTTATTTATTTATTTATTTATTTATCTTTAATTATTTTTTTTTTGAGACAGAGTCTCGCTCTGTCACCCAGACTGGAGTGCAGTGGCGCGATCTCGGCTCACTGCAACCTCTGCCTCCCGGGCTCACGCCATTCTCCTGCCTCAGCCTCCCGAGTAGCTGGGACTACAGGCGCCCACCACCATGCCCGGCTAATTTATTTTTGTATCTGTAGTAGAGACGGGGTTTCACCATGTTAGCCAGGATGGTCTCAATCTTCTGACCTCGTGATCCGCCCCCCTCGGCCTCCCAAAGTGCTGAGATTACAGGCATGAGCCACCATGCCTGGCCTATTCTACAAATGAAATTATACTGACAGTTATATAAATAAAAGTATTCAGGATAACATGAATAGCATAAACTTTAAAACAACTCCAGATACCTCGCCTAAGAATTCACTTTCTTCCTCTCGAACACGAGCTTGATCCCAAAGGGTAATCTCTAGCATTCGTTCCCGAAATTCTCTTCGGTGGACTGGAGAATAAATGAATGTTTGGTTCCATTTGGGTTCCAATGTTTTCTTTACTGTTTTAGTTCTTCTCTTGTTTTTATCACTATGGAAAAAAACAATGAATTATGAACTTACATAGAACTATAAGTTTTGTCCTAAAATTTTTTAATTTAAAATTTCTCAGGAGACAAGTCAGGTGAAGTTTTACCATAAAATTATCATACATTGCAAATGTTATAACCTTTAAAATTATTATGAAAATTTTAAGGTGTATACTATATCACACTTTATAGGTATGACAATAATAGCAATGTTTCAATAAATGTTAAATTTTTTCCATGACATATTATTGAAAACTGAATATTTCTCAAAATCTAAATAAAACCAGACTTGAGAATCTTAACTCTATAATTTTTTTAAAATATCACCCTATTGAAAATCTTCTAAATGATAATTAACCAGTAACATTACATATACTATTCACTTAAACTACAGAAGTCATGTTACAAAAAGATGAGTAAATTGTGATATTCACAACTTCTTATCTATAAAGTTCTAGCTAATGACCAATGATAATTTATTTTTTATAAAGATACTTTTTTAAATATAAGAAATTCATATTTATTTGACATACATCTGGTATTTTAAAACACTGTACATTTATTTCTATGTGAGCTAGTCACCACAATGTGGGTTGAAAATGCAAGATAACCATCCCAATAAATGGCATTGCCAGCTCAGAGGTTTTCATGTTCTTTTTCGTTGTATATCTCTGTACATGTGTTACCATACTGTTATACTAATATATTGTCCATATTGGGAAATATACTAAAACAGAAACCAAAAATAATAAAGTAAAAATTTTTAAACATTCAAATATTTCTTCCTGACCATGAAAGGATTATCCTATATATCACCTAGGGTACATCCAACCTATTTGGAGATCATTACTCTTGCTTATTAGACAGGATCACTGGCTGGATAGGAATACAATTTTCTAGGAAATACAATTTAAGCTACCTAAGAGAACTATTTAAAATGACAGACAAACTCCAATTAGAACAGTATCAACTGCTACAAATTATCTCAGCACAACACAGTTCCAAGAGTTTTGGGAAACAGGGAGGAGAGAGAACAAAGAAGGGGTAGAACTGTTTCTGAAATTGGGAAGTAATGCAACTTCTTCTCATTGGAATTTTAAGTTTAATATAGATTTTACTTGAATGATGAAGAGGTATTATATGTTTCCAGAGCACACATATATAACATGGCAGAAAGATGACATTAAATACACTAATTAATAATGAATTTTGCTAATACACATGGAAAAGATAACATGCAATGTAGCTTTATTAACCACGAAGGCATTGGCAGAAAAATGACAATGCAAACCCATGTAGGAGATTTTATCTCTATACATGGAAAGAAGTGATAATGTGTATGGGAATAACTTATCTGAAACAAGGACTGTGATGTATGATCTTTCTCTCCCTCCTTTCGTTTATAGCTTTAACAAATATTTATTTAACATCTACTCATATATCATTGACGAAGAATGAATTCTGAGACCCTGTCAAAAGATAAAGTTCCTTCCACGAAGGCCAGGATGAAAGTATTTAACCAGAGCCTTGCTATTTAATTCGAGAATGGTTTATCTGGCTGGGGGTGGTGGCTCACACCTGTAATCCCAGCACTTTGGGAGGCCGAGGCGGGTGGATCACGAGGTCAAGAACTCGAGATCATCCTGGCCAACATGGTGAAACCCCGTCTCTACCAAAAATACAAAAAATTAGCCAGGAACGGTGGCAGGTGCCTGTAATCCCAGCTACTAGGGAGGCTGAGGCAGGAGAATTGCTTGAACCCGGGAGGTGGAGGTTGCAGTGAGCCGAGATCGTGCCATTGCACTCCAGCCTGGGCAAAAAGAGTGAAACTCTGTCTCAAAAAAAAAAAAAAAGAATGGTTTATATCAAAATCTGAAAGGAAAAAGAAAAGTAAGTCATGAACTTCCTCGTAAGGACAGAAAAAAGTTCTCAGATAAAGAATGAAAATTTTAGACAGGATTTCTATATTGGATAGGAAGAGGAATAGACAATCTCTGAGGTTTCTTATAAGTTATATATGATTACAATTTAATAAGGCAATTTAGTATGTACCCAAGCACCAATTCACAAAAAGAACTATGAAAAATAACCTTATCTTCAGCAAGTTAAAAAAATGAGTTTTACTTTCTCTAGAAGTATAAATAAAGCCTTTAGAATCAAAGCATACTGCATAAGTCAAACACTGAAAAGTTGCTAAAAATATTTAAACACTAAGATCAATAAGCATGCTATAGAGATCATTTTAAAATAAAAGCCTAATTATAATAAAATAAATGATCTTTTAATGAATCATCAAATTGCTAAGAAGGTAGTTAACTTTTTTTTAAAAAATAAAATCCAACCTAATCCTTTTTTAAAAATTTATTTTCACGTTACTAGGACTTTGGTTTCCATTAAATGTAATTTAGTAACAGCATGCAAACACTTGATGTTTTTACTTAAAATTAGAAGAAGAAATATATTTGAACTAGTAACTAACTTCAAGATACAAAAAAAGAGTATAAAACAAGCCCAGTTATTTTTTAGAGTACACAGTACATTACCTAGAAAATAATTTTCACATGGCTTAACTGAAATTCTATACTAGATTTCTTCTATGTAGTCTCCCTGGCCCCTCTAAAAAGACTCATCAATAAAAAGGCATCAATTGTTTTCTGTTTACTTGTTCAAGTATTTCTTTCAAAAAAATTGTCAAAAAAATTAATAATTCATAACAAAAGCACAAACAATCCTTTATTAATGTGTAAAAACTTGTGTCAACCACAAATAAAAAATTGTTAAGATGATAATGTAACTTTTTGAGTTAGGCAGAGAATTCTTTTCACTATTACAGATGAAACCTTGACACAACCTAATCAATAAAGTAAGCTATAAAATTTATCTAAAGAATCTTCAAATTCCTGATAAATAACAAGGAACTCAGCTAAGAAATAATCTGAGAAGGAAACACTGAAATGCCTCTCACATTCCTTGGTGTTGACAAAAGATAAAAAATACTACATCCGGAATATAAAGGACTGGTTAAGAAGAGCTTCCATTTCATCTTTTACTCTTTTTTTTATTTGAGATGGATTCTTGCTCTGTTGTCAGGCTGCAGTGCAATGCCGCATGCAATCTCAGCTCACTGCAACTTATGCCTCGCAGGTTAAAGCAATTCTCCTGTCTCAGCCTCCCGAGTAGCTGGGATTACAGGCACCTGCCACCACTCCTGGCTAATTGTGTGTGTGTGTGTGTGTGTGTGTGTGTGTGTGTGTGTGTGTGTGTCAGAGTCTCGATCTGTTGCCCAGGCTGGAGTGCAGTGGTGCGATCTCGGCTCACTGCAACGTCTGTCTCCCAGGTTAAAGCAATTCTCCTGCCTCAGCCTCCCGAGTAGCTGGGACTATAGGCACCTGCCACCACGCCTGGCTAACTTTTTGTATTTTTTAGTAGAGACGGGGTTTCACCTTGTTAGCCAGGATGGGCTCGATCTCCTGACCTCGTGATCTGCCCACCTCGGCCTCCCAAAGTGCTGGGGTTACAGGCATGAGCCACCGCGCCTGGCCAATTTTTTGTATTTTTAGTAGAGACAGTGTTTCACCATGTTGGCCAGACTGGTCTCAAACTCCTGACCTCAGGTAATCCACCCGCCTCGGCCTCCCAAAGTGCTGGGATTACAGGCATGAGCCACCACACCCGGCCATAGAGATAGGGTCACATTACGGTGCTCAGGCTGGTCTTGAACTCCTCACCCCAAGTGATCCTGTGATTACAGGCATGAGCCACTGCACCCAGCCTAGAAGAGCTTCCATTTTAGCTCTATCTGGTCAGAATACAGAAAGAGGGGTTACATAAAAATAAAACTAAGCAAAAATAGTCACGAAAGAAATTCAGTAATTTGCAAGACTTTAATCGTCTTAAAAATATGTTTCTCTTCAAAATTTTGAGTAAGTAGAAACTTAAGTAATGTGCACAAAAGCATAGATGATTATGGATGACCTCTTCCCTTATAGTTCCACATGTATCTCTCTCCAAAAGACAACCTAAATTGTTAAAAACAGCTTTCTTAATCAAACTTTATAAGATAAAATTATATAGCAAACAGTTTCTAATAACTTTTGATGTTGTGGCATCTTGATATATCCTGAAGAATCTGATATACAGCTTTGACTTCAAAATATGTATCAAATAAAATGCAAAGCCTTTGTTCATTGTCTATTCTTTTGTCCTTTTCTTTGCTGAGATTGTTGTTCAGGTGACACTTTGGTACCCAACTCAACCTTGACTTTCTACTTGAACTAAATAACTAAATCAATGAGATTCCAAAAGCGTATAAACATATTTAACATCACATCTGTGCCTATCCACTTTCAACCTGAGAAAAAATAAAGAGATCTTGAGAGCACTCTGCCGTGGGAGGCAGGGATGCAGACAGATAATTGGGGAAAGGTAACTGGTATTATTTCTTCTTTCTTTTTTCATGATGCCTATTGAATAGTCTCTTTTATTTTTTATATGCCTGAAATTCAGAGTGATTAGATTTGTTTTCAGATAAAATATTTCTCCAATCAAATCAGGGTAGAACAAAAAGAAAAAAAAATAAGGGTAGAACAATACCATTTATATTGATTAGAAGAGACACAAAACAAATAATGCTTGAAGAAGGTGATTCTGGGACTTGTGGTAAGTTTTCTTGACGATATAAGGTGATGATACAAAACAACTTGTTAAATTTATAGAATAGAGAGAAATAATATCTTGGTAAGAGGAAGTAGAAATTGTATTAAAATGAGTACTTTTTAGTAGTATTTTTAGCTTTTTTACTAAAAAAGCTAGTATTTTTGACTAAAAATTCTAGTATTTTAGCTTTTTGATTCTATAATTTGTGTTAAAAATTTGATTTTAGGAAGCATAACTTTTAATGATTTTGAATAATGAAAATATATACAAGAAATAATACACACATGCCTAAAATTAATATTCAAAATCACATATACGACATGTGAGTTTTAAAAAATCTTATTTACTGTCACTATTTTGTTTCCTAAGAACATCACGTTTATGTTAAACTTCACATATCTCACTAGTATGATACCAATAAATGATACAGAATTGAAATACCCATTGCTATGAACATTTTCTCATTTATTTTCCAGAACATTTATTTTGTTTTATATCCTTACCTTCTGTCTGGAAGAAAGTAAATTTTAACATAAGGATTCCTTGGCCTCCCATCTTCCCTGGAAGGGAGATCTTTTGCTCCCAAAATTGTAACTATTAATTGGTGACCAACCTTGTCAAACCATAGTTTTATCTGAAAAGCAAAAATATTCATTTATCAATTCAAACATTTACTACACAAACACAATGTTTACTTTTCCAATCTTCACCCCATTCTCTTACAATAACATTAGCACAGAATATAAACTTTACTTAGTAAATTGTGGCTAGTTAAAATAAAAGGATATACTATAATAACTTCAATGAATAAAAGAATGATTCAGACATTTCAGTTTGACTGATCAAGCATGTGGGCTTTTTATTATCTTAATGTGATTGCTTATTAACATGCAAATAATTACATTATCATAATTAAGGACTTTATATACAATGACTGATCTGTATCTTTACTTATGCAAGAATCACTAGTTCATTTTGGTTCCCCTACAATACTGAGTTCAGAATAAGTGCTCAAAATGAATTGAGTAGATAGTATCCTGTTTATATAACATTCATAGGGAATTTTTAAGTAAATGTTTTATGTTGTTTCACAGTTAAAAACATTTAAAATATTATAGGCAAAAGGGATTTACTAGTAGCTTTAGTCAATAGATTCCTTCAGTTTGAACTTAAAATGATAATGAATTCATCTTTAAAATTTTTCCTTATTCAGACATTAAGTCTCATTCTTTTGTGAAGTTGATGAATAATATCCTTAGGATAAAAGAGTACATTTTATTATTTGAGATAAGAAAATGAGAACAATTTCCCTGTGCCATAATTAGGGAAGGGAACTTCATATCCAACTGCTGAATTCACTTGATTTAACAGTTATCACCTCCCACACACATACCTCACACCTGCACACCTAGCTGTCTGATTCTATGTCAGGATCTATGATAATTACGGCTCTGATCCATATCTTGGCCCAGAACTCAGCACATACCTAACCACTATGTTGAGACTGAAATGGACAGAAATTTGGAACTTGAGAATAACAGTTAAAAACCACTACTGGTTATACATGAAACACTGGCAGTTCAGTTCCAATTCCAACATAGCTTTGTCGAGTCCCTCACTTCATATCCTAGAGTATGAGACACCGAGCAACTTTTGAGTCAGAAAAGGTAAACTGACAGCCCAAAAAAGTATATAAAATTATTTCTATCTTTTTTTTTGCCAAATGGAATCAGCCCTTTTATAGGAATAAGAGTAAGAAATATCCAAATTATTTAAATTATAGTTACCAATTTAGCTGCTAAATACAAAAATAGACCCTAGACAAGTATTTCTCAAATTGTGATTAATAAACTTTCCATGTCAGTATTATCTCACTTATTTATTATAAAGTTATAAATTCCTGGGGCCCACTTCTCACCTACTGAATCAGAATGAGGCCCTGGAAGTTGGATTTTAACAAGTCCTCTGGTGATCCTCAAGTGCATTAAAATTTGAGAACCACTGCCTTAGATTAAGAGATTAACAACTTGAAGAAAAAAGTCTCCAAAATACTAAAGGAAAACAGTTCAAATATTTGCTTGTCTAATAATATTAGAACATAGATACAGATAAGAAAAACGGGCAAAAAAGAGACTATTCTTCTGGCAAAAGACATAAGTGAAAAACAAAGAAAGAAATGCAGGAGTGTTTAATTGTATATGAGATCAAAGAGGTGTTATAGATAGTATCATGGTTCTAAATGTGTGACAAAAACCCAACTGATTTCTATGGTATTCTCTATTTTCACCAGTTTTAAAGAGTTTATGGCTTCATTTTTTCTGAGACATTAAAAAGCTTTCTCTGAGGGTCATGACATGAATATTAAGGCCTCAAAGGAAAAAAAAATTCTGCAATTTATTTCCAATAAATGTTACATTTAAGAAACAAATAATAATTATTATGAGACTAAGCTAAAAATTATTAGAGCAAATTATTGATTTCTATGAGAACCTTTTGGGGGGTTAAACTAAGTACTTGTTGCCATCTCCACCATCAACATTTTTTCTCCTTTAAAATCATTAAAACTAGCATTTGAGATATATATTTCAAAAGTCTGATAGAGAGTATTCTTTTCAGATTTCCTTATGCCATGGAAAACCTGAATATTATCAGTTACTAATATTATCAATTTCTCATACAGAGTAAACATATGGCTTTCATATTTTTGGTATAATATTTTAGAGTTTACTAAAGTATAAATTACAAATGTGCAAATATTAAAGTAATTTAAATAGCAAATAGGCATATTTTAACTTTACTAATTATTTGACCAAAATTACACCTTTTAATAGACTGCCTTAAACTGAGTATTTGAATATAGCACTAATTTTTATTTATATTATAGGACTTGCATTGAAGTTTTTTATAGATATCCAGTTCACATAATCAAAACAGATTTTATTAGGTACATCACTTTATAACATTCTTAATTTCTTATCTGTGCTTTTTAAATAAGTGTTTAAAATATAGCTGTTGATTCCCCCAAATATAACAAACATATCTTCACAATTCTGGTCCTGACATAGTTCCTGTTCAGCCCCAATTTCATTAATAAAAATATTAGTATAATTTAAATTGTTTTAAAATATTTCTCATTCTGGCTTTAGCATGTAACTATTTTTAATTTTCCTAAGTAGGACCTAAGCAGCATAGGTAAATATTTTATATTGTATAATATTAACAAGAATAATTTAATTTTAAAAATTTAAACAAAATAAGTATTACTCAGAAGCAACAAATTTTTTAAAAACAACATGCAGCAAAGCAAGGAGAGCATAATACTACTTAAAAAAAACTATATTGCCATTACTTTACCATATAAGGGTTTCCTAATGAAAAGAGGCAAACAACTTGTACCCAAGTATTACATAAAATTAAATAAAACAATGGCAAAATGTTAACAAAATAAATCCAACTTATTTTATTTGGATTATAATTTTGTTCTTTCAAAGCAAAATACTTTCCAAAAACTGAACCTTATATATAATATGTGTAAAATTCATATTTTAAGTAAGGTACAAATTTATTTGCCAATCTCCTCAAGGAGTTATAACTTGGAAAATGCAAGAGAATATAGATGTTAAGTGACATAATGAGTGATTTAAAGAGACAGCAACCTTAGTGTAATAAAGGAAAATATCAACAGCATAAAATTAGCTATTTCTGTAAATGTCATATATATGTAGAATCTACATTAAATCTACATTAAATGCCATTTTGAAATCTATAAGGTTTAATATTTAGTTTATCATATAAAATCACTAACAAAGATTGTCTCTTTAAATTTTTATTCAATATTCTAATCCCCATGCAAAATTTTACAAGCTGGCTAATAAAATGATTTGAAAGTCAATAATATGATTTGGAGCAACATAACAAAAAAAGTTTTCCTACTAACGCATTTTCCAAAAACATACAAATAGGGTTAAACACAACTTTAGTTTCTATCAGGCAGACAAGGCCTTTACCTGAACCCTAGGAACAAAAGGCGTTGTTCTTCTACTAAGGCTTTGGCTCTGGTAAGCAAAATTAAAGAAAAAAGCAATAAAACAAAACCAAAAAGGACAACACGCTGGAACTAAAAGACCAAAAGTAAAAACAAACACATACAACTATCCCTTAAATACAATTTTTCCATGACAATATTTATCAAAATTAAGTACTTCAGTGTGATGAATAAATTAATTTTGTCCAATGCCAAAAAACATTAAAAACTATACAAAATATTAGAATTTGTATAATCCAATTTTTCAAATGTAGTTCACATAACAAGAATTAAGACTGGATATAAAATAATATATTTGGGCTCATGTACTTTGAAAGAATGATTATAAGCATAACCCAAGAATCAATAAATTTCATATTTTATCCTTAAACACACTACATAAAAAATAGAATAGTGCAAAAAGAAGTTAGTTGAAAATGTATTACAGAGTCATTAGTGAAAAGCCATCTGTGGAAGTAATTGTGTGACTTCTCCAAAGTATGTCTACCCAAAGTCCAAAAACTATTAGCCAAGTTGGCTTTAGAATTTCTTAAAAGAATAAACACATTAAAATAAAAGTGTGCAGAAATACGTTGGACTAATTAGTTGATTCATACTTGGTGAATCCCTATCAGGTTCTAGTATTGAAACACCATCATCAGATATTTATTATGTATCACTCAAGATAACACTGCTTACTGCTAATCACACCTATTAATGACAATATCTTGTTTCTTTTTGCTTATACAGTTCGTTATACTTTTCCAAGCCTTTATTGACAGTTTATTGTAAGTTTATTGCCTCATGGTATGTCCAACAACCTTATGAGGTAGTTGCTTCTACTTACAATTTGTAGATGAGGAAACACAGAAAAGGGCTAGTCATACTTGCCCATACTCAAACAAAAAGCAAGATAGTGTAAAGACAGAAAATATAACCCAGTTCTAATTAAATAACTAAATCAAACTCTCAGAATCAAATCAAATTTCTTTTCTCTTACTGACTTTTGTTTTCATGTTGAAACAGTTTCCAAAAGACATCACAATAATCAGAATGTTGTGCCTTTATTAGGCATTCCAACAGTTAATCAGAACATAATCAGGTTTGGGAATGGATTTCAAGGCATTTAATTCTGCTTCTATCACCAAGATTCCATCCCATTCCTCACATTTCTTATGGATGTCTCTCTTGCCTACTTCAAAATCATAAATAGTTAAAGGCTTCTCTCTTTCCACTGCTAACTGGAAACAGATAATGAGTACTAGGAGTACTTTTGCTCAATTCAGTTGGCATTGAACAGACACGTTTATTTAAGACATAAATCTAAAACCCAAAGGAAAGCAGACTTAAAAGCAGACTGTCATTCAGTCATGAGTCATCTTTCTCTCTCTCTCAATCTCTCTCTCTCTGTCTCTGTCTCTTTCAAAACCAAGGCAGTTTCAAATCTAAGCTGTCTTCCTTTTTATGTGGAAATATTCCCAAAGGAAGAAAGAAATATTCAGATGTGGAGTGTGTTACTGATGTCTGTTGGCATAACCACAGGCTATTATAATGCTTTAGCAAATGACAGAGGGGATATATGAAATTCATAGAGAAATTTGGCATGTTGAAGAAAGGGACTAAACAAGGTACTTTAGAAATACATTTTATTTCCCCTGTCTTCCTACCTGTTTTGTTTTAGACCAAAAATATTAACGTTACAGAATATTTTTACAAGTAAATATTATGTCATAAAATAAAAGATTCACTTTAAAAGGAATACTTTCAAATAAATTAATCCTTTAAAAGCAAACATTTTTCCATGTTCTAAAATGAACTCAGACATGCATCTCACAGACTTCTGAAATCAACCTTCTGAAACCTATGGCAATTTACACCTAATCTTCACCCATGAGTTTATATTTTAAATATGGCTATAAAAATATATTTTTGCGTTGACAATATTTTTTCAATTAAGGTAAAATTCACAAAACATACAACTGACTATTTTAAAGTATACAATTCAGTGGCAATTACTGTGTTCAGAATTCTGTGGAATCACCACCTCCTTCCAGTTTCAAAATATTTTCATCATCCCAGAACACTCTGAACTTTACGTAATCACTCCCTACTTTTCCATCTCGCTGTCCATTAGTAACCACTGCTTTCTGTCTCTATGGATATTTCAGATAGGGATGGCAAACTACTATGTGTCTCACTGTAATTTGTAATTACTATTAATTCATTTATTGTAAGCATGAGAGACCTGATGATCTCTATAACAATTCAGGCTTCATACAAATGAAGAATCTGAATTTGTACCCCACAATTCATTTTGCATTTTTAATGTCACTTTCCACTATTAATTGCACTACTATCTTTAGAACATTCCTTTCATACAATACTTTCAGAATAACAAAGTTATGACAATGAAATGTAAAAGATAAAAGCTCAAAAAAACCTGTCATTTATAGAAAGTTTTTAAAAGGCTATGGAGTTTCTAGGGAGATAGAAAGGACACATACCTCTCCTTAAATTATGTATTCCTTTTAAATGGGCATATAAAATGGATATTTGTAATATTTACTTAAAATGGAGTCAAAAGATATTTTTAAAAGTAACTTGGAAAAACACTGCAACCGTAAATCAACCACAGATCATGAAGTGAATGAAATAAAATATGATTATCAATAGTATCAACTGTGTAATATGTTTCCACAGAAAGAGAATTCTGAGCCTTTTCTCACTTTGAAAATAATTGAAAGCTATATTTTCTTATAACGCCCTATTATAAAACTAGCCAAAGACTACAAACTAATTAAAACTATTAAGAACTACAAAAGTAATCCACAGAAGGAAAAAACTGCTAAATTCTGGAAGAACACATATTAAAAATGGAGTCCTAATAAGGGAGTGCTGTCAGTGAAAATGCTAACAAACAGCCTACTTGGCATAAACCCGAACTCATGCTGATTTTCTTCACCAAAAACATTAATGGCATTTTCACTGTTATGCTCTAGAATAATAAGCAGCAGGACAATTCAAGCATGGAGAAAAAATAAATTGCATACATTTAAAAAAATCAACAGCCTTGAGCATGAAAATGTAAACAACGAATTTACATTACATGTTTTTTTATAATCACCTCCTTTGAGAATGATATTATATGTATATATTTTCTATTTGAGACATGAACTGACAGAATATTAGGAAGGTCAGCTCACATACTATAGAAATTATCATTGTTCTCAGGCATTAGCAGTTTCATAATTTTGTAAGTGAAGTATGGGCCCAAGTAAAAACTAACCAAAAGCAAAAATGTCCAAAGGTAGAAAAGAATGAAAAAGGAATTGTCATGTTGGTTTATGACTTCCTAGTTTTCCTTAGGGTTGATATATGTAGATATATTTTTCCAACCTCTACATCATTAGAGCAAACCAAAATTGTCTCCAGGCTGATAGAGACAGGATTAAATATAAAGGGAACTATTATATACAAGATAGCATCTTAGTTATGTTTTCCTGGATGCAAAAATATAAGAATAAAATTCATAAATTACATGAAGGTAAAAACTTGTATTTGCAGTGACTAGCACTATACCTGATGTGGGGGTCAAAACTTAACATATATTTCTTAAGTAGATGATTGGAGTTTAATTAGGTAAAATCATTTCTGAAGGAAAAATTTGAAAATAGATTTCAAGAATCCTAAAATTTTCCTTTGCCTTTTATATTGTAATTTTATTTCTGGAAGGTTATTCTGACAATTGAATTTTGTCCTAACAAAAATATTCCAGATTTATATTCAAGGATTTCCACAGTATCATTATTCATAAAAATATAAGTTAGAAACAAGCAAGATAACCTATAATAGTGATTTAGGTTGCAATGAAGTATTAAAATGGCTATTAAAACAATTTTAAGAGGAATTTTTAAGGACAGGAAAAAGTCCACAATATTACTAAGAGAAAAATCAGGATTCGAAAGAGTATTTCTTTTTAGTTTTGTTTAAAAATTTATATGTAGTGAATGGTTATATTTCAGTGTCAGGATTATAGGTGATTTTATGTCTTATTAATTTTCTGTACTTTCCAGATTTCCCACAATAAATATGCAGTATATTTATAACCAATATTTTTTATATATGTGGGTGGGGTATGGGTATATGTGTGAACAATTTCAAAACATATACAGCTAAAAGTTTTACTACTAATATCATAGTGGAACATATTCCTTCCAAGTCATAAGAAAAGGAGAAAATAGTACACATTTTAAATTACAAAATCACTTATAAATCTAAAGACTATAACTTTACATCATTATACATAAATTTAGAAGTGAAACTTCTACATTTATATTTCCCCCAAATATTTAACAGATGTACCTTTTACCATATTAATTTTGAACCATGAAGAAAAATAGTTGAATTTGAAATTTGTCTAAATCCCTGACCTATGCTTCTCATCCTCCCCTCCTAGTCCAATCTGTAATAAGACCTTGGGATTCAAATGAGATAACAAAGTGATACTTACTTATTATAGAAATCTAACTTCCACTCCTTCTTTACCAACTCAAGCAAACTATACATACACACAGACACAGACAGACAGACACGCACGCACACACACACACAGTTTTATTTATGGACTGGGATCATCCAGCCCCAAAAACATTATTTAAGGACGAACTATTGAAATGGATCCATAATAAGAAACAACATTTATTAGCATTTTATAGTATAGTAGAAGAAAATACACATTTTTAACTATAAATGACAACATATGGGCTGTCGATATATGTAAGAATAAGTAGAAAGATGCTACTTATTTTGTAGACTTGAAAAAAGACCACTGGCCTCAAATGAAAAAGTTCACTCTGTTTATGAAATACAAAGGAAAAAAGATAATAAAGGAAGAAATATATTTTAGTGGAACATTTACAATCTCCTAATAGCATCACATATTCCTTACATAACTTTTCTGTTATTGTCACCTTTATGGTCAAAATCATTCTAAAAAAGACATGTCTAATGATTTTTTTAATAACTTCAAATGAACTTTTTTCCTTTTTGCATATACTTCCTATAACTCCTTTTAATTAATGAAAATACTTCAGAAAAATCAAATACTACCCTTTCCTCCCCACCCACCCCCAAAAAAAACCAAAGGAGAAATTTCATAGCTAATTTAACAAAAAGCTATCTTTTTTGGGCTTAAAATATCAGCCTCAAATAATTTAGTTTTTAACTGTAACTTTTTTTTAATCCAAAATTCAAGGTCTGAATTTTGACAACCTAAACAGCTTTTTAATACTCATGAAATTTCAAGTTTAGTAATCAACAACAATACTGGTAATATTAACCTGTATTTTTCTAATATATAACAATAAATTTATTATTTCACTATTTTAAAATGGTTTAATGAGGGAATTACAACAGAACAAACGAATAAAAAGTAAAGACTTAGATTTGTAAAGTTTCTCTAATATCAACACAATATAAAATTCATAAATGAACATTTAAGTTTTATTTTAAAATGTTCAAATCAGGGATCACTTAATGTGCAAAGTTATCTGAAGTATTTAGCAATCCATTATATATTTCTCTATTTCATTTTGTCTATTGACAAAAATATCTCAAGTATCATTTTATTTCATAGCAATATTCAACTCCAATGATTACTATGAGCTGACACCAAATATCCTTAAAGTTGAAAAGCAGTGAAGAATACATGTTTACTTTTATCTGAAATACCATCTTTATATAGTGCAACATTTTTATTTCTCTTAAAAATCTATGACAATTTATAGTCATCTTAAGGTATAGAGCAAAAATTATGAACTTGAATTTTGTTATAATTACTAACATAAAAAAGTTTAGGTACCTTTACAAAATGTAACTTTTATTAAATTTCAGTAAATCTAACTCTTAATAAATGAAGCAGTATGATAAATAATCAAAATTGGATTTCAAAAATTAAAAGAATGAGAAAGTGGGAGGTTAAAAGCACAATTATGTTCTAGGAATAACTTGGTTTGTAAAAAACAAGCATCATATTTTAAAAACACTATTTGATATTCCAAAAAGAAGAGTAAACGTAATGACTACATACTGAAAGTTGTCCTGATAAGAACTGTGGGACATCCCTCAACATTCCAGGACTCATGGGAGAGGTAACAGAAATAGAAGGACGATCCATTTTTTGAGATTCAAAGGAGCTAGAACCTGAAACGATAATTACACATAACGAATAATAACAATGGCTCTTCACAAGTATTTAGTAAGTTTTGCCATATATCTTTTAAATTATTTATTTTTTTGATGTCCACAAGGTGTCATTATATAGACCATTTCTTAGACAAAACATTCCAAATATTCTTAAAGGGTTTTTTTGGAAGCCAAAGGGCACTATAGGGATTCTCTTAAGACTAACAGTGAACCATTTTCTGTGCCAGTTATAGTAGAGACAGACCTCTACCTCAGGACTTAGTTATTATCTGTTAAGTGTACTATATTCATATCTTACAATGACATATTAAGAAAAATTTAAAAGTAGAAACAAGGAGTAATCAAAACATAAATCATTAAAGCAACTGAAAGACAGACTACATTTGCAAACATTAAGAAAATAAGTGCAAAATTATTAAATTTTTAAAACGATGTCTGGCAGAATATAACAAACTGGCAGAAAGAAGTGAGGGGCATGAAAAAAAGGAATAAAATGTTAAATATTTATTGTCACTATTTTGATTCTTGGGGACAAGAACATTCCCTGTATGTCTGTCGTGTTCTCTCGACAGAACATTGCTGATATTCATTGAGATTCAGAACACTGGGGAAGACCTGTTTTTGTTGTTGTTGTTGTTGTTGTTGTTGTTGTTGTTGTTGTTGTTGCTTTGAGACAGAATCTCATTCTGTGGCCCAGGCTGGAGTGCGGTGGCGTGATCTCGGCTCACTGCAAGCTCCGCCTCCCGGGTTCACGCCATTCTCCTGCCTCAGCCTCCCAAGTAGCTGGGACTACAGGCGCCTGCCACCACGTCCGGATAATTTTTTGTATTTTTTTTTTTTTTTAGTAGAGACGGGGTTTCACCGTGTTAGCCAGGATGGTCTCGATCTCCTGACCTCGTGATCCGCCCGCCTCGGCCTCCCAAAGTGCTGGGATTACACGCGTGAGCCACCACGCTAGGCCAGGAAGACCTATATTTAAGGGAATGGATGTATAAAAACTTAATTGGGAACACAGTGAACCTACAACACCTCTGGGACATCCAATGGGAGATGTAAAGCAGGTATGTGGAAGTACAGATGGGACCAAATGTCAAAGTAGAGACTAGTGTTGGAAATTAACCTGTAGAGTGGTATGCCTAATTGGAAATGAGGGGAAACTGCAAGCCTTGGGATTAGAAGTAATGGTGATACCTTTTATATTACTAGCAAGTAGAAAGAATGAAAGCTTTCTACTAAGAAATAAGCTGGGTTTTTTTTGTTGTTGTTGTTGTCGTTGTTGTTTTTTACAATAAAGGTTGTTAAGCTTTAGGTAGCAGGAAGACACAACAGAATGTATTCTTTGAACATCCAGGCATGTAGGGACAATGATAGCTCCTTTTGGTAATGTAAACTTGGAAGTCATACAGCTGGCAATTACAACCATAAGAAGAAAATAATTTATTGAGGAACCAGGAATAAAGAGGGTTAAGGACAGGGGCTTGGAAAAAAACTCAATGTTTAAAGAATAAAAGATTGGATCTAATCTGAGAAAGGACCCCTGTCTCCTCAGAAACGATTTTGGAATTATAGTCTAGGGTCTTTTTAAATAGCTAAAATAAGATAAAGGTTTCCATGCTGCTCATGCAGTATCTGAGAGATGTAATAAAGGTGAATAAAAATTTTAACCTACCCCATAGGATTGTTGTAAAAATTAAATGTGATGGTATAGGTACAACATCAAGCACAGTTACAAGTACTAAATAAAATGGGAGCAATAAGGATAATGATGATAATATCATTTTATAATAATTATAATTTTATTATTTATGTTAGAGTTTTATGTGATCATGATATTACTTTGGATAAAATCATTTAGCACGTAGCCAAAGATACTAAATCAAATAAGCCATGGGACCATATTGTAAAGTATAGAGCTATGGCATTCAAAGGACTACTCTGATAAAAACTTTAAAGAAACTTGTAATTGTAAATATGAAAGTAAAAAACATCTATTTTAATAGTACATTCTCAACTATTGTGGTATATAGAGAATCTGACCACTTCTCACCATCCTCATTGCTACCACCACGGTTTAAGTCACCACTATCTTGCCACTAGATTAGCCTTCTCACTAGTCTCTCTGGTTTTACCCTCGACTCTATTTAATCTATTTGCAATCTAGTAGCCAGATTTTAACACTAAGTATCTACTCAAAACCATCCTAGATAGCTCCCAATTTTCCTGAAAGTAAAAGTCAAAGTCCTTACAGTGGGTTATATAGACTATGCAATTTGCCCATTATTCCTCTGTCCTCATTCATACCATTCTTCCTCTTGCTCACTCCATTCAGCTACACTGGCCTCGTTGAATTTCCTTAAATGCACCTTAGGCTTTCTTGCCATTGCATCCACCTATCCTGTACCTGGAAAGATTTCCCCCCAGGCAGCCACTCCAAATGTTTCCTTCAATCCTTCCTTCTCAGTGTGGTCTATCCTGATCAACATATTTCAAACTGCAATCCTTTTTTTCCTCTCTCCCAATATCCCTTACTGTACTCTCAATCAATAAAGTAACTTAGTTCATTGGAAAAAATTAATTTAACATTGGAAATAGCACTCAAAATAATTTTTTAAATTATAGATAAATTTGACATTAAACTTCTGTATTTATTGTTCCACTACTGCTCTGACGTTAAATCAGAACTGTTATCCCACTTTCCAAAAATAGAAATTAGAATAAATGTAATTATTCACTAGTTTATTCCAAGCATTTCCCCCCACTTAATGAGGATGAGGTTACAAATAGCAAATTTTAAAACTAGGGGAAGTTTTGGGGATGAATTTTTGGGAGTAGTGAATATATTCATGATTTTTTGTTGGGATGATGGTTTCACAGGTATATATGTATTTCAAAACTTACCTAATTGTGTACTTTAAGTATATGCAGTTTATTGTAGTATACCTTAATAATGCTATCTAAAAATCTGTAATAAGACATGTTTAAAAAAAACTTAAAATATTCTACATTTTTGTTTTTCCCACAGTGACATGAAATAATACTAAATTTTCCATCTTTATATGCTTACAGACTTGATAACAAGGTTATCATATTTCTTACTTCACATTACTAGTTAAATACTTCATCTGATCTCTGATGAATGCAATTATAAATAACGTTTTCTTCCAGCATAAATAAAACTTACTGGACTCCAGTTGTGCATGTGTGCTATCAGGTATTCGCGGTATATCTCTGAAATGATTAAAAAAAAAAAGAAAGACAGAAACTGTTTCAACAATTAATGCAACTCATATTTTTTATTATTATCAACCTATTAATAGGAGAGTGTAAAATGAAGAAAACTGTGTATAATAGTGGCATTATATAAATAAGAAACAAACAAGCCTTAGTACTTATTGCTAATAAAAGTATCCTGGGCTAACCCCAACTATTTAAAAGGAATTAAAATTCACATGCATCCATAGCATACTTTTAAAAACAGACTTTATTTTCTATGTGCCTCACTACACAATTACCCATTATAAAAAATTTGCATTCAACAAGATAAGTTTTACAGATACATTTTTATTCTATTCTGCTCTTTGGTTTTACCTGCTATTCTAAATGAGTAACATTAAAGTGCAAATAAAATATCACCAAAATAAAAAGTAAGATATTCATATTGTGATTAAAACTCATTTTATTTTATTTATTTTTATTTTTTTAAGATGGAGTCTCACTCTGTCACCAGGCTGGAGTGCAGTGCCGCGATCTCAGCTCACTGCAACCTCCACTTTCTGGGTTCAAGCAATTCTCCTGCCTCAGCCTAATTTTTGTATTTTTAGCAGAGACGAGGTTTCACCATGTTGGCCAGGCTGGTTTTGAACTCCTGACTTCAAGTGATCCTTCCGCCTCGCCCTCCCAAAGTGCTGGGATTACAGGCATGAGCCACCGGAAACTTTTAAAATGTAGTAACATCATTGAGAAAAAGGCAAACATGTTTCTTATGGGGAATCTCAACATTACCTTGGAACTATATTTACACCAAAAGTAAGTGTATCTTTTTATTTGAGATTTGACACAAGGGGTAAACATTAATGGTTACATTCATTCAGTAAATTACATAAAGAACTATAAATTCTTTAAAATATTAAACAAAAATATGACTTGAAGATCCTTTAATACCAAGAAATATATTTGATCAATACACAAATCTTATGCACTGCAGTTTTACCATAATATAAAACTATGAAAGGACAAAATAAAAAATGAATACAATTTCAAGTGCCAGATTTAATACTTTAAAAGGAACATTTCAATAAAACTAAGCTACCACCCTAAGTCGTTTTCTTCAGCATTTTTAAAAAAGAGATAAAAATAATACAGGCCCATCATTTCCTAAATGAATTAAAACTGGACATTACCATTCTACAACAAAGGATTTCTGTAGGCTTCACCCTAGAATGCTCTTACCCCAAATCTGCATGTAATAATTCACTAACAGTAGTATTTTTCTGTTGCTTTTACTCTGATATAGGTATATATTTTACCTTGGCATGTAATGTAATTCACTTGCCTCTTTAATATTTATTGCTAATGTTTGGAAACTGTCAATTTTAATTTATAGGCATTATATTTAATGCATAGGCATTATAAAACAGAGGTATAAATTACAAAGCCAAAGAGTACTTTGGTGTTTGCTTATTTTTGGTCTGTTTGTCTACCTTGTTAAAAAAGATTTCATGTTTTTCCATAAACTATTACCTCTATGTAGGAATTGTATGTCCTTTGGCCCTTTCTTTCCTATGTTGAAATCTCTATTTTGAAAAATGTAAAATTTATAGACTATAGATGATTTATAGTCTCCTTCCCCTACTAAATCCTATAACCACCTTCTAAAGTGTTACAACAAAATGAATAAACACCTAAATATTTCTTCTTCTTTTGTAATTAACTATATATTCTACCATCTATATGATCAGATAAAGAGATATCATTATTTTTGGTGTGGTGCTTTTGTTAAGGAAAGAGAAAAAGTTATTGTCTACAAAATAATTCATTTCCATAAAGCAATCAGAAATTATTAAATGGCACATTACATATTGTTTAACACTATTCAACTTCACACACATATAAAATACTGAAACCAACTTACCCAATAGGCCTTGAAACTACAAGTTCTACTTGTGGTTCAGGTTTGGATTCTAGAATGATGTTGTACACTTCCTCAAATGTGGCTCCTTGCAGTAGTCTTCCATTCCATTCTAATACTTCATCACCTATAGTGGGTGTCAGTAATAATAATCTTATACAGAAAATTTGATCTGACAAATTACACTTAAGAGCATCTTAAACTTCAATAAACTCCATAGGATAAAATAACCATTATACAATACGAAACATACTGAGAACAACAGTTCCAGTGACACAAAATTTGATGACCATGTTGATTAGTATATTTCACAGGAAAGGACAATGATCGGAGGAAAAAATTATGTAAACATTATCTCTATGGGATTTCTTAATAGAAATTCGAATTCTAAGCAACTATCAAAATCAGTTGCCTCCTTAAAGATTTTATGACTCTATACTCCAGGTTTCTCAATATATGTGCAACTGAGCACCTTGTTTTTTTGTAAAGGGTTTCCAGTATCTAAATTCTCTTGTAAAAACCTTAATAATTAGTATATTATCAAATCCTCTTTAAGGTACTCAAGGATTTCTCCAACAGTATCCATTAACAAAGAGATAAGGGGTGACACACACGGTAGGAAATATGCCTTTATCCATAAAGTTTATTCTAAACTATGTTGGAATTTTCTCAAAAGAAAAAGGTCTTAGGGGAAACAAAACAGGTTAATATTAGATACAGATTAGAACACCAATCAGAAAAAAGTAAGATAAAGTCAAATAAAAATGATTTTTATCTACTATGACTCAAGAAATAATAGTTTTGCCTTTCCATTAATGAATAGAGATTTATATCTAAGTTAAATGAGCTCTTTGTTATTGTCAAATCACTTCTAAATAAATGAAAATAACTCATAACTACTAAAGTTGAATGGTTTAAATGTAAATAATCAAAGGTAAAACCCTACCTGGTCTAAGATGTCCTACAGTATCAGCTAAACTTCCTTTTTTTACTTTAGTAATAAATGCACAAAGCCGACCTGATTCAGTCATCTTTCCTCCTACAACCTGTTTAAAAGAGGAAAGTATTAACATGGGAATATTGTTAAAATGAGCATGGTTGAAGATTCAGGTAAAAGAATACCTAGAACAATTTGCAACACCTAAAACGCTAATTTAATGTACAGAAAATGATTTCTTAAATAATTTATTGTCTCTATTAGGTTAGCACATGCCCTAAGAGCTAGGTCTTTTTCACATATTCCAACTGTTTTGCCATTTAATCCATAATTTGCTGAAGTGTTGCATAACTTAGAAACAACATAACAATTGGTAATTTTTGTCCTGATTCAGGAATTCTTGCTTTTGTCATTTACAAAAACATTTTACAGTATCATTAATTATATAAACATTTCTAGTTATAGATGTAAATACTTTAATACAAAATTTTTGTTTCTTTTACTATAATTAGGATATACCACCAAATTTTCATTGATAATCTTTTAGAAACACTGATAATGTGCTTAATGATGATGGATCTTTCTTGAAAAAAATTACAAAATTTACGTAATCGCATCAGAAGTAACATAAAATTCAGACCATCTGAATCCCAATTTTTCATTTTTATGTTTCTATTAAAATATAACTTTTAGAAAATGAATAAAAATGTTAGGAATAATGCTGTGGAGTCATATGTATACCTGCTGTGGAGTCATATGTATACTTGTATACCTTACAAAATTAATGCTTTGATTCTAATCAACTGCCATTCAGTCAATATCTCAATTTGATGGCAAGTGAAGCAAATAATAGCAACTCACTGACTGAAATGAATTGGTTTTTCTCTTCTAAATAGAGTGAAAGTTATTTGAATTCAAAAATCACGGGGTGTATCTTATTCCATGCATTTTTTCCATAATTACAGTGACTTGCACATAGCTTCAATTCAGTTAATAAACTAATTAGTCCTATGTTTAATTCTGAAAATTATATGTATAGCTCTTATTGACTTATATCCTTAAGTAAATATTTAAAAACTTTTTGGCTTAACAAACATTAATAATAATTAATTATACTGGCTATAATGATTATTGATATCTTAAAGCTTGCCAGACACTTTACTAAATGTTTGTATGTTGATTTATTTAATCATATTACAACAATTCAATTATCCTCATCGAACAGGTAAGAAATCTAAAGCTAAGAGAAGTTTATTTGTCCGGTTTCACGTAACTAGTAACTCCTGTATTTGGAATTGAAGCCAAGACTTGCTAACCTTTATTCTAACACTATAATAGGCATATCTGGATTAAAAAAATTGTTTTTAAGACAAAGGGTCTCACTATTTTGCTCAGGCTGGACTTGAAACCCTGGGCTCAAGCAATCCTCCTGCCTTAGCCTTCCAAGTAGCTGGGACTATAGGCACATCTCACTGTCCCTGGAAATGGTCAAATCTGAATTTAAATCCCACCATTGTCACCATCTTGTGACCATGGGTAAGTTAAACACCTTTCTGGGCCTATTTCTCATCTATTGTGAGTGTTCTAGGATAACAGATATAAAATGCTCAGGTTGAGTGCAAGCACATGGATGCCACACAATAAATGTTAGTAGTCTGATATAGTTTGGATGTTTGTCCCTGCGCAAATCTCATGTTGAATTGTAATCCCCAATGCTGGAGGTAGAACCTGAGGAGAGGTGTTTGGATCATGGGACAGATCCCTTGTGGCTTGGTGCTGTCTTTGTGATAGTGAGTTCTTGCAAGATCTGGTCATTTAAACCTATGTGGCACCTTGCTTCCCACTCCCACTCTCTCTTGCTCCTGCTTTTGCCATGTGACATGCGTACTCTCCCTTCACCTTTGACCATAATTGTAAGCTTCCTGAGGCCTCCCCAGAAGCCAAGCAGATGTTGGCATCATGCTTCCTTTAAAGCCTGCAGAACTATGAGCTGATTAAACCTCTTTTCTTTATAAATTACCCAGTCAGGTATTTCTTTACAGCAATGCAAGAAAGACCTAATACACAGCCCAATTCTACCTACATCCAAAGTTTCCTAATATCTCTTATATTCTACAGGACAATTTTTATAGGAATGGCTTAGCTCTAAAACATTTACTTTTTTTAGAGAGAGACAGAGTCTCACTCTGTTGCCCAGGCTGGAATTCAGTGGTGTGATCACAGCCCACTGTAACCTCGAACTCCTGGCAATCCTCCTGCCTCAGCCTCCTCAGTAGCTAGGACTCCAGGCATGTGCTGCTATGTCCAACTAATTTAAAATTTTTTGGGCTGAGCGCAGTGGCTCACGCCTGTAATCCCAGCATGCTGGGAGGTCATGGTGGGCGGATCACAAGGTCAAGAGATCAAGATCATCCTGGCCAACATGGTGAAACCCCGTCTCTACTAAAAATACAAAAAAAAAAAAATAGCTGGGTATGGTGGTGCGCGCCTATAGTCACAGCTACTTGGGAGGCTGAGGCAGGAGAATCACTTGAATCCAAGAGGCGAAGGTTGCAGTGACCCGAGATCATGCCACTGCACTCCAGCCTGGGACATACAGCGAGACTCCATCTCAAAAAAAAAAAAAAAAAAAACAACAAAAAAAGTTTGCTAGAGACAGGACTTCACTATGTTGTCTAGGTCGGTCTCAAACTCCTGGTCTAAAGCAATTTTCCCACCTGGGCCTTCCAAAGTGTTGTGATTACAGGCATGAACCATGACACCCAGCATATTCTTTATTCATTTCAGGTTTTAATTGGTTATACTACATGCACAAAAAACAAACAAAGCTCTATTTAATGTATTTACCAAATAATTTTCTGGTATTTTACTGTAAAACATAAATCAATATTTGTATTTAATCTCCCAGCATAATTATTTTTGTTTTTAGAATTCAAACAGTACTCTCTCTTAAGTGCACATATGCACATACACATGCACACACACATTTTACAGCATTTATACAAAATTATATATATACACATATGCAATATACATATATATACATATTACATTTCCCAAGTTTTCATTTTCAGTAATTATTAAAAAACTATCACTTTAATAAAATATAAACATAGATTTTGACTTAAAGAATAAACTGTATAATTAAAATACATTCGACCACTGTATTTAAGATTCAAGTAGATCTTAATTAGGTTACTTTTAATGTCTTCCAAATTTATATATATACAAGTATTACTGTGGAATTATGGCAACTTCTTAAATAATAGTGGGAAAATGAAATGTTTTAGATAATGAGTGCGAATCTTCACAAACTATTGAAAATGGAAAAATACACTACTAAATTGGTACAGGTTGAAAGAGTTATCCTTTGCTTTTCTGGTAAATCTGTAAGAGTATAGAGCCAAAATCTCATACTTTTTATTACATACCTTCAAGCCAAGCATTGCTCCTGAATCTCGAGGTACACTTCCATCTTTTAGACGCTTATTTAATAAAATGCGACCAATTAAACGATCTCCATCTTTAGATGGTTGCCAGGTTACAGGGTGCTGACATTTTGCATCAACAAACAAAATAAATAAATACAAAATAAATAAATGATTTTATTTATCGTTTTATGACAAATGATCTCTGATTGTACGACCTCTCTAAACTTCAGAATTTCAGTGTTATGATTACACAAACCAGCTTTCATTTCAAAGCACTGATCATAAGGGTGTACTATATTATGCTTATAACCTCAATATAATCTCAAAGTTTTTTTCAAAATCCAATTACTTCCAATTCTTACAGTTCTCTAACACAATACTGAAGTTATATAGCTCTACAAAATCTGAGAAATTTTGAAAATGCATGCAACTCTAATTATCTACATGCTGAAAAATAAAAATTCACGGGAAGAAAAGATGCATTGAAATTCTACGCAAGTGAATTCATTTAAAAATGAAAATTTCCTCTTCAAACACTTTTGGAAGATTTTGAAAGCCTGTATTACAGTAAAAATTTAAAAGTCAAATCATATTAAAACATTACATTTGAGCCTATGATGAGGGCTTTTTTGCATAGGTTTCTAGATTAAAATAATAAAGTGTACACAAGCCCCAATAAATTCCCAGTTGAATCTGCATGGGAGAAATAGGCTTCATCTACAGGTGAGAATAGATTACAGTTCTCATTTCTCAGAGGTTCTTTCATGATTCTTTCAGGTCTTTGATCTATTTAGTAAATTACCTTTACTAGATAATTCAATGATATTCATTGTTAAATAACCTTGAAAACATTATTCTTTCTTTCTCAGGGCTGAACCAAGGCCTCTGTAAATAATGACAGTATTCTGTTATGAATGATATTCTAAGTAAAGAAAGTAAATGATTTGTGTAATCATAGTTTCACAGTTATCAAAAAGTAACAGGCATATCTTCATGCAAAATTTAGCAGGCAAAACATAAGTTCCAGTCAATTACATCTATATTGTAAAAAGATATCAAAAGTCCCACTATCCTAAGAGCAACAATGATAAATATCAAAGCAGATGGCAAGGGCTCTAATACTAATTAATACCACATTAAAATGCTATGACAATAAAACAAAAGACCAAAATGACAGTGAAAGGGAAAAAAGAAAAACAACTTTTTCTGTGCAAACAGACCCAATTATCTCCCTTTTGCCTGGGATTCAAACTATTAATAATTTAATTTTCATCCCAAGGAAAATATATGCAAACAATCAAATAAGCCAATCCAAAACTTATTTATTATTTGTGGTTTTTAATAACATTACAAAGTTCTCTCATGCGACAAAAGACAAAACATTCCTTTGTTCCTAAGTTTTATTTTCATATACTTATTTTTTGGTATGCCGTCAAACAATAAAAACAGCAAAGCAAGCAAGAGGTTTTTTTTGGTTTGTTGTTTGTTTAGTTTGGTTTTGTTTTTCTTTTCTGCACCTTAAGAAATGCTACAGTGACCCTTGAGATGCCCTGTCCTTTTATTATGTTCTGTTTTAATGAGTGACAGAGAGCAAACGAAGACCAAATGAGCAGGTTAAAAGGCAGGCTCCACAATCTCAGTACCTTATCACTATGGCTATGCTCCTCGTTAAGGGTTGTGCTACTACACGTATCTACCCCAGAGTCCTTAATCTGAGGTTCAGACCATTCCAAATCCTCTTCCAAAGAGTGGCCACCAAAGTACATCATTTCCTTTTGTCTCTCAGACCTGGTGTTAGAGTCCGACAAAACTGCCTGCTCACTAGTTTTTCTTTTTCCCTTTTGACTGTCCCCTACAGGTATGGGATAAAAAAAAAAAAAAGATACAAAAAAGAAACATGCAAAGGTGTAAATAAAAAAGGAAAAGTGAAATGATAACGAAAATTAAATAGTAAGGCTCCACATGTCTCACCAAAGACATTGGGGATGCCTCACTGCTATGCCAAGACGTATGATCCAACCAGTTGTAATCCATGTCTCCTGTGAGAGTCAGACAAAAGAGTGCAGTAAAGGAGATGGTGAAAAAAGGGACAGACAGAGACATTATAAACATTTTAAACTGTGTGATCCTGTCTGGTCTCAAGAACTTTGTCTGTAGCACTCACTATATATATATATATATAGTGAGTGCTATATATATGCCAAAAGAAAGCTAATATTCAAAAAGTAAAATTTATAGAAAGTATAATATAAAGTTTATATCTCTAGACAGACCCTACAAAAGTCCTGCAAAAAGAGAAAAAGCTAATAATAAACAGAAATAATAAACAGAAATAGAAACAAAAAATGTATATGCTGAAAAAGACTATTAGCTATGACTGTTATTCATGCCATATATTTTTTTTACTCCTGTGCTGGTCTAAAGACATGAGTTTGTTCTCCAAAGATTAAGGGACATTTAAAAAGTTTACATTGGTTTGCAATAGCCAGTATTTTAAAAAGCCAAATAATTAAAAGTCATTTCTGAAATGCAGTATGATATTCTTCATCATGCTAAAACCTCCTAAGAAATTTGTGTCGTTAAAAAAATTGTTTTCACAAAAGATTAATTTGTATGAAAATTATAAAACAGGTTCATTCAATATCTATTAGTAAAAATAAACTTTACTTAAACATCATGAATCACTTAATATTTTGAAATAATTTTTCCACATTTTTCAGAAATCACATTCTTATAATAAGTAAATTACAAAAAATTTTGTCAGACAATTTATGTAATTGGCAACTAAGAATGTATATCCACCATTTCCCAAACTTACATGCTTATTTGCTCAGTATTTCAAAATATAAAATATTTTTATCTTAAATTTTTTAGTCTATATATGTACATATATCTTTTAAAATTCTATTTATAATTTTATTTTTCTAAAAATACTGAACACCTTCCATTTGGTATGTATTGTGCTAAGCTCTACTTGAAAGGGTAAAACAATGAAATATGCTTACAACAGAGTAGGGATAGAGAAACAGATCATCAGTGTCATATAGAAAAATACAAGACACTACGAAAGAATACAATAAGATCTAATTTAGACTTTGGGGTCAGCAAACACCCCTCAAGTAATGTTTAAGATGAGAACTGAAAGATGTGACATGGTGCTATAAAAGAACTGAAGGAACACCATGGTTTCTGAACCAAAAAGAATGAAGAAGAATATAGTATTAAATGAAACTGGTAAGGCAGCACAGAACAACTTAGGTAGGTCTTTCTATTTCATATTAAAGATTTTAAATTTCAAACACTGAAGGATTTTAAGTGAAATGGTGACATAATCTGATTAACATTTTAAAAAGGATGAATATAAGTACTATATAGAGACTAGGTTGTATGACACCAAAAGTTAAAAGACATTTACAATAACCCTTGGGAAAGGTAATTATGGCTTGAATAAAGATAATAGCAATAGACATGGTAAGAAAAGAGGGATTGAGAGATGTTTTTGAAGTAGAAATAACAGTGTTAAGAAAGACTAAAGAGTCAAGGTTAACTCCCCGGTTTCTGGCATTAATAACTGAATGGAAGAAAAAATTTATGAGATGGAGACGACTGGAGGAAGAGCACTTCTTGTTAGGGAAGGGTAACAGGGAATTACTCTATTTCATAAAATATATGATGCCATTGACTATAGGATTCATAACTTTCAGGATATAAAATGATAAAAATGTACATCTGAGAATGTATTAAATATGGTGGTTGATTTTTGATATATTATTTGAACCTAGTGGACATATAAGAAGGAATCTGGTCAAGGTGTAATAAAACTTAAAGTTTTGGCCAGGCATGGTGGCTCACGCCTGTAATCGCAACACTTTGGGAGGCTGATGCAGACGGATCACGAGGTCAAGAGATGGAGATCATCCTGGCCAACATGGTAAAGTCCCATCTCTACTAAAAATACAAAAAATTAGCTGGGCATGGTGGTGCACGCCTGTAGTCCAAGCTATTCGGGAGGCTGAGGCAGGAGGATTTCTTGAACCTGGGAGGCGGAGGTTGCAGTGAGCTGAGATTGCGCCACTGCACTCCAGCCTGGAGACAGAGCGAGACTGTCTCAAGAAAGAAAACAAAGGCCGGGCGCGGTGGCTTACGCCTGTAATCCCAGCACTTTGGGAGGCCGAGGCGGGCGGATCTCGAGGTCAGGAGATCGAGACCATCCTGGCTAACACGGTGAAACCCCGTCTCTACTAAAAAAAATACAAAAAGTTAGCCGGGCATGGTGGCGGGTGCATGTAGTCCCAGCTATTCAGGAGGCTGAGGCAGGAGAATAGCGTGAACCCGGGAGGCGGAACTTGCAGTGAGCCGGGAGCGCACCACTGCACTCCAGCCTGGGCGACAGAGCGACTCCGTCTCAAAAAAAAAACATAAAAAATAAAAATAAAATAAAATAAAAAAAACAAAAAATTCAAAGTTTTGATCTGGAGACATAAATTGGCAATAATTAACATATAGACAGGAGTATGTGAGATCATTTAGAAATAGAGGGTAAAATAAGGTATGAAGAGAATCCAAACTGAATTCTAACATTTAGGGTTTGATTTGAGAAAAAACAAAAAAGAGAAAAGATTCAGAAACAGCATGCAGAGAAAAAAAAGGAAGGAAGGAGGGAGACAGAGGGAGGTCTACAAATCAAATAGAGTTTCCTAAAACAAAGAAGAAATCAACTATACTGAATGATTTTTACTTATCAAATAAGATGAGGAGGTGAAAAATATGCATTGGATTTGGCAATCATGAAGATTAGAAAAGATGTCAGGAAGAACAATTGGATAGAATGATGAAAATTAAAACCAGGTTGAAGAAACTGAAGAACCAAGGGAAGTAAAAAAGTAGAAAAAGTTGTGTGTAAATGAATGGTTCTCAAATTGCATTCCTCAAAATAGCATCATCAGCAACACCTGGGAACATGTTAGAACTGTAAATTCTTGGGTGCCACCCTAGACTTAATGAATCAGAAACTGTTGGTGGGCCTAGCAGTCTATATTTTAACAAGCCTTCCAGATGATTATGGTTAGATGTTTCAGAATTACTGGAGGCAATTCTTTTAAGAAACTAATTTATAAAAGAGAATAGGCTTTATTACCTAACACACACAATATGCAATTTGTAGAAAGAACCCCATTCTTTCTGTGGGCTAGAGAAGTGCTTCCCAAGCTTTTTCATGGCACAAATAATTACAATATTGGTAAAACACACTGGAGTATATGGAGATGACCAGTACATGGGATACTTAATGCCCATGCCTGGATGGCTGCCCAAAAAGCTAAGTGTATCTATGTCTCAGAAAACCTGTAGCCCTTTCAAAATACAGTATTGTCCCATAACAAAGCATTGACAAATCTGTGCACTAGAGATAAAACAGTAGAAGCCTGAAGCCTGTAAATAAAAATTCTTAACTGGTTTGTGTGACAGTAAGAAAATTCAGCTCAAAATTTCTCTTCTCCCTCTGTGCTTGCAACCTACCAAAAAGGCAGAAATGTAATTCTTTTTCTCTGAAAATAAAAAAACATAAGCTGTTTAACCATTTGAAACTAAAGCAAAAACATCTGATTGACAAAAAAACCTGTCATATATGCTGGGTGCAGTGGCTCACGCCTGTAATCCCAGCACTTAGTGAGGCTGAGGCAGGTGGATCACCTGAGGTCAGGAGTTTGAAACCAGCCTGGCCAACCTGATGAAACTCCATCTCTAATAAAAATACGAAAACTAGCTGGGCATGGTGGCATGTAGCTCCCAGTCCCAGCTACTTGGGAGGCTGAGGCAAGAGAATCATTTGAACCCGGAAGGCGGAGGTTGCAGTAAGCTGAGACAGTGCCATTGCACTCCAGCCTGGGCAACAACAGAACGAGACTTCATCTCCAAAAACAAAAACAAAACAAAACAAAACAAAAAACTGTCATGTATAAGTACTAACTAAACACTTGTTGAATAAGTAAAATTAGTGTCCCTGTAAGAATAAGATAATTAATGGTAATTCATATAGAAAATAGTCCTAAAAACTATTAAGACTATTATTATAGACCTAATAATAGTTTCCACTGGATATTCTTATTTTTTGCAGCTTAATAGTACAGAACTAAGATAATAAAATATCTTTCTTTAGTAACAGTACAAAAATGTATTATTGGGCTTTCCAGTTCTAGAACAAGAACTAGAAAGCACATAAAGAACCAAATGGAAATTTTAGAACTAAAAAATTACTGAAATACAAAAAGCAAATTGATGGGCTCAACCACAGAATGGAGAGGACAGAGGAATGACTCAATGAACTTGAAGATGGAACAATAAAAATGACCCAATCTGAAAAACAGACAGAAAACAGACTACAGAAAAAAAAAAAAAAGAAAAGAAAATGAACGGAGCCTCAAGGGCCTAAGAAACTATAGCAAAAAGTCTAACACTCATATCATTGTAAGTCCAGGAGAAAAGAAAGTGAATGGGCTAAAAAAAAAAAAAGTATTCAAAGAAATAAAGACTGAAAATTTCCCAAATTTGGCCAAAGATATAAGCCTACAGATTGAAAAACTATGTAAAACCCTATACAAACAATACCCAAAGATATCTGTTACAAGATACACCATAATCAAACTAAAACTAAAAACGAAATATCTTAAAAGCTCCAAGAAAAAAGCAACACCTTACCTAAAGGGGAAAAACAATTCAAATGATAGCCAACCCCTCATCAGAAACAGAGGCCAAAAGGAAGTGGCACAATATTTTTCAATTGCTAAAATAAGAGAAATGTCAACCTGAATTCTAAATATGATGAAATTATCTCTCAGAAATGAATGAGAAATACATTCTCAGGCAAAAGAAAACAAAGACAATCTGTCACCAGCAGATCTATCCTAAAAAAATAACTAAAGGAAGTTCTTGAAACAAAAGAGAAACAAAAAAAGAAGGAATCTGAAAGTATCAAGAAGAAATAAAGATACTAAACAAAAATATGGGTTTTCTTCTCCTCTTGAGTTTTCTAAATTATGTTTCTGATATTTAAAGTGCAGAACATACATTGTCTGATGTGGTTTTCAACATATATAAAGAAAATATTTAAGACAAGTCCATTATGAGATAAGGGAGAAAATAAAGGAATTTAAATGACTTAAGGTTTCTACATTCCAGTCTAGTTAAACGTCAGCACCAATACAAGGTGATAAGTTGTGTACATGTAATATATTACCTAAAGCAACCACACAAAAAAACCTACAAAAAGAAATACACTTAAACATTCTAGCTCAATCAAAACACAATTCACAAAATGTTTAAAAAAAAAGTTCAAATAACCTGTAGGAAGGCAAGGAAAAGAAAACAACAAAATGAACAATAGAAGGAACAAACAGAAAACAAAAAAGAAAATGACAAACTATAAATGAGCTGTAGACCAATATTGTTCATGATTATAAACATAGAAATCCTTAACAAAATATTAGCAAAGAGAATCCAGTGACATGTAAAAAGAATTATACACTATGACCAAATGAAGTTTATTCCTGGAATGCAAGACTGGTTGAATATTTGAAAATCAGTGTGATCCACATATTAAAAAGTTAAAGGAAAATAATTACATGATCTTATCCATTGAGCGCTGATGTAGAAAATGCATTCATGGTTTTTAAAAACTCTAAAAAAAAATTGAGGGGAACTGGCTCAAACTAACATAGAACAACAATAAAAATCCAACAGCTAAGATCATACTTAATGATAAAAGGCTGAATGCTTTATATAAACAGAAATTTCACCAAAGAAGATATCTTCATTTATAACAGGCAAAAAGTGGAAACAACCAAAATATCCATTAATAGTTGTGGTATATCTATACCATGGAATGCTACTTATAATAAAAAGGAAAAAACTATACACACAACATGGATAGACCTCAAGGGCATTATATGAATTGGAAAAAAACTCAAAATGTCACATACTGTATGATTTCATTCATATATCATTCTCTAAATGATAAAAATCTAGACATAAAGTACAAATTAGTGGTTGGCAGACATCAGGGATGGTGGAGAAGGAGTAAGATGTCATTAGAAAGAGGAAGCGTAAGAACAATCTTTGTGGTAATATAGTAGTTCTTCATCTTTATAGAAGTGGTGGTTATATGAATCCATATATGTGATAAGATGTCCTAGAACTATAAAAACATTGTTCCAGTATTAGTTTCTTAATTATAGCTAAGCAAGATATAACCACTGAGGAAACTCGGTGAAGCATATATAGGATCTCACTGAACTATCTTTCCAACTTCCTACAAATCTATAAATACTTCAAAGTAAAAATCTAAATGTCTTGCTGCCTTCATAGACTGTCACCACCCCATCACAACAGGTGTTCAAAGAAAAGGCTAGAGTATCACTTGTCAGCACGATGTAGAGAAGGGTCAATGCTTCAGATAGGAAGTTACACAAGAAGCACACTAAATCCTGTCTAACTCTGGTATTCAGTTATTCTATTAACACAAGTTAAACATACTTAAATATGAGGACCTGACAAAAAATAATCTAAAAATTTGAACCTTTGACTAAAATTTCCCCTTCACTTACTTCTATTGTAAAATACAAACAAACCTAATTATGTGTGTATGTGTGTTCTATACACAGAGAAAAAATGTTCATATATTCTATTTACAACATTTTGTCATACAGTCATTACATTAAGACAATAGTTCATTAACTATTTTATATCATTGTTTTTCATTACTTTGGGTTAATAAATACTTAAAAATTAAATCACATAGTACATAAAGGCATTCTTCAACAACCTCATTTTCAACTTCATCATGTTTATAAAGTAATAACATGTTGTAACAGAAAGAGTTTTATAGTTGAAGCTAGAAAAGCTATACTAATATACTGACTTCACCCCTTATCAATTTTATGACTTGTACAAGTCATGGGCCTCATTTTCTCATCGGTTTTGAAAAAAATTAGTTGTGATATCTAACAGATTGCTGAGAGTTTTAAATAAGATAGTCATGAAAGCTCTTTGCAAAGTGTAGTCATACCAAGTTCATGATCTCATCATCATTTTTTAAAAAAATATTAACTTTCATTCTAATTAGGTAGGGAACATTTAACTATGACTCTTTTATGTTTTTTATTTCTCTTCTTGGTATTCTGTCCTCCTTTTCAACTTGTCAAGTTATACATGTGGCATTTCCCAATGTGTATTGCATGGAATACTGGTTCTGCAAAATGTTAAAGGGCACTGAGTAATTTAAAAGTTCTCTAATCAAATAACTTTGGAAAACTCTAATTTAAGTACAATTAAATAGGTTTCTTGAGTGTAGGACTTTTTTCAAATAATAACGACAATATGCTTCACTAAGAGGATTATATAATATATTGTTTCCACAAACTTAATTGAAACACAGAAGATTTCTCAGAGGACAAGTGTCCCAGGAACTATATTTTGAGACATATTGCTGAAGCCTTCCTGGAGGGTCATTTCCTCTCATAAGATAGTCACTAAAACTGATAATAAGTCTTAAGTCTTTCCCATTCCAAAGAAAATGTTCTAGTAAACTATTAAACACAAAGTCCAACTAAAAAAGGTCATATATAGGGTATATTATGTAAGGCAATGGTTTGCAAACTATGTTCCATGGAGTTGCTTCAGAGAAAACTGTTGGACACTGTGCAGAGGACTGATTGTAGCCCATAATCCCCACCTCATGGTATTCATGGCTTTGTATATGAGTCACAAGTCATATGACCTGTGACTTGCTCATAAACAAGGTAGGGGGATGGCAAGGTGATGGGATCTTACTCCCATGACACTGTTAAGTTTCATAAGACTTTGCCTTGCTAGTCAGCTTGTTTTAGATACTCTCTTTGCTGGCTTAACGAAGTAAGCAGCCATGATGTAAAGCACATGTTACAAAGGAAATGCAGGCAGCCTTTAGGAACTGTGGATACCTTCTAGGAACTACTAACAGCCTTTAGGAGATGTGGGGGAGCTGATGGCAGCTTCTTGTCAAAAGGAAATAAATTCTGCCAACAATCTTATTAAACTTGGAATCAGATTCTTCCCTGCATCAAGTGTCCAGATAGAAATGCAGCACAGATGACAACTTGATTGTAACTGTAGGAAACCTAGCTTAGCCATGCTAAGACTCCTAACCAACAGAAACTGTGAGATAATAAACATGTGTTGTTGTTTTAAGCTGCTAAGTGTCTGGCAATTTGCTCTTAATTCACTGCCAGCTCTGAAAGCAGCAGATTTTAGAATAGGAACCAAACCAAAATGTCAGTAGATCTAGAGGCCCCATGTGCTTAGACCAAGTCTTAAGCTCCAATACAAAAGCATGGCTGGCTAAAGTACAGTAGAATTTGAAATAGGATGATAAACATTATCCATAATTAGCTTATTTTTTAAAATCTTGCTCTTTTGGTATTACCAACATATTCTTCTTTAAAAACATGTAATTGATGAAATGATTGTATATATGGCATATATTAGAATTCATCTTAATAATTACACAATTTGAAACTGTTCTAGGTTCCACAGGTACAAATAGGAGCTTAAGAAATTCACATTCTAGAAAGATAGACAAGTAAAATATATAATTTAAATATGTATATAGATTTCTTTGGAAGCATATAGTCTCATTTCCTGCAACTAGTGGGCATAAACAGCTAAGTATCAAGCCCAAGTGTTAATTATAAAGGTAACAATGCTCTAAAGAAAGTAAAATTCTCAATGTCAGCAAGTTTGCCACACTAAGGGCAGATTCCTGAAAGTAGGGAAACCTGAGGCATGGAATGGGGACATCTTAGCTGCATGTACTTGAAATTCCTAAAACTAGATCCCCTGAACCCTCTGAATCTGAGGATTCAGATGCCCCTCCATTTGCTAAAGAAATAAGAAACACACTGCTGAGGCAGACACCAGCATCATTGAGAATACCAGTGTTGGCTTTCCTCTTACTGATAGGGCTGACAGTAAGAGATGTTGTTACTTATCTGGGCTCCCCAAAAACAATCAGATAAAGAGGAGCCTGAAATAGAGGCCAGGTGACAGCTATTAGCAATCAAATACATAGTGAGTATGCCATTATTATAATGAGTGTCAAGGTAGGAGTGGTAGCCACAGAGTATGGATACACATTGCTAAGGAGAAGATCATTGAGCACAGCGTCCCTGGGGGCAAGACAGATGCGCAACTAATGAAGATATGCCCAATCTATATAATCAAAACAAAAATTATGGATAATCAGGAGGCTAAGGGAAACCACCCCAATAACAAGACAAAACTCCTTGCATAGTTTCTGGATCTAAACCAGTTTTCAGACATGGAATCCTGTGACTGAAAGAAAGGATGAGTTGCCAGGAGGAAGAACTCTAACATCATGGAAAGTGAATTCAGCTGTTTTCTCAGGTAACAGTAAACACAGGAAAGGAAATAACCCACACATTTTAAGAACTATTGGACACAATGTACCTAGTTGACAGTGACACTGAAAATCCCAGTATCATCATAACCCCACTTTTAAATTGGGGTTATATAGAAAATAAGTAATAAATTGAGTCCTGGCCCAAGTCTGGCCCATGGTAGGCTCAATAATTCCACAGATTCCATTTAGTGGTATTTATAGCAGTCTCCATATAGACATACTTGGTATTCAGAATAACCCCTACATTAGTTCCTTGGCCTGTGGAATTAAGAACTACTATAATGGCCTGGCCAACACAGTGAAATCCTGTCTTTACTAAAAATACAAAAATTAGCTGGGCGTGGTGGTGGGCACTTGTAATCCCAGCTACTCAGGAGGCTGAGGCAGGAGAATCGCTTGAACCCAGGAGGTGGAGACTGTAGTGAGCTGAGATCACACCATTGCACTCCAGTCTGGGAGACAAGAGTGAGACTCTATCTCAAACGAACAAACAAAATCTCTCAGCATTTGCTTGTCTGTAAGGGATTTTATTTCTCCTTCACTTATGAAGCTTAGTTTGGCTGGATATGGCTACCTGAGTTCAAACTATACTACAAGGATACAGTAACTAAAACAGCATGGTACTGGTACCAAAACAGAGATATAGACCAATGGAACAGAACAGAGCCCTCAGAAATAATACCACACATCTACAACTATCTGATCTTTGATAAACCTGACAAAAACAAGAAATGTGGAAAGGATTCCCTATTTAACAAATGGTGCTGGGAAAACTTGCTAGCCATAGGTAGAAAGCTGAAACTGGATCCCTTCCTTACACCTTATACAAAAATTAATTCAAGATGGATTAAAGACTTAAATGTTAGACCTAAAACCATAAAAACCCTAGAAGAAAACCTAGGTAATACCATTCAGGACATAGGCATGGGCAAGGACTTCATGTCTAAAACACCAAAAGCAATGGCAACAAAAGCCAAAATTGACAAATAGGATCTAATTAAACTAAAGAGCTTCTGCACAGCAAAAGAAACTACCATCAGAGTGAACAGGCAACCTACAGAATGGGAGAAAATTTTTGCAATCTACCCATACGACAAAGGGCTAATATCCAGAATCTACAAAGAACTCAAACAAATTTACAAGAAAAAAACCACCCCATCAACAAGTGGGCAAAGGATATGAAAAGACACTTTTCAAAAGAAGACATTTATGCAACCAACAGACACATGAAAAAATGCTCATCATCACTGGCCATCAGAGAAATGCAAATCAAAACCACAATGAGATACCATCTCATGCCAGTTAGAATGGCGATCATTTAAAAAGTCAGGAAACAACAGGTGCTGGAGAGGATGTGGAGAAATAGGGACACTTTTACACTGTTGGTAGGACTGTAAACTAGTTCAACCATTGTGGAAGACAGTGTGGCGATTCCTCAGGGATCTAGAACTAGAAATACCATTTGACCCAGCCATCCCATTACTGGGTATATACCCAAAGGACTATAAATCATGCTGCTATAAAGACACATGCACACATATGTTTATTGCGGCATTATTCACAATAGCAAAGAGTTGGAACCAACCCAAATGTCCAACAATGATAGACTGGTTTAAGAAAATGTGGCACATATACACCATGGAATACTATGCAGCCATAAAAATTGATGAGTTCATGTCCTTTGTAGGGACATGGATGAAGCTGGAAACCACCATTCTCAGCAAACTATCACAAGGATAAAAAACCAAACCCTGCATGTTCTCACTCATAGGTAGGAAATGAAGAATGAGAACACTTGGACAGGAAGGGGAACATCACACACTGGGGCCTGTTGTGGGGTGGGGGGAGTGGGGAGGGATAGCATTAGGAGATATACCTAATGTAAATGACGAGTTCATGGGTGCAGCACACCAACATGGCACATGTATACATATGTAACAAACCTGCACATTGTGCACACGTACCCTAGAACTTAAAGTATAATAATAAAAAAAAATAAAAACAAACAAAAAGAACTACCATAATGGGGAAAGTCAAGCCTAAGCCTCTGAAAATTCCATCTCCCACTGGTGAAAATTACATAAAAAATAAGGGCACAAAGGTGATGGCCTACATTATATTCCTTTTTTTAATTCAACAGTCTGCCCTCTAAAAAAGCAGGTGCATTGATACATCCTAAAAAATGACAGTGGACTACTATAAACTCAATCAAGTAGTAGCCCCATCTCAGGTTAACATGCCAGATGTTGCATCTTCCCTAAATAATTAATACTGCCCCAAGTACATGATATGCAGACACTGAACTGGTAAATATGTTTTTTTCCATTCCTATCAAGAAGGACCAGAACTATCACATACCCCTGGGATGGACAAAAGGACATACTGATAGTTCTTTCCAGGGTTATGCTAATTCTCCTGCCTTCTATCATAATACAGTCCAAAAAGACTGAGACCATAGGGACATTCCACAGGACATCATATTGGTCCACTATATGGTGAGAAAGAAGTAGTAATTATATTTGAAGTCTTGTTTAGTCATATACTCTTTAGAGGGTAGAAGGTAAATCCTACAAAGATTCAGAGGCCTGTAACACCAGAGAAATTTTTAGAGACCTAGTGGTCATGGGAATGGTCAGATCATCCCCTCTGAGACAAAGGACAAATTATTACCTCTTGTACCTACCACCAATGAGAAGGAAGCACAACGCGTGGTAGGTCATCTCTTTGGATTCTGAAGGCAGCATATTCCACACTATGCAATATTGATTGGACTCAATTGCCAAGAATACAGAAGGCTTCCAGCTCAAAATAGAACCCAGAGCAGAAAGACGCTTTAGATAAAGTCCAACCCTGCCACTTGGGCCACATGATATAACAAACTATATGGTATTAAAAGCATCTATGGTGGGAAAAGAAGCCATATACAATTTATGGCAAGTCTCACTAGGAGAATCACAATGTACACACTTGTTCTGGAACAAGGCCATGTAGTCTGCAGTGGAAACCTATATACTACTTCTTGGTATGCTCTTAGCCCTGGTGGAGGGCAAAGATCTAGTCATAAATCATCAATGACCAAACAGCTAGAAGTGCCCCTCATAAGCTAGGGTCTGCTAGGTCTGCAAACTGAAAGGTTGGACAAGCCAAACAATGATTCATTATAAGACAGATGTAGTGATCCATATTTGAGCATCAGTAGGACCAGAGGGCATGAGTAAAATGCATATGAAGGTAACGCAGACTTCCATGCCATCTACTAATATTGTATTGGCATCTCTCCCTCAGCTCACATCTATGGCCACATGAGGGGCCACTTATGGCTACCTGACAAAGGAGGACAAACATCATGCCTGGTTCACTGATGGGATAGCTCAGCATGTGTATGAAAGCCAAAAGTAGACTGGTGCTGTACCACAGCCCTATTCAAGAGTGGCCCTGAAAGAAAGCAATGAAGAAAATAGGCCAGGGCTTCAGATGGCCATCCACTTTGTGTAGAAAAAGAAGGTGCCATGAAGTAAGAATATATACAAACACATAGGCAGGGCAAATGGCTTGGCTAATTAATAGGCCAACAAGGGAAAAAAATTCACAAGATTGAAGAAAAGGATGTCTGGAGAAGTGGTTTGTGAAAATATCCATGGGAATAAGGGGAAAAAAAGATGTATGTATCATGCTTTAAAGCCCTTTGGGTAACGGGGCTCTTTGGATGGTCCTTGAACAAACCATGTCTCCCAGTATCCATGCCCTTCTGTGGACCCCTCTCCTTGTATTTTCTGTGACTGTTTTTTAATACCAAATAGAATATTGTAGGAGTGATGCCACATGAGTCCAAAGCTAGGACAGAATAAGTGGCGTCTCAGAATTATATCTCTGTGAGCCCTGAGCCATCATATAAGAAGTCCTTATAGGGAAACTGCTATGTTAGACCAAAAGTAGGTGCACTGGTTCAGAATCCCATCTAATCATCCCTGCTAAGGTGCCAGATGTGCAAAATAAGTCATTTTGGACCCTCTAGATGAGCTCATACCACCAGCTAAATTCCACCAGTGTTAACCTCTATAGCATCATTTGAAGAAGAAAAACTACACAGCTGAACCTTGCCTGAATTCCAAACTCACAAAATCATGCAAAAGGTGGTACTTCTAGATAGTGGCACAAAGTGTTGACTATTTCTCTTCACAAAAATCAAGTATAAGTCTTGAAAAATTGGTCACAACAATTGTATGGCTGTGGAAACCAAACAAAAGCAGATATCAAATTGAGAAAAACTTCTAGAGCTTCAGATAATAACAACAGATATATGTTACCTTCTTACCTAGCGTTGCTTCCATAACTTTCTTCTACCAGAGTACATACACAGGACGGGTCTACTGAAAGGATCAATAAATCTATCAGCGTGAGGATGGCTGGGAAAACCAGCAGCTTTTTTGCTACCAGAAGACATAAACTTGATTTGGGGTGGAGCTGAAAACCCAAGGTTTTGTCAGCTAAAAGAGGCAAACCCAGTAAGAAATAGAAAACCAGCAATTTTTCTAGCCTAAGGCGTGGTCCAACAAAGGGTGAAGCAGACCAGTCAGAAATTTGACAGGAAGACCATGGAAATAAGAGACCCTCAGAAAAGCTAAATACACTCTCCACATATATCAGGCTAAGAAATTATACCACTTCTTAGACACAGGGGAGATCCTGAGAGAGCACGGTAGAAAGTAAAACCCAAGGGTTGAGAACTGGCTGAACTTTAAATGTGTCTGTATACCACACAAACATTAAATGGCATAAGGTGGAGGCTTTCAAATTCAAGATATTTGAGCACAACTTCTACCCAAATCTTTGGCTAACAATTAGGATCGTGACCCAAAGAGTAGAGACTTCAGAGGGACACATACCACAGGGAGACAAATTCTACATTTTAAGTCCAAGAAAGTTACTATAAAAAGGAAAAGAAAAAAGAAAACATAATCCTCAGGAAAATCTGTAAGAATCCAGAGTTATTACATGATCATCACTTAAAATGCCCAATTTTCAACCAAAAATTATAAGACATTCAAAGAAATAGGGAAACATTACTCATAACTAGGAAAAAAATCATTCAAAGAAACTGACTGCCACGGACTAAATGTCTGCATGCCCCTCCTGCCAAATTCATGTGTTGAAGCCTTAATCCCCAATACAATAGTTTTTGAGGTGAAGCTTTTGGGAAGTCATGAGAGTGGAGTCTTCATGATGGAATTAGTACCTTTATAAGAAGAAACACAAGAGAGATTATCTCTCCCACATCATGTAAGGATACAGCAAAAAGAGCTATTTGCAACTTGGAAAGAGGGCCCCCACTAGACACTGAATCTGCCAGCACCTTAATCTCAAACTTCCCAACCTCCAGAACCGTAAAAAATAAACATCTGCTTTTTAAGCTATCCAGTCTATGGTAATTTGGTATAGTAGCCTGAGCTAAGATACGGACTCTCAGTGGAACAGAGGTTGGATTTAGCAGACAAAGATTTTAAAGCAGCTATTAAAAATATGTTCAAAAATGAAAAAAAAAAAAAACCTTGTCAAAGAATTACAGGAAAATAAGAACTCAGTAAGTACACATAATTTTATTTCCTATAATAAATTGTATTGCTTAAAAAGTGAAGCAAAGTAATTTAAATTCTGAAGAAAATAAATGTCCAGCAGAAAAATTATAAGCATAATTATAACAATATTTAATTTTTAAAACTTAATTTTTTTAGTTTTTCAAAGTTAAAAAAGTATTAATGATTATTTTCTCATTTTTAGAAAATATCAACTGATCTCAAGATAACTTTATCGAAAATGAACAATGCATACTGTACTGTAATCCAGGGACTGGCAAACTTTTTCTCTAAAGAGCCAGATAGCAAATATTTTAGAAGCAAAAGAGCAAAATTGAAGCTATTATGTAGGTCTTAAGTAACAACAATGAAGACAAACTTCCACAATTTTTATTGATGAAACTTAAAATATAAAATAATAATTGACTATAATTTTTGAAATATAGACCTATACATTTTGGGGATAACATTTCACTTAATTAGGGTTCAATGTTAGTGTTTCCTATCATTGAAATTTCATCTGCTACCACTGATCTGTAATAAGAGGTATTTGATCTTCAAAAATTTTCTTTTCATACAGATAGGTACTGCCAAACACTGATATCGATTGATAAACATATAATCTAATTATGCATATTTATCCCTTTTAATACATTTCTAGGTTTTTACTAGATTCTTCTACTAAAAGCTTGGCATTTTATTATACTGCAGATTAGTCATTTCTAGTTGAAGGTCCTCAACTGCACAATTAAACAAATTTTGAAATACGGAGGTTTCTTTGTATTCACATTGAAGTCTGAGAAACATTGCTGGAACTGTACTTTGACCTTAGAAGATATTTCTACTGCAAAATTCTGCAGGGACAGAGATCTTGCTATTTTGTTTTAACTTTTGACACCAAGTAAAGTATATAAAACAGCTTGACATTAGTTAAGATTCAAACATTAATTGTTGAAATAACTTTACCACAGTATAAGTTTCTCTTAAAATAGTTATTTTTTTGTCTCACAATTTTGGGTTAAGTTCATTAAGAAAAGTTACCAAATCTGGTGACTTAAATTTTCAAATTTTTCTGGACTTTGCTTTCCTGTGAGTTGATAATACTGTGATGGGTGTTTAATCTGGTAACATGTGATCCACATTCCATGGTGCCTTAAAGCTGTAACATTCAAAGTCCGCTTTCCTTATCCTTTCTTGACATGACATAATGTGTGCACAGTTAATAAAAAATTAATGAAATGCCACAGCATGGCTGTGTGCATGCTACTCAAAACACTGTGGAGTTACAAACAAGTCACTGTAATTTGTAGTTGCTGAGCAGCACTGCAAAGCAATGAGAGCACAACATGTAATCTGTCTCAACTACTCAACTCTGTCATAAAAAAAGTATCAATGAAAGAACCGATAGGCAATACATAAATGACTGGGTTGGCTGTGTTTAAATAAAATTTAGTTTACATAAACTAAAATTTAAATTTCATGTGATTTTCATATCACAAAATATTTAAGTTTTTTTAACCATTCAAAAATGTAAAAAACATTCCAAGTTCAAAAACAAGAGATATACAGAAAAGTGATGGGCTGAATTGTGCCCACAAACCATAGTTTATCTATCCCTGATCTAAACTGCATTATTTGATCATTTTCTCAAGTGACACTTCCTAATAAATGGATAATCTCCCACATGCAGTAAAAGTACATTGTATACCCAAAAGGTTGAGGCTTAAATAAGAAGTCAAGTTGTTTTGCTGCTAAACTGACTCTAAAATCCTTTCACTTGTGTAATATTTCTAGCACAGGCTAACAAAAATAAAAGCCTACCCCAGATACAATTTTCTAGGATGAAGCAACTACCATATATGCAGTTAAATTTACAGTCCAAGATTTTACTCCTGTACCCCAAAGCTGGAATTCTAGAGCAAGAAAAAATGCTATCTTATTTCATGTTTCATACTCTAGTATTACATATTATTGACATTTGATATATTTTAGCTGAAAGAAATAATGAATAAATGAATGAATGAATCTACTCTATCCCTCTTGAAATATTGAATTAGTCTTAAACCCAACTTATCTGCTATTTCAATGCTTTTTCAGGTCAATTATAAATGCCCTATACACCATTTGTAATACCATTAGGACATTTGCTCTTTTATGTCTCTCATCAATTAATAATAATAATATAATAATAATATATCCTCCACAAAAGTATACATTTTTCTATCCATTGAACAAATTTAATCATCAAATGTTTAAAGCTTTACTAAATATTAAAATCTAGGCATCCTCTACTGAATTCCAATCCAACATAACAGCCTTCACTTTCAATTAAAATTTGGGCCAGGTGCAGTGGCTCATGGCTATAATCCCAGCACTTCAGGAGGCCAAGGCAGGCCAATTACCTGAGGTCAGGAGTTATAATGATGCCTAATATAGCAACAAAGGAATTTATTATATCCATGTAACATCAATGTGATTGAGTCCTTTTTATTCAAGGGTAAAGTCCTAAGACTCACATTAAAATTGGAATAATTATTTAGCATAAGATTATTTTACCGATAGGTGGAGTGAATACATAAGAGAATAATCAATCTTTGACTTTTAAAAACTTTTACTTGTGAAAGTCTTAGTAAATTTTATTACAAGTCAGGAGTGGTGGCTCACAACTGTAGTCCCAGCACTTTGGGAGGCTGAGGCAGGAGGATTGCTGGAGCCCAGGTGTTCAAGACCAGCCTGCGCAACATAGTAAGACCTCATCTCTAATAAAAATAAAAAAAATTAGCTGGGCTCGGTGGTGAAAGCCTGTGGTCCCAGCTACTTGGGGAGCTGAGACAGAAGGATTTCTTGAGCCCAAGAGGTCAAGACTGCAGTGAGCTATGATTAGCCACTGCACTCCAGCCTGGATAACAGAGTGAGACCCTGTCTCAAATTAAAAAAAAAAAATTGTTATCTAGCTAAGAATTTTTAACATATTCTTATTATTAGAATTTGTCCTAAAAATTTTTGAGTCCAATTGGTTTAGAATTCCTTAGATGTTTAATTGGTCTGAAATACCATAAATTAATATTTTCCTCACACTGCTAATGTATATTGTCTTCAACAGCCTATCTTCTTTACAAACACATAAATTCATTACTTAAAAATTATAAAAAATTATGAGATTATGTAAGTCAGTAAATTTCACTAATGATACTTACAACATCTAAACTCAGACAAATACAAAGCCGACATCTTTTGGGTTTGTTTTAAAAGCTTAAAGGATAACGCTTCTATCTGAAAGGTGTAGTCTATTTTTCCTTCCTCCTATGCTAGGTCTTCTCTACAAATTAATCCACCACCATTTCCATTCACCCTCTCATCTTACAAAGTAAGTAAAAGTGTGTTGTGCTAATTTCAAAACTGTAAGAATTGATTCAAACATTTCATAATTTATAGCTAGAAAACTAAACACATGTATTCTTACATTTGCTAGGCCACTTTTTACACAAAATTTTATACAGAAACAAAAAAAGGCCTGCAACTACCAGGTAAAAATAGTCAGATTAGGCCATGAGACACAGAAGAAACTAAAACTCTCCACAACAGACCTCAACTTAAAGAAGATCAAATGGGGCATCTTTTGTGCAGTTGGGCAAATGGTTGACAACATGGCTATTTAATTAAAGTGAAAAATTTCACTGGATTATAATATTAAGATTAAAATATATCTAATGAAAAGTTCAGAATCTATTATACAAGATATTAATTCGCCACTGAAACCAATTTCTAGACCTTTCTCTTGGTCTAAACGTGAAACACGAGCATCAAGTAAGTCACAAACTTCTAATATAAGTGAGTAACTTTAAAACATTTTTGGCCATAATCTACAGAAAGAAATATATATTTTACATTATAACAAAACAAAAATTTACCAAACACAATTACCCTTACTCTGTGAACTTGACTTTGATGTTTTCTACTCTATTCTAGTCTACTCTTTTTAAAAAAATGATGGTTATGATCCTCTCAATTGGTTCTGAAAGTGAAGTGGGGAGGAGACCCAATGAAGTGGATAAGGATGAGGACGAGAGTTGGAGATGGTGAACTTTGCCCCACAAGAGATATTTTGTAATGTCTGGGGATATTTCTGGCTGTCACAACTGTGATTAGGGGTGCTACTGGCATCTAGTAGGTAGAGGCCAGGGATGCTGTTAAATACCTTACAAAGCATGAGATAGTGCAACACAACAATTATCCAGCCTCAAATGTTAATAGTGCTGAGGTTGAGAAACCTGCTATAGACTACTCAATAAGAAAATAATAGATCAAATTACAAATCCAATATTACTTTTTAAGGCTATGAAAAAATATATTTTAAACTTTGAGAAGAATGTTCAAAATATTTAAATTCAGAAATACTATGACATTAGCAATCTAAGACTTACCTCCTTCTATAGCCCAAAGGCAAAAAACAAACACACAAAAAACGAAAAAGAAAAAAAATCAATTTGCAATTTCCTAACCGAACAGAAAGTATGGGAAAGCGATCAATTTAGTGTTATAAAAAGCAAACTATATCACACTGAGTAAAAGAAAAGTGTTACAAGACATACAGAGTGCGCAAAAATCAGTAAATACAACTAATGCTTCTTTCCTCTGAAGTCCTACGGTACCTGTTTAGTACAATTGCCTTATATTGCTAGTTATTTTAGATTTTCAATTTCCAGAATAGAAAAAATGTGTAAATCATTTCTACATTTTCCACTGGATCCAATCCAACACCTTGCAAATTATAGGCACTGAAAGAGTTCTTGGCAGAAAAATGAGTAAATTGGTGTTCAGTATTCAGTGAGACACTGAATTACATCTCAAAATTACATCTCAACAAGTTAAGCATACTCTTTCCACCCTGAAAACAAGCTTCATTCAGTTTAGGACAGATCTTGGAAGAGGTGAAACCAACACAAATGACCACATCCGTATGACCACAATTATACTTTCATTCAAAGCTCTTGAGAGTTGTCCTATAGAAGTCTTAACTATCACAGAACATTAAGTAATCCAAAAATGATTTGAATACTGTATGATGAGTATTGTGTATACACAGTCTCATTTGATCCTTACAATGACTGAACAATAAAGATACTATTATCCTGATTTACAGATTTATAGGTAAAGAAACAGACCTAGAGTGGTTAAAAAGGTAGAACAAAATCACATAGTGAAGGACAGAACCAGGGTTTGATCATCCTCTTTTACTCCAAAACTGATACTCTTCCCATGAAACCTCTCTGTTTTTGTTACACAAACAATGGCCCAGTCATTGTAATTAGCAGCATCATTTAACAGAACATACTGAATGAAATGACATCTATTATAAATTTGAGTGAAACTCTGTATATTTAAAATAATGAAATCCATCCGAAGTGACAAGTAAGAGACGAGCCAAAGTCACTAACACACCAATAAGGCTAAAGATAGAAGAAGAAAAGAAACAGAATATCCAAAAGGACAGCAGAGAAAAAAAAATTAGGTAGAGTAAATTATAAACTCGCTACCAATTTCCAAGGAATTTTATTATTTATAGACCAGGAAAGATTCTGCTACGTAGTAGAAGCTATGATGTACTAGGACCTCGAAAAAAAATTATTCTGCAATGATAATGTTCCCTGGTGCTATTTATAAAGTGTTGGTTAACATTTTAAAATTAGATAACTTGATGCAAATTTGCCTTGCATATTTTTGAAAGATTATGCACAAAATTGAAAAAAACAGAAAAGTAAAGACAAGGAGAAAGAGATCTGAGTTGTAAAACACATTCTTTGGAGTTATTTAGTGTAGGGATAATAAAGCAAAGTGATGATTATTTTTTAAAAGTTGGTTTGTTCTCAGAATGATGTCACTCCATATAAAAATACAGAAAAACATGTTTAAAATTCACTAACAAAATTTCTTTAACTATTAGGAAGAATTTTCTAACATTAGTTAACTATCAAAGATGAATCACAATGTTAGATACTTCTAAAGGTAATTTATTCCCAAATCAAATTGCCAATTTTCCACAAATAATAAAAAAATGCTACTATAATGATGAAAAGTCAAGACATAACTCAATCTCTTTCCCATAATATCCCAGTGTCTCAACAGCTACAATTTATCCTCACTGAATTCAATTATTGGGGGAAATATCAAACAGAAAAAAGATTACTTCATTCAAGTTTATTCTTCCAAATTCAAATTAAAGTGTAGTTTTCTGCCAAATACATGTTGGCAGAAACTGTCCTCTGTGAAACAAATGATTAAATAAATGAGACAGAGGCCTATCTTCAAGAGCGTCTATTAGAAGTTCAAGTTTTGGAATAAAAAAAAGTGAAAGCCATTTTTTTCTATATTTGATAAATGTTTTAGTTTTGCTAATTTGTTTCAAATAGGATTTTAATTTAACTCATATATACCTTTTTACTTATATGAGACTTTTATAAGTGGATACTTCAGAATACTAAAATAAAGATATCACATATAAAAAAGCTTTCAAGCACTGAATTGATACATTTCTGAGTTTTTTACATTTTTATGTGGTACAAGTGAAGGCATTACTTTAGCAAAGGATAATAGAAATACCTACCAGATAGAATCTAAACCAAACCACCAAAGATAACAAAACTATCTTTTTTCTTATTTTTTAGTATCATGATATACTCTGGCAAATGTGAAAAATGACCAAACTAAAGATTATTAAATATACTTAAGGAAGTACTACAGCTTAGGGAAAATAAAATCTCTATATACTCCATAAAAAAAATAATTAAGATCGATAGTTGCTCTTTATAGATAACTATATTTTAATAAGCAAGTTTTTCTTAGTATTTATCATTTGAATGCAACAAATATGAAATATCCCTAATGTGATTTTTTAAAACTTCATATGCATTTCCCCAACCCTATTTGTTGAATAGTTTATCTCTCCCCACTTGGATTGTTGTGCATTTTATATTTTATCATTTATTAGTTTTAATATATTATATTAGAATTTCACCGATATGTCCAAATTTTCTATCAGTATCACATTTTCAATTATTGTCATTTTATACTATCTGGTCAAGTGAGTTCTCCCTCACTACTCTTAATTATTCTTACAAGTGTTGTTTCTTCCAGACTAACTTTAGAAATAAAATACTTCAAGGGTCCAACTGGTATTATGTCTAGAATGTTATTAACTCCAAGAGATTATCTGCAAAGAGCTTGCATCTTTATACTACTTAGCCTTCCTAATTAGGAACATGAAATGAACCGCTACTCACATCTTCCTTATGTTACTCAGTAAAATTTTATGGCTCTTCCTGTGGGCCCCTCATTTCTTGTTAGTTATTTTTATATCACATTTTTTATTTTTAATTCAGAATGGAAACAATTAATGTGTTCTAACTAATTATTTTGGTACAGTATAAAATGATTCCATAATCATTTCATACCTAGCTCCTTTCTTGAATTCCCTTAGTGATTCCTGTTGATTCGATAAACAAAAAATGGACTATTCATCAAATAGTATAAGGAAATTGGGGGTAGGAGGTTGGTATGATACTCATCCATCTGGTATATTTTTGTCATACACCAAAATAAATTCCAGAATGTTAAAAAAGTTAATGGTTAAAAATAATTTAAAAATGAGATAATATACAGTTAAATACTTAATTGATTTGGAAGCGAATAAAGAGCTTTTAAAGATGAAAATAATGGAAAAAAATCACCAAATACAAAGGTTTAGATACATTAAATTCAACAGTTTCAAATAAACAAATTAAAATACTAGATAAACATTAAAATGAGAAATGTATTTGGCAAATAATAGTTAAATGGGGTAAAATCCTAACTATATAAAAAGTGCTTATAAATCAATAATAGAAAAACTAATACCCAGAGAAAGATGGGCAGAAGGAATTAAAGGAATGAACAGATAATTCACAGAAGATATCAAATGCAGATAAACATATAAAACATTCAACTTTACAATCAAATTCAAATTAAAATGACAAAGAGAGCATTTTTGTGGCTATTCAATTGGCAAAGATTTGGTGAATTGAGACTGAAAACTCAAGTACATCTGATAAGAGTAAAGCATGTTACAACCTTTTTGGAAAGCAATTTGGTAATCTGAATTAAAGCTTAAAATAATCCAAAGTACAAATATATATTTTTGAAATACTCAAGAGATGTAGGCAAAAAGTATGTATAAAGATAACCATTATAATTTTTACATTGGCAAATGGAAGCCACAGCAATGCCCCAAATAAAGAAATATTTAGTTGTGGTATAATCTTATGATAGAATATTAGTGTAGCTATTTAAAACGTATTACTAAAGAACATCTAATGGCTTGAAAAAAATCATTTATGATGTGATAACAATTGAAAGCATCAGTATACAAAATTATATATAGCATGATATCAATTTTATAAATCTATAAACCATACATGCATAGGAAAAAAAAGAAAGAAAATACAATAAAAGGTTAACAATGGTTATATCTGGGGGAAGAAATATGGATAACTTGCATTTCATTCTTTATGCTTTGAGGACTTTTTCAGATGTTTTATAGTGAATATATTGTTACTTTTATAAGGAGACAAAAAATAAATGTTATTTTAAAAACTACAGTTAATGGATATTTTTGAAATATGCTGTCAAATGATACAAGAAAACTTTCAGAAACAAAGCAAGAAGGCAATTTTTAAAAATCAATAGAACATCATTCTGTCGTTCTTATACATGAACAACAGAAGATACTTTTTATAACACGAAATTTTCTTCACACGTTCGATGCCATTAAAAGACTTTTAAAATAAAGCTACTAGTAATACCTATTAAATTTTCACTCAGAAATGCAATCTATTAAAAAAAACGCTTATCTAATCAATTACAGCAAAATGTATGATTAGAAAGCTTACCTTTTTCACTTACACTCTCACTTTCAATCTCAACATCATCACAACTTGTATATTCAGGCGTGGAAGCCAATTCCTCCTCTGAACTGCTCAACGAAATCTGGCGCATTTTACCGCCTTTCTTTGATTTATGAGGCTTTGGTGGTGGAGGTCTCACTGACTCTGACTGGTCTGAACTGAGAGAATCATTCCTTAACATTGTTTCCATTTTTTCCCGTTTTGTTTTTCTTACAGCAGAGCTAGGATCTAAGTGGTGCTGTTTCCGTAGTGAGTCAGTACGCCTCAAGTCTGGTCTATCTATGGGTAGTGGACTCCTCCTGGGGGTAGGAGGACTATGGTTTGTGGTCCTTTGTGCATAAGAACTTGGTCCCTGAGCCTCTCGAGTTCTTTCCATTGAATAAGATCGCTGATTTTCCATGGCAGCTCTACGTTCTGATATAGATCTTTGCCTTGATGGTCGATCCATCCTTAGCATAGAAATCCTGGAATCTTCCAGATCAGCATTTGCCAAAGAAACATCACTATGCCTTCTCTCATGCCGTGCTCGGGACACTTCAGCATGGATCCGCATTTGTTCTTCATAGGGTTGTGGCTTTACTGGATAACGGGCCAAATTCGGATCACTTCGGTAGCGTGACTGGTACTCTTCCTCTCTCCTTTGCCTTTCGTATTCATCTCTGCTTTCCACATCCTCATCATCTACAATATATTCTTTGGAATGCCTATGACTTCTCCTGTTGGAGTCCCTATAACTTAAATGATCAGAGTCTTCATAAAACTGAGGTTCATGTTGAGATCGCCTATCAGCATAATCTGATGGAGATCTAGGCATTGCGGTATCCGAAGTAGCATACTGTGAATATTCCTCTCTTTCTTCCCTTTGGTCGTATCTTCTATTCTGATCTCTGGACACAGATGGGCTTCTTTTCCTAAGTAACCAAAGGAAAAGAACAATGAGAAGAGCAAAAGTTTATCAATTTTACATTTCATTGATTTGCTGGCAGGTTGATGGATAACTAAGTAGTCCTTTTGCCTTTTTAAAATTTCATTTTAAAGGCATAGCGTAACAATGGTTTTAGTAGTATTCATTATATTCAGTTCAAATAAGTACTTTGTTGTGGTTATTAAGTGCCTGCAACACTATATCTGGAATATGCTTATGCTTGAAAATTAGATAATATGATATTCCACTGCTATAAACTAGCATTTATTCTAATTTCCTTGCTTGGTTTGCTACGTACACTTCCACTACCCACCAACTATTATTCAGCAGCTTAGAAAAATATTTCCTCCATCTTCTCTATACCTAACATGCTGATATGAAAGTTACCTGAAAATGTAATGAAGCCAAACTGATTTGGCTCAAGAGTTGAATACTTTCTGACTAAAATTAAGTGCTGGCTCTTAAAAATCATTTTTCATTCATCATCTTCTAGATCATTCCTAGTATTGGTTCACCTAAATTTTCATTTTATCATCATGTCTCCAACCCTTTTTTATTGATCTAACTTGAGATAAGCAATAAAAATAGACAAATAATAATGATTTATTCATTACAAAAATCCTAGAAATCAGAAAAAACTGCTATTTTTATTCCATCTTCATTTAGATTAAGAACAGCTTGGTGATATTATTCTACTAAGTCTCCACATCTGACCCCTCATATTTCCTTATAGTCTCAGAGGAAGAAACTGCTTATTACCTTCTCAACTTACCCTTCTAACACTGGTAAAACCTAGTGAACCTTGCAATAAGACATGATACCCTGTTAACAAAATATTCACACTAACCTTTTCTCTGGAATAAACTTAGATAATATCAACTATTAATCATGAAAAGCAATAGGATTAGAATCCTGAAGATAACAGAAAAGGTTTAGAAAACTATTATGGGGATTTTGCCAGGACATGAACAGGAGACAATGAAAGAGTGAAGTCAGCTGAAGTTAAAGATGACTAAGATTCAACAGTTCAGTTGTGAATTTCTTAGTCAATGGTTTCTTAGCCCAAAAGCAAGAGCAGATAAAGGATACAGTAGAATGACCCAACCTGGCAAAATCAGCACTCTTCTCTAATATCTCCCCCGGGTCACAGAATCCCTTTTCCCCTCATATTTGGAACACAGTCTGCCAATCTACCAATTAGGTTCACTAACGAAAACAGAAGTTAGTCTAGGTTTTCCAGGTAGGAAGGGTTTTAATTCAGGAACCAGAAGCTACATAACAGTTGAATGGGCGACAGGAATAAAGGCCAAGAAAGTTAATGCTGATGATCTTAGCCTGAAGATGCAAAGACAAGGGTTCTCAAAATGGACACTAGAAAGCTGCTGTGAATGTCAGGAGTCTATGGAAATCTGCCAGCAATTACCTGTACCACCTACAGCATCAGGGTGGCCAATTAACAGGAGTTTGCCCAGGAGCCACTAAGACTTTTATATCTGCCCATCTGCTAGCCAACAACTAATGCTTGACAATAATGGCTTCTGTATATCCTCTACCTTTCAAATCTCATGTAAGTACAAAGCCAGGATAAACTCTAACCTGGAACTATAAAGGAATAAGTACTGTAGAAAGTGAAAAAATTAGTCTATCCCTTAAATGTTTTATAATTAAGAAAGTGGATGTGATATTTTTTAGCATTTACATTTATATATGAAACACTTAGGACTTAATTACAAATCTTTTATATTACAATTGTTACATAAAACCATAGATTCCTACAGTTTAAAATTTACAATCAAAACAAAACATTCAAAAAAATTTATAGTACCCAACACCCTATGTTTCTGTGTATATGTGTGTGTGCACTGTGCATCATTCATTTCACTTTTGTCATTACTTTTATACATTTGACTAAAAAAACTCTAGCATGATAGTAGTCTATCATGAAGAGAACACTAGATTTAAGGAATCTACAGTTCTTAGTCATACTTTTGTAATTAGCCAGTTATTTCGAACTATATAACCATTAAATCCTTAGGAGTTTGTGCTTTAAATTGAGAGGCATAGATTTTACATGTTAACTTATATATTACTTTAACAAACATATATTAGGTTAAGAAATAAATGCCACACACTATCTTATAAATTAGGAATGCAGAAATGATTAAGACACCTTCCTTGTTCTTAAGAGGGTGAATGATTCTAAAACCATCTTCCATTTCTTAGGTACTATGATTTTACAATATTGATACCACAACTTCATCAAGTTAATAAGCCTACATGAAAGCTTAATGCATTAAAGATTTCCCATAATACATTTAATGTTAAACTGAGTATTTTAGGATAGAAGTTAAAAAAAGGAATATTTCATTCCTATCTTAAGGAATTAACATGAATTTTTGAAAGTAAGTAGAGTATAAAGTGAATACAATGAGTCTTTATAACAGGGGATTATATTTTATCTTACAGATAAATAAGAATATTTACTTCCTATTATGGAATTCAGTTCCAAGAGAAAGGCTATTAATAATTAGTCACTAGCAAGCCATCTAAGTACTTTTTAAAAATCATACCTTAGGAAAATTGAATTCAATGTTAAATCCAGCAATCACATTGTTCTAGAGATTATCAAATTTGCCAGAAATATGTGAATCATACTGTAGATGTCGATTTGTACTGGATTTAAGATTATAACCACTATAAAAATGGAACAGTGGTTATAATCGGAAATTGGGATGACTACTGTCACTGTTACAAAGACTTAGGTTTTCAAGAATACCCTTTAAGGTATAGTACCTTACAGTATGTTAACACTATGCGAGAAACAAGGCAAGATTTCATTCTAACAATACATGTATCAAACAATGAAGAACCTGCAATCAATTATTTCAAAATAATAAATATTCTATCAAACAATTTTTACCAACTATATTATGAATTACTTCATATATACTGTCCTTTAAATTTTAAACTTCTATATTTCATAGATAGTATATTCCTTTCAGGAACTAAATAAAATCAGTGTAAATTCAAGTAATGTGTTTCTACTGTATATCTTTGCTATTGGCCTTTATAAACAAGCCTTAGCATTTATTATCATCAGGTGGAAAATATTTAATAGATAAAGCAATATCATTGATAATTTGTATATTTCTCTACAGAACCATAAGGCATTTAGCAGTATTTAATTCATCTGTTATAATACAAAGGAAAAGGAACGATTCGTCTAGGATTTTACATTTCACTTAATCCTTCAAAGACCCTGAGAAATTAAGAGGCAGAATCCAAAATTATGCCTTTCTTTAGTATAAAATGTATTTGTGGCATCATATAGTGCCTTAATCTTTACTCCTACGCATTCTATTATCCTTATTTCTGTTATAATATCAGTATATATTTATATTCACTTTATATTTACCTAATATCGATTCACTTCTCTTTATTGCCACCTGTGTTGTTAGAATTGCTTTCTCTTTTGCCAGAGTATTCTGTCCTTAATTAGAACCAGTTTATAGAAAACCACATTTTAAACATCCTAAATCTACTGTAGTAAGTATCATTTCTATTCCTTGCTTACAATTGTTTGTCATGTGGACTATTCAATCTATTTCTAAATATTCTAGCTTGTATAACACATCTGATGCTCCATTATAAATGTTATTCTAACTATGCAAAATAGTTTGCGTAGGAAATCCTACCAATTAGACTCCTTAAATTCTATGTCCAAAAAGCATACTGACTGATGGGAAAACTCCAAAGAAGCTTCTTTCCCAATTAAAATCACTTCCAGATTTCCCAAAGGCATCCAGGGTTTACATGCCATAAATTAATTCATCATGTTTTTACCATAACTTCCATTTTAATATTTACAGGCTTTACCATCTTAAGTGATTTGTGTTACTAATACCAGCTATAATTCTGACCATATTGATAAAAGAATCATCAAATCTCTGAAAATATAGTCTAATGAACATTTGAAAACATTTATAAACAGTGAAAAATTACATGGAAACCTACACTGTAATATTTACATATTTTAACTCAACTGTAGAAATATGCAATTTTTAAAAATTATGACAACACTGGACATACAGTGCAAAATTTGAAGATTACTAATTTTTGTAAATTCAAATTTTATATTATTAAATTAAGTACTACCTATATGAAAATTCCTGACTCATAAGCATTATTAGTAGAGATCATTAAAAAATTGTTACTTTATAAATAAAAATATGTAAATCACTCTTTAAAAATCAATAACCTGAAAAAATACCTACTTGTTTTTAAAAATCTTTATAAAGCATGGATATTGCTAAATAAACTAATGTAATACTTCATGAATACAATTACACAATGCTAACTAACCATGCAGTTTAAGCATAACATTGCAACCAAATTCTAAAATTTTAAATTGTTAAAACACATTAAATCAAGGATTTAACAGAAGTATATAATCCTGTAAAACATGAAAACAAAGGCCCGTTTCTATAATTCCTACAAAAAGCTTTGAATAAATCAATTTCTATTTATAAAAAAACAAAAATATATAAATTTTTACATATCACAATTAAGATTTAATATATTTTCATTATTTTACCTTTGTTCAACCAATGCACATCTGTCGAGCATGAAGCATCATGTTGACAAAAATACATCAACAGTGTGCCAGGCAGTGCTTTCATTTAATCCTTCTAGCCCTGGCAAAATCATAGGAGCCATCCTTAATCAGATGATTTGAAAGTCTCTACTTGTTTACAATTGTTTTATTTCAAAACTAAGTTACTAAAAAATTACACAAAAACAACACTCATTCAAAGGATGGAGTCATAGAATCCTCTAGTGATGGGCCTGTTAAGAAAAAGGTTATTCTTTAATGCTGTTACTATGTGGCTGTATATAGCTCCAGGTCAAGTAAGAATGTACCCTGTAAGGAGGATTATGGTACTTAGCTGATTAGTGCCTCACAATACTGAACACCAAATGCAAGCTGCATCCAAGGCATTTCTGGGCACTACGCTTAAAACTGGTGGATTTAGAAATTTATAAATCACCTTCTCCTATATGAATTGCAGTATTTCTAAAATAACTATGTGCTTGTTATTGATAATTGTGCTGCTTAAGCTTTCACCATAAAATGTATAGTAATAGTTTAACAGGCCTATTCTGTAACTTCTTTTCAATTATTCACTAACAAGTTTCTTAATCTTCAGTAAAAAGGCAATGTTTCCCCAAAGGTTCAAGAAGCAGCAGTTTTTGTACAAATTTAATAAAAAGTAATGTGCTCCATTAACTAAGAAGTTGGTTAGACACTAAGTTTAAATCAAATTTTGCTCATTTTAATTTATCAATTAACATCTCAATGCTCATTCAGTGATTTAAAAAAAATTAAAAAGAATTTTAATAAGGCCACACAAATTCCTTCCTAGCAAAAGCCAGTTATCTGGATACTAATATTACTACTCTGAAAGTTATATTTAAATGTTTCCAAATACTTTTATATAAAACTGAGAAAAGGCCAGTGTTAGACGAGTAGAAAAAGATTAAAAAGTGCTGTGCTGTTTTTAGATCTCACAAACAGCAAGTTTAAATGAGGGTCTAGGAATATATGGTAGTACCATTCCACTATTTGTATAGGTATTCACCTCTATCATTTTATTTTAGAATTAAATGTAGGTCTTGAAAAGATTGGGGGGAAGATGTGGACAGAGAATGTGATTTTTTTACCTCTCAGATTTCTAATAAAGACTGGTAGATTATTCAAAGAGAAAGGCAATAAAAATTCAAAATAATTCATTTTCATAGGAATGTAAAACCAGTAATTTCAACCATACAGACCCCACAGTTCATACCAAACTGAAAAAAAAATCCATTTGCCCACAGCTTATTTTTATTCTTAAGTCAAGAAAATTTCAGAAACATTGCAGTTAATAGCAATCCTTCTTCCTCTTTACTTTTCCTTCCATTCACTTTTACCCCCTCAGTGAGTTCTCTTGGTGGTGTTCCTCCAACTGTAATGCACACTCTGGTGCCAATGCCTTTCTCTATCAATCATCTTGTTTCTAGCTCCTCTTATTCATCTACCCCAGACTTTCATTTGTATCACCTTTAATACCACTAGTGCTTTCCCTTCACTCTCTACTGATCTTTCTAGGGCTCCAATTTCCTTCTCCCTTTCTTTTTAGAGTGTTTATTCTCCTTTCAGTACTATTTTCCTCATTTTTAACTCTTTACTCTTAACATGTTTTCTTTTGTTTATTGCTTTTGTAACTACTTCCCATGCATTCGAATTTTTGAGGACCCAAATTGGGATCTAAAAGGTTTTCATGAGAATAATTGTAATCTTATTATCCAGTTAAGATTACAATTGGATCTTAAAATACAAAACAACAAAAAGATTCTGTGAATCAGATGCTAAATTAATTTTTATTTTATTCATGACAATATTTTCAACTCGTATTTAAAAGACAAAGGTTCTTAGATACTCAAACATCTAGAAAATCGTGCACAATTGATGATCCCCTCAGGGGATCAATAATGAGTAGTGAGATTGAATCAGCAATAAAAAAATTTTCAAACAAAAAAAAAAAAGCTCAAGACCAGGTGAATTCACACGTGAAATCTACTAAACATTCAAAGAAGATCTGGTACCAATACTACTGAAACTATCAAAAGATTAAGGAGGGAATCCTACCTGACTCATGCTATGAAGCCAGTATCACTCTGATATCAGAGCCAGGAAAGGACACAACAAAAAGAAAGAGATAGAGATCAATATCTCCAATGAACTGAGATGCAAAAATCCTCAACAAATACTAGCAAACCAAACTTAATAGCATATCAAGAAGATAACTCACCACAATCAAGTAGGTTCCATTCCAGGCATGAAAGGATGATTCAACATACACAAGTCAATACATGTGATTCACCACACATAAAATACCTAGGAATATACTTAACCAAGGAGGTTGCTTTAGTCTGTTCTCACACTGCTATAAAGAAATACCTAAGACTGGGTAATTTAAAAAGGAAAGAGGCTTAATTGACTCACAGTTCTGCATGGCTGTGGAGGCCTCAGGAAACTTACAATCACAGCAGAAGGAGAAGAAAAGACATGTCTTACATGGCAGCATGCAAGAGTGAGTGTGTGTCAGTACAGGAAAAACTACCATTTATAAAACCATCAGATATCGTGAGAATTCACTCACTACCAAGAGAACAGCATAGGAGAAACCACCGCCATAAATCAAATCACGTCTCAACAGGTCTCTCCCTAAACACCAGGGGATTACAATTCAAGATGAGATTTTGGTGGGGACACAAAGCCTAACCATATCAGAGGTGAAAGATCTCTACAAGTAGAACTACAAAACATTGATGAAAGTAATCATAGATGACACAAACAAATGGATAAACATCCCATGCTCATGGATTGGAAGAATCAATATCATTAAAATGATCATACTGCTCAAAGCAATCTACAGACTCAACACAATTCCTATTAAAGTATCAGCATCCTTTTTTTCACAGAATTAAAAAAAAATCCTAACGTTCACATAGAACAAAAAAAAAGAGCCTCAATAGCCAAAGTAATTCAAAGCAAAATGAACAAAGCTGGAGTCATCACACTACCTGACTTCAAATTAAACTATAAGGCTACAGTAAATAAAACAGAATGGGATTTGTATAAAAGTAGACATATAGACCAATGGAACAGAATAGATAACCTAGAAATAAAGCCAAATACCTATAACCAACAAAACATACACTGAGCAGCAGAGTAAACAGACAATCCACAAAGTGGGAGAAAATCTTCAGAATCTATACATCTGACAAATGACTAATAACCAGAATCTACAAGGAACTCAAACAAATAAGCAAGAAAAAAACAAACAATCCCATCAAAAAGTGGGCTAAGGACATGAATAGACAATTCTCAAAAGAAGATATACAAATGGCCAACAGACATATGAAAAAATACTCAACATCATGAATGATCAGGGAAATGCAAATCAAACCCACTATGTGATACCACCTTACTCCTGCAAGAATGGCCATAATCAAAATATCAAAAAAATAATAAATGTTGGTGTAGATGCAGTGAAAAAAGAACACTTCTACACTGCTGGTGGGAATGTAAACTAGTACAACCACTATGGAAAACAGGAGATTCCTTAAAGAACTAAAAGTAGAACTACCATTTGATCTCACAACTGGGTATCTACCCAAGGGAAAAGAAGTTCTTATACGAAAAAGGTACTTGCACGTGCATGTTTGTAGCAGCATAATTCACAATTACAAAAATATGGAACCAGCCCAAATGCCCATCAATCAACGAGTGGATAAAGAAACTGTGTTATGTATATGGGGGTGTGTGTGTATATATATATATATATATATATATATATATATATATATATATATAAAATAGTGTGTGTGTGTATATATACACATATATATATACATATATACACAATCCACACACAATGGAATACTACTCAGCCACAAAAAGGAACGTAATAATGGCATTTGCAGCAACCTGGATGGGATTGGAGCCTATTATTCTAAGTGAAGTAACTTAGGAATGGAAAAGCAAACATCATATGCTCTCACTCATAAGTGTGAGCTAAGCTATGAGGATGAAAGGCATGAGGATGATGGACTTTGGGGACTCAGGGGGAAAGGGTGGGAAGGGGGTGAGGGATAAAAGGCTACAAGTTGGGTTCAGTGTATACTGCTCAGGTGATGGGTGCACCAAAATCTCACAAATCACCACTAAAGAACTTACTCATGTAACCAAATACCACCTGTTCCCCAAAAACCTACGGAAACAAAAAATTTAAAAAAATCAGACGACCCTACTTCTTCATAAGGTGTTTTTTAAAATATAAGTTTGGATTTAAAAAAAAACCATACACTGGGGAAGGGATACCTTGTTCAATGAATGGTGCTTCGAAAATTAGATAGCCACATTCAGAATAATGAAACTGGATCCCTATCTCTCACCTTTGTCAAAAATTAACTCAAGATGGATTAAAGACTTAAATATATGATCTAAAACCATAAAAATTCTAGAAGAAAACTTAGGAAAAACTCTTCCGGACATTGACTTGGCAAAGAATTTATGACTATTATCCCAAAAGCAAAGGCAACAGAAGCAAAAATAAATAAGACTTAATTAAACTAAAAAGCTTCTGCACAGCAAAATAAATAATCAACAGAGCACATAGACAACCTAGAGAACAGGAGAAAATATTCACAAACTGTATATGCAACAAAGGATGAATATCTAGATTGTACAAGGAAGTCAAACAAATCAGCAAAAAACCCAAATAATCCCACTAAAAGTAGACAAACAACATGAACAAACATTTCTCAAAAGAAGATATAGAAGTTGCCAACAAACATGAAAAAATTCTTAACATCTCTAATCACAAGAAAAATGCAAATTAAAATCACAGTGAGATACCATCTTACCCCAGTCAAGAATGGCCATTATTAAACAGTCAGAAAACAATAGATGTTGGCACAAATGTGCTGAAAATGGAACACTTATACACCACTGGTGGAAATGTAAATTAGTACAGCCTCTATGGAAAACAGTATAGAGATTTCTCAAAGAACTAAAACAAGATCTACCATTCAATTCACCAAACCCACTACTGAGAGTATCTATCCAAAGGAAAATAAGTCATTATATTAAAAAGACACCTGCACACGTTTATCACAGTACAATTTACGATGGCAAAGATGAGGAATCAATCTAAGTGCCCATCATCTGATGAGTGGATAAAGAAAATGTGGTACATATATACCATGGAATACTACTCAGCAATAAAATATAAGGAAATCATCTCTTTTGCAGCAACTTCGATGGAACTGGAGGCCATTACCCTACATGAAGTAACTCAGGAATGGAAAACCAAATATTGTATGTTCTTACTCATAAGTGGGAGCTAAGCCATGGGTATAAAACGGAGTGTATAATGGACATTGGAAACTCAGAATTGGGGAGAGTGAGATGCGAGTGAGAGATAAAAAAAATCACCTATTGGGTACAATATACACTATATAGGGGACAGGTACACTAAAAGCTCAGGTTTCACTACTACACAATTCATCCATGTCACCAAAAACCACTTGTACCCCTAAAGCTATAGAAATAAAAAAATTTAATCTCTTTTTAATAATTCTGCTCTTGAAGTAAATCTCTCTTCAATAAAGCTCTCATCTTCTTGCCAGCTTCTTTCCCAACACTCCTATAGAAATTTCCTCTGCCAGTGATGCATTAGAGCCAGCAAAAAACCAAAAGAAACAAACAAACAAACAAAAAAAGTGTGGTGCTTGCTGGAGCTAGGCCCCAAATAAGATGAGGAAGCAGATGCAACCAGATGCTGGTGAGGCTGAGCTTTGTGAAAGAAGGTTGTTAAATTTCAACAAGTGTTTCTATGTGATCTGATCATATTTTAAACATGGTGTTCTTTTTTAAACACCACATTAAAAGAGGGATATCAACTAAGAGGCATGTCTGAGACCATGAGAATGATGAGTCACCAGATTAGACAACACAGTTAGAATTTTCTTTTAAATGTGGATATGTTTTTAACATAAATTCCTCCAAATTACGTGTTTTTAACACTTTTATAGAAAAGTTTCTTTAGCAATTTTAAAAGTAACTGATAGAAAATAATTTCACACTGTGAAATTACTTGTTTAGCCTTTAATTTAAATCTATTCTCTAAAAATGTGTTAGATTACAAGCTAAAAGTAGGTGACTTTTAGGGTTACTTAGTCTTTTGAATGAAGAAAATAGGAAATGTACTCTGGAAGCAACTGTAATGAAGTCTGTTGTTGGCTTTCTGTCATCTATTTCTCTTTCTTCTTGAAACGGAAGGAATGTCTCCTCCATTCTAAGCTTTGTGGTTTTGATTGAACTGGCCTCAACTGCTTCAGGGTTGAGCCATGATTAGCAGAGCTAATCAGAATGTACCATTTCTGTTCAGAATGACTAGCACAATGACCTAAGCTTGTCCAATCACAGTGCCTCTTAAGGACATTGGTCTGACAGCACTGAGACATAGATTTATTGTTTCATGATTGAGAGTTCATGTAACTCTCACAGCCACTAGAAGACAATTTAAGGGCATAAGTCAGAGAACCTTCCCCAAATGGAGTCAATATCCACATAGTGATAATTAAAAATAGAAATAAAGAAATTAGGTTCTAGGTCGCTTTACAGGAGATTCAGGATCAATCCCCACCTGAATCAACTCATGTACTTCTGAAGTTTCAATGAGGTAAACAAATAAATTATCTTTAATTTTAATGCCAGCCTCATTTGGGGTTTCTATTACTTGAACCTAAACTTTTCTTTGTTGACATAGAATCTGTGACATAGACAGACCCCAAAATCTGTATGTTGCTTTCTTATCAGCTGTCATGATGCTTCTGAGCCCTGTTTCTATGAAAATTGTGTTTTTCCTTTCTGAAATACAGGCACTCTGGCACCTTTATATATGCTGTAGTCATATGGTTTCTTTAAAATATTTCCAGTTTTACAGCAAAAATAGTCACTTAATGAGATGAAAATCTTTCCTGAGATTAAAAATCAAAATATTGCATATTTAATATCACATTTTACATGATAATTCTGATGTTGGGCTTGTTCTATTTAAGGCTAGAAAGAGATAACAACAAACCACATGCCACATGTTTCAAGCAACAGCAACAAGCTGCTTTTTTAAAGTAATTCTCAGTAAACTATCCCTTGGCCAACTGCTAACCTAATTCAGAAACAGAAAAAAGAGGTAGACGACACATGAAATATTACTTCTATTACTGACAAAACAGAAATTGTAGAATTGGTCTCCATGTAAAAAGTGGGATTCCTAATACAAAAACTCAGAATCATACAGACACACCCATCCAGGCAAAGACTACATTGGTCTGAGACTATTTTACAGCCTGTTTCTATAAAACTTGTGGCAGGAACAGGAATGTACACTCTCTGTGAGCATCTTGTTCCCAAGAGAAAGAGGAAAAACAAAGAAATTGCTACTTATGCTCACTTCCTTATCCTAAGGGGCAGAATAGAAGAGGGATAGGAGGAAGCCAGGAATATTATTTTAAAGCAGCTCCATCCATGAGGGAGGAAACATAGGAGTAAAAAGGAGGATATCCTATCTACCAAAACATTTTAAGTCTAGAGTTGTGTTCAGTTAAAGCAGCTCTAGTGCACCCAGAACTTCATGATTTAGAGTTCAAATAACACCTCTTAAACTGAAAGTTGACAAGATAGCAGTAAGAATTAATAGCTTTATAAAATCCATAAAAGAACCAAAGACAAACAGAATGTGGCAAACACAATTGGTTGCCTACTGAATATCTAATCTCTCTAATTTCTTACAAATAGAATCCAAATTTTATTCAGGGCAGCAGTGTGCCTGGTCTGACAAATTTCTTTTCTGGGTTTTCTCATGGCTGTGATTCAGGCCAATAAGATTTAGATAGAAGTTTATTAGGTACAGTTTCTACAAAGCTACGCATTCTTAGTGAAAAGACATAAGCCCAATAGGCCTACACCTTTCATACTTTATTCTTTCAACTTAACTGTCATGTGGTGCTACTACCTATAACACAATAGCCCTCTTTTAATCTTGAGTTTGAGAGCCACACATTGTTGTAGCAGGGCATTAAGCAAGAGGAAGACAGGTCTCTGTTAACTTCCTTGAGCATAGCATCATCCTTGAGCTGTCTACCTCCAGACTTCTTTTTACATGAGAAAAACATAAACTTCTTTATTTAAGCATGTGGTTATGAGATCTATGTTACATATAGTTAAACATAATGTCAACTAAAGCCGACTTGTCTCAAGTGAGAACTCTTTAAGACATCTACGCTCATTAGTAAATTAACAACAAACTTGTTATAAACAAGTAAATAAAAGGTTACAATAGATACAAGTGGTCTAGGAACAAAAAATATGTGCAGGTTATCTGATGAAATACAAGCCAAGGAGAGAGTGATTTCAAATAAGAGATAGAACAGTACAACACAAGTCATAATTCCTTAATCAGTGGCTGCTGGAGCCAAGAGTCTATCATGAGCATCTCCTCCCAATTCTGTGTTCAGTGATGTCACATTGGTAGCTTAAACTCAGCCATGGATACTGACACCACAGAAACAGGCTAATGCAGTAAATCAGGTCTTTTTTCTTTGGTAAGCTTGTTGTCAAATATTTACCAGCACATCACTGCTTACAGGCCACTGTACAGTTAAGCAAGAGTCTAGAAAAAAATGTGCAATGGGTAGCCATACTGCTAATGCTGTTCATCCAGAGACTTTATTATTGTAAAGAATACCTAAAGTAGGGTCTGACATTTAGCAATAACTCAGTCACAGTTTGAGAAAACAAGACAGTAGGAGAGAAAGAAAGAATTCGTTCTTGGCATTACAACTACAGAGTTAATTTTACTTCCCAAAAGAACTAAATGTAAAAAAAAAACAAACACCTTCGGTTTTAATTTAAAGACACCCAAAAATCAATGCAATTCTTTGAATATGTCATTCTACCCCTGATCCTACAGTCTTTTGAGTTGCATGTTGTGACAAAGTTTAAGTGTGTTTATGAAATCAGAACACGTCAGAGCATTAAAAAAAACCTTTGTAAATATGGTTTCCAAAGATCTAATGGCTAACGTAATGACAGTAAGCAGGAAGAGTGTCAGACTTCATTTAAAGTGGTAGATCATATAGAAAATAAAAAAATCTGAAAGTAGTTACCACTAGATGGCACTAGAATATATAACTGAATCTACACATTTGTATCCACAAAAAAAAATTATACTAGATTTTTATATTATACAAAGTCCCTTTGACTTTATTTAGTTATTTATTTAGACAGAGTCTTGCTCTGTCACTCAGGCTGGAGTGCAGTGGTGCAATCTCAGCTCACTGCAACCTCTGCCTCCCAGGTTCAAGCGATTCTCTTGCCTCAGCCTCCCAAGTAGCTGGGATTACAGGCGCTCTCCACCGCATATTTTTAGTACAGATGGGGTTTCACCATGTTGGTCAGGCTGGTCTTGAACTCTTGACCTCAGGTGATCCATCCACCTCGGCCTCCCAAAGTGCTGGGATTATAGGCATGAGCCACTGCGCCTGGCCCTTTTACATTATTTTCTATTGGAATTATTTATATCATACTTCTTTGCACAATGAATTTGAAATGGCACAAAAATAAGATGCAGAAAATAGTTAAGTAGAAATTGAAATTGGGATCAAAATCAGAAGTGGCAGCAGAGGCCATAAATGAAAGTTGGATAAAAATTGAAAAAGGCTTATAAAACATGACAAGCATTCTGAACTTTTATCCTGTAGACAAAAGGGATATCATCAGATGTTTTGTATTAGCAGATATTCTGGTTGTAATCCTATGGTTAAACCTAGGGACCAGGAACAAATCTAGTGTTATAAAGATCAATTGGATTATTCCAATAATCCAAGTAGGAAATTATGAGGTCCTGAATTAAAGCAGTGGAAGAGAATGAAACAACATATATTTAGGAGGTAAATTCTGTGGAACTTTAGATGTAGGAAGTAAGAAAAAAATAAACATTAACTATGTTTTTTTTTTCTTGAGGGGCAAAATGAGTAAGATTTGGAATAGAGGAAAAAGAAAGTTTGTAGAAAAAATATGTTCTATTGACCAATAAATAAATATATTTAATAAACAACACTGAACAGAAAGAATTTGACAGTGTTTTCCCATCACTAATAAAAGTCTACATGGCAGATTCTATTTCTATAATGGGTATGAGGGCTTGAAGACATTATGCCATTAATGTGTGTGATAAAGAATGCTATAATTTTTTTTATTATTGCAGTGGTGTAGTGGTGGTGGTGGTGGTGCTGGTGGTGGTGGTGGTGATGGTGGTGGTGGTGATAAGAGTGGTTTAGCTAAACTTAGCACTGAGTTGTGGGTACTTTACATGTATCCACTAATTCATTTTTCAAAATAATCCTGTGAAGTACTATTATTATCATCCCCATTTTTCAGATGTGTAAACTGAGCCCAAAGTCATTTACTTTGCCTAAAATCACATAGCTGGTAAATAGTAGAAAAGGAATTTAAAACTAGTGGAAAAAAAAAAAAAAACAGCTGTCCTTATAGCTATCGGCTGTTAGCTGACCTAGTTGCTACCAGTTGGGCTCTGATACCCCCTAGTACACATAAACAATTTCACAGAATATCAACATCAGCCAAAGGCTCACTGTAACTATTATAGAACAAAGGAAAAACAATACTACTCCATCATCATGTCTGAACAGAGATAAAGGCAAAGATGCCGTGCAACCAAAAATAACCAAACATTCCCCTCCCCTAACTGCCACAAGTGACTATTACTTCTTCTCCAGTAACAACTCTACCACTGTTCTGTTTATCCCATCTCCAAGATTAAAATTAAGATCCTCAAACTGCCCCCACTTTCTAACAGCATCAAACTCAACAAAGACCCCATTTTTAAAATCCTCCTTCAAATCACCTAATACAAGCCCAACTTGTATAAGTGCCCCTTAACTCCTTCTTATTGAGATAACCCACAGTTTCACAAGGTTTGTGTCCTGCCTCGCTGTAGCCAACTTTTTTTTTTATTAGAAGCGTGTTCCTCATCGGGCATGGTGGCTCATGCCTGTAATCCCAGCACTTTGGGAGGCTGAGGCGGGCAGATCATCTGAGGTCAGGAGTTGCAGACCAGCCTGGCCAAAATGGTGAAACTCCGTTTCTACAAAAATTAGCTGGGCGTGGTGGTGGGTGCCTGTAGTCCCAGCACTTTGGGAGGCCAAGATGGGCGGATCACTTGAGGTCAGGAGTTCAAGACTAATTTAACCAACATGGTGAAACCCCGTCTCTTACTAAAAATAAAAAAATTAGCTGGGCGTGGTGGTGGGTGCCTGTAATCCCAGCTACTCAGGAGGCTGAGGCAGGAGACTAGCTTGAACCCAGGAGGCAGAGGTTGCAGTGAGCAGAGATCACGCCATTGCACTTCAGCCTGGGCGACAGGAGCGAAATTCCGTCTTAAAAAAAAAAAAAAAAAAAGTGTTCCTGGTTGTCTTTGGCTGGTGGACATCAACAGTAGCTCTTCAGGCTCCCTCCAAGGCTTATGTTCTTATGTTCTTAAACACAATGTGAACACTCCTCATACATGAAATGCATATATCAGGGAAACTATCAATCTTAAAGCTAATTAAAGAGCTGAAAAAATAATCCAAAAAGCGAAAACTAAAAAATAACAAATTTTTTCATAAAATAAGTACTTGCAGTTAAATAGTTATGATGAATTTTGGTATAAAGTATTTGCAGTTAAATACTTAACATATATGCCAAATTAATAATGATAATGCTTATATTTATATTAGTTTTTTCTATGTCTTATACCACTATAGGACTACATTTGTAGCTATTTATAGATCGTCACTTCAACAAAATATAGGGAAACATGGTCAGAAGTTCCTCATGAATTATATCAAGTGAACATATTTAATAGGTTCAAATAAATGTTTTTGATATTCTAATAAGTGATAAAAGTTTTACAAAGAAAAAACTAAAATTCACATAAAACCATAACTTTTTACTTAATTTGCATAATACTGTCTCAAAAACCATGAAAAAAATTTAACCAAACTTGTTTTAAAAAGTATGTTTAATCTTAACACATGGGAATTTGTTCATGCTATTATCATTAATAATGACTACTAAACACATTCCCAATTCAAGAGGAGATTCTTTAAAAAGATACTGAACAGATTCATGACCTTTTTAGAACTTAAACAAAAAATACAAAAAATGTTTATAGTTCAGGAACCATAAAGGAAAAAATCCAGAGAGTAAAGAGTCTATATTGTATTTTATTTTTTTAATAAAACAGAAGCAGGAACAAGAACGTATTGCCTTACGTTCATTCTGGACTAGTCAAAAGAATCCAAGTTCAAGGAAAACTAAGATGATTTCTAGGTTTTTCACCTTGTAGTTTTCATCATCACCAATGAGTTAAGACAATGTTTCAAATACAAAATTTATAATACTAGAACCTTATCTAGTTAACCAATTTATGTATACGTATCCAACCAAGACTGCTAAAAAAATTAAGAATTACTTAGCTGTTACAATCTCTGTGATCCCAGCTGTTGAAAATTATCCCTAGCACTACAAAAGATGTCTAATAAATGTTGGCTATATGATGAACAAAGAATGAATAAACAAATGAAGCCAAAAACAAATTTGTAACAGAACATTATTAAACATAATGGGCTTAAAATTATAATCTTCATTTTAAAAATTATTAGAAAGACATAATACCAATGGTAATTATTATTTTGGTATATAAATTTTCAGTAGCAGGCATCTCCAGAAAGTGTTTTATACCAACTAAAGCAAATAGCAGGTACCTCTGACCTTCCCAGTGAACCATTCCAGTCTCTTAACTTCATAGCCTAACTCTAATTATTAAATTCTTTGTTTTGCATAAAAATGGAATTTTATTTTTTATTTAATTTGATGTTTTCATAGATTTTTTCTAACATTAGAAGTACATGCTATCTTTGTCGAGGTTATTATCATAATTATTATTATCTCACAGCACAGAAGCATAAGTAGAACAACTAATTTTGTAATTCCTCTCAATTGCTACTTTGGCATTTATTATTGTATTTATGTATTCATTATTAGCTTTTTACCTTAACTATTAATCAAAGACTAACTCCTTGCATTCTTTTATAATGAGTTATTTGCCTTAGAAAACTTAAAAGGTTAGTTCTGATGACAAAGAGTAACTGAATATAATTTATTTAAGCCAATATTTAAAATGGATTATAAACATTTATGTTTTCAGAATAGATTTTTCAAAATATTTGTATCATAATGAGAATACATAATATTTGTATTCTATGAGTATTTCAAAATGTTCATTATTAAATTAAATGAATGTTATTTCCGAATTTTCAATTTTGCTTATTACATGCTTATTTTTCAGTTGACACAATTTATAAAACCTTAAGAATGTAGACAATCTTAATAATATTTAGAAAATTTGATTTTCTGAAACTATAACTGGCTAGCATCTCCTTAAATACTTCCTTTTAAAACAGATTTCATTTTTATTTAACTGAAATTTTAAAGTTTAGTTAAGTAAAAACTTATTTTAATCATAATTTCAAATTTTTATATTAAACATTTAGTAAGGATTATATCACATTTTAAAAATGTGTATGTAATAATTCTTCCTTTCCTTAACCTAAATATATTTCCAGTTTATTGGTGGTGCTAAGTAAATGACACAGAACCTCATGACAAGATATTCATCCTATATGAACCTAGCTCTGCCATTCTAAATATTTTAAAACACCTGAAAATGCAAAAAATAAAATAAAATAAAATAAGAGTCACAAAAGCGTCAGATTAATTTCAAAAAATGTGGTTATAAGATTGTGTAATTAATAGTAAAAGCCAAAATACTTCCTACAATTACAGATTCACTTGTCATCTTGTTCAATAATATCCGATGTTAAGAGGTCTCTCTTTTGAATAGCATTAGTAAGCATATTACCATGTCAGATTATACAAAGACAACGTTAATCCAAAAGTTTATGAAAGCACAAATCTTTGACAGATGATGGATCTACTGACATTAGTACCTGTGCTTAGGTATGTAGCAAAATTGGAGTCTCTGAAGAGAAATGACTGTTCAAATATCGTTTGTTATGCAGAGAAGTACCAAAATAAGTTACCAAAAAGGGAAAAACAAATAAGGTGTTAAGCAAATACAGCACAACTCTGTATACCTGTGCAGTGACAGGAAGTGTAAAGACAAAGATTTATTCTGAAGACCTTGAGATTCAAGTAATTGTTTTATTCTCAGAAACGCCATTACATGTAGATATGAATTCCACATTAAATGATATTATCAAAATATTGTGTTAATAAAATCTAAGACATTGTAGTCCTGTTATTGTCAGCTTTATAAAAGGAAGTAGAATCAGAATATCACTCACTTTCTGCTGCTACATTATGAAGGTAGTCCCTGTTCACAAAAAGTGCTATGATAAGTAATCTGAAAATATTTTGTTGATGATACACATTAACATGGCATTTTGGAGCACCAGAATGAACTTCTTAGACAATTTTAAGGACTGCATTTTAAAAATATTACTGTTTTCTAAGAAAGTTTATAAATTCAGAATAAAAAACCTAATCTGGAAAAGTGAAACTAAAGTTATGAAATTTGTTATTTGAGTCCTAAAGAGCAACATCTATATGTACTGAAGGGCAAGTGAAATAATTGAAACACTTGTAGAAATAAGTTGAAATGATACTAAATCCAATTGCATTATCACAATAATACAATTTTCCAGTGTTAGAAAAGGAAGAGGTGTTAAAGACTAAAATATTACACTTTAATCAATTTTTTAAAAATATTATCCAAATTCTGAATAATAGAAAAAAAATAGTGCTTCTGTTAATCAGAGAAAAGGCAGTAATCTTCTATTTCTGTCACCTTTTAAGGAAAGTTTTTTTCTGATAATGAACATAAAGAATTTAAAGACATCATATTTATGAATTTATATTAATGAATTTAAAGACATCATATTTAAATACATTAAGTTATCAGGAAATGAAGGTAGCCATTTGAAACATAAAAACTGATATGGATGCTGGGTGTGGTGGCTCACATCTGTAATCCCAGCACTTTGGGAGGCCGAGGTGGACAGATCATCTGAGGTCAGGAGTTCAAGACCAGCCTGGCCAACATGGCGAAACCCCATCTCTACTAAAAATACAGAAATTAGCTGGGTGTGGTGGCATGCACCTGTAATCCCAGCTACTTGGGAGGCTGAGGTAGGAGAATCTCTTGAACCCAGGAGGCGGAGGTTGCAGTGATCCGAGATCATGCCACTGCACTCCAGCCTGGGAGACAGAGCAAGTCTCCATCTCAAAAAAAAAAAAAAAAAAGAAAAAAACTGACATTGAAAAGTTATATTCACAGAGAAACTCAAATTTCTCATTAAAAATTTTAAAGGTAGTTGGAAAGTTATAATAATTCATGAGACTTTGTATTTATTTTTATTTTTATAATTATGATAAATAAAATTATAATACAAATTATTACCAAACCTCATATAAACATCTCCAAGTCCCATATGTTTATTCAAGTATATGATGTATATTAACATTTTCTATGTGTGCTATGAAGGGAAATAGTTTGGGAAGCGCTGTTATTTGGTCTTGTTTAGAAAGTATAGTATGGTTAGCATCAATCCATTCTGAATATAAAGCTCAACTCATTTGCCTTACTGGATGAGAGATAATATCATTTAATTAATTATCTTAAGGAGTTTATTTTGCTTTTCCAAAATAACTTTTAAATAATAAATGGTGTGACAGAATAGTTCGGTGCACAAGCCACAAGCTCTAGAGTCAGGCACACTTGATACTCTGTGACTGTTAGTGCTCTAACTCTATGACTGTTAGTTGTATGACTTCAGTTTACTGATCTATTAGTGGGAATAAGAAATTAATTTTCTTAAGAATAATTAATACAATTAAATGAGATAATATATGTCCAGTGCTTAACACAATGCCTAGCACACAGCAAGTGCTCAATAATGAAAACCATTTTATTTTTTTACCATGTGTCAGGTCATAAATTTAGCATAAAGTAAGTCTCAGGAAATTTTTTAAAATCAAAATCATAACAAGCATTTTCTCAGACCATGGTCGAAGAAAATTAGAAATCAATATATAGAAGAACTCTCAAAACCACACAAGTACCTGGAAACTAATTAACTTGCTCCTAAATGACTTTTGGGTAAACAATAAAATTAACACAGAAATCAACTTTTTGAGAAAAATGAAAACAGAAACACAACATGCCAAAACCTCTGTGATGCAGCAAAAAGAATGTTAAGAGGAAAGTGTACAGTATTAAATGCCTACATCAAAAAGATAGAAAGATCTCAAACTAACAACCTCATGTGACACCTGAAGCAACCTGAGAAACAAGAATAAACCAAATCCAAAGGTAGCAGAAGAAAAAAAAAATAATGATGAACTAAATGAAACTGAGACAAAAAACACATCATACAAGGAATCAGTAATATGAAAGTTGGTTCTCAGCCTGACCAACATGGTGAAACCCCATCCTTACTAAAAACACAAAAATTAGCCAGGCATGGTGGAACACACCTGTAGTCCCAGCTGCTCTGGGGGCTGAGGCAGGAGAATGGCCTGAACCCAGGAGGCGGAGGTTGCAGTGAGCCAAGGTCGCGCCACCGCACTCCTGCCTGGACGACAGAGCAAGACTCCATCAAAAAAAACAAACAAACAAACAAAAAAAACAAAAAAAAAAACTTGGTTCTTTGAAAATATGAAAAAAATTGATACACTGCTAGTTAGATTAACCAGTACAAACAAAAAGAAGACTCAAATCAGAACAATCAGAAACAATAAAGGTGACATTACAACTGATACTAAAGAAACAGAAAAGATCCTCAAAGACTATTATGAACATCTGTACACATACAAACCACAAAACCTAGGATATATTTCTGGAAATATATAACCTCCTAAGATCCCAGAAGAAATTAAATCCTGAACAGACCAGAAATGAATAATGAAATTGAATCATTAACCAAAAAAAAAACTTCCAACAATAAAAAAAGCCCAGGATCAGATGAATTCATCCCCAAATTCTATCAGACATACAAGGAAGAACTTACACCAATCCCACTGTATATATTCCAAAAAATTGAGGAGTAGCACCTCCCTAACTCATTCTATGAAGCCAGCATCAGCCTAATACCAAAATCTGGCAGACATACCACAAGAAAACTTCGGGCCAATATTCTTGATGAACATAGAGGCAAAAATCTTCAACAAAATACTAGCAAACCAAAAAAAATTAATACACCACAATCAGGTTGGCTTTATTCCTGGGATGCAAGAATGGTTCAATATAAGCAACTCAATAAATGTGATTCACCATGTAAAGAGAATTAAAAACAAAAAGCATATGATTATCTCAACAGATGTCAAAAAAAATTCTGACAAAATCCAACATCCCTTCATGATAAAAATCCTCCACAGACTAGGCATCGAAGAAACATACCTCAAAATAATAAGAGCTATTTATGACAAACCCACAGCCAATATCATAGTGAATGGGGAAAAGTTGAAAGCATTCTCCCTAAGAAGCAGAACAAGATAAGGATGTCCACTATCACCATTTATATTCAATACAGTACTGGAACTCTCAGCCAGAGCAATCAGGCAAGAAAAAGATAAATAAATAAAACACATCCAAATAGGAAAAGGGGAAGTCAAATTATCTCTGATCACTGATGACATGATTTTACACATAGAAAACTCAAAAGATTCCTAGACTTAATAAATAACTTCAGTAAAGTTTCAGGATGCAAAATCAACCTACACAAAATCAGTAGCTTTTCTATACACAAATTATCACCTCAAGCTGAGACCCAAATAAAGAACTCAATCCCATTTACAATAGCCACAACAAAATAAAATACCTAGGAATACACTTAACAAAGAAGGTGAAAGATCTCTACGAGGAGAACTACAAAACACTGATAAAAGATATCATAGATGACATCAACAAATGGAAAATATCCCATGCTCATGGATTGCAGGAGGTAATATCATGGAGATGACCAAACTTCCCAAATTAAGCTACAGACTCAATGTAATTCTTATCAAAATATCAACATAATTCTTCACAAAATTAAAAAAAAAATCTAAAGGCCGTATGGAAGCAAAAAAGAGCCTGAATAGCCAAAGCAATCCAAGGGAAATGAAAGCTGGAGGCATCACATTACCTGACTTCAAATTATACTACAAGAATAGGGTAAATAAAAGAGCAGGGAATTAATATAAAAATAGACACATAGATCAATGGAACAGAATAGAGAACCCAGAAATAAAACCGAGTATCTACAACCAACTGATCATTAACAAAATCAATAAAAATAAACAATGGGTAAAGGACACTATATTAAATAACTGGTGCTGCAAAAATTGGATAACCACATTAAGAAGAATGAAACTGAATCCCTCTCTCTCACCATATATAAAAATTAACTCAAGATAGATTAAATAATTACATGTAAGACCTGAAACTATAAAAGCCCTAGAAAACAGCCTAGGAAAAATTCTTTCAGACATTGGCCTAGGCAAAGAATTTATGACTACGAGCCCAAAAGCAAATACAACATAATGAAAAATAAATAATAAAATTAAACTAAAAAGCTGCTGCACAGCAAAAGAAATAATCAACAGAGTAAATAGACAACTTACAGAATGGGAGAAAATATTTGTAAATTATGCCTCTGACAAAGGACTAATATCTAGAATCTACATGGAACTCAAATACCTCAACTAGAGAAAAACAAACTACCCCATTAAAAAGTAGACAAAGGACATCATGAACAGACATTCCTCAAAGAGAAACATATAAGCAGCCAACAAACATGGAAAAATACTCAACACCACCAATCATCAGAGAAATGCAAAATAAAACCACAGTGAGATACCATCTTACACCAGTCAGAATGGTTATAATTAAAAAGTCAAAAAACAACAGATGTTGGCAAGGATGCAGAGAATAGGGTACATTTATACAGTGTTGGTGAGATTGTAAATTGGTACAACCTCTGTAGAAAACAGTATGGAGATTTCCCAAAGAACTGAAAAAGAACTACCATCAACCCAGCAATCGCACTACTGGGTGTCTACCCAGACGAAAATAAATCATTATATCAAAAAGACACATGCACTCATATGTTTGTTATAGCATTAATTGCAATTACATAGTCATGGGATCAACCTAAGTGTCCATCAAAAGTTGATTGTATAAAGAAAATGTGGTGTATATATACAACATGGAATATTATACAACCACAAAAAGAATGAAATCATGTCCTTTGCAACAGCATGGGTAGAGCTGGAGGCCATTAGCCTAAGTGAAATAACTCAGAAACAGAAAATCGAATAGCACATGTCCTCACTTGTAAGTGGGAGCTAAACAACAGGTACACATAAACATAAAAATAGAAACAATAAACACTGGGGACCCTAAAAATGGGGGGCTTAGGAGGGGGGTGAGGCCTGAAAATTACTTATTCTGTATGATGGTCACTATTTGGGTGATGGGCAAGAAGTCCAAACCTCACCATTATGCAATATATCCATATAACAAACCTGTATATGTAATTCCTGAATCTAAAATAAAATAAAAAATAAAAACAAAATATAAAAAGAAAAAATATAACCTACTATGTCTACTTACCTTTGTACAGACAATTGCTTAAGTTATGCTGTTTTTAACATTTGTACTTGGATAAAATGCTTATGTGTGTATAGGAATGTCATAGTACAAGATGCTGCTAACCCAGGCACAAAGTATTAAAATTATTTTGTAGGGAAAAAAAAAACATTATTTTACAATATTTCTGCTCATTGGGATGTGTAAAGTTTCCCTTACTTGACCCTAGAAGAAATGTTGAATTAAGAAAAATTTGTCATATTTTCCCACATACTTTTTTTTTTAATCTCTAGTTTACCTCCTAGTGTATGCACTCTTTCACTAAGCCCTCAAATGGCTAACAATAACAGTGGCTGTTAATATTTATTGAATATGTACTATTTGCTAAATACTATACATGGTGATTTACTGCACTATCTCATTTAATTCTCACAAACAACTTGCATGCACCCTTTCCCTAAGCCCCCAAATGCCTAACAATAACAATGGCTGTTAGTATGTACTGAATATGTACTATTTGCTAAATACTATGCACGGTGATTTACTGCACTATTTCATTTAATTCTCACAAACAACTCCATGAAGAAGGTTCTATTACAATATCATTTGTACAAATAAGAAAAGTGAAACAGAGTACTTAAGTAAAAGATGAACCACTAAGGAGTAACAAAGCCTAAATTTGGGCCCAGTGTGTTGTACTCTAGAACCTGCACTCTCAAAACACGCCATTCCCTTATGTGTGCAGATCAGTGAGCCATCTCAGTTCAATAGGCAATAAATTTGAGAATATTATTATTTTTCTCCAATCAGTGCTTTCAACTATGTTCTGTTGAACTTCCCTTTCCCATTCCATAATGACATCTAGAATAGCTCAATCATAGCCATCTTCAATGATGTTGATTAGACCTATGGAAAATTCATTATGGTAGATATTACTGGAGTCTTGTGACATGATATTTTCCTCCCCTTCTGGCACACAGAGGAATGCACGTCTTATTTCCATCTATTAGGGAGGGGCCAAGTGATAGAGTCTGTCCACTGAGTTCCTAAAGAAAGTGTATCATTTCTGTGCTGAGGTAGTAAAAAGCCCATGCCCTATTCTCCAGTCTCTTCCCTCTGCCCACATGCACTAGACAGTGAAGCTTCAAGATGTTGGACCCTGGACTGCTAGACCACATAACAAGTAATTACCCTGGAGAGTCCCCCTTACCCACAGTGAAATATACAAGAACAAAAAGTAAACCTCTTTTGTATGTTAAGCATTGACATATTAGATTTGCTTGTTCCTGCTATATAACCTTGCCAATCATGAATACTAGATAAACACTCCTTTCCACCCCACAAATGGAAATACAGGCTGCTCTCTGACACCCATCCACCTACCCTCTTTTCAATTATCTTTTTCTGTGTTGAAATAAGAATAGGGATAGATAGATCAGTAACTTTACTGCTTAAGTAGATGGCTGACCAGGGAATAGAATGCTATCATCCCCTTTCTGTTAGCTCCTCTAATTGCCACAAAAAATTCTGTTGGAGATTTCCTTCATTTGGCCTTCAGTGGGGGGTGGGAGGAAATAGTACATCCCTCCCCAAAGTGGTGGAAAAGGGAGAAGAAAGCTTCTGCATTCTCCACTAGGCTCCAGATTTATTACTCAGATTGCTCTCTTACCCCTTTCCTTTCCTCAGTCCTCATTTATATTACGGAAAGTGAAGGTTCCAGTGGGTTTAAGAGCTGAAGGTAATTGTCAGTTTCTTTCCTTTTAGAAAACTCTGAGAAAAGTATTGGGACCAATTGCTGGCAGAACTTTTTTCAATGAGATGCTTAATGCTTTCTTGCCCACATTAGATTTCAGTATGTAATTCCAAGGCAACAGAAAAAGACCCTCTCTGTATCCAATTATAACATTTTAGTTTCTCATGATCTATCTTGTAGTATTTAAGTTTATTTGATCCTGAAAATTAATTCGAACCTTAATTATCTATATCTATTGCTATGCTATAAAGAACTACTTCAGATTGAACCCATTCACACAAATGAATGAATGACAAGCTCAATGAATATATTCCAGAGGGCTTCTATTTCCCCTTCTTTGTAAAATGTATGGCTCAGACTAGAAAATGAAGATTCCCTCTAGTTCTACTCCAGTATAATCTTATAATTCTGTATACTATTTTGTTGTATATTATAATCCCATATATGTGTGTGTGTGTGTGTGTGTGTGTGTATAGGTATGTATTGGTATGTGTATATATATATACACGTATATATATACACACACACGTATATATATATATGGTTAAGGTTTCCTATACTATTCAGCTAGGAGAAATATATATATATACACACACACACAGACACACACACATATATGTGTACATATATATGGTTAAGTTTTCCTATACTATTCAGCTAGGAGAAATAAAAATAATTTTAAGTAACTAGGTTCTGAATTAGATGAGCTCGGCCAATCTCTTTGCTAAGGTCCTCCTTAACTTAATTTTTCTGATTTTATATGATAATCCAATGCCTTCTATTAATATTAAAATAAAATTGGAAAGTTGGCTAGCTGTACCCAATAATTTATAAATTGTTTCACTCAATTTTTATTCCTTCATATATATCTTAATTTTCTACTAGCTACAAAGCATTATGATAGACATGACTGGGATTTTAAATGTTAAAACAGTATTCACTGTGTCCAAAAACGTATTCTAAGGAGATGCCAGGCCAATGTCTCATGCCTGTTTTAGCAATAGTATGCAAATGTTTTTGAAGCTCATCCCAAAAAGTTAACCTAATTATCAGTTAAGACTACATTTGGCTGCAAGTCCTAGAAAATCTATAAAACATTTTAAACAGGAGAGGTATTTATTTCTCTGTACAACAAGAAGTCAGTGTAAGCCTGGTGTAGCACTAAATGATGCCCAAAAGGCACCAGACTCTCTGTAACTTACTGCACTATAATCCTGGATTTTGGATATTACAGCTCAGACATTTCTCCTTAGGAAGGAGAAAGGTCAAAGCCAGAGAAGCTGCACTAGCTGACAACATACTCTTTGTCCAGAATGGAGTCACAAGGCTACCTGAAGCTACAATGAAAAGATGAGCTTTTTGCTTTGCAGCTTCTACAGAGAGGAGAATGTAGCGTAGAGGAATAAAGTGAGAAGAGAGTTGTAATAGACATAGTGAGATCACATAGAGTATTGACACATCTCTGGATCTGGTGACTATTATTCTGATTTTCCAATTAAGTGGTGTAATTCTAAAAACAACAAATTGATTAGAATATAATAATAATTGTATGATAAACTTAAAAATATTAAATATTGTGTATCTCATGGGGAATTAATGATCAACAACTACTTTGAGATTAAACTAAAGGCCAGAATACACACAACTGCATATACATACATATCCTAAAATAAACAAAAATATTCCAAAGCAAAATGTAAGCTTCACAACTCCAAAAAATTGATAAACGAGGACTTTTAAAATAAATACAATATTAAATATTGAGTTAAATATTGAGTAACAGTTTTTTATAATATATATGAACAAATAGCTGCTTAAGATTAAGGACAAAAATAAAAACAAGTGAGCATTACAATATGCAACTGATTTGAAGAATTTCAATAAACTGTAACTATCTTATTCATAACAAAATAAGCAAATAGCTCAATAAAAGATTCTGAGGCACTAGCCATGTCCGCAGTTTTCATTAAATGCAAAATATATTTGTAAATCTAGATTTGTATATTGATAATTAACCCCTTATCTGATTTCTTATCCATCAAGTTTGGTAACTCATGAACCATCCTGAGTAAAATTTTATGTAACACCGTATCTCAGCTATTACCACACTTTAAAGAAGACAGGTTGCAGATTTGTAGGGGAAAAACTCAAAGTTCAATGTAATGATATTGTCTCTACCTATACATAAATATTTAAAAGAAAAAACTTAGCTTAAACTTATTGGAAATCTTTTTAAAGATAACTGAGTTGTGCATCTGTAGTCCCAGCTACTCGGGAGGTTGAGGCAGGAGAATTGCTTGAACCTGAGAGGCGGAGGTTGCAATGAGCCGAGACCATGCCACTGCACTCCAGCCTGGGCGACAAAGCGAGACTCCTTCTCAAAGAAAAAAAAACAAAAAAAAAGATAACTGAGTTATCTATACTATTTCACCAGGATTGAAAGATGGCGAATCAAACAAACTATAAATTAAAATGTTCAATTAATGTTCATGGTAGCTAGTATTAGATATATGCCATATTTACCATAAGTAGAATCAGTGCTTTGGTTGTTTAACAAATGAATGCTTTCAGGCATAAACTATGTGCATAAACTATGAAAGGCCACCAACTTTCCTCTTTTTAATCCTCTCTTTTCAAATTGCCATGTGAACTTTTTCTTGACAAATTAATCAGTTACAATTGAAAATCAATTTAGTGTAGCAGACAAGACAGCTTCTTCCAAATAAAAATGTTTTGTGTTGCCATTCCAGTATAAAAGTCACATCTGAAACACAGAAGTTTTGTATTCTCTGTGACACGTTAGTAAGTTAAAACTTGTACATAAAAGTGCTTTGCGACACAGCAAGTTGGATAAAAAGACAAGCTCCAACCATCTCTGGCTTCAAGAGACCCAGCTTATGTGTAACAACACCCACAGGCGCAAAGTAAATTAAGATTTACCACTGTACCACTGTAGTAAGATTTACCACCCAAATGGAAAACAAAATGAGCAGGAGTTGCTATCCTATATCAGATAACAGAGTTGCTATCCTATATCAGATAACATAGATTTTAAACTACTAAAATGTAAGAAAGACAAAGACATTATAAAATGATAAAGGGTACAATCCAATAAAAAGAAATAAGTATTCTAAATACATATGCATGCAACATCTGATTCAATTTTGGAGCACCCAGATTCATAAAACAAGTTCTTCTTGGCCTACGAAAAGACTTAGACAACCACACAATAATAGTGAGGAACTTCTACACCCCACTGACAGTATTAGACAGATCATCAAGGCAAAAAACTAACAAGCAAATTCTGGATTTAAACTTGACACTTGACCAACTGGACCTAATAGACATGTACAGAACACTCCACCCGACAACCACAAAATATACGCTGTTCCCATCTGCACATGGAATACAATCTAACATTGACCATGTGCTCAGTCATAAAGCATGTCTTAATAAATTCAAAAAAATAACATACCACAGAGATTCCTGGAACACAGTGCAATAAAAACAGAAATCAATATCAAGATGACCTCTCAAAAACTACTCAAATTTATGGAAATTAAACAACTTGTTCCTCAATAACTCATAGGTAAACACTGAAATTAAGGCAGAAATAAAAAAAATTCTTTCAAATTCATGAAAATAAAGACACAACTTACCAAAATCTCTGAGATGAAGCTAAAGTAGTGTTAAGAGGAAAGTTAAGAGAAAAGTGACAAATGCCTTTATCAAGAAGTTAGAAAGATCTCAAATTAACAATCTAACTTTGCACTTAAAGGAACTACAACAAAAAGAATGAACCAATCCCAAAGCTAGCAGAAGAAAAGAAATAACTAAAATTAGAGAAGACTCTAATGAAATTGAGATGCAAAAATCCATACAAAATATCAATGAAACCAAGAGTTTGTTACTTGAAAAAATAAACAAGATTGATAGATAACTAGATTAATAAAGAAAAAAAGAAGATCCAAATAAGTACAATCAGAAATGATAAAGATGACATTAAAACTGATCTCACAGAAATACAAAAGATCTTTGGAGAATAGTGTAAACATCTCTATGCACAAAAACTAGAAAATACAGAGGAAATAGATGAATTCCTGGAAAAACACAATCTCCCGAGACTGAATCAGGAATAGATTGAAACCCTGAATAGACCAATATTGAGCTCTGAAATTGCATTAGTAATAAAAAACCTACCAACCAAAAAAAGCCCTGGACCAGATGAATTCACAGCTGAGTTCTACCAGTTATACAAAGAAGAACTAATACCAATCCTAATGAAAATATTACAAAGAAGTGAGAGGCTCCTCCCTAACTTATTCTATGAAATCAGCATCAGCCTAATACCAAAATCTGACATATATACCACGAGAAAAGAAAACATCAGGCCAATATCCCTGATAAACATAGATGCAAGAATCCTCAACAAAATACTGGCAAATCAAATCCAACAGCACATCAAAAAGTTAATATACCACAACCAAGCAGGCTTTTTCCTGGGATACAAGGATGGTTCAAGATACACAAATCAATAAATATTATTTACCACATAAACATAATTCAAAACAAAAAGCATATGTTCATCTCAATAGATGCAGAGAAAGCTTTTGATGAAATCCAACATCTCTTCATGATTAAAAAAAAAAACCCTCAACAAACTAGGCAACAAAACAACATGTCTCAAAATAATAAGAGCCATCTATGACAAACCCACAGCCAGCATCATACTGATTAGGCAAAAGCTGGAACCATTCTCCTTGAGAAATGGAACAAGACAAGGATGTCCACTCTCACGACTCTTATTCAACATATTACTGAAGTCCTAGCCAGAGCAATCAGGCAAGAGAAAAAATAAAAGATATCCAAATAGGAAAAGAAGAAGTCAATCTATCTCTCTCACTGATGATATAATTCTATACCTAGGAAACCCTAAGGATTCTGCCAAAAGTCTACTAGAACTGATAAAAATTACAAAATCAATGTAAAAAATTAGTCATATTTCTATACACCAATAATGTCCAGGCTGAGTGCCAAATCAAGAACACAATCCCATTTACAACAGCCACAAAGAAAACGAAATATCTAGGAACACAGCTAACCAAGGAGGTTCTAGAAGGAGAACTATGAAACACTGATAAAAACAAATCAGGGTCTACACAAATAAATGGAAAAATATCCCATGCTCATGGATTGCAAGAATCAATATTGTTAAAATGTCCATACTGGCCAAGGCAATTTACAGGTTCAATGAAATTCCTACCAAACTACCAATGTCATTCTTCACAGAATTAGAAAAAAAAAGCTGTTCTAAAATTCATATAGAATCAAAAAAGAGCCTGAATAGCCAAAGCCATCCTAAGCAAAAAGAACAAAGCTGGAGGCATCACACTACCTGACTTCAAACTATGCAATAATTCTACAGTAACCAAAACAGCATGGTACTTGTGTAAAAACAAACACATAGACCAATGGAACAGAAAATAAAACTCAGAAATAAAGCCTCATACTTACAACCATCTGTTCTTTGTCAAGGCTGACAAAAACAATCAATGGGTAATGAACTCCCTACTCAATAAACAGTGCTGAGACAACTGGCTAGTCATATGCAGAGTAATAAAACCAGACCCTGACCTTTCACCATATGCAAAAATTAACTCAAGATGGATTAAAGAGTTCAATGTAAGACCTCAAACTATTAAAATCCTAGAAGAAAATTAGAAAATACCCTTGTCAACTCAGCCTTAGCAAAGAATTTTTGGCTAAATCCCCAAGAGCAATTGCAATGGAAACAAAAATTGACAAATGGAACCTAATTAAACTAAAGAGTTTCTGCATAGCAAAAGAAACTATTAACAGAGTAAACAGACTACATACAGAATGGGAGAAAATATTCACAAACTATGCATCAGAAACAATTCAACAAGCAAAAAAAAATTAAAAAGTTGGCAAAGGACATGAACAGACACTTCTCAAAGGAAGACATACACGCAGCCAGCAAACATACAAAAAAAATGCTCAGCATCACTAATCATCAGAGAAATGCATTTTCAAAACCACATTGAGATACTTATTATTTCATGGCAGTCAGAATGGTTATTATTAAAAAGTAAAAAAACAAACAAAAAAAACCCCAGATTTTTTTGGTGAGACTGTGGAGAAAAGGGAACACTTATACACTGTTGGTAAGAATGTAAACTAATTCAGCCACTGTGGAAAGCAGTTTGGAGATTCCTCAAAGAACTTAAGATAGAGCTACCATTTCACTCAGCAATGTGATTACTGGGTATATAACCAAAGGAAAATAGATCATTATACCCAAAAGACACATGCACTCACATGTTCGTGGCGGTGCTGTTCACAAGAGCAAAGACAGAGAATCAACCATTGCCTATCAATGACAGATTGGATAAAGAAAATGTGGTACATACACATCATGGAATACTACATAGCCATAAAAAAGAAGTAAATCATGTCCTTTGCAGCAACATGAATAAAGCTGGAGGCCATAATCCTAAGCAAATTAATGCAGGAACAGAAAACCATATACCATATGGTCTTACTTACAAGTGGGGGCTAAATATTGAACACCCATGGACATAAACATGGGAACAATAGACACTGTGCTGCACTTGAGGCGGGAGGGAGAGAGCGAGGTTTGGGTCAAAAAACTACCTATTAGGTACCATGCTTGCAACCTGGTTGCAATATACCCACTGAGATATACTGCAATTGAGCACAAACCTGCCCATGTACATCTTGTATCTTAAAAAAAGTAAAAAAAAAAAAAGAAAATGCTTTGTAACTACAAAATTTAATTCTACTGTAATACTACCTATGATCTTAGTTTCAGACTTCAAATAAATGAAATCATTTTAAAATGTATTTAATTAATTCATGATTAAATTGCTAAAATTAGCCCCCAAGTCCCTATGTGAGTCCATCACTATTATATCTATACTATTTTCTTTTGTCACTAGCTTGCTTCTTAGTTCAATTAATGCTAATTCCCCTCAGGCAAACCAGCTTTTCTGACATAAGAGAAAAAACAGGATCCAATCTTGCTGGAAGTTGCAATCACAATCCTACTGTTAAAATAGCCTCTTCACTCTCTAAGTAATGTTTTCGGGGAAAAGTCATTAGTGTCTATCCCGTCTTGGAGTAAGGGAGAAGAATACGGAAACTGCAGTGGAGGATTGGTCTAAATGCCCATCTGCCCGAGTACGATTTGCAGCATCTACACATGAGAGATACAAAAACATGCAATCTAGCTAGTTCTAATTTTTTTTTTTGTTCTTTACAGGGCTGAACCATACAATTAATGATTTTTCTAAAAGTGCAATTCATTTTCATATTCTACATGTCCTTGCAATGCAATCAAAAATAATGCAGCAAATGAAATCATAATATGAATAAAGTCCCATTTTGCTTATCAGTGCACATAATTTGTTTGGTTTAATTTATTTCAGTCCAAAAGTGTCATTCTTTGAATCTTAAACTTTTGAGTTGCCTGTGTGTGTGTGTGTGTGTGTGTGTGTGTGTGTGTGTGTGTGTGTGTGTACATAGCATTCCTATAGACACAGGCATACACATCTATACATACACAATTGGTCTGCAGCTAGCAACTATAAGAATACTAAAATCAAACTATTTTCAGTACATAAAGACAAGGAAGAAAATATACTCTACTCTTAGTCATATATTTGAAATCTCATTGTTCTAACTATATAGAATATAATTTTTTTCATTTATATTATTTTTCTTATTCTATTCTTATTTTAAGGAATCATTCCTACATTATCAGATTTTTTTCATGTTTTATTGGCAGTATAAATATTTCTGAATTATCAAAATTATAAAGCAACTTTATACATAACTAGCAAAACATATAGCTTACAATTCTTAATAGAAATATAGTACCACATACCAATAGAATATTCACAACCATTTTAAAACCAACTTCCTTAACTCTAAGAATTATCAAAAAGAAAACTAGATATATAACTGTTTGATTATTGCTGGTCACTTCATTTCCCTTTTGATCTTCCATGTTACTTCATGAAGAAAAGTTTAAATAAATATTAATAGTTGTTCTCTAAGCACCTTTCCCTTTATGCCTGAATATAAAAATTCACATTAGATTTGACAAAAATAATTTACAATGCAAAAACCACATGAATTTGTAAGTTACTTTTCCAAAACTCCAACAAAGTGAATAGGATATTCTTTAGCATTTATCTAAAAGTTATAAAAAGCTCTCCCCACTCAAGGACATCATAGATTTAACATAGGAAAACATATCTAATGCACCTTATACTCAATAATTAGTTGTCTTATCCAGTAGTGAGTACTGGATAAGAAACATATAGGATTCTAAATATACTTTCAGATAAAGAAGATCATGTGCAACAGAGCAGATCTGGTACATTTCAGTCATTCACATTAAAAATATATGACTTACCTACTAAACTCCAAGACTGTTTCTTAGCTCTGTTCGTTTAAGAGTTGTAGCCAGAAATATAAATACAAGGTAAAAGTACAAAGTCATAGTCATCCAAAAAGAATAGGTGGCCACAAAAGATACAAAGATTAGAATTAGGATGGCTCCAGTCTCTTCACCCTCAACCAAAACCACAGCATTTGATCTTTGGCATTCATTGGAGAACTAAACAGGCACCAAGGAGCTACATTGGAAGATGATCCTTCCTATCAGACAGTTTATTTAGCAGCCTCTGTAACAGGACTCCAAACAGCACAGGCACCAGAGGAAATCTACTGAGCTGTCAACGACTTGGGGACTCTGATCATGATGGAGTAAGAATTTTGTTTGACAATTTATTATCAATACCAAGTATATATTATATTTTGAAATTAAATACTCATTGCATAAGAATAATGTTTTCTTCAAATGTAATAGTATTTCATTCTTTTGTTCTACAAGATACAAATCTTGGAAATTTTTCTATTTGTGTAATATACGGTCATATGTAATTGAATGACTATATTTAAACAGTAAAGACTAGATTAGGAATATTACCTTAAATTATAAAGAATGATTTCTGGAGTGAAATAAAAGTGAGTGAAAAGAAAAATGTTAATACCTTGTTAAATAAGATACTGGCAAATTTCCCAACATTCAATATTGTTTTCCTTCTAGTATGGAATCCATTCAGTAATTGTCTTTTGCTACGTCCATCCTCTTTAACAAAGTTACGTGTAAACAGCTATATTAGGACCATTTTTCTTTTTGACATTTTTCCTCACCAACTTACTCAATGATTAATATATCCACCTCCCTCTTTAGACAAAAGAGTTAATTTTTATAATATGGTAAAACACTGAAATCTGTCGAGAGTTCCTAAGCCACAGTATTTCAGGAAGATACACATAATTTTTGTTTCTCCCTATGGTACAGACTGTTAATGTCCTTTACAGATACCCTTTACCAGTCTTATGAATCCCTCCCGCAGCTGCTATAAGTGTTGGCTACAATAATGGCTAACATTTTCCCTTCTGCAGAGAACTGGTCCCCTCAACTAACAGAAGTCACCTCCACTGGAAAGTAGCACTGCTATTCCCTCCCCAGGTATGGTTCAGAGCTAATGACCTACTGATATGGCGATACCAAAGTTGGCCACCCTTGCTTCAAAGGAAAAAACAATGCCTTGCAATTTACACTCAAAAAACAACTCTCCAAAACACACACTTCCCCATAAACACACAGCGAGGATTAGCCAAGGCAAGGCTTTACCTGAGACCACATGTTTCCTCAGCTCTTTTCTCATTCCTATCTTGCTTCCATCACCTCCTTAAAGATTTTTCCTGAAGAACATTCCTTCATTAACTCATGTGTACAGAAATCCCTGTCTTAAGCTCTGTTTCTAATGAACTTGACCTGAGACAATTAATGCCAGGAGTGAACCTAGAGACAGACACTAGGAAGGAAATTCTGGAGTTGGATTACTTGCTGGCCAACTAGAAATGAACACTCCATCACTGCTGTAAGTGGACTGAATATATCCGTGGTCCCTGCCACACAGTGGCCATGCAACTGTTAAGATTTTCACCTATAGCGAATTGGAATAGATTATAGGTAGCAAGGGATGCACTGGATTATGTGGTATCTCTATCATTTCAAAGGTATGAGAGAAACAGTAATTGTAAAGACTAGTTTTAGATGGTCATTGCTGAATGCCAAATGGATGCATTACAAATTAAGAATGACAAGGTCAGAGAAGTCATCCACTAATATAAATCAAAGTATGAGAGTCAAAAGGCCTCTCTAGCATTGTTTAAAGGCTTCTTCATCTCTTAAAGTTAGAAAGAAGATAGAGCTGAAGACTAGTCACAGAATTTAATTATAACATTGACAGAACTTCACAGAAGGCTAAATTCTCAGCCTAAGCAAATCTTCTATGGTAAAGTGAGGGTCCTGTCAGAGTAGGGCCCAGAGCAAAACCAGAGATTCGCAATTGGTCCAGAACATGACACAATCCCATATAACCCATGGTACTAGAGATATCTGTGGTAGAACAACATAAACCCATAGGGTTCTAGAATAGAGCATACTGTCAAAGTGGAAAACCATTCAGGTCATGTAGTCAGGGTAGAAATGGAACATCTGATCTCAAGACTTCAAGTGACCACGAATCCAGAAGCACCCATCATGAAACCCACCAAATCATAAGACCAGACAGACTCAGCAGTATTCCATTTCTAATAAAATGGAAGTAGCTGATCTGGGCCTAGGGTTGAGCAGGTCCAGATGGGACAAGGAAGATGCCCAAACATGTGACTTGGACAACCAAGTTACTTAACACTATTGCATCAGTGCTGCCTCTGAAGTTCATATCCACTTGAAGAAAAAAGAAAAAGGCCAAGCTTGGATATTGAATGGGTCAGCTCAGTATGTGAGTGTAAACTAAAAATTGAGTGCTTCTTCACTGCAGCCTCATTCAGTGTTGGCCTTGAAATAAAGTAATGAGAAGAAATCCTCCCAATAAGTGGAGTTTCAGTTCACAACCTGGTTATCCATTTTGTGTAAAAAGAAAAGAAGCCTAAGGTCATAACACATATGGACAGGAATAGTGGTGAATAGCTTAGCTGATTGATCAGGGGCTGCTGGAAGATTGAGGACAAGAAGTTCTAATAAAGAGGCATGTGGATGGACCTTTGGGAGTGGGCTGAGGGTATGTGGATCCTTGCATTACATACTTATGTGTACCAGAGAAGATCTACACAAGAGGTATTAAATAACCAAGAAAACCAATGAATTCATCCTGAGATATCTGCTGGTCTCTGTCCTCACCAACTCCACCCACCTCCATAAGTAGAATAAAGCCACACTGACAGATATGTAGGCAAGCATGTGCCCAACAGCATATTCTACTCCTAACATAATGTATATAATCCTTGCTTCTGCTGAATGCCTCATCTGTCAATCACAGACCCCTCCCCAACCTCAACATGATTCCACCCTTCAAGGAGACAACTGGACATCTGGTGATAAGTTGGCTGCACTAGATACCTTCCACCTTGTAAAGGCCAGTAATTCATTCACACAGACATAAAGAGGCATTCCAAGTATGAGTTTGCCTTTCCTGCCCAAAGCACCTCAGCAAGTGCCTTTATACATGTGCTCATAGACTGCCTGCTTTACCTACATGGAATACCACATAACATATTTAAGACAAAGCAAAGGAAATATGTTTCTTTGTAGTGTTAATGCAGTAAAAACACTAATTATGAGATCCACTGATCCCAACACATACTGTGCCATCCAGAACTCTTTAGTCTGATAGCAAAATGCCCCATTAAACATGTAGCTAAGACTGTGCTTACAGTGGACACCTTGCAGGACCGGACACTATCCTTCAGGACACAGTATATTCCTTAATTCAATGGTTATCATAAGCTGCTATGCCCCCGATACGTAGAATTCACAGATCTAAGAACTAAGGGATAGAAGAAGGAGTGGCACCACTAACCATTACTGCCAGTTATCCACTTGGGAAATCTGTGCCATACTGTTGCTTCAGGCTCTGTGAAGCAAGAAATCCTGGTTCCTAAAGTGGGGGATGCTTCAACAGGGGACACATAAAGCTATGGCTACTGCCCGGTCACTGTGATCCCTATGCCAGAAAAAATAATAATAATCACACTGGCATTAGTAATTGACCCTGATCACTGTGAGCAAGTAACACATCTGTTACAAAATGGGTATGGGAGGATATGTTTGACATTCAGGTTAGCCACTGGAGTGACTCGTTATTCCCAAGTCACGCTGCAACTATAAATGGGAAACCATAAGTACATGATGACAAGGAGCTCAGACTCTGCAGGGATGAGGATCTGAGTCAATCTACCAGGTATGTCACCCAAATCAGTAAAAGTGGAAAAAAATATTTAAGTATCAGTTATGGTCACAAGATCAGAGACAAGTTTTTACAGAAATTGTGAGCACAGAATCCTGGAGGACCTGTGCCTGAATAGAGTAAATTTAATTATCAGAGGCAACTGGCTCTGACTGGTACAAAGGGTACACTAATGTACACATTGTTGGTGGCTTATCCAAATCTCCTTTATCTGGATAGTGCACTCATCTTCCAGCTGCTGTGAATACTGGCTGCTAATTGCACATAGTATCCCTGTTCTCCAAAGAAAGAACCTCAAATGATAGCCATCTCATGTAGGAGGTTACCCTCAGTCCAAGGATAGCTCTGATAGGGGTATATAGATAAGAGAAAAAACTGAGGAAGGATTTATATTCAGAGTCCTTCAGCCCCATGGCTAGGCTTAACCTGAAACCATGCCCTTGACTAGTTCTTCTTTCTCTATCCTGCTTCACTCCATTCCCTTACAATTTATTCCTGAAGTGCATTCCCACTATAAAGCATATGCACCTGAATTCTTGTCTTAGACTCTGCTTCTAGGCAATACTCCTCTTTTTCTTTCTTTTTCTAAGCCTCAGCATAAATTCAAATAAACTGGAATTTTCAAGCACAAGGCAGTAAAAAGAAAATAGACTTCAAGATTAATATTCATTAAATATCAAGATTCTGACTTATAGTCATCAGGCCCCAGATTTCACACAAACTTAATTAAAAAGAAGTGAGACAGCCAGTCAATTGGGCAGAAATTGGGCAGTCAATTGGGCAGTCAATTGGGCAGAATCAAGGTGAGACAAAAGGCCTAGTTTAAGAATGGTTTGTTTGAAAACAAGTTTTCCTTGTAGTTAAGGTCACCAGTAAGTATTACGTTCTTCAAGAATAGAGATCCTTAGCATCTTTTTCCCCACCTTCCTCCTCAGTGCCTATAAAGCAGTTGGCAAGTTGTAGGTACTTAAATATTAGTTCAAAGAATAAATAAAAAGCACTGGATAAATAGCTGCCTTTGATCTTCCTATTCTACTCAAGTATGAACTACCATAAAAAACTGGAGATGTTGTCTTAGGCTGTTGCTCTTCCCAACCTTTACCCCACATAAGCTAAGTTCCTAGAGTGTGGGAACTTTCAAGCCCTTTTTCTTATAACTAGCAAAAAGCATATTTGACATGTATCCAGCTATAAAAAAATTACTTAATTTTAAGTAAGAGCACCTGGGTTTGGGTACTAGTTTCTGCCAGTTGTGAAATCATGGGCATATTACTTATCTAAACATAATTTCTAAAACCTGTAAAATAATGGTAGTATACTAATACGACATGATTTAGAGAGTCACAGTAATGATTATCTAAGACAAGTGAAAGTAGTGATTAATTGTAAGGCATCAAAATATTAGTAAGCATTCCAATTGTTTTAAAATCGTTTTCACTAGTAATAACAGGTAGGGATAGTAGTAATTAATGGTGGCAGTTTCCTAATAATGAAAGAATTATAGATAATGTCTCCATTTCTTCTGCTTTTCCTACCACCATTGGCTACAGAAATCAAGCATGCCCATAAAAAAGGAGTATGGTACAAAGTGATATAAAAAAGAGTGATGTACAAGCAAGAGATTTTGGATGTGTAAAAAATGTTTTAAAAAAGGATCTTTGACTATTCTCTGCAAAACTTGCTTAAAATTAAAGTGATTGTAGGTTTAACTTTCACAAGCAACAATAAAATGGTATAATTTTGAAAATATAAGATTTTATTTTGTTAAAAAACAAAGACTTGACAGAAATATGGAAACTAAGAAAACATATTTTTCCACAAAAAAATTAAAAATCTTGAAGTTGGAAGTCTATTAAGAGCTGGAAAATGCTGAAATGCTGAAGTATGTTGAAAAGGATTTCAAAATGCAACCAAGTCAATAAAGTAATATTCTCTTTAAAAACTGAATATTTTTACTGAGTGGCAAACAGAAAGAATAGCTAAGGTAGAAGAAAAAGGTAATAGGGAGAAGCAGAAACAAAAGGTAGATACTTTTCAGTAATATGAATGAAAAAGACTAGAGAATAATCTCTCATTCTCTCTGTCTCTTCTTAACCAAAAAGCACTGAAAAATGTCCAAAGAAAATAAAAAGTGAAAGTATTTACAGGTTTACCGTTTTTAGGAAAAAATAAACATTTATAAAAACTACAAAGAAAGTTACTAACAAAGTGGCTTTATTTCTATATGATGGCTTTCAGAGCCAATGGCATTATCAAAGAGGAGTGAGCTTGAGATAGAACTTAGAAATATTTTTTAAAAGAGAGGACTTGAAAACTAAGACTAAATACAGTTCAAGAAAAGAATCATAACCAACCTTCAACAGTCATGAACCATATCTGGGACTGACAGTTCAGTTTGAGTACAGCTGAAGTAAATCTCTTAAAACCTTTAATGAAATATGGAAATAGAAGAAGACTAAACTGACTACAATATTTTCCTCTTTTCAAAATACAAGGGACTAGAGGCTGCTAAGCACACTAAAAATACAGCACACTTCTCATAGATATTACCTTATAAAAATTGGTGAAAGTAATTAAAGACACACAAACAAGGATGTTTTAAAAGGAAAATGTATTAGTCCATTTTCACGCTGCTGATAAAGACATACCTGAGACTGGGCAATTTACAAAGGAAAGAGGTTTAATGGAGAACACACAGTTCCACGTGGCTAGGGAAGCCTCACAATCGTGGCAGAAGGCAAGGAGGAGCAAGTCACATTTTATGTGAATGGCAGCAGGCAAATAAAGCTTGTGCAGGGAAACTCCCCTTTTTAAAATCACCAGATCTCGTGAGACTTATTTGCTATCATGAGAACATCATGGGAAAGACGTGCCTCCACAATTCAATTACCTCCTACTGGGTCCCTCCCACAACACGTGGGAATTCAAGATGAGATTTGGGTGGTGACACAGTCAAACCATAGCAGAAAGAAAATTCAAATCATGCCAAAAAAAGTTATTTTAATTACAACAATCATAAATTTTTATAAGATTCTAAAAGACGATAAAAAAGACAAATAATTATTAATAGATATGCCATAGCATCATGTGGTAAAACTCATTCCTATAAGAGAAATAATAAGGTAGTCTTCACCATAGTTATGATAAAGTATTATAGATGGGAAATATGCACTATTCTAACTATAGTGTGCCTTCAAAAGAAGAAATAATCACTTAGCTCCCTACAAAACTTTGAAGAAAACTACTAATTCAAAGATTATATATGCCTAGGGATAAGAGGAATATGAGGAAAAAGTCTCAAATAGACACATTCTCAAAAAACATCATCAATATCCTTCTTTTAAAAGTTACTGAAAGCATTCACTGTCTGCTGAAAAATAAATTACATTTAAGAAATCAAGAACAGACAGGCACAGTGGTGCATGCCTGGAGTGCATAATATGCCTGGAGTGCATATTAGCAAGGCTGAGGCAGGGGGATTGCTTGAACTCAGGAGTTCAAAATCCAACAAGGGCAAGATAGCAACACCCTGTCTCTTTAAAACCAAAAAGAAATCAAGAACAATGAAATTGTTGGGGTTACGAACTAGAGAAAGCAGGCCAAGAAACAGAAGCTCTAAATTCTCATGAAAATATGTTGATTTATCCTTGATTAATAATTAAATGATCTTGTGGGCTGAATTGTATCCACTCAAAATTCATGTTGAAGCTCTAACTCCCAGCATCTCAGAATGTGACTATATTTGGAGATAGGACCTTTAAAGAGGTGATTAATTAAAAGAAGACCACTGGGGTGGGTCCTAATCCAATCTAACTAGTATACTTATAAGAAGAGGAAATTTGGACAGAGACACTAAGGATTGTGTACAAAGAGGAAAGATCAGTGAAGACACAGCGAGAAGGCAGCTATCTGCAAGCCAAGGAGCTAGGCTTCAGAAGAAACCAAACCTCCTGACACGTTGATCTTGGACTTCTAGAATCCAGAATTGTGAGAAATTAATTCCTGCTGTTTAAGCCACCCAGTTTATGGTACACTTTGTTGTGGCAGCCCTAGCAAACTAATACAGATGAGTAAATGTTTAAATTTTTTAAAAAACTTCTATAACAACCAATGAAATTACAAATAGGACAATATGAAAGAAATCAATGACAATGATGAAAAGCAATTCTACGTGTTCATGGTAGAAATGTATTTACCTTTTGGGAAAGCAATTACACATAAGTCTTAGAAAAGTTGGTACATTTTGACATAGTAATTAAACATCAGGAAATCTTTCAGAGTGAAATCCTGAAGAGAAGAAAAGGCCTAAGCAGTAAGAAGCAGTAATAATTGATAATAATTAATTAATTATAATAAGTTATTATTTACTTAGTGTTTCTTATTTGTGAGGCCATCTACTAAATCTTCATAAAATTCATTGCCACATTATTTATTTTTAGTTATATTTAAAATTATAACGCCCAAAGCAATTGCTGTTAACATTTTGCTACAGTTTCTTTAGAGTTTCTTTAATTCTTCTTTCTATGCCTTTTTATTTCTTATATGTAAAACAAAAGCAAAAACTATAACTGTATTTTTTCACTTAACATGGATGAAGATAGTCAAAAAGCATTATTCTAATATAAAATAACTGAAATTATAAGGAGAGTCAATAGAAAACCAGGATTTTGCTCTATGTGCTAGATTTTATGAACATACCTAAAATGAGGTTAATAAGCTGTATTCTTCTGATTACCATAATCTCATACATATTTGGTTGCTTTTGTTTATTTTTCACTTCAATTATAGTTGCACTAGAAGTAATGTTAGTGCTGAATAAGTGTAAGACATAAAGCTATCTATTTCTTTTTTTCTTTTTTTTTTCTTTTTTCTTTTTGAGACGGAGTCTCGCTTTGTCGCCCAAGCTGGAGTGCAGTGGCAGGATCTTGGCTCACTGCAACCTCTGCCTCCCGGGTTCTAGCAATTCTCCTGCCTCAGCCTCCTGAGTAGCTGGGATTACAGGTGTGTGCCATCACACCCGGCTACTTTTTGTATTTTTAGTAGAGACAGAGTTTCGTCATGTTGGCCAGGCTGGTCGATGTAAAGCTATTTCTTAATGGCAATCCTCAAATGTCTACAGATGTGTAGCCAAGGGTAACCACAAACAGGATTCAAGCAAAACAGGTAGAAGCAGTTTGAAAGTTTCAAACAGATGCTAAGAGACTGCTGAAACATCAGAACCATCTGTAAGATTTTGTGGAGTAAAATGTCTAGCTGATTGGGTTAACAAGGCTCCCCTACATTTCTGGAGCTACACACTGATTGGACAGTACTATCAGGCTGTGAAGACTGAAATTCTTATGATGATTCACCTGGTTGTATTCTGTTGCTGATAACGGTCATTTACACCGAGACAGAGAATCATCAAGTCTAGATTTTTCAATGTTTAATAAAAAAGATTTTTAAAAAGAGATATTTATAAAGTAATATGTATGAGAGAGAGAAAGTAGGGAAACATTCTTCTGAGCTAGTAAGAAAAAAAGCAGCAATTTCAGATCTTGAAATACATTTTAGAGACTTGGCATTTATTATTTCTGGATATAAAAGTCAAAAAGGAATTAATTTCCTGATAAAAATGTATGTAGTGGGAGGACACATGGTACTAATTAATTGTCAATAAATAAATAATTCCTAAACAGCAGCATTAAGGACCTAGATGAGCTCAGAGAGTCTAATTTGTTTTCACTACAGCAACAGTTTTCTCTGACAATACGTAGCAATCTGGAGACTTTATCCATGAAAATACCCTGTGCTCTTTAAGTCCTGCTCTATAAACTACACCTAGCATTCCTGCCTATTTCAAAGCCCTTCCTTCACTGATGCAGGAAGCTTTTATACATTGTTTTGGCATTTTAAAAAAGGAAAAGAAAGAAATTTCTGATACGAGTAAGTTCACTTAAAATACACTTATGCTATAATTATATTTTTGTCAAAATAACAAGTGTACCTTCCAGCAGCTGCCTGGTTTAAATTTTCCAGCTTTTTAATTAAGGTTTTGCTCTTGAACCGTTTCATTCCCACAGTATACAGTGAATACACTGAACTGTCATTGCCTTAAAACTATTATTATTCCTAATTATAGTATATAGGTATATAGGATATATATAGTATATCGTATATAGTATATAGGAAATACTTATAGTATTTTTCCTAAAGTTAACATATGAACGGAATGTATCCACGAGAAGTTCCTACATATGTGCAACAGAAAACATACACAAAAATCTTCACAGCAGCACTTTCACAGTGGCAAAAGAGGGAAACAACCCCAACAATCTCTCTGTGGGAGAGTGGATTAAAAACTGTGATATAATCAAACTCTAAAATATTATACAGCAGTCAAAATAAATGAATTACCACAACCCACAACAATATGAATGCAATGTAGAACTAGTGGGAAAAATAGAACAATGACTTTTTACAAAGATGAAATAACCAAAGATTTTTAGAAATACATATAAGAAACCTGTATAGAAGAAAAAACAGAAATGATGAACTTGGGGCTGAATATCATGATAGCCACAAACTGGAGGAGTCAAGGAAATGATTGCCAAGGTTCTAGCTCTTGCTTGATAGGGTATGTTCATGAATGTTTATTACATTATTATGAAATAATTAACAGGTTCCTGAGTAGCTAGTATTAGGTTTGCCTTCTTTCTATAAACAACTATAAAACTGGGCAGAATATGAAACAACCACTTTAATGTGTTGGACAAGACAAAACATAAGGCTGAGATTCTTGAGAAAGCGGTAAGCTTCACATTAGCTTTCCACCTGGAAACAATCTTCCAACTGTAGTATTAGGAACTGGAGTCCAAGCAGAAAGCATTGGTTTCATGGAGCATAAGAAACACAGTCCGGTGTTAAAAATAGAGATTAAAATTCAGGCTTGTTAAGACAGCTAGAATTTTGTTTTTGTTTTTGTTTTTGTTTTGCGCTACATATTCATAGAAACTTCTTTTAGTAATGAACTGCAGAAATAATCCCTGAAAGTATGGTCTTGGCAGCTAGAATTTTTGATGCAAAGTACTAGGGCAGAAGAGAGCTAAGTGAATAAGCTCCAGAAATAGGAATAGAAGTTCTGCTCTTGTTCCTGCCCAAACTCTAAGCAGTACATATGCAGGCTATCTGGAGCCTAGTAGACTGCACCTGCTGAGGACTGAAAGTTGAAGAAAAATTTCAGAAGTCACACCCTACTATAAAACTCTCTGATCAAGCAAGCTTGGAGAGATATTTGTGAAAAATCCCAGGGCATTCAGTTGAGGCCTCACAAAGGCCATGCATTAAGAGTAAGAAAACCATATCCTAGAAGTAAGGGCTGTGCCCTATGACAAAGAAAAAAAAAAGAGTACTCTCCAAATAAAGCCTAAAACCAAACTTTGACAAGATCAAGGTGATCCTCCTTAATTTAGCTGCCTGACATAATCAAAATTAGCATTCTCAAGATGAAAACATAATATAAAAATTCTACAATACATCATTTAGGTGTTTACCCTGCAAGACAATGTTACAAGGCATCCAAAGAAGCAAGAAAATGAATCCATAACAATGAGAACAAAAAGTCAATAG